>NC_000018.10:22786206-23411206 GCF_000001405.40 Homo sapiens
AGAACATATGACAAAGTCCAATGTACAGATGCTTTATTCTGGGGTATGATCCCAAGGAGCTGCAGGGAGAGCCTGGGAAGAATAAAAAAAGGAAGAGGGAAATGCAACCCAATCTAGCTCCTCACCACTGTGGGCAACTGAGGCTTGATTCCTCTGGGATCCTCTAAAAGGACCAGAAAGGATACCTCTCAGAATTATTCACTCAGGAGTTGAAAAAGAGAAACATTTATCTTCCAGTTCCCAGACCCCATTAACAAAGGATTGCCCTCACATCTGCAGGTTTGTATATGCTCCAGAATGCCCACATGCATTTCTACAGGTATCCTACTTAGTGAAGGTGGAGAAACCCTGGGGCAGAAAGTGAGAAATAAACAGTGAATCTAAAGTGAGGCATTGTCAAGTTATACCTGCATGCAACTGGTGACCCCAGCAATGGCTGGAGTAAAAAGGGGACTCCTCCCAGAAAAGTCTATATAAGAGGTGTCTGGTAGACTCTCCAAAGGAAGGTCAATCCAACTCAACACCATACTTCCTGGTTCCTACCTGATTTATTTTCCAGCAATCCTTTACACACATGGTCGTTTCATATGTGGTCATCTCTAGGCTTTTTAGCATTGTTTTTTTTTTTCTCCTTCCATTTCCCCATGTCATTCTAAAACAAATAAATGAAAACAAACAAAAAATAGACATACCATTTTTTAAATGTTGCTTTAATTTATTTATACAAAGAAAAACCATTTTAGATTTGTTTAATAAGGTAAATTTGATGGCAAAATGACCACTAGAACAAGTTCTCAGACAAGATGTATATGCTCTGTAGGTAAAAATAAACTTCTACAAGAAAGTTTTCAATAAATTTTACACTTCTATGACAGCCCTGTATCCCCAGTCAGAACCAAGCAAAGCACTAAAGTCATTCCTCTGCTTATTCCAGTTACCGGGTCTGCTTTGGCAGAAGCCATATTTGGAAATCTGGTTCTTCATAATTGCCACAAACCAGCAATACTCATCTTCCATTCATTTAACAAATATTCGTTGAGGACCCTCTGTGATCCAGGTATGATTTTAAGCTCTGGAGATTAAGGTCTGAACAAAACAGAGTAAGTCTCTGCCCTCATGAAACTTACAATCTCGCAGGGGAAGTATACAAGTAAATATGTAATATGTTGAATGGTGACAGAAGCTGTGGAAAAAAAACAAAACAGTATAAGAGAATAAAGGATTCCCAGATGAGAAGTGGAAAGATGGGTATCACAATTTTATATAGCATGGTTATAAAATAAATTTGTACAGAGACATGAAGGAAGTGAGAGAATGAGCCACGTAGATAGATGGGGAAGAAACATACCAGATGTGGTAAAAACAGCTGGCAAGAACTTGAGGCAAAGTAATGCTCACCCCATTCAGGGAAGAGTGAGGAGGCCACTGCAGTGAAAGCAGAGTGAGCGGGGGGATGTTAAAGGAGGGGATGTCAGAGAGGTAGCCTTGGGTGAGATGATATAGGGCCTTGGAGACCATTATAAAACTTAGGGCTTTACTCTAATTGAAACAGGAAGCTATAGAAGGATTTTCAGAAGAGGAGTCATGTAATCAACTCACATTTTTAAAGGATCATTCTTATTGCCATGGAGAATAGATATAGGTGTCCTAGGGTAGAAGTGAGCAGGCCACTTAGGAAGGTAGGTGGAAGATAATGATGGCCCAGATGAGAATGATAGCAGCAAGAAATGGTAGGGTTCTAATTATATTTTGAACACAGAGCGGGCAAGATTAGTTGATGAATTGGATGTGTTCTACAACAGAAAATGAGAAATCAAAAATGACTCTAAGATTTTTGACGTGAATTGCCATTTAACACAAAGAGAACTGTAGGTTTGAGGTTGAAAAAATTAAAAGTTCAGCTTAGGGCATGTTAAGTGTGAGCTATTTATTAAACACCCAAGTGATGATGTCAAATGGGCAGTTGGCTGTACGCAGTCCTCTCCTTGCAAGATTCCAACACGCACAAACTTCAGTCACCCAGGTTTAGTTAAATAACACCAGTCCTCCAAAAATATGATTGAAATTGCATTTGCCACATTATAGTAACTGAATAATCGCATAAAGTACAATTTCACTGTTTCTCCCATCCACAAATCACTCTGTATATAACAGATGTATATTATGATTAGTGACCAATCATGTCACTTCTTTCAGAGTCTGCCTGACTGATTGGTCACCGACTGGTCACTTGTGCATCTATTATTCAGTTCACACACAGCAAAATGTGTCACTGTGTTGTCTCCTGTCTCTCAGTAATAAGCCCACATGACATTCCACAAAAATGGATTATCAAAAGAAGAAACTGGTCCACAAAGATGAAAGGGCAGCAAGGAAAAACATGACAACACTAAAAGTGAAATTCAAATCAAATATAAATGGAGTTAAAGAAGAAATAGCTGCCCCAGGAATACTGACACTGCCACTGTTTAAGACACTAGAATGCAGCCACAAGCACTTCGTGCAGGTAACTTTATAGACATAAAGGAGGAAAGTGCTTGTAAGGAAAAAGACGAAGATGTTCCAGAGGAATACGTCAGAGCAAGTGATTCAGGCAAAATATTTCACATTAAAAGAACTCTTAGAGATAGGTCACAACATCTAAAGCACAAAGGCTAAAATGTTGGAAGCTGATCCAAATTTAGAAAGAAATATGATAATTTGCCAAGGTGTAGGATTGATGCTTACTCCATATTGAAAGTTATATGACAAGAAGGCAAGCACTGTTCTAAGTAGTCTGATAAGTGTTTTACAAATAAATGAAACACTTTCTCAATGTTTCTAATGTTTTAAATTAGTGTACTAAACTAAGTAAATATTAGTTTTAAAATATTACTTTTTATTTCTTCGTTACCTCATATGTTTATAATCAACAGTAAGAGCCTAATATTTTGAAAAAATTTTAAGTCCTGCAACAATCATAATTTTTATCACTGATTATTAAGAACACTTGGTGCTGTCTCAGTTTGCACAGTCATTTTTATGGCCCACACTACTGCATGAAGCAAGAACTGCCTGTATGCAAATTTGGAGTTTAGGAGAAGAAATTCAGCTGGAGACATAAATTTGCAAATTATCACTACAGAAACAGTATTCCTGCATGATATCACCTGACGTACAGATAAAGAAGAGATCTAAGGATAGAGCCCTGGGGAACTCCAATGTTCAGAGGTAAAGGAAAGGAGAAAGAATCAACAAAGATGACTGAAAAGCAGTGGCTGGTGAGCTAGGAGAATCAAAAGAGCAGTATCCCAAAGACCACAAAGCAGGGAGTTTCAAGAAAGTCATCAACTGCGGCTGGTGAGAGAAGCAAGACAAACCTGAGAATTGACCATTGTGTTTGGCAATATGAAGGTTACTAGTGACCTCGGCAAGAACTGTTTCAAGAAAATAATTGGAATGAGAGCCCAATTCAAGTGAGTTCAAAAGAGACTGGAAGGAGAGGAGTGGAACAATAAATAGACAGCCTTCTGAGGAGATTTTTCTATAGGGCATGGCAGAGTGGAATGTGAGTCCATTCTGTCTTCTTAAGATGGACGCTATCACAGCATGTTTATAGGCTGACTAACATAGTTAACTAAAGAATTTATACCACGAGATATTGATGCCAGGAGAAGGGATAATTATTAAAACGGTGTCCTTGAGAGTGGATAGTACCTCGTACTCAAGTGGAAGTGTTTACCCTAGACAGGAACAGGCTTAAGAAGGAGGCTCAGACATTTGACTTCTTCAGGACTCAGCTGCCTCAACTGTACAATGAGACAGCACTAAACCAGAGATTCTCAAAATGTAGTCCTCAGATCAGCATCATCGGCACCACTTGAGAATTCATTAAAAATGCAAATTCTCAGCCCCCTTCCAAAACCTACTGTATTAGAAACTCTGGAGGTGAGGCCCAGCAATAGGTGCTTTAACAAGCTCTCCATGGGATCCTGATGCACCCTCAGTTTTCAGAACCACTGGACTAGATTATCTTTAACGAATCTCTGGCTCTAACACCTGTGACTTTATGCTTCAATAATCTATTACTTCCCATTTCTATTATGTTTTTATAATACTGCTGTATTATTTTCAAGTAAGTTTATAAAATCCAAGCTGTTTTCTAATATTTTTCAGTGCAAAAAATCCAAATGTCTGTTTTCAACCTCCAGAAACAATAATGACATTTATACTTCTTAAAATCGTGTTCATAATCGTTTCTGAAACAACTTTTGCATGGTAAGGTATTCAACTTAGTTTTGAAGGCATCAGTAAAGCTCATGACATTTTCTTATCATTTTTAAATAATACATAAGTCTATCTTTTAATGAAAAAAATCTTTGGGAATTAAAAGCTATTGCTCTCAAGTTGTTTGGAATTGTTTTGTATTGCTTGAAGTGTGTTATTCCCCAGAAGCAGAGCAGACATGGAACGACAGGTGACATTAATCCAGTCCCATACTGTTGTTCTTTGTGGACTTGGATCTCTCTTCAGCCACACAATGGAGGAAATTCCATACAAACAGAGGAAGCCAGACTCTTTCTGGGAGAACTTAGTAGCTGACTTACTATATTAGACATTGATGCCTGCTACAGATAAAACCTGGGAAAAGACCTCCAGGTCCTATTCTCCATTGTTGCTGCCTGAGTCCAGTATGTACGTCTCAACTGTGTACACATTTCCCGGGGTTAGGGGGGGCCCACCAGTGCACAGCTGTCTGTGACAGGATTGCTGATGTTTACAGTAGCAAGTTCACCCTGCTTTATGCCAAAACATGGTGTTTCTTATTTTAAAGATGAGAACAATTCCTTCTCTCCCCTCACTCCATTGTTATTTGGTTTACTAGATTTACAGGAGAAGGAAGCAGTAAATTACTAAAGAAGAAAGTGTAAATCTCACCAGGGTGTGCCTGTTTGAATTTGGATGAAGTTTGGCATATCCATCAGATGTGATGATATGAGAAAACAGGTCCTCTCTGCTTCGTGGTAGGTTGGTTTGGGGAAGTGAAAATAAAAATTCATTAGACACTTTCCTGTGTTGATGTCCACACCTTTCTAGAAGCTCCAAGTTGATCAGATGTCCTAAGTGCCCAGCTTGATGGCCACAGAAAGCCAGCTGGTTAGTGAATAAAAAGGACTCTGCTAGCTGAGAACGCTCATTGCCAGCAAGCCTTTCTTGATGGTTTCCAGCCTTTTCTGTATTTAATTCGGTTAACATTGCATTCTCCCATCAGGGTCTGTTAATAATGATGTGTTGGGGGAAAGAAGCATGCAGTGGGAGGGATGGAAAGGAGACATGGAATTCCTATTTCTTCAATCACAAAAGTAAAAGAAAATAAAAGAAGATTTACCTTAAAGTACAAAGTATTTTCAAACCACATTTATAGAAAGCCAGTATTAAAAAGAGGTCAGCTGATGCATAAAGAACATACCTATAAACTAAATAAATCATCTGTCCTTCATTCTATTCAATAATTCTTTCCTGAACAGCTGGCTGTTTCTCCCTGGCTCAGCCACCTCCCTTTCCTGCCATGGCTCTCAACACTGTCTATACACTGGAGTCACCCAGAGAACTTCAAAAATACTGAGGCATAGGTCTCACCCTCAAGGATTCTGAGCATTTTTTAAAGTTCCCCCAGGTAGTTCTAAAATGCAGCCAAAGTTGAGATCACCGCTCTTCTTCCCCTCAGCTCTCCATCAACCCTTCAAGACCAGCACCTTGGGGTTCGCTTCTCCCCCAAAGAGGCTGAGATGACAAACGCAGACCTGGTCGTTCTTAGGTCACTGATTCCCAAGTTGCCTGATGTAAGAATCACTCGGGGCACTTATCAGACATATACATCCCAGGATCTTCCCTTGGAGATTCTGATTTAGTAGTTCTGGGACAAGAACCTGAAGTCTACATTTGCCCACATGAGGTTTATGCAAATAGCAAAGTTTGGTAAACACCATTTTAGGACTCTTCTGCTCAAAGTGAGGTCCATGGACCAGCAGTATGGGCATTACATGGGAGCTTGTTAGATATATAGAATCTCTAGCCCCACCCCAGGTCCACTGAAACAGGATCTGTTTTTTTGGGTTTTTTTGTTTTTTGAGATGGAGTCTCACCCTGTTGCCCAGGCTGGAGTACGGTGGCGCGATCTCTGCTCACTGTAACCTCCGCCTCCTGGGTTCAAGTAATTCTCCTGCCTCAGCCTCCCGAGTAGCTGGGATTACAGCCACCTGCCACCACACCCAGCTAATTTTTATATTTTTAGTGAAGACGGGGTTTCACCATGTTCGCCAGGCTGGTCTCAAACTCCTGACCTCAGGTGATCCACTTGCCTCAGCCTCCCAAAGTGCTGGGATTACAGGCATGAGCCACCCCGCCCGGCCAGAGTCTGCATTTTAACACGATTTCAGGAGATTCATATGACATTAAAATTTCTCCAATTGGTTTGCCTAACACTGACTTCCAAAGCTTTCTCTTTCCCTATCTAATTTAGACTCACGCCCGTGCTGCAATAATAATTACTCATAAGAAATATTCATATTAAAACGAATAAAATACATTAGTTGGATTATCATAAATGGGCCAATTACTTTAAAACATTTTCATAAGTGGATATTTCTGGCTTGTTAGATTCTCCTTTTGCTAATATGTAAGATGAGCCTTAGAGAGCCTCGGCATTAACTCAAGAGTTGAATGTTGCACTCAGTTCTATTATTTATTTTTAAACATAGTAAACATGAATTATAAGCTCAGGGTTGGAAAGAACTTTAAGGATGACTTAGTCCTGCCTTTAATCTGAATCACTACAAATGTCCAAATCAAGTGGCCATTCAGTTTAGATATGAAGATCATCCCCACCCCCAAACATGAAAGAGAACTCATTACCTCCCTATATAGTCCATTTCATCTTCGGTCAGCTATGACAAAAAAAAAAAAAAATCATGCATTGAAAAACTATCTCCCTGCATTGTTTTAATTAGAAAGCTTTCTTATTTATGGAAAAACTTGCAGAATTTTAGAGATGATAGGACAGTTTATAGCAGGATGCAATTTATCTGCATACATTTAATTTACTGTAAATATTAGTTAATGTCTAATGGGTGGTAGGCAACATGCTGACACTGTATACACACCAGCAAACAAAACACAGGCCCTGCTCTCAAAGTACTTGCCAGCCCAATAATATACAGAATAAATCAGGAGTTTTAAATACTTTGTTAAATGTGATAAAACAGGGGTAAATACAGGACCATAGGAGGTTATCAGAGGGATACTTAATCCAGTATAGAGGATAAAATTCTGGAGAAGCGACATCTTTGCCAAGGTTGAAACATAAGTGGCTCTAAGTCAGTGTTGCCAGTTTTTGCATAGCATGAAGTGGTTTTATCTTTTCTCCGATGCTATGTTAAATCTCTGTTAACTGATAACTTTCTACTTACTTTTGGTTTTCAAAATTTAGAACAGGCCAATGCAAGAATCCAATCTCATCCTCTGATTTAAAGACTCTCCTTCTTCAAGTCTCTGGCATCTTCAGTGTGTCAGGACTGGGAGGAGGAAGGAGGAAAGGGGCAGGTATCTATTTAACTGGACACAGTGAAAGTTTTTCACTGCCTCTGGTTAACACGGACTTTCCTTGATGTCTTCACTCTGCAAGTCCTTAAATGTAGGCTCTCTTACAGGAAACGTGTGAGTTCCTTTCCACTACTCCATTCCCGGACACTTCCCCTCTTCCACATTCACCCACTGGTCCATTCTACAGCTTCCAGGAACCAGCAACCCCTTGCCTGCCATTCCTCTTAACTAAAGTTTTGTCAGGATATCTCAATTTAGCTATGTCTCATGGAGTCCATTATTCCAGTTTTCAGGATACCAGATCAACATACCAAAAATCAATCTGATTTATAAACACTAGAAATGAACAATTAAAACCCAAAATTTTAAAAACAGTATCATTAAGAATATGGCCAAAAAAATTAAATACTCAGGTAACAATCTAACAGAAGTGTCCAGGTTGTGTTTGCTAAAAAGCTATAAATGGAACACATACTGTGTTTAAAAGTTAGAAGACTCAATACATGCAAAATGTCAATTATCTCCAAGCTGATCTACAGATTAAACACAATTCCAATCAAAACTCAGCAGAATTTTTTGTAGGTGGAGACAAACTGATTATATAATTTATATGGAGGGGCAAAGGAACTACAATAGCCAAAATAATTTTGAAAAAAAAAAAGAGCAAAGTTGGAGAATTCACACTGCTTGATTTTAAAATTACTATAAACATATGGTAATTAAGACAACATATTATCAGAGAAGGGATCCAGCCAAAAATCAATGGGGCAAAATAAAAATGCACGCAAATATAATCAATTAATTTGTTTTAACATGCAAAGGGATTCAAACTACTGTCCTTTGCATGTTTTAACATGCAAAGGACAGTAGTTTCAGCAAATGGTAGTGGAATAATGGACATCCATATGCAAAAAATTAACCCATGCCTAAACCTTACACTTTATATAAAAATTAAATCAAGGCCGGGTGTGGTGGCTCACACCTGTAATCCCAGCACTTTGGGAGGCTGAGGCAGGTGGATCACGAGGTCAGGAGATCGAGACCATCCTGACTAACACAGTGAAACGCCATCTCTACTAGAAATACAAAAAATTGGCCAGGCGTGGTGGCGGGTGCCTGTAGTACCAGCTACTCGGGAGGCTGAGGCAGGAGAATGGCGTGAACACGGGAGGCAGAGCTTGCAGTGAGCCCAGATCGTGCCACTGCACTCTAGCCTGGGCGACAGAGCAAGACTCTGTCTCAAAAAAAAAAATTTATAGATATAGATATAGATATGGATATAAAATCAAAATGGATCATAGAGCTAAATGTAAAACAGAAGCTATAAACTTTCAGAAAAAAGCATAGGAGGAAATTTCATAACAAGATTAGGCAAAGAGTTCTTAAACATGGCATTGAAAGGACAATTCATTTAAGAAAATTAATAAATTGAACTTCATTAAAATTAAGACTCTTTCCTCTGAAGCTCCTTAAAAAGCTAAACATAGAATTACCATATGACTCAGTGATTCCACTCTTAAGTATATAGCCAAAAGGACTGAAAGCAGGAACTCAAACAGATACTTGTACACCAATGATCATTGCAGCATTCTTCACAATAGTTAAAAGGTAGAAACAGCCCAAGTGGCCAACATTTGAATAAATAAAAGTGGTATATACATACAATGGAATGTTATTCAGCCTTAAAAAGGAATTAATTCTGACACATGTTATAACACGAATGAACCTTGAAAACACTGAAATAAGCCAGACTCAAATATTGTATGACTCCCCTTATATGAGGTACCTAGAAAAGGCAAATTCACAAAGATAGAAAGTAAAATAAAGGTTATTGGGGTTTGGGAAAAGGAGGGAATGAAGAGTTATTGTTTAATGGGTACAGAGTTTCTGTTTGGGGTGATGAAAGACTTTTGGAAATAGTGATGGTTGCACACCACTGTGAATATAATTAATGCCCCTAAATTGTATACTTAATAGTTAAAATAGCAAATTTTATTATAACTATAATATACAAGTATATTATATATATAAATTTATATAAATTTCATATATTTATATATGTAAATATAAATATACATATATAGTGGCATATATATATATGTCACAACTTTTTAAAAAAGAATAAGGTCTAAAAATATCTTTCCCCTGTGAAAAACACTGTTAAGAGAATTAAAGGACAAGCTACAGAGCAGGAGAAATATTTGCAAATTACATATCCATTAAAGGATTTGTATCCAGATACTTCACCTCAGAGGATGTAAGAATAGCAAATAAGCACATGAAAAAATGTTCAATATCATTAGCCCTTAGGGAAATGCAAATCAGGATACTACTACAGGATGAGATACTATTACACACCTATTAGAGTTACTAAACTAAAAAATCACGACAAGACCACATACTGGATGGAACAACTTAACTCTCATATGTTAGAGGTGATAATTCAAAATGTTACAGCCACTCTGGAAAACAGTTTGGCAGTTTCCTATCAAATTAAACATGTACTTATCCAATGACTCATCAGTGGCACTCCTAGTTATCTACCCTAGAGAAATGAAAACTAAAATGTTTATAGAAACTATTTATAATCGTCAAATCCGGAAACAACCCAAATATACTTCAATGAGTAAATAGTAATAAACATACTGTGGAGCATCCATCCAATGGAACACTACTCAGCAGCAAAAAGGAACCAACTATTAACATTGTCTTCGTCAAGACTGCTATATACCATAGACAGGATGGCTTAAATGACTGACATATTTCTCACAGTTCTAGAGGCTGAGAAGTCCAAGATCAAGGTGCCCTTAGATTCAATTCGGTTCTTGGCTAAGGCCTTCTTCCTGGCTTGCCAAGAGCAGCCTTCTCATGGTTTCCTGACAAGGAGGAGAAAATGAGTTCTATTTGGTGTCTCCTCCCCAGCTTTTTTTTTTTTTTTTTTTCTCTTGAGACAGAGTCTTTCTCTGTCTCCCAGGCTGGAGTGCAGTGGCGCGATCTCAGCTCACCGCAACCTCCGCCTCCCAGGTTCAAGCGATTCTCCTGCCTCAGCCTCCCGAGTAGCTGGGGCTACAGGCTCCCGTCACCACGCCCGGCTAATTTTTCGTATTTTTAGTAGAGGCGGGGTTTCACCGTGTTAGCCAGGATGGTCTCTGGTCTGATCTCCTGACCTCGTGATCCGCCCACCTCAGCTTCCCAAAGTGTTGGGATTACAGGCGTGAGCCACGGCACCCGGCCTCTTCCTCTTTTTATAAAGGCACTAATCCCGTTGAAGGACTCCACCCTCACAATCCAAACCTAATTATCTCCCAAAGGCCCCACCTCCTAATATTACATTGAGGGTTAGGATTTCAACATAGGAAGTTGGGGTTGGGCATAAACATTCAGTCCATAGCAGATACACACAACAACATGAATAATTATCAAAGATAGTATCCTAAGCCAGTCTCAAAAGGTTATATGCTATACGTTTCCATTTATATGATATTGTGGAAAAGGCAAAACTATAGGTACTGAGAACACATCCGTAGTTGTCAAGGGTTAAGGTGGAGGAGGATAGGACCATAAAAGGATAGCATGAGTTAGTATTTTGGGTGATAGAACTATTCTGTATCCTGATTGTGATGGTTATTGCATGAATTTATATATGTTAAAACCTCTAGAGCTAAAACTCTCCCCAAAAAAGTCAATTTTGTTGTATATTAATTTAAAAAATTAAAAGATGGTGTTAGATTCTAGTTAGGGAGCAAGAGTATCAGAAAAGGACATTTATGTAAACCTAAGTGTACTACAAGCCGAGATCATTACCAGTTATAACTAGGATATAGCGATTGTCTATTTAAGGGAAAGAATTTTTTTTTAAGTAATGGAACTACGGTTAACCTTACAAACTTCAAAATAGTAAAATACGTAAAGAGAAATTAACACTAGCCTGTGAATCTGGTAGTGGGAAGAAGATTCACTGGCGGAGGAATAAGGAGTCCTGCTCAAATATCAGACTCCAGAGCACATCAAATGGAGCCTGAGCCTGAAGATGAGTGTAACGACAGAAGAACGTGAGCAAGAGTCAGATCTGAAGAATGGAGAGGCATTTCTTCACTGTCTCCCCTACTCCTTTTTTTTTTTTTTTTTTTTTTTTTTTTTTTTTGAGACGGAGTCTCGCTCTGTCGCCCAGGCTGGAGTGCAGTAGCGCGATCTCGGCTCACTGCAAGCTCCGCCTCCCGGGTTCACGCCATTCTCCTGCCTCAGCCTCCGGAGTAGCTAGGACTACAGGAGCCCGCCCACCATGCCCGGCTAATTTTCGTATTTTTAGTAGAGACAGGGTTTCACCGTGTTAGCCAGGATGGTGTCGATCTCCTGACCTCCTGATCCGCCTGCCCAAAGTGCTGGGATTACAGGTGTGAGCCACCGCCCCTGGCCTTTTTTTTTTTTTTTTTTTTTTTTTGAGACAGAGTCTTGCTCAGTCGCGCAGGTTGAAGTGCAATGGCGAGATCTCGGCTCACTGCAACCTCCGCCCCCCAAGTTCAAACGGTTCCCCTTTTGAAGAGAGCAATTCAGAGGGCCATTAACTATATAAGCACAAGAAAAGTCCAAAGATCCTGGAGCTACCTAGGGAACAGAGCTCCAAAGAAAGCCTCCTGCGTGGAAGCTTCCCTGAGGAAGAGCTGATAACACCTTAAACCTCCTCTGGATTCAAGTTAAAGGTGAGAGGGAAATTTTCCAGTGGAATCCTGCCCAGCAGTTAATTACAAATGGCAAATTTTAAATCATCTCTGCTTTGGTGTTCTGTGTTAGAATGGAAATGGAGATGGACAAACTGTTTACTTCTTTCATTTACTTTGTAGCGCTGGGGTGAGGGGACTCTAGGCTGTTTTGTTTCAAGGAATTGTTTAAACTTTTTATTAAATTTTATTTTAATCAAGACGGAGTCTCGGTCTGTCACACAGGCTGGAGTGCAGTGGCGCTAGCTCGGCTCACTGCAACCTCCGCCTTCTGGGTTCAAGCGATTCTCCTGCCTCCCGGGTTCAAGTGATTCTCCTGCCTCAGCCTCCCGAGTAGCTGGGATTACAGGCGCTCAACACCATGCCCAGCTAATTTTTGTATTTTTAGTAGAGGTAGGGTTTCGCCATTTTGGCCAGGCTGGTCTGGAACTCCTGGCCTCAAATGAGCCTACTGCCTTGGGCTCCCAAAGTGGTGAGATTACAAGCGTGAACCACTGCATCCAGCTCAGATTTTCAAAGTGAGGGTAAATTCTAGGAAATAAAACAGAAGATTATAGAGGTGAATAATTTAAGAATTTTAATTAATGCATAGAAAATAATAGTGCATAGTGCTGGTGTCTTAGAATATGTTTACTATTCTTTGAATATTTATTTCTGAAATTCGTCCCTTCATTTGACAGAGCTGTATGTGGATTACTACAAATGTCCACCAGAGGGAGACTCAAGACTGAGTTTTCCCCTTGGGGTTCCTTCAGGTTTAATTAGTACTTGGGCCAAAATCTCTACCACATGTTGTTATAGGGAGGCAATCCAAGACGGCGAAGAGATTTATGGTTCTGGAATGAGATAAAAGGATAAATAAAGGGATGGTTCTATCCTTAAACATCCCTGCTTTTTCTCTGGGGCTTGGGTCACTTTCTCTTACTGATCCTCTGAGGTTTGCAAAACTGAGTTATTTGTCTGCTTTTGAAAGCAAAGCCCTTAGGATTCCTGGCACTATCCACGCTGAAAAAAACCGTAGGAATACTCCCACCCACTAGCAAAGAAATGTGTCATTCAACTCACAGGAGGCATTTACTAAATTCAGGAGATCCCTCCAGGGATTATAATGTTCTGCCAGAGCCAAAGGCAATCTAGTCCCAAGCCATACCATGGAATTTGGTAGAGGATGGTTTTAGTCTTCCCTGAAGTCTTCATTTGTTAGTTCATTCAACAAAGAGGAAGACTTTATTAAGAGGCAGGTATTGTTTCACTTTTTAAAAGATATCTCTAATTATAGGAAAAATCTAATAATGAAATGAATTTATCATTAACATGCAAAAGCTGTTCTAAAACAGATTTCTGAATAGAACATGTTGTTGGTATAGTTTACATTTGAGATTTTAGGAAACACTTTTATATCACCTATTATGTGCAAAGGGGAAAAGCTTTTTGACAAACAGATATTAACATAGAAGTACAACTATGAGGCACTGCTGTGATTTTCCTTTTCAGAGTTTTGTTTTTTAATAAATCAGACATAGATGGTTGCACAATTACTTTCTATTCATGATCACCTAATTTCCCACATTAAGCCCTGAAACCAAATCTTGAAAATGAAAATAAAATTAGACTGCAACCTGCCACCCACTAGGGAACAAACACCTCTACATGCCTTGGCTACAAATTTAACAATAAAAAAAGACTTTAAATCCCACTTTAATATCTAGGACTTGGGGGTCTGGGGTCAGGTAAAAGCAGGGTAATAGCAAAGGAGTGATTTTTCCCTTACTTCTAGGTTAAGCAGGCTGGTTGTACGGGGAAGCAGTGACTGGTAAAGAGTTAAAGCTCACAGAGTTAACTCACTGGTTAAGAGTTAAAGCTGGTTAAGAGTACCAGCTCACAGATTTGCAGTGAGAAAGAACCCAAGCTCTTAGCATCCTTTTCCTTGGGCTCTAAATCAGTTGTGGGAAACAGTGAAAGGTAACATACAGGACAGGATTTTTTTAGCGAGATCACCTTCAGCCATGGTTTCTGATGCAAAATGTTCTCCCGCCAGCACCCAAGACCATAGATGCTGTGGCGGTGGTGGCAGCAAACACTGGGCATGCTTGGACGGGCAGCCACAGGGTTGCCACGGTCTCGGCAGGGTCTAGTAGACAGAGGTCTTGTGATATCTGCTGGGAGTCATGGGAACAAGTGGGAATTTATCTTTGGTTCCAGAGAACATAAAATGACCCATTTCTTCCAGTTGCGCAATAAAAGAGAAACTTAAGAAGGAAAAATGAACCAGTATAAAATGTAAACTTAGCTGTGTCTGTTTTGGTCCTAGAGGAGCAAAGGTGATTGGATTGACTGCAGAGACTATGACACCTCGCCATTTCCTCTTGTCCATAAACAGACACAGAATTGCAAGAACTTTTACGGCCAAAGGTTAATCATAGAAAGGGATTGGTTTCCATCTCCAAGAAACAAATCCGTACCAGAAATCTGATGACATGTTCCTGGATGGACCATAAAAACCATTTTCCTAAATAACATCAGCTGACTCTCTGGATTCTATCTTTGGGACTATCCTCAAATTCATTAGGGAAATCATTATATTGAATCAGTTTAATTTTACCAGGGTATCACACCATTTGCAAAGCTATGTCATACAATCACATAGTCAGTATGGATGAAAATACTATTAATTAGAGATAAGCATTTGTCCAAGAACTTGCTGTAATAGGATCTTGTGGGGATTTATCAAATCTTGTGAGGATTTATCGTAGTCCTTTGCCAATCAGAAACACAAAATAGATTTAGATGTAAAAATGGAGTTCTCCATCTTACAGGAATAGGTCCTTGTGACTTTTTCTTTCTAAGAAAAAAAATGAGCTCATTTCATTATTCTCACCCTCCTCTCCTGTTTAAAGAAATCTGATCTGGTAGGAAATAACAAGCAATGAGCCTTAAATTTTAGTATTATCTTTTTAAGAGTTTCTTAAAATTGCCTTTTGAAAGTAGTTCAGGCTTAGGCCCAAAAATAATTATACTTAGGTCATAAAAACAGAATTTCTAATATGCAAAATTCTTTTAGAAAATCTTTTAAAACATAATAACCATGTAAACCTTACTCTCCATTTCTTTATGAAGAATGGAAATTAAACATGATAAAATAATCTAATTTTGGCCAGGCACAATGGTGTTTGCCTGTAATCCCAGTGCTTTGGGAGGCTAATGTGGGAGGATCACTTGAGCCCAGGAGTTCAAGACAGCCTGGGCAACACAGCAAGACCCTGTCTCTACAAAATATTTAAAAATTAGCCTGGCATGCTGGTGCATGCCTGTAATCCCAGCTACTCAGGAGGCTGAGGCAGGAGGACTGCTTGAGCCTAGGAGTTCAAGGTTACAGTGAGCTATGATAGTGCCACTGCACTCATGCCTGGGCAACAGTATGGCCCTATCTCTTAAAAAAAAAAAATCGAATTTCTTCACAATCAACTTTTGAATGACTTCTTAAATGACAAAATAGGCTGGGTGCAACGGCTCATGCCTTAATCCCAACACTTTGGGAAGCTGAGGCAGGAGAATTGCTTGAGGATAGGAGTTTGAGAGCAGCCTGGGCAACAGAGGAAGACCCCATCTCTACAAAAAATACAGAAATTAGCCAGGTTTGGTGGTGCATGCCTGTAGTCCCAGCTACTTGGGAGGCTGAGGTGGGAGGATCACTTGAGCCCAGGAGGTCAAGGCTACAGTGAGTCATGATCTTGCACTCCAGCCTGGGTGACAGAACGAGACCTTGTATCAAAAAAAATTAAAATAAAATAAGTGACAAAATATATTTATCTTATAGCTTAATATATTTGTGTTTCCTAATGGAAAAGTTGTAAGATAAAGTCCCACAGGAATGAATTCTAGAACGGCTCTATAATTATAATTTATGTAAACTACACACTTGTATATTATAGCTTTACAAATCATGTTACACTCTAGTAAAACTAATCTAATAAAGTAATTTCCTCAGTGTGCCCCCAGACAAAGCTCAGAGAAACATGTGGCTTAGCCAAAGGTAGGTATGTGGTAGATCCCAGCCCAGAATGCAAGTGTCCTAATCCAGTGCTCTTTTTTGGCCATCATGATGTTCCTACTCTCTGCTAGATTAGCTCTTGCCATCTCACCATGTTCCTGAAGCCCTCCTCTAAGTGTTGAGCCTCTGGACCTCCCTAGTCTGGGTTCTCTGACATAACCCCTCACATCCCACCTGGCCTCCCTTAGCCCATCCTTCCTTGATCATTCTTCCTTGCCCTCTGCTAATAAGGCCACGCTAACATATATCTGACTTGTTTTCTCCATCAAAAATCTACATCCCCTTCCCTTAACCGTAGAACTAGATATTCTCTGCCTACCAAGGTTACAGTTATCTTGCCTAATAAATTCATCTGTCTATGCCACGCTTGTCCAACCCATGGCCAGTGAACCACATGAGGCCCAGGATGGCTTTGAATGTGGCCCAACACAAATTTGTGAACTTTCTCAACACACTAAGAGTTTTTTTGCAATTTTTTTTTTTTTTTTTTTTTTTTAGCTATCACTATCATTAGTGTATTTTATGTGTGGCCCAAGACAATTCTTCTTCTTCCCATGTGGACCAGGGAAGCCAAAAGATTAGACACCCCTGGTCCCCACACTAAGGAAAGAGGGCTAGAGAAGCTCTTTCCCCTCCTAGGTGACATATGCATGGCTTCTGGAGGAAGAAAAGATATTACAACAGTAGCGCTCTTCAGACCAGCATTGAAGTACCCCATGGAGGCCCTTTATCAGATTATTGATACATTGAAAACTACCAGATCTCTGTCTTCAGTCTTGATACCTTACTGAAGTTCCAGATCTCTATATCCAATTGCCTGTTGGAATTAGTGTGACGGTCAGTTTTAGTTACCTATGGTTAGTGGTCATACTGGCCCTGAGCATAGACTTAAAGGGCCTCCATGGGGTACAACTCAGATGTCTTTTTTCCAGGAATAATCACATCAATCTCAACAACCCACTGCCTACCCAGAATGACCTCTATCTTTGAGAATAAGTATTTTAGCACAAGAAGATTCTGGCCTTTGATTGGAACAAGATCAATGCAACAACAGGCTTAGCAGCTTACAAACAAAATGGGAAGTAATAATAACTTGTTTATAGAGAACACCTGCCACAGGCCAGACACTGGAGACACTATTTATTTTTATTTATTTATTTATTTTGAAACAGAGTCTCGCTCTGTCACCTAGGCTGGAGTGCAGTGGCACCATCTCCGCTCACTGCAACCTCTGCCTCCTCTGGGGTTCAAGTGATTCTCCTGCCTCAGCCTCCCAAGTAGCTGGGATTACAGGGGCACACCACCACACCTGGCTAATTTTTGTATTTTAGTAGAGACAGGGTTTCACCATGTTGGTCAGGCTGGTCTCAAACTCGTGACCTCAGGTGATCTGCTCACCTTGGCCTCCCAAAGTGCTAGGATTACAGGCGTGAGCTACCACAATATTATTAATTAATTTGTTAATTAATTTAACATATATTCAAGGGTAACCTACTACCTGCTAGGCACATTTTAAAGTCTAGAGATAAGAGAGAGTATGCTATTTGGGGGGAATTCTAACTTTATTATTCAATACAATCAGAACATAGAGTTCCAGAGAAGAGTGGAAAAAGATAAGGCTCAAGAGGTAAAGCCAAGAAGGCAAAAAATCAAGAAGACCTAGTGTCACACGAAGGATTTTTGACATTTATGTTTTATAAATAAAGAAAGGAAAGGAGAGAGGGAAGGAGAAAAATAAACTTTTTATCTGAGGAATGTGAACCCCCTCTAATTATCAGGCCTAGAGGCATTGAAATGTGGCAGCATGTGAAACAGTCACCCACTCCCCACTTGAGCTAAATAATTGCCTCTTAAAGCCCCTTGCTATGTGGGTTCTAGACACTGACACTAAGTCACCATAAAATGCCATACCTGGACACCATAACTCACACCCTATAGTTCAACAATGTATAGCCAATCACTAACCAATGTTATTTCTGTAAACCAATGAGAATTCCTGCCGAACAACTTTGTATCAGCCCACTCCTTGTCTCTTTTTGCCTAAAAAACCTGCTTGTAACAAAGACCAAGTGGAGCACTCCCCAAGGCAACTTGGAAGTGTGTCACAGGCAGCTGTCCTCAATCTTAGCCTCACAGGCAGCTGTCTTCAACCTTGGCCCAAACAAACTCTCTATATGAATTGTTCCTCAGTTTCTTTCTTTGCATTGATAGATGGAAAGAAGGAAGTCACTGAACAGTTTTAATTAGGAAAAAAATTTGCACTGTAGGAAAATTCCTCTAATAGCAGTGCAGAATTGCAGCAGTAATCTAGGAGAGAAAAAGGCCAGAACAAAGGTGGTGACAGTAGGAAAAGAGGGAATTAGAAATGTCCAAAAGACAGCAAAGGTAGAATCAATGGCTCTAGTAACTATCTGAAGAGACTGAGCTGAGAATGGGGAGGGAGAAGGTGAAAGTGACTGCCATGTTTTTGGTTTGGGCGGCCAGGTAAAGGAGGTGCCATTAACTGAGATAAGAAGGAGAAGGAGCATGTGTAAGGAAGAAGACAATGGTTTGATTTTTGTCCTTTGAATTTAAGATGCTGGTGAAATATCTTAACTATATTAGAGTTTTCCAGAGAAACAGAACCTATAGGATATATAGACATATATAAGAGGAGATTTATTTTGGGAATTGGTTCATGCAATTATGAAGGCTGAAAAGTCCCGTGATATGCCATCTGCAAGTGAGAGAACCAGGAAAGCTGGTTGTGTAATTCAGTATGAGTCTGAAGACCTAAAAACCTGGAAGCGTTGAGGGGAGAACTACTGGCCTAAGTCCCAAAGGCCTGATAACCAGGAATTCTAATGTCCGAGGGCAGGAGAAGATAGATGTCCCTGCTCAAAAGAAAGTGAATTTGCCCTTCTTCCACCTTCTTGATCTATCCTCAGTGGATTGGATGATGCCCACCCACACTGGTGAGGGTGGATCTTTATTCAGTCTACTGATTCAGATATTAATCTCTTCTGGAAACACACACAGAGATACACCCAGAAATAGTGTTTTCACAACTATCTGGGTATCCCATCAAGTTGACACATAAAACTAACCATTATACTAACTGTCCAACAGGCAATTGGATATAGAGATCTAGAACGTCAGTAAGGTATCAAGACTGAATACAGAGATCTGGTAGTTTTCAGTGTATCAACAGTCTTCACCAAAAACATCTAGAATTATTCCTATTTTACAGATTAAAAGCCCATACTGCATATCTATTGATGCCATATGCCCAGAACCCTTTCCTTCTTGATTTAGTAACAGCCTCCATCTTTAAAAAATGAAAACCATTAAAAAACCACTTCTCCCAGACCGTAGGTAAGTGGTTTGGGTGGAGCCAGTGTCATGTCCTATGCCTCCCAAGGCCAGTGACCCAAGCTGACCATTATAGTACCTTACACTTCTGGCCACAGTCTCAAGGTGACCTGATCAAAAGAATGAGAATCTTGAGTAGATTTTTGTAAACTATAACTGGTGTGAAGGTCTCCTTCCTCTCATAGCAAAACTGTTCACATGTCTGCACCAAACTACTAATATACAACACAGACAGGCAGAAGTGCAGTGGGAGGGAATCAAACTGAGGTCCATGAGAAGCAGAGAGGAAGCCCAGTTGCAGTAAAACCTTGGTTCCCATGTGTTCTACTATGCCCCTGCCCTTCTAGTTACATCAACCGTGAATCCATCCCAGGGGCCAAGCTAGTTCAACTTGAGTCTTTGTCCCAAGTAATAAAAGATGCAGAAATTGAGACTTGAATAGTTTAAATGACTTGACCAAGATAATACTCAGACAAGTAATAGGCAGACCTTCAAATCAAACCCAGGGCATTCTGGCCACTGCATGGTATTGCCAAGTACAGGGTTCTAAAGTGATGCCCACTTTCTGGCTAGAGGAGAATCTCCAGACTATGTGGTTGAGTGAACAACTACAACAAAAAAAATAGTCAAGACCCGGGTTCAAATTTGGACAAGCTCAATTACTGCAACATTAAGCAAATCAATTACTCTTTTTGAGGCCCACTTATAAAATGAAATAATATCGCTCCTGCTCACTCTATAGGTGTTTGGTTAATTAAGGATGTTAATACATGTGAGAGCATTTTGAAAACAGTAAAGAACCTGCCCCAAGGTAAGTAATGCTAATCTCTATCAGCAATAGAAATGTGTATTGAATCTATTCTCTCTCTTGTTGCTAAAACCTACAATCTTAGGGGTGGGAAACAGAAATCAAGAATGTTATCTCATCCATGTTAATTTCCATCTGAATAAACAGTCACTTCTGTGTTATTGTTGTTACTGAACATTTATTGAAAGCCAGACAGGGTCTGGGTGCCCTGGAAAATACAAAATCTAGAGAAGTGTCTGGGAAAGGCAGGAAACCCAGAGCAATGCTTGGCATGGTACTTGGGAACAAGAAACCAAATGTGTGGTTCCCAAGTCCCCTTCAGAATTAACATAGCACTGTGTCCACATTACTGAGCCTGTTCTGCACTGCCTATTTCCACTCCCCACTCTCATGGGGCATTTTTGGAGACTGGTAAGATAATTCAGTATGCAGGTCTTGGGGGACAGAGTATGATGTTATGTAATTAGGCTTGACTCTGTTTATTGCAGACATCACTTCATTTTGAAAACAGAAATCTGTCTTTTCCTTTGGAGCATTTTTTATAACATCATAAGGATGTCAGTGTTTCTCTTTGCTGCACAGGTATACTGTGCTTAGACGATAGGAAATTTTTGGCCTGAAAATGTACATGTAAATCATATTTCATCAAAATCAAATTACATCCAAAATACAATTGAGGCGTTCACTATTTCTGGGGTCCCTGTGGAAAATCATACAAGAGGCAATACTGCATATAGGAAAGAATGGAGGGTGGGAGCCAGAAAATCAAACTGAAGCCCCAGTTCAATCTCTTCCTACCTGTGTGACTTTTGGTAAGTCTTTTAGCCTCTGCCCAACAGTTTTCACATCTGTAAAATGAAGATGCCATGAGGTTGGTTTTTTTTTTTAACCTACTTTATGGATTTTGTGAGGACCCAGTGAAATGTTTTAGAGAAGGATAAAGAAAGGCTAAATCCATATCCTCTAGGATTTCAAACCCTCTTCATAAAAATCCACTTACAAGAATTGGAAACAACACAGGGGGGAAAGCAAAGGGTATGAAAATGAAGCCATTTTAAGCAACAAGCGTATTGCCACACATAGCCAGACTCCATACATTATATTTCTTGAATGAATAAAAAGAAGGTATAGCTGATTCTGCCACCATTTACTATTCTGTGCCTTGGGAAATCTCAAACAGCCTTACACTTGGGTGGCACTCACTTATTCTTACAATAAAGATCACCAGCAACCTAATAAAAAATAACTCATTCTTAGAGTGCCACAGTTGCACAAATCACTTGCATGCCTTAAGTGATTCATTTGAGAAGTCTTTTCTGTCACAAGATATGTTTCTCAGAATGTGATTCTCAAGACACCAGAGTCAGAATTACCTAGATTCATGTAGCAAATGTAGAATTCTAGATCAAGCCCACATTTGACAAATTAGAATCTCTGGGGATGTGTCTGGATAATTTGCATTTTCACACACACACACACACACACACACACACACACACACAGATACACACTAACCCACTCCTACACTGTAATTCCAAAGTTTGACAGCAATTTTCAGGTTTCCAAGAATAAGAAAAACTATGACATCTTTGGAAGAACCTGGCTCAGTAAAAGTTCCTTTAATCTCCTCGGCCTTTTTTTTTTTTTTTTTGTCTTTGCTAAATGTAATAAACACTTCTAGTAAGTCCTGGAAATTAATCATGCCATAAAAAGTTAATTAAAACTAACTTAAACCTATAAAAAGAATCAGTCCCTGAAATTTACACATGTACACTGTACATTTATTATGTAATTTACACATGTACACTGTGAAGCATAATATAATTTTTTTTGTGAATAGCTTTTTCATCTAACAATATATCTTGGATAACTTTCCATGTTGCTACTTATGGATCTATATTTTTCTTTCTTTTTTTATTTTTTTATTATACTTTAAGTTCTAAGGTACATGTGCACAACGTGCAGGTTTCTTACATATGTATACATGTGCCATGTTGGTGTGCTACACCCATTAACTCGTCATTTACATTAGGTATATCTCCTAATGCTATCCCTCCCCCAGGCCCCCACCTCACAACAGGCCCCGGTGTGTAATGTTCCCCTTCCTGTGTCCAAGTGTTCTCATTGTTCAATTCCCACCTATGAGTGAGAACATGCAGTGTTTGGTTTTTTGTCCTTGCGATAGTTTGCTGAGAATGATGGTTTCCAGCTTCATCCATGTCCCTACAAAGGACATGAACTCATCATTTTTTATGGCTGCATAGTATTCCATGGTATATATGTGCCACATTTTCTTAATCCAGTCTATCATTGATGGACATTTAGGTTCATCTACTGTAGTTAGGTTTGCTACTGTTAGTAGTGCTGCAATAAACATACGTGTGCATGTGTCTTTATAGCAGCATGATTTATATTCCTTTGGGTATATACCCAGTAATGGGATGGCTGGGTCAAACGGTATTTCTAGTTCTAGATCCCTGAGGAATCGCCACACTGTCTTCCACAATCGTTGAACTAGTTTACACTCCCACCAACAGTGTAAAAGTGTTCCTATTTCTCCACATCCTCTCCAGCACCTGTTGTTTCCTGACTTTTTAATGATTGCCATTCTAACTGGTGTGAGATGGTATTTCACTGTGGTTTTGATTTGCATTTCTCTGATGGCCAGTGATGATGAGCATTTTTTCATGTGTCTGTTGGCTGCATAAATGTCTTCTTTTGAGAAGTGTCTGTTCATAGCCTTCACCCACTTTTTGATGGGGTTGTTTGTTTTTTTCTTGTAAATTTGTTTGAGTTCTTTGTAGATTCTGGATATTAGCCCTTTGTCAGATGAGTAGATTGCAAAAATTTTCTCCCATTCTGTAGGTTGTCTGTTCACTCTGATGGTAGTTTCTTTTGCTGTGCAGAAGCTCTTGAGTTTAATTAGATCCCATTTGTCAATTTTGGCTTTTGTTTCCATTGTTTTTGGTGTTTTAGACATGAAGTCCTTGCCCATGCCTATGTCCTGAATGGTATTGCCTAGGTTTTCTTCTAGGGTTTTTATGGTTTTAGGTCTAACATTTAAGTCTTTAATCAATCTTGAATTAATTTTTGTATAAGGTGTAAGGAAGGGATCCAGTTTCAGCTTTCTACATATGGCTAGCCAGTTTTCCCAACACGATTTATTAAATAGGGAATCCTTTCCCTATTTCTTGTTTTTGTCAGGTTTGTCAAAGATCAGATAGTTGTAGATGTGTGGTATTATTTCTGAGGGCTCTGTTCTGTTCCATTGGTCTATATCTCTGTTTTGGTACCAGTACCATGCTGTTTTGGTTACTGTAGCCTTGTAGTATAGTTTGAAGTCAGGTGGCGTGATGCCTCCAGCTTTGTTCTTTTGGCTTAAGATTGACTTGGCAATGTGGGCTCCTTTTTGGTTCCATATGAACTTTAAAGTAGTTTTTTCCAATTCTGTGAAGAAAGTCATTGGTAGCTTGATGGGGATGGCATTGAATCTATAAATTACCTTGGGCAGTATGGCCATTTTCACGATATTGATTCTTCCTATCCATGAGCATGGAATGTTCTTCCATTTGTTTGTATCCTCTTTTATTTTGTTGAGCAGTGGTTTGTAGTTCTCCTTGAAGAGGTCCTTCACATCCCTTGTAAGTTGGATTCCTAGGTATTTTATTCTCTTTGAAGCAATTGTGAATGGGACTTCACTCATGATTTGGCTCTCTGTTTATCTATTATTGGTGTGTAAGAATGCTTGTGATTTTTGCACATTGATTTTGTATCCTGAGACTTTGCTGAAGTTATCAGCTTAAGGAGATTTTGGGCTGAGACAATGGGGTTTTCTAAATATACAATCATGTCATCTGCAAACAGAGACAATCTGACTTCCTCTTTTCCTAATTGAATACCCTTTATTTCTTTCTCCTGCGCCTGATTGCCCTGGCCAGAACTTCCAACACTATGTTGAATAGGAGTGGTGAGAGAGGGCATCCCTGTCTTGTGCCAGTTTTCAAAGGGAATGCTTCCAGTTTTTGCCCATTCAGTATGATATTGGCAGTAGGTTTGTCATAAATAGCTCTTATTTTGAGATATGTCCCATCAATACCTAATTTTTTGAGAGTTTTTAGCATGAAGGGCTGTTGAATTTTGTCAAAGGCCTCTTCTGCATCTATTGAGATAATCAAGTGGTTTTTGTTGTTGGTTCTGTTTATATGCTGGATTACATTTATTGATTTGCGTATGTTAAACCAGCCTTGCATCCCAGGGTTGAAGCCCACTTGATCATGGTGGATAAGCTTTTTGATGTGCTGCTGGGTTCAGTTTGCCAGTATTTTATTGAGGATTTTTGCATCGATGTTCATCAGGGATATTGGTCTAAAATTCTCTTTTTTTGTTGTGTCTCTGCCAGGCTTTGGTATCAGGATGATGCTGGCCTCATAAAATGAGTTAGGGAGGATTCCCTCTTTTTCTATTGATTGGAATAGTTTCAGAAGGAATGGTACCAGCTCCTCCTTGTACCTCTGGTAGAATTCATCTATGAATCTGTCTGGTCCTGGACTTTTTTGGTTGGTAAGCTATTAATTATTGCCTCAATTTCAGAGCCTGTTATTGGTCTATTCAGAGATTCAACTTCTTCCTGATTTAGTCTTGGGAGGGTGTATGTGTCGAGGAATTTATCGATTTCTTCTAGATTTTCTAGTTTATTTGCGTAGAGGTGTTTATAGTATTCTTTGATGGTAGTTTGTATTTCTGTGGGATCGGTGGTGATATCCCCTTTATCATTTTTTATTGTGTCTATTTGATTCTTCTGTCTTTTCTTATTAGTCTTGCTAGCAGTCTATCAATTTTGTTGATCTTTTCAAAAAACCAGCTCCTGGATTCATTGATTTTTTGAAGGGCTTTTTGTGTCTCTATCTCCTTCAGTTCTGCTCTGATCTTAGTTATTTCTTGCCTTCTGCTAGCTTTTGAATGTGTTTGCTCTTGCTTCTCTAGTTCTTTTAATTGTGATGTTAGGGTGTCAATTTTAGATCTTTTCTGCTTTCTCTTGTGGGCATTTAGTGCTATAAATTTCCCTCTACACACTGCTTTAAATGTGTCCCAGAGATTCTGGTATGTTGTGTCTTTGTTCTCATTGGTTTCAAAGAACATCTTTATTTCTGCCTTCATTTTGTTATGTACCCAGTAGTCATTCAGGAGCAGGTTGTTCAGTTTCCATGTAGTTGAGTGGTTTTGAGTGAGTTTCTTAATCCTGAGTTCTAGTTTGATTGCACTGTGGTCTGAGATACAGTTTGTTATAATTTCTGCTCTTTTACTTTTGCTGAGGAGTGCTTTACTTCCAACTATGTGGTCAATTTTGGAATAGGTGCGGTGTGGTGCTGAGAAGAATGTATATTCTGTTGATTTGGGGTGGAGAATTGTGTAGATGTCTATTAGATCTTCTTGGTGCAGAGCTGAATTCAATTCCTGGATATCCTTGTTAACTTTTTGTCTCATTGATCTGTCTAATGTTGACAGTGGGGTGTTAAAGTCTCCCATTATTATTGCATGGGAGTCTATGTCTATTTGTAAGTCTCTAAGAACTTGCTTTATGAATCTGGGTGTTCCTGTATTGGATGCATATATATTTAGGATAGTTAGCGCTTCTTGTTGAATTGATATCTTTACCATTATGTAATGGTCTTCTTTGTCTCTTTTGATCTTTGTTGGTTTAAAGTCTGTTTTATCAGAGACTAGGATAGCAACCCCTGCCTTTTTGTTTGCTTGGTATATATTCCTGCATCCCTTTATTTTGAGCCTATGTGTGTCTCTGCACGTGAGATGGGTTTCCTGAATACAGCACACTGATGGTTCTTGACTCTTTATCCAATTTGCCAGTCTATGTCTTTTAATTGGAGGATTTAGCCCATTTACATTTAAGGTTAATATTGTTATGTGTGAATTTGATCCTGTCATTATGATGTTAGCTGGTTATTTTGCTTGTTAGTTGATGCATAATGTAAATGTTATGTATTATGTGCCTAATCATCTGCTGGTTCAGTTTTTTAATATTTGGATTATTTAGTATCTGGTTTTGTTTAACGGAACAGGACTGTGGTCAGAACAATGGCATGGTCAACCGGGATGCCCTCCTTCTGCAAGATAGGGAAGGGCGGGTGCTACATGACTGTGGGAACCAGGTGTCTGGCAATTGGGATGGTAACTGTCAAGAAATGCAAGTGTCTGAGGCTTTACCCTACTGGCAAGCTAACTTGTTTTATGGATGCTGTTAGAAGATGCAAGATTCCTGGATCAGGGAAAAGGATTTTATTACCTAAGCCACAGGAAGCAGCATGAACTTCATGCTTGCATCAGTTTCCCTTGCCCATCAGGTCACACAGGGGCAAAGTAGAGATTCCCAGGTTGGTGCTGTATACACTATGGGTTTCTATCACAGTTGAGTAATCTCAAGCTTAGGAAACCCAAATCTTATAATGGGCTGCAAGCAAACCTGCTTAACCTTTGCTCCAGAGAGAGACATACTGAACAAAAGCAAAGCTCTACTCTGGAGGAAGACACTATCTCTTTTTTCCAAGACTTTTCACTATAAAACATCCTTGGAAAGGTTGTCTGGAACAAAGGGCTGTCAGTGCCTCTGTTCACTAGCTGTGCAAGAGATGTATGTAGAAGTAGAATTACCTTCAACAGTGACTTAGCAGGTTCTGAAAAAAAAACCTGGAGTCACGAAATATCAGCCCATTTTATCATTCATCTGCACCAAAAGAAAATGTTGGTGAAATTAAAATTTAAAAACCCAACTCTCTACTCCCTCCCTTTCAAAAAAATTTAAGCAAAGCATGCAGCCTGGTACACAGTAGGCATCCAACAAGTGCTGATACCCATTCTCAGGCTCCCCACACATATCCTCTCACATAATTTTGGTGCTCATTTATTCTTTTCTTTGACATATGCTCTTATTTTCATTGTTTTCATCTTTATAAAAAATATTGATGTTGCAATTATGATTCGCAAAGGAATATGTCCTAGATGACCATATTTATAACTTCCCCAAAGGTCCAAAGAACTTTTTTGGATGTTTTGTACTGGAGTTGGTCTTGAGTTTCTGCACATGTGATACACTAGGTGGTGCTAATTGACTGAGCTGAGCAGGGACACTCTTTGCAGCGACGTTAAAGACTAAACCTCACTGAATAGATGTTTTTACAGACGTCAATCAAAGGAGGAAATCTCAATTATTAATAACTGCACTTCTTGAAGATATAAAGAGAAAATGCTATTAATAACGATCATGGTCTTTTCCTTCCCAAATTATTTATAATTACCTGCTTTGCCAAGGACAGAATTCAGCTCTAATTCTGCAGACATTGTCAGGTAATTGTTACGTTCAAGAAAAGCTCTAGCCTGAGTGAAATCTCCTAAACTAGAAAGTTGCCTTTCCTGGAGGAGCAACAATATGGAGAAATGCTTTGTAGAGCAAGGCAGAATTTTCTTTCCAGACCCAGGCAAGCTCAGGCAAGAACCTAAGACTACAGCCAGGTGTAGGGGAAAAAAATTCCTCAGCTGGTCTAGATCAACAAACCACTAAATCACTAAACTAAAGGGCTCCTTTACTAATTTGTCTTACATGGTCAGAAACATAATTTCAAGAAAAAGAAAGTCTTTATTTGAATTTATTGTTCAGACTAAAAGCGAATTAACCAGCAGGTAATCCAGGGCCAATATGAAACATAAAGGAAGATTTATATGAATCATACTTCCTCTGCATTGTATTACAGGAGAAATATAGTTCTAATTTGTAAACGTTCAAAGCATTTCTGACCCTTAAATAACTCCGATTTATAAAAGTAAACACACAAGCCAGCTTTTACTGTCTTTGTCTTTTATGAGTGCCGATGCATTAGGCAGCATTCTTGCAATGCCACACCAATGTGCCCCTACCAAGTAAGGTCAAAATAATAACTGTTCCAATTCTTTTTGTTGTTTTTTTTATAGAGATGGAGGTCTCACCATGTTGCCCAGGCTGGTCTCCAGCTCCTGGGCTCAAGTAATCCTCTCACCTCAGCCTCCCAAAGTGCTGGGATTATAGGCATGAGCCATCACACCCAGCAACTGTTCCGATTCTCAATGACACCTCTGTCTAGTGGAAATCCCACACCAGGTCTTTAGTTCTCCATTATATAAGTCATGAAACTGTCTTTATGAATGGCTGCACCTGGAAGTTTGATGCCTGAAGGTTTTTTTATGTAAACTGGATTATATTTAAGTAAAGATATCCACCCCATAGCTGCAAAGGACTGTCATCAGTGAAAGGAGAAGTTAAAAAAAAATAGAAAAAAATATATATATAGGTAGATATAAATTATTGGTAATATTTTAGTTCTCGAATGAGTAGCATCCATTATATTCTAAAAGCATAAATAAGCAAATAAAATAAGAAGGCCATTCATGAAACAATGACAATAATATTTTATGAAGCAAGGACTATAATTAATCCAATTCTATGTACTTAAATAAATAAACAGAATAAGTCAAAGGTAGCATAACATTCCACATCCATGTGACCCAATGCCTAAACATCTGCCTGTAACTACTCAACTCAGTCCTGGGAAATAACGTGGGCAAAAATAATTCAGAATCAGGATGTCTGGTTCTCCCACATTGGTGGGAACTTGAGTGAGGAACAGTCACGCTGATAATCTTTTTTTTTTTTTTTTTTTTTTGATACAGAGTCTCGCTCTGTTGCCAGGCTGGAGTGCAGTGGTGCAATCTCGGCTCACTGCAACCTCTGCTTCCCAGGTTCAAGTGATCTTCCTGCCTCAACCTCCTGAGTAGCTGGGACTACAGGCACGTGCCACCACGCCCATCTGTATTTTTAGTAGAGACGGGATTTCACCATGTTGGCCAGGATGGTCTCGATCTCTTGACCTCGTGATCTGCCCGCCTTGGCCTCCCAAAGTGCTAGGATTACAGGCATGAGCCACTGCGCCCGGCTGCATGCTGATAATCTTACAAGGCTTCAGGTCAGAGTAAGGGGACAGGTGCCTCCTTCCTGAGGAATGAAAATGTGCAAGGATCAGAAGAAACATCAGAAGTCATGTCCTGGTGTTATGGGATCTTTGGGGTGTCAATTTTCTGGCCAGAAACCTCTGTGGCCACAGCACCTTTGCCCAAGCTCTTGTCCTGAATCCAGGAAGAATGAAGTATGCAGACAAGTGAAGGGTGAACAAGACAAAAATGAGCTTTACTGAGTGTTACAACAGCTCAGAGGAGACCTGCAGTGGGTAGCTCCTCTCTGTAGGCAGGTCATCTATGGAGTTTTCAGTTCTCAGCAGAGAGGTGGCCCTGGAGAGGATAGCTCCTCTCTGCAACTGGTCATCCTGATGTCTGCAGCTCTGCAGCTCTCCCCCAGAGAGGAGGCCCTGGAGATGACGGCTCCTCTCTGCCAGCAAGTCGTCTCTGCAGCTCTCAGCAGAGAGGATAACTCCTCTCTGCAACTGGTCATCCCATCATCTGCAGCTATCAGCAGAGAGAATAGCTCCTCTCTACAGCTGGTCGTCCCATCCTCTCTTTCTCTCCCCTCTTTGTTCCTCTGGCCATCCTCTGCCCTGCTCTGGCTGAGCCCAGGGCTTTTATGGACCTCAGAGGGGAGGAAGTGTGTGCCTATTGGTCCATGGGCAGCCATGGGTGGTCCAGAAGAGGCACCACGAGTCCCCACTCCCATCCACAGGACTGGCAGCCCAGATCCAAGCCTTCAGGCCCTTCCCAGCCTGAAGGTGGGGCCTTAATGCGGGCTGCCCCCTTCCACCCAGGACTCTGCCTCTCGCTGCCATTCAAGGCCCAGGGCTCGGCCCCAACCCCACTCAGATATCCCAGCAGACACTGGGAAAGGAGAAGGGAGGGTTTTTCCTGGGGCCCCCAAGGTACAGGCTGCAGGGATGCCAGGGTCCTCCTGCGCCTAGGAGAGCGGGAGCTCCAGCCCCATCAACTCGGAAATGGGCTGGGCTCCTGCTTGTCCCGGCTCCTGCTCCATGAAACAGGAGGCCCAGGTCTGCAGCCTCGGGTCTGGCTGCTGCAGCTGCACCCAGGAGGGCAGATCCTGCCTGTTTCCGGCCCCCACCCAAGATCACTGGGAGGCTCCGATCCATAGCTGCAGTTTGGGTGGCTATAGCCCCACCCAGGAGGGCAGGTCTTCTGCCTGCTCCATAGAGCAGGAGGCCTGGGTCTGCAGCCACAATTCGGGCAGGGGCAGCGGCACCGAGGGAGCTCCCACCCCAACTCAGAAAGGGCGTGGCTCCCACCCGCTCCATGGAGTGTGCAGCCCCAGCTGCTCCTCCCTGCTGCAGCCGACGTGATGGCAGCAGCCACTGCCATCACTGGAAGAATGCCAAGTTCAAAGTCTGGAGCTTCTACAGCAGCACCTTAAGCAAGAGAGTTATACAAAGGTCAGTGATCCCAGTATGAGGTCAGGAGAGTAAAGAACAGATATAAGGCATCCTCCCTGCAAGAGACCCTCTACAGCCAGACCCTAGGAGTATAATGGCAAAAACTTGGGACTAAAGGTAAGCTATAGAGAGACATGGCTCAGAAGATGAGAAAAAGCATTCTCTAGCTTTGCTCAAGGTTCACAAGCAAACATTTTCTGTATCAATCCTTGATGTTAAAGGCCTTCTTAAAACAAAAGAGCATACTTTAGTTCTTTCAGTAAGTACAGTGTGATAATACAATCTAATACCTTTGATTCATTATTGGGAGCATTCATCTATTTATTCAGCCAACATTTACCTATTCTGTTCTTGGGACTGTGTTATGCATCAGTGTCAGTGTAAGGAAAATAGAATGGAGCCACAGAAGTTAAACAACATTGGACCTTATTTGTTGTTATCCTCCAAATGGGCTCTGAATGTGACTTTAATATCTCTGATAAGAGCCTTTCCTAGGGACATTTTCCTAGTAACAATTTTAAGTGTTTAAGATAATGTACATTAAAGTGTCTGGCCAGACATGTGGTAACATGTGGCTCTAGCTTGTGATCCCAGCACTTGGGGAGGCCAAGGCAGGAGGACTGCTTGAGACCAGGAGTTTGAGACCAGCCTGGACAACAAGTGAGATCCTGACTCTAACAACAAAAGCAACAACAACAAATGTCTACTGATTTGGCAGTCCTGGTTAATTTAGGATCTATTACATTTCCTGTACTGTACTTGTCCCAAATGTAAAAGCCTAAAAACTCCTACCTTCATTACACTGACTTCTTGCCAGCAGGGCACCCGACCCCCCTTCCCAAGACTCTAGAATGCTACAGATGCTAATAATAATGCCTTGAAGTCCAAAACAAACACATTAGCAAGGTCCTGGAAGTGTGCAATGAAAGCTACTAGGGACTTTCCATCCTGTCAAGCAAATTCATCATAGCCCAGTCAGTTATCAGGTTAAGCATAATTCTTTGATGAGCTTGTTAAAGGAAAATAAGTAAATTGGAGGCTATTCAAAGTCAGGGGCTGTGTTCTCAACTTCTTTGTAATTCCCCACAGTAAACTAGTATAATGCTTGGTTGACAGTTATTCCTCAATTAACAATTAGCTTTTGTTGATTTATCCCTTTTATTTTTCAAGCATAGAATAAGGGATAATGGGAGTTATATGAACAACAGGATATTCTTGACACACTTTCCTAGAACATCAAATTCACTCAAAGATTTGGAGACATAAGACATTTTTTTTTTAAAGTACAATGCAAGAATCTAAATGAATTTTTAAAATATGAAACAAAGACAATCCACACTTATGGCTGGGTATCTGAAGACATACCTTCAGGCCCCAGGTGATGATTGTCACTTTTTCTCTTTAGTGGAAAAATCTGCAGCAGACTGCTTGATGCCTGGTCACACACACACACACACACACACACACACAGAATTTGCCTCCCCCTCCACCCAAAAAGCATATATTTAAACCTACAAATTCTACTTTTAGGAACTTACCATAATAAATAAGAATGCAAACACAAACGATAGCAGCTGTTCACCTATAATTACTTTTATAGTAAAAAATGTTGAACATTGTAAATGTCGCTCATTTAGAGAATGGTAAAACAAATTATGGGAATGCCATCTAATGAAATTCTATTTAAAATAATGGTGCAGATCTACATTTATTAACATTAAAAGATGTCCACAATATGCTAAATGAGCAAATTTAAAAATAAATAAGATCTCAATTTGTTTTAAAATAATGTTTAAAAGATATGTGTATGTGTAACCATGTATACACATATTCAGAAAAAAGTCTGTAAGGCTATGTAACAAAACAATAACTCTTTCTGAGGGCTAGACCTACAGGTGATTTTTTCTTTTTTGTACTTTTCTATAAACATAATTTCTTACATGAACATAAGGTAATTTTAAAAATGAAGCTATTAAAGAAATTTATATAATACAAAAAGTATAAAGAAAGAAAAAAAATTATTCCCAAATCTTGCCTTCTAAAAATAATCATTTTTTAATAGCTAAAAATAACTGATTCATTTTATTTATTTATTTATTTTTTTAATGGTAACCACAAAATACACTTTTTTTTTCTGGTTTTAGTTCTTTTTTTTTTTCTTTTTTTTGTTTTCTTTTTTTTTATTATACTTTAAGTTTTAGGGTACATGTGCACATTGTGCAGGTTAGTTACATATGTATACATGTGCCATGCTGGTGCACTGCACCCACTAACTCGTCATCTAGCATTAGGTATATCTCCCAATGCTATCCCTCCCCCCTCCCCCCACCCCACAACAGTCCCCACAGTGTGATATTCCCCTTCCTGTGTCCATGTGATCTCATTGTTCAATTCCCACCTATGAGTGAGAATATGCGGTGTTTGGTTTTTTGTTCTTGTGATAGTTTACTGAGAATGATGATTTCCAATTTCATCCATGTCCCTACAAAGGACATGAACTCATCATTTTTTATGGCTGCATAGTATTCCATGGTGTATATGTGCCACATTTTCTTAATCCAGTCTATCATTGTTGGACATTTGGGTTGGTTCCAAGTCTTTGCTATTGTGAATAATGCCGCAATAAACATACGTGTGCATGTGTCTTTATAGCAGCATGATTTATAGTCCTTTGGGTATATACCCAGTAATGGGATGGCTGGGTCAAATGGTATTTCTAGTTCTAGATCCCTGAGGAATCGCCACACTGACTTCCACAATGGTTGAACTAGTTTACAGTCCCACCAACAGTGTAAAAGCGTTCCTATTTCTCCACATCCTCTCCAGCACCTGTTGTTTCCTGACTTTTTAATGATTGCCATTCTAACTGGTGTGAGATGGTATTTCGTTGTGGTTTTGATTTGCATTTCTCTGATGGCCAGTGATGATGAGCATTTTTTCATGTGTTTTTTGGCTGCATAAATGTCTTCTTTTGAGAAGTGTCTGTTCATGTCCTTCGCCCACTTTTTAATGGGGTTGTTTGTTTTTTTCTTGTAAATTTGTTTGAGTTCATTGTAGATTCTGGATATTAGCCCTTTGTCAGATGCGTAGGTTGCGAAAATTTTCTCCCATGTTGTAGGTTGCCTGTTCACTCTGATGGCAGTTTCTTTTGCTGTGCAGAAGCTCTTTAGTTTAATTAGATCCCATTTGTCAATTTTGTCTTTTGTTGCCATTGCTTTTGGTGTTTTGGACATGAAGTCCTTGCCCATGCCTATGTCCTGAATGGTAATGCCTAGGTTTTCTTCTAGGGTTTTTATGGTTTTAGGTCTAACGTTTAAGTCTTTAATCCATCTTGAATTGATTTTTGTATAAGGTGTAAGGAAGGGATCCAGTTTCAGCTTTCTACATATGGCTAGCCAGTTTTCCCAGCACCAAAAAATAATCATTTTTTTATTAGGTGAACATTATTCTGAAAAGATGGCAATCATCTCAAGTATCTCTATATACATAAATATACCTAGATATGTGAATTAGCTAGATAAATGATAGCTATATAGGCAAATAAATTAAAGTTTAATAAACTAGAATCACATGAATGCTACATTGTCATAAAAAGCACTAAATATAAGTATTATTGACTTTAAAAGAAAAAAAACTGAAATGCATTAAAATAATTGTTTGGGTTCAGCTAAACATTTTTATCACCATAGAATATTTTGTTTTCTAAAATATCTCTCTAAGATTCAGAAAAAATTATAGAACAAAAAGTTTCAATTATTAAATAATGATATGTTTAATATAGACATTATCAATTGACTCTTTCCTAAACAAGTTAAGAAAATTAGCAAGCTTTCACTTCTTCCCACATACTCATTTTGGTTAGTTTTTATTTTTATATTTCAGGCTTTATAACATTTACATTTGCTTCTATAGCCATAATTCCTACAACTGTTAAGTCTTAGATAATATCTAAATGAAGCCAATAATCTCCACCTATTCTTTTGTAATGTCTTTTCCATTCCATAGCTCTATATTTTTAATTTATTCTTTTTTTTTTTTTTTTTTTTTTTTTGAGACGGAGTCTCACTCTGTCACCCAGGCTGGAGTGCAATGGCGTGATCTCGGCTCACTGCAACCTCCGCCTCCTGGGTTCAAGTGATTCTCCCACTTTGGCCTCCCAAGTAGCTGGGATTACAGGCGCCCACCATCATGCCAGGCTAATTTTTGTATTTTTGTAGAGACGGGGTTTCACCATGTTGGCCAGGCTGGTCTTGAACTCCTGACCTCAGGTAACCCGCCTGCCTTGGCCTCCCAAAGTGCTGGGATTACAGGCATGAGCCACCATGCCCAGCCAATTTATTCTTTGGTTATCGGTATTTTATCAAATCGTCTTTTTTCTCCAATAAGCTTTCATATGTGCCATATTCACTGAGTTATTGAATGTTTAGGAATAACTTTCTGTTACCGTTATGTACGAATTACAATTTGGCTGGTTATTATACCGTTTGGTTATATTTTCTTCCCTTAATTGAATTTGGCTATACAGAATATATATAAGTAATATATATGCATATATATGCATGTAATACATTTCTATATCATGTGTTTTATTACATTTTCTGTGCTGTTTTCTACTTTAGTGATACCAAATATCTTTCTGACATACCAGCCTTTTCACTTCTATATTATCCCTTGTCTAATTATTTTAATGTATTTTTTGCACTGATTCTCTTAAGTCTTTCTTCCACATCAGTAATTCTGTTTTAAGCCGTGTCTAATCTGTTCATTACCATATAAATTAGTTCTATAATGGTGTTGGTCTTCTGTTTTTTTTTCAGCTCTGTGAATTCTCTTTCATTTCACTCTGCTATTTGAGAGCTTGTTATACCTGTCATGTTCTTACTAAATCCTTCTATATACAAAACACTCAAGAATGTTTTTTCATTTTGATTATATTTTTTTCTAGAGAAGTTTCTTTCTAGTCTTTCACTGTCATATTCCTTTTTCTCCTTCAAAGCCCGACTTCTTAAAGATCTCCACTTGCTCAATTCTGACTCACTCCTAAACCATTTCAATTTGTTTCTGACCCCCCTATTCCAGCAAAAACTGCTCTCAGCGGGTCACCAATGACTTCCTTATTGTTAAATACAATGAACTTCAGTCTCACTTGTACCCTTGGCAGCATTTGTTGTGGCTAATCACTCCTTCCGCTAAACACTCTTCCCTTGGCTTCCATTACAACACACCCTCTGGTTTTCCTTCTACCTCTCTAATTACTTCTCAGCATCTTTTGTGGAGTTTTCTTCCTCTGCTTTTCCCTTAAATTTTCTGTTCTATAAGGATTATGCTAGAATCTTGACTCATTCTATAAACTCTCAGTGTTTGAATCTATCTACTCTTCTGGCTTAAATTACATCTATACACAGCTTCTAATTTATAGCTCCATTACCTAGTGTCTCCCCAGTGTATCTATTTATTGGACACTTTGGTCAAGTCCTAAACTGAACTCATAATCTTCTATTCCCAACCTGCTCCTCCTCTTCAGTTTTCTGCTTCTCTAAAAAGAAACTACCCGGTTGTTCAAGTCAGATACTTGGGGGTTATCTTTAACTCCTTGTTTTTCTTCTCATAGTTAACCATCAGGCCTAATGATTTTAACTCCTAATAAAATTATCTTAGCTACTCTCTATCACCACTGCCATTGCCTATCTCAAGTAACTATCTTCTATTTCCAGTTTTACTGCAATAGTCTCAAACTAATTTTCTAAAGTGGTTCTACTGAAATTCAAATCTGATCATGCCATACCCAGTACCCCTTAAAATCTTTCAATAACTGGCCATTGCCTATGAGATAGCCTCCAAACACCTTAACCTGGCATAAATGACCCTTCTCGGTTACAGTCTCTTGATACTTCTCCAATTTCATTTTCTGTTTCACATATATGTTCCGGTCAAGATAAACTACTTACAGTTCACTAAAAATAATCAGGTTCTCTTTCAGCTTTGCATGTTATTCCATCTACTTTAATCACTCTCACTCCTCCCATTGGCCTGGCTAAGTCCTAACCATCTTTCCACTCTTAATTTAGAAGTTCCTTCTTCTAGGAAACTTTCTTGGATTCCCAGTTTCAAGTTAAGTATCCCCCTCCTAAGTACTCTCACAGGACCTTGAACTTCTTTAACACATTCTGCCATAACAAAGTTGCCTTTTTACTTCTCTAGAAACTAGACTGTAAGTATCAAGAGGTGGGTATGGTGTGTATCTTGTTCACGATTGCATCCCCAACCTCTAAAAAAGAATGATTTTTGAATGATTGAATCAATAGGAGAATGTAGCTTTACAGAGAAAGAGAAGCAAACTAACATATAAACTAAAAATGCCTCTTCCTTAGAGAATGAAGGAAAGGATGAAAGAGTATATGCCTTGCTTTTGTTAGTTCTTGACAGAAAATGTTAGGCTTAATCAAATGGCATAGCCTCAATACTTGGCCATTTTTTACCTACAAAAATGACAATTTAATACAGCTCAACTTAATACATTTTGATGGTTTGACCTACATTCACAAACTATCAAACCTGGAGAAACCCAGTATCCTGATACCAAAGATGAAAGGCTAGAGCCAGACCACTAATCTTTAACCCCATTCTCTTTTAATCAGCAAATTTTGAGAAATGAATGAAGTATAAATATTGATGCATAAGACAGGACTGAAACATTTGAAGTTGAACCACTTTTAGACAAGACATGCACTGAACTGGGTGGCCTAAATTCTGAGACAAATGTTTCTGATTTCCCTGGGCGTAGCCAGAGATTAAGCCGATATTTTTCTTTAAAAGACTATCATTCATCTTCGACTAGTTCATGGGAAAGGAAGCCTCTTTAGAAGAAGGTACAGCGACTGGTTAACATACAATGTATTCATTAAAACCTCATATGCCAACTGGTGCTTAATAACTACTTTAAAAAATATTCATGGTGACAGAAATGGAAAGATTTAGTGCCTTCATATGAATAAAAATGTTCAGATTCTTTATTAAAGTTTGCTTTAATAAAGTGGCTTCTTTTTTAGGATTGTTATTCCCCTACCATGTATACTAATACATTCAAGAAAGGTAGAGAGAACTTAAGGTATGTTCTATTTCATATTCACCTCCAATAAAACCACTAAATTGGATGAAAACTAGAATTGTCACTTATTCTCTAGCAACCAAATAAATTTTATAAAGCTAGACATTGGTCCTAAATTTTCTTTATATCATCTTTTATTGTTAACATGGTTAATCTCTTCTCAAATAGGGAGGCTATGTATATTACCAAAAAAAATTGGAGCAATGAAAAAAAACTAGTGAAATCAAGCAATAGCCAAACTGGATCATTTATGCTCCAAATGTTCTTTTCATCCGCCAGTGTTTTTTCTCCAGACATAATCTTCCACATAAGTACAGCCTTATGCTAAACTGACATAATTCCAATGTTACTAGTTGGTTTTGTCAATTTAGTAGAGTAAAATCCAGTAATTTGGGATTAATGAAACAACTAATTGAACTGTTACTTTTCACTGGCTGTGTTAATTCAATGTGATACAACACTGTCATATGATCAGGTCAAACCTAGAAAGAATTCATTTGCTCTAAAAAGTGGGCAATTCACCCATAAGCACAGAGTATTATTATAGAAACTTTTTCCCCTATGATCTAATACTAGACAATTTGAGCCACTGTGTTAAATTAACATCAAAATATACATTCAGACCAGAATGGTAGCTTACAAAGATGAACTCTTTTCTCTCTTGTTCACTTTTGTTTGCCTAGTGCCTACATTGTAAGCATTCAAATAATATTTGTTGAATGAGTTAATTAATGAAAATTATTATCATCAGTTGCCTATCCTATCCAGACAAAACATTTTGTCTATAGAAAATATGACCAATAAATAACATTCTATGTGTCAGGATCTCCCAACATAAAGACTTCTAGGTAATTACAAAACTGAAAAGCACTGTTAGCCCCAGTACTGATTTGGGTTCCAGTCAGTGGCTTCCAAACTTAGCATGCATCACGCTAGTTAAGAACTAGTTAAAATACAGATTGTTGAGCCCCAGGCCTAGAGTTTCTGTTCAACAGGGACCTGATAATCCTCATTTCTAACAAGTTCCTAAGTGAAGCTGATGCTTCTGGTCCAGAGACCACATTTTGAGAACCGTGAATTAAGAAAATCAGAGCACTTACTAAGAATAGTCTTTATTTTGCTGATGATATATTTTCCACAAAAATCATGTCTACAAGTAGTAGATTTCTTTTTTTTTTTTTTTTTTTTTTTTGAGACAGAGTTTTACTCTTGTTGCCCAAGCCAGAGTGCAATGGTGCCATCTTGGCTCACTGCAACCTCCACCTCCCGAGTTCAAGCAATTCTCCTGCCTCAGCCTCCTGAGTAGCTGGGATTACAGGCACGCGCCACCACGCCCGGCTAATTTTTTGTATTTTTAGTAGAAACGGGGTTTCACCATGTTAGCCAGGCTGGTCTCGAACTCCTGACCTCAGGTGATCTGCCCACCTTGGCCTCCCAAAGTACTGGGATTACAGGCATTCTTGTACAAGTAACACAACCTTATCAGTTCTCTGGAGTTTACTTTGTATTAACCTCAATGACATCCAACAGTATCTTATTAGTTCAAGTAGAACCTGTCAATTTGATGGAAAGAAGCAACTCTGCAAGCACATCATTCTTCTTGACACTACAATATTACCCAAAAATTCCTAGTTTAAATTTGCTTTAATAGGCATTATTTCTTATACTAAGTTTAGATGCCTTTCCTACTATAAGACTATCTAGATAACATTTGTTAGAGAAAGCATTAACAAACTTTGTTGCTCTTCATCAAACTGAGGTATGTATGCCAGGCCAGGCATATTAATAGTAAATACCTCCAAATGATAATAACAACCTATATTTGACAAAATGTTGGCACACTGGCAAAAACTACATTTATAGTCATACTGTTTCTAGCTTCATCTTTGGAGTCTAGCCATTGAGACACACCTATCTTTGTTAAAGATTTTACAGATACTCATAAAGGCTAAAAAATACTCATCTTTTAGCAAAAGCACAACCTCTTGCAGATTTTGGAAGCATGAATCTATTAATGCTTTTTTAATAAAAGAAGTATTAAAGAGAGGTAGGATCTATAGCTGCTCTAGTGGGAAACTTAAAAAGTAATTAAAGAACAATCAATCAGTAGATTTACTAACCCACACCTTTCTCTGAAAAGTATCACTTTATTTTGAAGCCTTATATATCTCAATAGAAAAGTGAAATAGAGAATTGAACATTTAGTCTGTCAGTTATTCAACAGGACCTCAATGTAGGGGTGTGTGTGTGTGTGTGTGTTGGCGATGGGGGACATGCCTGCAGGAATGACATCATTCTGCTTTTCTCCTCAAAATATTACCTGGAAGAACATAGCTTTACATTAACCATGCCAACACCCGCTCATAAGAGTCCTCCCTCCTACCCAGGGAAAAGTGCTAAGCAAGAAATGATTTGCTTTAAATACTGCCAAGGTTGAGTATCTAAGGACTGGTTCAAGTTGCACATCCAGCAAGGAAGCAGGCTTGAGGCAAGTACAAGCATCTGAGGAAAACACAGGAAGGCTTTTTGACAACCCCGTTGGGGATTTTTTCAAAAAGACTTGCAAGATGCCAAGTTAATCTTGAGGCTTCTTGCCTCACTTCCTTTTATGTCCTTCCCTGAACAGTTCTTGTATAAACTTGTCCTCGGGATGTCTTTCCGCCTCCTATAAACTCCCACCTCTGGGTAGCCTTGGCACCTCTGCCTTACCCCAAGGCCTTGAATTACTTGCCTATTTCCACATCTCCATGCTTTAAAAAAACTTCCCTTCAAGGTAGGAATGCAAGATACACCACATTCTCCTTTCTGAGTCAGATGGAGATGGTGGTCATTTCCAGGCCAAGTCGACTTTCACTCAGGCTATATCCCCTTTTTCACAGAACTTCCTCCCCTCTGGAAATGAGGATAAACTACCTTGACAATTAATTACCTGGAGAAGGCCAAGTGAGAGACTCAATCTTTTGAAGAACCAGTTCCCAGATCATTTTGATTTGGAGCAAAACCCTGAACCGAATCCACAGCGAGAAAAGCCAGCATGTCATGCTGCAAGTTGCACTTCTCCAAGTGCTGCTAGCTACCAATATGTCTTAGTCTGCTCAGGCTGCTATAACAAAATACCACAGACTGGATGGCTTACGCAACACATACTTGTTTCTCTTTTTTTGCAATATGGATAAGTTGAGAATTTTCCAGTCTGCAAGTTCTGCTTCTGGAATTGCTTAACAATTCCTTCTTTAATTCATCTCTGTCTTCTCATAGTTTACTATCAGTAGTCAGGAGGAACCAAGCCACTTTTTCCACACTTTGCTTAGAAATCTCCTCAGCTAAGTATCCAATTTCATTGCTTACATGTTCTACCTTCCACAAAACACTAGCACATAAACACAATTAATTGAAATTTTTGCCACACTATAACAAGGATTACCTTTCCTCTAGTTTCCAATATCATGTTCCTCACTTCTCCTGAGACCTCACCAGAATGGCCTTTAATGTCCACATTTCTATCAACAGTTTATGATTATTTATGTATTCTCTAAGAAAACAAAAACTTTATCTCCAGCTTTCCTATTTTCTTTCTGAGCCCTTACCAGAATCGCCCTTATGTGCACCTCAAAACTCTTCCAGTCTCTACCTGTTGCCCAATTCCAAAGCTGCTTCCTCATGTTTAAGTATTTGTTGCAGGGGCATTCTCTCCTTGACTCCATCTGACCACTTCCTCTCCCAATTTCCTTGTTCCCCAACTGACAGTAATTCTCTTAGTTTTCCATAATCACTCTCTTTATCCTTTCATCTCCCATTATTTGTGGAACACACTCTAGTCTAACTCTTGTACCCTGATTCCACTGAAACCAATCTTTTCATTGGTAAAGATCTCCTTCTTGCCAAATTCAAGAAACAATTTTTAATTTTCATCTTACTCATCCTCTCAGCAGCATGAGACATAGTTGATTACTTCATTTTATTGAATCACTTATTTTTGGGTTATTGTTGGCTTCCACAACATATATTTCCCTGTTTTATTTCTTATCTCACCAGCTACCTCCTTCTCAGTCTTATTCACTGGGTCTTTCTATTCTTACTGAAATGGAAAAGGTGAAATACCCAAGAGCTGAGTCCTCAGATTTCTCTTCTTTATTTGCTTTCCTCCCTAGGTGATCTCATCTAGAGTCATGGCTTTAAATAACATCTAGTCAAAATCACATCTCACAGAAGTCTTTCTTCCTCATCAGTTTCTTACCCTGTTTTGTTTTTCTTCATGGCAATTATCAGGGATCTAGAACTAGAAATACCGTTTGACCCAGCCATCCCATTACTGGGTATATACCCAAAGGATTATAAATCATGCTGCTATAAAGACACATGCACACGTATGTTTATTGCAGCACTATTCACAATAGCAAAGACTTGGAACCAACCCAAATGTCCAACAGTGATAGACTGGATTAAGAAAATGTGGCACATATACACCATGGAATACTATGCAGCCATAAAAAATGATGAGTTCATGTCTTTGTAGGGACATGGATGAAGCTGGAAACCATCATTCTCAGCAAACTATCGCAAGGACAAAAAACCAAACACCGCATGTTCTCACTCATAGGTGGAATTGAACAATGAGAACACATGAACACAGGAAGGGGAACATCACACACCGAGGCCTGTTGTGGGGTGGGGGGAGGCGGGAGGGATAGCATTAGGAGATATACCTAATGTTAAATGACGAGTTAATGGGTGCAGCACACCAACATGGCACATGTATATATATGTAACCAACCTGCACGTTGTGCACATGTACCCTAAAACTTAAAGTATAATAAAAAAAAAGAAATTATATATGTATATATTTAAACTTATTTATTGTCTTCCCCATGAGAACAGGAATCTTGTTTGTTTTGTTCTCTGGCATATCCTCAGAAACTAGAACAGTACCTGGCACATAACAGGCTCTTAAAAATATTTAATAAATGGATGCTATGAAGAGGCTTTCATAGTTTTTTTTTTTAATTCTTACCTCCTAAAAGATAAGAACAATTGTTTCAGTCCCTATCCAACTCCAGTTGTGCACCAGATCTTGTCCCCTTTCTTCTACTTAAGGACTTTGCTCCTGAAATCATCCACTTTCTCTTTTTGCATCATCAGTCTTCTCTTTACTCATCATACTTTCTTTATGCTACAATATGTCCCATTATACTTATCATGTTTTCCTATATTATTTATATCTTTATTGATTTATTTTCTCTTGTTCCCTTATAATGTAAGCAATATCAGGACAAGTACATTATTTTATTCACTGGTGTATCCCCAGCACTAGAATAGTAGTAGCAAGCATTCAATAGATGTTCTATAATAAATCAAATGGATTTAAATACTGGTTTGCTTATATGTCTCTCCCACTAGAAGCTATGTTCTTTTAAAATAAGGACCACGTTTTATTCCATTTAAATCCCCTTTGCCTAGCACAATGCCTAGTAAGTGTTCAATCTATTTATGAATAAGTGTATAAATGAGTATACAACTTAACAGCAAGCATGAGGATGTTCAGTAGCCCTCAGGAAAGATGGCTAACAAAAAGTTGAGACTGTCATTGTAATGAAAAAATAAAAAGTCTATTGAAATAATCTGGGCTCCAGAGACGGCAGGAGACTCAGACCAACTAATCTTGGGATTCCCTTAGCTAGAGCAATGGTTTCAGGTATGGACCTCCAACAGAGTCACACCTTTTAGGACAAAGACAAGTGTGTTCTTGTCTCCTGGAACACAAGCTGAGAGGATGTCTGGAGTCCCTGCCACCATCTGACTACCACGTAAAATCTGAGACTAAAGAAAACACTACAGAAGATAGAACCAGGAAATAGAGAAACCAAATTCTGAAGGTACTGCTTGAGCTCTGAATTTAGTACTGCCTTAATTTAGTCTACTCCCTAGACTTTTTAATTATGTAAGTCAATAACATTGTTTTTTGCTTAAACTGGTTTGAACTGAGGATTTCGTCACCTGCTACAGAAAAAAAATATTTGACTGATTCTAGATCTTTAAAAATTAGATTCCTGGGTCCCAATGTCAGATATTCTGAATGATTATGTCTAGGCCTTGAAATCTGTTTTTTAACAAGATCCCCAACAGTATCTATTATGTTCTCGGTTGCAAGCAGCAGAAATAAAAGTCTAGCAGAGCCAAAGTAAAAATAATTTAAAAGACATTAGAAAAGATAAAAAAAAAAAAAGGACATTAGGCAGCTTACAAAATCAAGGAGGTATTAAGGAGGTATGGAAAGGAAGGCTTGGAGCTACACAGTCAAGAACAAAGCCCAAAAGTCATGCTGCCAAACTCATCTTGTGAAGTAGTCATGGGTGCTACCAAAAAGCACCAAACATTATGGCTTGTACAACTGCCCCTAGGAGCTTAATCTTGGGGCAACCACCACTTCCTCTAGCATTACTGCCACTGCTACCCTGCTATATAACCTAGTTATCCAATATAACCTATATAATCTAGTGATTCAATTCCCATGTGCTAAAGGTTAGAACAACCTGAAAGAAAATTATTATCCTCACATGTACTGGGAATTTGACATAATATATGGCATACTTACCGAAAAGTTGGTAAGGAAAATTTTTTGGAATCTTATAGTAGAATTAAACATGAAACCCTTTTTCTATAACCTGTTGTGTCTTTAGCATGAGGGTAAAAGATTTTCCTCTCCTCTCACAGGGACATTTGTCCTCAGCAATGCTATTCAAATTAACCGAAAAGCTGGTAAGGAAAATTTTTTGGAATCTTACAGTAGAATTAAACATCAAACCCTTTTTCTATAACCTGTTGTGTCTTTAGCATAAGGGTAAAAGATTTTCCTCTCCTTTCACAGGGACATTTGTCCTCAGCAATGCTATTCAAATTATTCCAGCCAAATAACGTCCCATTTCTGATGATCCATTGCCTTGCATTGCTATTTGTCTATATTTCCTCACAGTCTTAACAGAATTCTGAAAAAAAGTGAGTTTGACCTCCTCATTAAGCTCCCTACTATGGCATGTGACAGGCATGCTCCCTGTTTCCTCCAACATGCAACCCGTTACCCACTATCAGCTTTAAGCCAGAAACATGGTGAAAATTCTCAGGTGATGGGTCAGATCAAGAATGAAGACTTTTTGGGCCCTTTTGCCACAACAAAATCTGTTTCTCAGTGTGGCACCTGGACAGCCAACAAAGTCCCAGGAGAGGAACCATTTTCTCACATATCCTTTTATGCACAGTGACCCACGTGCTGATTAGTAACCTGCAAGCACTTCCTTGATCACTCACAATACTTTTGGTTATAACCACTGCCTCTACCCTATACCTCATTTGATTATTGCATAGTACCACTGATGGATGCTGTTGCAATCCCCCTTTCCCCTTTGACAGTTTATTTCAGTGGCTCCCACACACAGCTAAGGCTCTGAGTCACTGTCTGTCTGTTTTTCCATTGCATAAGCTCAGAGGAGGGCTTTGCAAGTGTTTGATGCTGGGGCTTTTACCCTCACCTTGGTTGTATCCCTTTGGAACATTGCTAGAAGATATCCCTCCTGAGCACTGAACCTGTGCCAGCCTTTTGTCTCTTTTCTGATCTTTGCTCTCTGAGTCCTGGGACTTCCTCCAATAGTCTCTTTTGTTATGTTTGGGTTATATTACTTCATGTATAATTATATTTGCATAGTTCTTTTCCGGTAGTAGCAAGAGCAAGGGGAGGTCTCCTTTATCCAAAAACCTGTGTCTCCTTAGAGACCTACAGGAGGCTCGGGATACTCTACAATGAGCACATTTCATATCTTACTTTAGTCAAACTGCAAGATATATTAGATTTATCGAACCATAGAGACAGAGGTATCTAGGAGGTTTCTTAGTTATTTTCCCCTGTAAGAAAACAGAAATTCAGAAAGGGAAGTTATTTTCTCAGAGATAAACAGCTATTGACAAACAAATCTGGGACTAGAACCCAAATTCAGGATACTTTCTTCTTTACTAATCTGAATTTTCTTCTAGAGTTTTTCCTTTTTCGACCATGTGTAACCTTTCTGTAAGAGACTGTCTTTGCATATAGTTACTTAATGGGTGATTTAATGACAGGGAAAGAAGAATGGAAATATCCAAGAAGGCTTTATACAATAATGTGGTAGACAAAGACATCCATATCCTATTCCATAGAACCTGTTTTTTTCTTTTTTCTTTTTCTTTGCTTCTAACACACCAAGCACATATAGAACCTGTTAATATATTCCCCTACAGAGCAAAAGAAATTTTGCAGATCTAATTAAGAATCCTTGAGGTGGGAGATTATCCTGGACTATATGAAGGGGCCCATGTAATAACAAAGGTCCTTTCAAGTGAAAGAGACAGGCAAGAGAGTCAGAATCAGAGAAGAAGATGTGACAGTAGAAACAATATTAGAGTGATGGGATGTGAGGACTCAAATCTTCCATCGTTGGCTTTAAAGATGAAAGGTGAACACAAGCCAAAAATTGTGGGGCAGCCACTATAAACTGAAAAGGCAAGGAAATGTATTCTCCATGCCTTTCTAGAAGGAATGTAATCCTGACAATATTTATTTTAACCCAGTGAACTCCCTTTGGACTTCTGACTCCAGAACTGTAAGATAATAAATTTGTATTGTTTTAAGCCAATAAGTTTGTGGTAATTTGTCACAGCAGTAGTAGGAAATATGGTTTTAGAAGTAAATCTAATATAAAACCACAATAATAATGGTTATGTCGCATTTTATATGTGACAGGCATTATGCTACACCCATAGTGTCCATTACCTCATTAAATCCTTGGAATAATTCTAAGGCCAGATAATAACATTATTCCTCTGTTATGGTTGAGGAAAATGAGAATTTTCTCACTTGCCCAGCCACTCATTAGTAACTATTAGAGTGAAGAGTTTGTCAGATTTTCAAGTGTATATTCTTAACCATCATGCTATATTTTCTCCTTAAAAATATTATTTGATCTATTTTGTACAAAAAGAATATCCAAGAGCCCCATAGTTGACTTTTGCTTCAGGAAATGATGAAGTAACCAACACCAGGTTAACCCAAGCACAACCTAAAGAAAACATGAAATGACTGTTTTCAGTTATTGGGCAGACAGCACAATACTGTGATCAGCAAGAAAAGGGAAACAAATGAGGAGAGCCCTATAATCATCCTGGATTTCTGTCTGAAGACAATTCTTTTTACTGTGATTTGGAGAGTAGGATATCAAGCTGAGCATAGCAGTCTTTCTGAATTAAGACAGAATCAGAATTCAGGAAAACTGAAGAACAAAGTACGAAAAAGAAGTCTTGTGTACAAGGTCTGTGTACAGAAAGACTTCCGAAAATATGCACAGGAATTCTCTTATTTCTGAATACCAAGTCACACTTGCCTAAAGTTAAATTTCATGAGGTATGGAAAAAGTGACCAGAGAACAGTAAGCTGAAAATGTCTGATCACAAAAGGGCTGGGAAATGTTTGTGTTCTAACCATCAGAATGGGGAGTTCTTATTAAATACCTAGGCATTCAGTAGACATCCAGAAAGGTGACACATTAATGACAAAACTAAACTAGGCTTAAACTAAGGCTATTCTAAAATCACTCTAACAAAGCTTATAAAGAATTCTCAAAAATGATCCATATATATGCAAATAATTTAAATGGCTGCTGAACAAAGCCCAACACTCTTTAAGGAATATAAAAAAATATGGTAAGGAACTGGACATGGTGGCTCACACCTGTAATCCCAGCACTTTGGGTGGCCAAGGCAGGCAGATTGCTTGAGTCCTGGAGTTCCAAACCAGCCTGGGCAACATGGCAAAACCCTGTCTCTACAAAAAGTACAAAAATTAGCCAGGTGTGGTGGTGTGCACTTGTAGTCCTAGCTACTTGAGAAGCTGAGGTGGGAGGATCGCTTGAGCCTAGGAGGTAAAGGTTGCAGTGGGCCGAGATTGCACCAATTCACTCCAGCCTGGGGGAAAGAGCAAGACCCCATCTCAAAAGAAAAAAAAATCAGTATGCTACAATGTAAAGATCAAAACGTCCAACATTAGTCAAAAATTACTAGACATGCCAAGAAGGAAGAAAATGTGACCCACTTCAGAAGAAAAATTGATCAACTGAAACAGACCTGTAAATGACAGAAATGATAGAATTAAGACAAGGAATTTCAAATAGCTATTATATATATATGAAAGTATTTAAAGAAAAGCAGGAACCTAACAAGAAGATAAAATCAATAAATTAAAATAAATGAAAACTCCTAAAGAAGAAAAAGATAGACTCCAAATGAAAAATTCTCTAAGTGGGATGAAGAGCAGAAAAGACCCTGTGGAAGAAAACATCAATAAACTTTAAGTACAGTAACAGAGACTATCCAAACTGAAGTACAAAAAAAAAAGACAGACAAAAAAAAAAAAGCCTCAGTCATCTGTGACAATATTGAATGGGCTAACCTAAGTGTAACTGAATTATTAGGATAAGGGTTTAAGGATGTAGGAAAATGTGATGAAATCATGACCAAAACTTTGTAAAATTTTATGAAAACTCTAAGCATACAGACTCAGGAAGCTCAACGAACACCAAAGAGAATAAACATAGAAAACTATTCCAAGGTATATCAGAATCAAATAGCTACAAAGTAAGTGACTAATAGAAAATCTTAAAAGCTACCAGGGGAAAAAAGACATAGTACATACAGATGAATAAAGATAATAATGGAAGCAGATGTCTTGATAGAAACTATGCAAACTAGAATATAACAAATGGCATTTTTAAACTTTAAAACGGTGAAAGAAAACTGTTAACCATGTCTTCTATTTACAGCAAAAAATGTCCTTCAAAAATGAAGACAAAGTAAAGAGTTCATAAGACAGACAAAAGCTGAGACAATACCCAGAAGACTTATACTACAAGAAACACTAAAGAAAGTTTCTCACACTGAAGGAAAATAATATCTGATGGAAACTTGAATCTACACAAAGGAATAAAGATTGTCAAAAAGGGTAAATAAATGATTAAATATAAAGGATACTTTCTCTTTTTTTAGTTTCTTTTTTTAATAGAGATGTGGTCTCACTTATATTGCCCAGGCTGGTCTCAAACTCCTGGGCTCAAGCAATCTTCCTGCCTCAGTCTCCCAAAGTGCTGGGATTACAGGCGTATGCCACTGTACCCTGTACTTTATTAACTTCTTCAAAAGATAATTGAACTAAAGCAAAAAAAAAATAACTCCATATTTGGGGCATGTGATATATGTAAAAGTAAAATGTATGACAACTGCACAAAGGACAATAGGAAAGAAATATAATTATACTTTTATAAAGATCTTACATTATATGTGAGGTAATATAATGTGAAGTTAGACTGCCACAATGTAGAAATGCATAGGAAACACTAAAGTAACCACTAAAAAATAAAACAGAATGCAGCAAAATAGGGATAAAGCAGAATTCTTAAAAATATGCACTTAGTTTAAAATAAGGCAGAAAAAGAAGAAAAATGGTACACAGAACCTGGAACACACAGAACAAATAGAAAACAAATAGCAGTATGGAGGGACACAGAGCTTCAGAGACCGGTGGGACACCAGCAAGAATACTAACATATGCGTAATGAGAAAAGAGGAAAAGGGCAGAAAGAATATCTGAAAAAATAATGGCTGAAAACTTCCCAATTTTGATGAAAGACACATATCCAAGAGGCTCAATGGGATTCTTGAGTGTGAATCCACATCCAAGCAGCTCAATAAACTCCAAGTAGGATAAACTATAAGATTCACAGAGACACATTGCAATCAAATCGTTGAAAGCCAAAGACACAGCAAGAATCTTGAAAGCAGCAAGAGAGAAGTAATCTGTCATAAACAAAGGATCCTCAATAAAGGTCAACAGCTAGTTTCTCATTAGAAACGATGGAGACCAGAAGGCATTGAGAGGACTTATTTATAGTGATGAAAAAAAATGTCAACCAAGAATTCTAAATATGACAAAACTACTTTTCATAAATGAAGGCGAAATTAAGACATTCCCTGATAAACAAAAGTTTAGAGAGTTCATCACTTAGACATTCCCTACAAGAAATACTAAAGGGATTCTTTCAAGCCAAAACAGAAGTCATGCTAGATAGTAACCCAAAGTCATATGAAAAAATAAAGAAATAAAGAACTCCAGTGAAAGTAACTATATAAATATAAAAGGCAATATTATTTTATTTTTGGTTTATAACTTCTTTTTAATTTTCTTTATAATTTAAAAGCCAAGTACATGAACAATCATTATAATTCTGTGTTAATGGGTACACAATAATTTTGTGACAATAACAATATAAAAAAGGTGGAGCTGTAAAGAGGCAAAGTTTTCATATCAAATTGAAGCTAGGTTGGTATCAATTCAAACGAGGTTATGAACATAAGATTTTTAATTATAATCCTCATGGTAACCACAATGAAAATAACTAAAAATATATACAAAAAAGGAAATAAGGAGAGAGTCAAAATGATACACTAGAAAAAAAAATCAACACAAGACAAAGTAGTATTGAAGGAAATTAGGAATATTAAAAAATGGCATATAGAAAACAAATAGAAAAATGTCAGAAGTAGTCCTTTCTTATCAAGTAATCACTTTAAATATCAATGGATTAAACTCACCATTGAAAGACAGAGACTGGCAGAACAGATTAAAAACAATAATTCAACTATATGCTGCTACAGGAATCTCACTTTAGATTCAAGACAGTTTTTGTCCTAAACTAGAAGCAAATAGTTGTTATTCATTAAGATGGGGAATACTGTATGTGGGTATGTGAGGCCTGAGAAGGATTAGATTTGAGATATCTATCAGACATTCCAGTGAAGATACTGAAGAGGTTGGATATATGAGTCTGAAGTTCAGGGGAAAAGTCCAACCTGGAGATAAAGACTTAGAGTCACCATCATATATTTGCTATTTTAAGCTCTGGGAATAAATGAAATCTAAAGAGAGAGTGTGTATAGGTAAAAGAAAAGGTCCAAAACCTGATTTCTGGGTCATTTCAATATTAACAGTTTGGGAACAAGGGTAGAAATCAGTTCAGGAAACACAAATAGTGGCTCATGAGGTAGGAAAATTAGGAAAGCCAAATGATGAAAGTGTTTTAAGGAAAACATATCAATTCTACTAAAGGCTGCTCTGTCATTTTCTCTCAGGTCTGGTGTGGGACATTCTCTCGCCTCATAATTGATGTTTTCTCCTCAGATGGTTGTTTGTTATTCAACCTAGGGGCTTGTATATAAGAAACAGTCATAATGGGTTACTCATGGTTCTAATTGTGTGTGTGTGTGTGTGTGTGTGTGTGTGTGTGTGTGTGTGTGTGTGTAATTATAGCCCGATAGAGATAGAATGGGAAAATCATAGACTATGGAACCAGTCCTAGCTCTACCATTTCCAGCTCTACCATTTCCATACAGCTATATGAACTTGGGAAAATTTCTTAACTACTTAACTTCTCTCAGCTCCAGTTCTCTCAGCCCCTTGGGAAAATTTCTTACCTCCTCTCAGTTCCTTGTGTGTACAATAAGACGAATAATATTGCACCTATCTCATAGTCTACTGTCAGAATTAAATGACTTTCTATATGTAATGATACTATAAGATCTGAAGAAAGATTAATTACTAGTCCCTTCCTGACATATGAGAAGATACCCATGACTTTATGTTCCCTCAGCTGCTGAATTGAATATCAGCTGCTGAGCGGCCTTCCTTCCTCTGGATTATAATGGTTTTATTTTTTACAATTATTCTAAATGCTAATATTTAGAAGGTAATTATTAGACTTGTTCTATGAGAACTCCTTTTGGAAAAGTAAATATTTTTTAAACAAGGTTGCTTTGACACAAAATAGGTGGGAAGGGAGGGGAAGAGATGAGAAAAAGAAAAATATAAATGGGTCCACTTGGAGCAATGAAGATCAAAGTAACTCTTTGAATGTAAAAAGAATGTAGATTCTAAATCAAAGTCCCCTTGCCAACAGTATCACAGCTTTTATCTCCTTTTCTTAACTCCTGTTCATCCAACCTCTTTCCATATCTTTTATCCCTACTAGCATTTCTTCCCTATAACATGAAAAATGTTACAATTGCTCTTCCCATTCCAAAAGCATGAATAAAGCATGAGGACCTTCACATGGAATTTACTTGCTGTATATGTGGTGATTTTTTTGTTTGGATTAAGTTGTATTTCTAATGGAGAGGGGGTGGAAGTATAACCGAGTACCCCCATTTTTCTAAGTGAAAGAGAGTAAGTTACTTTTTAAAAATTATTTTCTCTTCTTTTTTCTCCATTTCCCCTTCTTCCCCACTTCCTACTTAGCCCTCTGGAAGTGCAATTATAACTTTCTACCTCCTTTTCACCAGATGCTCCCTACAGAACAAGTTCATCTAACTATGTACTTAGAAGCTCCAGAAAGGAACTCTCCCCCACCTGGAGACTGCCTCACAAAATAACAGTCGATTTACACCCACAATGTGTCCACCACAAAATTCGCTCCCACCAGGAGACTGCCTTGAGAGATAACAATCAATTTACAGCCCAAAGTACCCCTGCTACGAAACTCTCTCCCACCTGGAGAGTTTTCAACCACTCTTACAACCTATTTCTGCCCATGAAAACACCAGCTGCCTGGCAGATAAGGCACTGAAGTGAGTATGTGGACCACTCCCCCACCACCCTGCTCATTTCTGCCCCTTCATAAGCTCCCCTTTAAAAGCACTCACTTTCTGCTCCAAAAGCGAAGCCACACCCTTAAGGCAGGAAGCCTGTACTTCTTCCCCTAAGCTAGTTTCAGAATAAAAAATCACTTTCTTTATACTAGATCTCGCTCTTGTTAATCAGACTCTGAAAGCAGAGATTGACTGAACCTGCATTTCAGTTACAGAAAGGAAACGTAATTGTAGGCAGAGAGGCTCATGAGATGAAACCGTCTGACAGCCAGAACCCTCCTAGAAAACTAAGGTGATTAAATCTTTAAGGCAGTCTTCTCAATCTCTTTAGAACTGTTTTTTTTCAATATACCTCCTTGCTTACACAATTTGAATTACCAATAAAAATAAATTGAGAAGAAAATGCATTAAAATGCTTTATGATACACTGTCAGATCACAGGAAGGTCTTAAGTATGTCACAAAAGATAAATAAGCTTCAAAAAACTATAAATATTCTATATCCCTGTTGAGTACAGCTTGAAAACTCAAGCTTAGTAGTGCTTACCAGCTTACAGACTCCTGCATATCCTGACTGCTGACCTTTAAGCCTATAGTTTCTGTTTTGATCTTAAGATGATATAGCTGTTCATTAGACTCAGGGAACTCCCACAGCCCTGAACAGGGGTCACTAACGTAATCTCTCCTTTCTCTGCCTTATCTCCATTATAAATCCAAGATACCTTTGGAGATGAATAGGTATCAAGTTATCTGACTTACCTTAGCCATACAAGCATCCTAGGAATTTTTCCTGATGATACAATAAGAGTAAACGGGCTCCAAAAATGCAATGAGCATATGCAAAGCTTTGCTCCACCTTTCTTATTTTTTCCACCCAACATTTATCATTACCCCCAAAATGCCAAATGAGGGACAAAAGAGAGATACCAACAGAGGAAATAAACTTGAAGAGACATTAGAAGAATGATTCATTGAGATAACAGAGAAAAAAGCATATACTCCAGGCAGTTTAAGAAAGTTACCTAATAGGGCATAGGTTCAAGATACCCAACGTGAGCCAAGAAAACCCCCTATGTTGCCAAATGTCAAATAGCATCATTATTATCAGTCTCATTGATAAATTATCGGGTTTTTATGTATTGTCTGGGAATTTACATTCTAACACCCCTGAGATGTAAAAAGAGAGAAATAAATATAGGCATGAGGAAACGCAAGGCAAATAGCTACTCAGAAGATAAAAACACTTGTATAATGCAGGTGTCATGAAGCAATCACACTGCACTACAGACCAGGGAGCGTGAATCTACCTCAGACCGACCACTCAATCCAAAATTACTCAATGATATTGGTAGTGTGTGATCATCTGTATGAGCTAAAGCATTGTTATGCCAAGGCACACCTGTCCACAAAATGACACCTCTATATTTCACAGATCCAAAAAGCCACTGTGGAACCAGAGAGAATGGGAATTTGTGGTCTGAATTATCTAACCTGTGCCAGACTTGTTATTCCACTTAACTATGATGTAAACTGTTCAGATGTATTTAGTTTGCCTTATTCTTTAAAATTAAAAATGGAAAGTGTTTATCGAAATGAAGATCCAGAAGTACCTACTGAGCCTATTTCCTCTCAGCTGTTTTCAACTGTAAAACACAAATATGTCTAACATTCTTTAAAATTAAAAATGCAAAGTGTTTATCTAAATGAAGTTCCAGAAGTACCTACTAAGCCTATTTCCTCTCAGCTGTTTTCAACTGTAAAACACAAATATGTCTAACCCACGAAGCCTATAATCATTAGCAGCTGGGTTGCTGTGTGTTGTAGTCATGAAAATGCTCCTCTCAGACCTCCTGTTGGAGACAGCTTAATTGATCCTGTCCCTCTGGATGCAGCACTGCATCTACCCGAAGGCCATACTTCCTAGCCAATGATAGAGCACAGCAGATACTAAGGCAGGCCCATTCTGGCAATATACAGGACTCCTGAGTAACTTCTATTTTAGGACTCACCATCGACCTGGCCAAACTTTCTTAGCACTACATGGCAGTCTGAGACCCATCCTACCCAATCCTGCTACTTTCCTTCTTCTTTGCTACACTGTGGTTCTGAAGTTTCTCTCCACCTCCTCCTGCTCCCTCCTTCAGTAATCTCTTTCATATCTAATCCTAGCTTGAGATTTATTTGGAATGGGTCCAAATCAAAACAGGTGGTACACAGAGTGGTGTGAGAAAACAGGCAGGAAGATGGGGATTTGGGATTGGCTCACTCACCCAACATTAGATTAAGTGGGGGCCATCTTGTGTGGTAGGTAGGGTACAGATAGTCCCTGGCCCAAGGTAGGGGCCCAACTGCTCAAGATTTCACCCACAATGACCTGAGAAAATGTCCCGGTGGAAGGGAACAATCATTCAGTTCCAATCATTCAGGCATTTGAAAAAACAACAGGTGTGCTGGCTCACACCTGTAATCCCAGCACTTTGGGAGGCCGAGGCGGGTGGATCATCTGAGGTCAGGAGTTCTAGACCAGCCTGATCAACACGGTGAAACCCTGTCTGTACTAAAAATACAAAATTGCTGGGTGGGGTGGTGCATGCAGAGCTCCAAAGACGTCTGAATGATCCACCAAGGTAGGTCTACTATGGTAAGGTCAGGGCCCTACTTGGGAAAAACTAGGATCCAGAAAAATGAGATGAGAACATCTAGATGGATGCCTCCTCAAGATACTGGTTATGAAGATCCCCCCGAACCTTCAGAGCTTGCAAAGGTGGCCTACCCATCCCTCGTAAGTGGAAGCACCTCCCTTTGTGCTAGAAAATGGTAGAGTCCTGTCCCCTCTAGAAGGAAGTAAATGCCCCCTCAGAAGCTGCCCTTTCCTCCCCTTGGTTACCCAGCTGAGCACCTGATGGGCCTGATAAGAAAGAGACTCTATACCAAAGAAGAGCTTACAAGAGTGAGCTAGCATGCACCAGCAGGAGCCAGGAGCCTAGGATTAGATTTTAAGTGTGCTTGATAAAAAGGGCCAGAATGTAAGACTGGATTGGGTAAGCAGAAATTCATTAACTTGAATTTAATTTAGCTTGAAGGCACTTACTTGGGACACAGGATTTAAAGCCTGGCAAGGATCCCAGAGTATGAGGAAAATTCACTGCTTAGAATGGCTCTGAGAACACTGAAAAAAGTGATGACCAACACGGCAAAGTGTAAATACCTGAGTTGCCCTCACAAATGCTAGAGGAAAGAATAAAGAGGCTAAGGGAAGCGGGCAAGGCCAAAATTAGGGTGAGGCAAGAGCAGTGTCTAAGGGGCATAATTCAAGGAGCCGCTCACTCTCATGGTCTTGAAATATTAGGGTCTTTGCCTCATCCTAGTACTGGACCTGGAAATGGGTATGCTAGAGTGTATCTATTATGTAAGGCAGTAAGATTCCCCTAGAGGATTGTGTTCACAAGAAAGCCTACCAAGGCCACCAGAAATGTGCTGAGAGGGAAAGCAGTATCACTAAGAAGTTTGGTAGCGGTTCCTCTGCAGGCCAGGGCTGATTGTAGGAGAGGCCATCATAGAGCTGGGCTCATTAGTATTCATATTCATGATAGAGGCCCCACAGGAATAGAGGCCAAGTGATAGCACTTAACTATCAAAAGTCAGGAGGCTGCAATTACCATAATGGCCTGCAAGATCAGAGCAGCCAATGGGTTTGATCCACAGGGAGTTGTGGAGATGGTTGATAAAGCATGGTTTTCCTAGGAGCAAAATAGAAGGGCAGTCAGCAAGGGTGCTACTTAACATCTTTAAATTTAAAAAAAGGCAAGAATGGGAGAGCAAGAGGCAGAGGATAGTCATACCTATAAAAAAGTCACAATCCTCTGCTAATATTCCCAGACTTGAGCAGATTTTTAGAACCAAAATCCATTGACTAAATACCACAGAAAGTATATTCTATAATCATTCCTACGACACCCACTGCAACAACTTGGCAGTTGGAGTAACCCCCAGATTAAGACCCTTGGCCTATGGAGTAAGAGCTATCACAGCAGGAAAAACCAAGTGGAAATCTTTAAAATTGTTCCTCCTCAGCCAACATAGTAATTCAAAAACAATATATCCTACAGATGATGAAGGAGATTGTTGCTGTCATTAAAGAGCTAAAGGAGGCAGAGATGGTGGCTCTCATCATATCTTCATTTAATTCACTAATCTGGCCCCTGCAAAAGCCATCTGTAGACTATCACAAGCTCAACAAAGGAGTATCCCTGATGATAGCTATTGTGCCAGACATGGTTCTACTATCCCTCTTCTAAATTCCCCCTTAGAAAGAGACCCCTAAGGAACCACGGAGGAGTTGCATCCCAAAGCTATGTGAAGTAGACCTGTGTGGAACAAGGGTTAGACAGGAGCAGGCATGAAAATGCTCCTGTCAGACCTCCTGTTGTGAGGAGCATAACTGACCAACAGCCTGAGATCTTGTCCCTCTGGATCCAGCACTGCATTTGCCCCAAGGACATACTTTTGTTGTGGGGGGTGGTTCCCAGCCAATTCTGGACCACCTCAGAGATACTAAGGTAGGTCCATTTTGGCAATATACAGGACTCCTCAGTAACTTTGATTCAAGGACTCCCCATCAACCTGGCCAAATCTTCCTTGGTACTGCACTGCAGTCTGAGACTCCTCATACCCAGTCTTCCTTTCTTCCTTCTCTTCTACACAATCTGAAGGATCTCTCCACCTTCTCCTCCTTCCCCCAGTAAATCTCCTACTTCTTAATGGACTTGACCTAATATACCCCGAAAACCTGGAAGACTATGGAAGAAAGGATCTGCATTTGCATTTCCCCTGGCAACCAGAATGTTTTTAAACTATACAAGGGGATCACAGACTTACTTATTTCTTTATTTTTACCACAATGAAGGTAACCTGCTAAGGGAAGGAGAATCTAAAGATGATTAAAATAAACCTGGAACAAAAAATTGCTTTGTATCTTAAAATTTGCATAAGGCATAGTCAGGGCACAAAGGGGCTGATGCAGCCTCAGTGCCAAGGTAAATGAGGCACACACTGTACAGTATTTTCTGTGTTGGTGCCAGTCACACAAATGGGATCTGCCCAGAGCTAGTCTTACTTGTGTTCCTAACTTGCCTGAAAATGTTTAGAAATTGTCATTCCTGGATCAGCACTTTTAGTTTGGGTCTTGGTGCCAGTAACACCTTTAATTCTGTGGTTTTCATTCATATGCTGTTGACTTGTGATGCATGCGGCCTCACCCACAGAATAATAAATGGTTCCCCAGTTCTGTTGGAGTTAACCTAGGTTAGAAGCCATAGTTTGGTGGACTCTGCTCAGATTAGTCAGGTTCAGCCAGATTTGTGGTTGACTTGACCTAAAATGAAATGCAATGACCTATTCACTTTCCAGACATGTCCAGGATTCTAGGAGTGGTCCAAAGTTAATCTGAATCCATGAAAGGTGTGGTTTTTTGGAAATCACCCAGAACTAAGGGATCCTAGGGTTATTCTTATTCTTGGTGACTAATGTACAAACGATTTAATGTCTCTGTACATTCATTTCCTAATGAATATAATAATCCCTCCCTTTAAGAAGGTTGTAATGTTTCATATAATTGTATGAAATGCCTTGAAATCTTTAATGAGAAAAGGAAAAAAAGTTATCATACACACCATTTTTAATCTAAGGCAAAAGAATTCAATCAAATCTTGAGGCTTAATTTATTAGGCTTTCTCAACTTAATTATTTATCTATACTGAAGTCTGCTGAATGCACATTTCATTGGCACATTTTATTTTTCAAGGGTGTAGCCTAGCACAGTGACAGATATTTAATAAATGCACATCAACTTGCAAGAAGAAATGTGGACAATTTAACAGAGTCATCGACTGAGAATCCAGATACCAGGGTTCTAGTTCCAACTCTGCTGCTAGTGCATTATACAATCTTCCACAAATCACTTGGCTTTAATTCTCTCTTCCGAGATTGAGAACATTGGTGTTAAGCATCTCTAAAGTAACATTCAGGCCTTTAAAAAATCTGTCATAATTTGTGAAGTTGTTACTCTTTTATATTGCTCTAATGATGAGACACTTTTTTTAAAGAAGAAATATAAAGACATTTATAAGTAAATACTTTCCTATTTTATTTTTCTCAAAATCTGTGCTGCATTTTAAAGGCACTGTGGTATAACTCAAAGAGTACTAAACATGGCTTCTAAAAATGGATTTGCTACTAACTACTTTTGGGGCTTTAGGTAGTTCATTTCACATTTTTAATTTTCTAAAAACTAAAGACTCAGTTTTCTTATCTGTAAAATTAGGGTGTTGGATTAATTCTCAAGACTCTTCCTACTCAATCCAAGGTCTATTCCAGCCCTAATATCCTATAACTCATCCAGATAACATTTTTAAGTGTCTGGGTTATTTTTCTAATTACAAAGGTAATACCTGCTCACTTAAAAATATTCAAAGAATACAAAAATATGCCAGGCACAGTGGCTCACGCCTGTAATCCCAGCACTTTGGGAGGCCGAGGCAGGCAGATCACAAGGTCAGGAGTTTGAGACCAGCCTGGCCAACATACTGAAACCCCGTCTCTACTAAAAATACAAAAAATTAGCTGGGCGTGGTGGTGGGTGCCTGTAATCCCAGCTACTTGGGAGGCTGAGGCAGGAGAACCGCTTGAACCCAGGAGGCAGAGGCTGCAGTGAGTCAAAATTGCGCCACTGCACTCCAGCCCAGGCAACAGCATGAGACTCCGTCTCAAAAAAAAAAAAAAAAAAAAAAAAAAAAATATATATATATATATATATATACAGAAATATATTAAGTAAAAATTAGAGTCCACCATAATGCTATCCCTTAGAGATTGTGTTAACAGCTTATTATATAATCTTTCAAAATTGTCTGACATACTAACATAGATGTATTATTACACTATTATTTTATAAAAGAAGATATATATACTTTTATGATTTTTTTAATTTAATAATATATCATGAACCTCTGCCAACTAGATATATGTAGCTCTATCTCATTCTTTTTCATGACTCTGTTCCATTCAGTGGGCATATCAAGTTTATTTACCTGCTAATGAATATTTAAATGGTTTTAAAATTTTTGTAATGGGTATGCTGGATCACCTGAAGGCATCTTTGCCTATCTATTTTTGTACAAATTTGGAAGTACTTTCTTTAAGGTAAATTCCTATAATGGAATTTCTTGATGAAACAGTGTAATTTCCTATGTAGGGGCAAACTGCTCTAGAAAGAAGTGTTATCAATGTACATTCCCACAAATAATGTACGAGAGGAGAACACTAGGTGGTGCTAAGCATGCTAATTTATATTTATTATGTCGCCGGAACTGGTGAGGCTTATTATCTAGTTTGGGCCTTATCCCCAAATAAAACTAGACTAGTGCTGATATAAAGGATTTCAGATCTTAAGTCAGGTCTTCCTCGGTCTCCCGTCAGACTTATCACATGCAGTCCCAGAGAGCAGAATAGTCCCAGCATTTGGAAATAACAGACGAGTAAATTCTGGCTCAAAAGGACAAAACTTTCTAGTAATCAGAATTTTCCCATAAAGGACTATGTTGCCTATCAATTAGAAAAGCCCTGTCACTGTATTATAAATGGTGAACAACTGAAAGCTGGATGACCTTTTGTCAATAAGTAGTTGGACCTGATGACCTTTAAAGTTTCCTTCAGATTCAAAGGCTCACAAACACCCAGATTTGAAGGGCAAGAATTAGGGTTAAATCCTCCCACAGGCACTTGCTTCCCTAGACTGTTTTCTATCAGAGTAACATTTTTTATGTCTTCTCTGTCCTCTATAATTGAATATTTCATTAAGTTAATTTTCATAAGTCTAGGTAAGTATCCCTCACAGAGCTCAAGGTCAATATTTCTATTTCCATTAACTAATTCATCAGGTATTTTCTGAGTCCCTACTATATACCAGGCAGAATACTAAATTCTGGGGATCTGACAGTGAGCAAAACCAACAATTCCTGCCCTGTGGCATTTACAGATTGTGCTTATCAATGTAAGCTACATTTGAAGACAGCCATAAAGCATTTATTTTAACTGCCTATAGAATTAACTGGATAGGCTGCCCAGTAAATCAGAATATGTTCATTTAGAAAATCAGAAACATGAGACATGTTTTTAAACTATTTCTCACTGCTGATTTTTTCAGTTAACATAAAGCAAAACAGAGAGCAAAAATAATTACCTGAGAATTTGAGGCAAAGTAAGAGCCAAAGCAATTATCTCATCCAAAAGTAAAACAAAGAAAAACATGTTTACCATGATTGACCAGGAAATTGCACCTGCATTCTATTTCACCTATGGATAGGTCTTCCAAGGACCAAATTCTAAGATAGAAATCTCTGAATATTCTAAGGTCATAATGACTTTCCTGGCCCCAAACCTAATGTCACATTTCTTCTGACAGGCTACAGAAACAAGAGAAAACAAAAAAAAAAAAAGGTCCACAGGATGGCTTGGGTTGAATTATGTGTGTTTATGAAGGAAAGTGTCAACTAGACCACATGTGTCAAGGGGAAAAATATCATAAAGAATTTCCCAAAGAAATCCTTGAGCCAAAACCCTTTCTTAAGTAAAAATATCATCATTTCAGGGCACATTCCTCTCCTGTCATGCATGCATGAGCAGACTGCTTCCTGCTGAAAGCTCATTCTGAAAATGAAATGCAGTCCCTATGGTAAGCCTAGCTTTCCATAAAGGCAGGACAGAGTAAACAAAATAATCCTCACTTTCAGTTCCATTTCTTTACTTTAGGTAGGATCTAGAATGTTCAGGGAACAGGAATTCTTCGGGAAATTCTAGCTCTTTGAAATATAGCCACACAGTCAAACTTGGCAAAAGGTTTTAAAATTGTATTCTTAAAAAAACTATATGAAGAAGCTTTTATAACTCAGTATATTTTTTAAAAACCAATTGTTTCTTTATAAGTTTCCCAACCCAACATACCATGCAAATCATTATTTTTACCTTATGATTCAAATGTATCCTTGACCACATGTAATGGGTAAAGCCACAGAGACATGATCCCTCTCCTACAACTCAGAAGCTAACTGATTTGGTGTTTAATTTTTACTTTACATGATATTTCTTTTGTTCTTATCATTCTCAGGAAGAGTCCTATAGCCTGATATGCAATGTACACTTTGGTGGTTTTTGGATGCAACCAAAAAAATTGTAAATTTTGTACCATTTTTGACATATAGAAACCACAGTTTCACATGATTCAGCTCAGGAAAGGACTCATCTCTCTAGACCTGTTTCTTCATCTTAAACTTGGGGATGTTCAATAAGACGAACTCAAAAGTCCTAGGTTTGCTATTCTATGATTCTACAAGTTACAGGATCATGTTCATATAAGGATATACTGGGGAACATATGCATAGGTGACATTTGCTATTATAATTTCACTAAATAGGGAAAAAAATCAATTCATTTCACAAGTGGTTATTGAGCATCTACTTAGGACAAGGCCCTATTAAAGAAATAATTTTTTGATATGAAAATGATAGGGCTTTTTATGGAGAAAAAACTCTAAAATATTTGGGGGGCTTGAATTCCTTCAGCTTTAAGCCAAATTTAATTTTACATTTGTCAAATACTTGGTTATGCTTAGGAATTCTAAGAGGATTGCTTAATAAGTACAGTCATACCTTTCTTCTAATGCCCTGGCCTGAGTCCATGAATAAGAAGGGAACAAGCTGCCCCATAAGAGTTTCACAACTTCTTTCAGGCACTCACTCCATTATATAGGGAAATTTATGAAACATACATGTGCCAGATTCTCCCAGAGTAGGTGTTCCCTTTATAAGTAAGTGATAAGCCACTAAAAGTGCATTAACTCTTTTAGTCAATAAATCATTCATTCCACAAATATTGCCTGGGTGTGTATTATCTCAAACACTAGGCTAGGATTCAAGATATGGGAATAAACAGACTCTGTCTTCAAGGAGCTCGCAATCTATTGAACAAAATAGAAAAGTAAACAAATACTTGTACTACCTTGTCACAAGTATGTAAAAAGTATTATAATGGCACGAAGTAAGCATCAGAGGGCCTATTTCACAAAAAAAGTGACATCTGAATTGGAATGTAAAGACATGGGAAGGAATCACCATAGGTGGCAGAGGGGCAATGGGGCACAGGATGAATACTACAGGTTAATTGAACAGGTTATGCAAAATATGAAGACCTGAAATAATATTCTATATTCAGAGAAAGGTGAGAACACCTATAGAGTGTGAGGAAAAGATATTAAAGAAAACAAAATGGATAAAGCAGATTGGGGCTAGCTTTTGAAGACCCGAAGGCCTGCTGAAGAACACCAACTCTATTTTGTATGTAAGAGAGAACCACTGGGGTGCCTTTAAAACGGCAGGAGAGCAACATGATCCAATTTGAAAGGTCATTGAATGACAGTGTGGAGGATAGTTTGAAAGTGGGTAAGCTCTAGTCAAGATCAGCTAAATGGCCATTCTTTTTTTTTTTTCTTTTTTGAGACAGAGTCTCGCTCTGTCACCCAGGCTGGAGTGCAGTGGCACGATCTCGGCTCACTGCAAGCTCCGTCTCGTGGGTTCACACCATTCTGCCTCAGCCTCCCGAGTAGCTGGGACTACAGGTGCCCGCCACCACACCCGGCTGATTTTTTTGCATTTTTTAGTAAAGACGGGGTTTCACCATGTTAGCCAGGATGGTCTCGATCTCCTGACCTCGTGATCCACCTGCCTCGGCCTCCCAAAGTGCTGGGATTACAGGCATGAGCCACCGCGCCCGGCCGGCCCATTCTTAATAGTACGGAAAAGAGATGAGGAAGGACGAAATTTAATAGAGTAAAACACTAAATTACCACTGACTAACACCCAGAAACTTAAAAGCATTCACGTATATCATTAAATCTCGAGTTCCATCTATTCACGAATTGATCAATCTCAAACTATGCAATGACAAAACAACTAGTTTAACTGATTTTTTTTGCAACAAATTGGCCAGTTTTTGTGTCACAGCATAGAGATACTTATCTGTTCATGAACTGCCATAAAATAATTTTCAGCTGGGGAAACAAAAAGCAACTTTCTAGCTTATAGAAGGATTTTTATGATAAAATGGATGTCCAAATGGTATTTGTTCCACACGAGAAAAGAATCTAAAATTGAAATTAAGTTCTCCTATTTGAGTATCACATTAACTCAATATAATAATTTTCTATGTAGAGAGAAAACTGTTTGCAGGGATAATCCAACAGTAGAGAAGTGAAATCTGTGAGTTTATTTGAAATCTTTTGGGCAACTCTTTGCAGCAACAGTGCCATCTTCCTACATTTTGCTTAGATTAATTTTAAGATTTATTTTTCTTATTTGGAACACATCTGTAGGAAGCAAGGAGCATGCAAGCTAGGATATAGCAAATCTGAGAGTTAGCATTTGTGACAGATAATACACATGTGCATTATACACAAGACAAAAATAAAATTTTATTCTCAATTTCTAGATATTAGATAACTAGATGGTGGTAGTTCCATTCTAGTTATTAGAAAACTATTTAGGATTGGAAGAACTGAGGTGGTCAAATGAAAAAAGTGAATTAGTTGCATTCTTACCAACTGTGGAGCAAAGAAACATGTTTCTCATGGCCCAAGGCAGGCTTGAATGAGAAGGAAATCTGGGGATCTACTTAGATAGTGCCAAGAAAGTGCCAGAGATGGATGCCCTGGAGATGAGCAAAGAGAGGTCCTGAAGTCACAGGACTAAATTCCAGCACAGTGGAATAAAACAGAAAAAAGAAAGGAGTACCTACATAAGAGAATCAGTAGGTTTGGGAGAGTGATAAAATCTTAACTTTTCTATTTTAACAGTGAAATCTTTTGCAGAGCAAAAATTTTGATTTTTGAAGTCCAATTTATCAAGTATTTATTTTCTAGATCATGCTTTCAGTATTATATCTAAGAATTATTTGCCTACCCCAGGTCATGAATATTCCTTCTCATGTTTTCTTCTAAATGCTTTATGGTTTTCCTTTTTTTTTTTTTTTTTTCTTTTTTTTTGAGACGGTGTCTCGCTCTGTCGCCCAGGCTGGAGTGCAATGGTGCAATCTCGGCTCACTGCAACCTCCACCTCCCAGGTTCAAGCGATTTTCCTGCCTCAGCCTCCCAAGTAGCTGGGACTACAGGCACATGCCACCACGCCTGGCTAATTTTTTTGTATTTTAAATAGAGACGGGGTTTCACCGTGTTAGCCAGGATGGTCTCGATTTCCTGACTTCGTGATCCACCTGCCTCAGCCTCCCAAAGTGTTGGGATTACAGGCGTGAGCCGTGCCCAGCCTGGTTTTACATTTTACACTTAGAACTATGATCCATTTCTATTTACTTTTTTAAAAAGGCATGAGTTTAGGTGGAGGTTAATTTTTTTTACATGTCTATATCCAATTGTTCCAACACCATTTGTTGAAAAGATGATCCTTTTTCCATTGAATTGCCTTTGCAATTTCATAAAAAATCAATTGGCCATATTTGAATGAAGCCAATTTCTGGACTCAATTCAGTACCACTGATCTACATGTCTATCCCTTCACCAATGCCACACTATATTGATTACTATAGCTTTGTAGTAAATCTTAACATCAGTGTAAGTCATCCAACTTTCTCCTTTTTTCAAAATTGTTTTGGCTATTCTGGTTTTTTGTTTGTTTGTTTTGTCTTCCCATATACATTTTAGAATTATTATATATATATTGAGAATATGTCTATTTCTTCTTTCAGTTTTGTCTATTTTTGCTTCACGTATTTTTAAAGTCTGTTAGGTGCACACACATTTAGATTTGTATGTCTTCTTGGTGAATTTACTTTTATATTATTACATGATGTCTCAGTTTATCCCTGGTGATTTTCCTTGCTCTGAAGTCTACTTTGATTATTAATATATTTATACCAACTTTATTTTTATTCATGTTTAAAATGTGTCTTTTCCCATTCTTTTTCATTTAACCTTCCTATATCTTTATACTTGAAGTATGTTTCTGGTAGACAGCATATAGTCGAGTGATACCTTTTTACTCATTCTGATTATCTCTATTTTAACTAGTGTGCTTACACCATTTACATTTAATGTTAATATTGATATGTTTGGGTTTAGGGCTACTATTTAATTATCTGTTTACTCATCACTCCTTATGTTTTTCCTTCCTCTGTTACCCTTTTTTTCTTCTTCTTTTGGGTTACTTGAGCATTTGTTAGTATTCTATTTTAGTTTCTTATTATTTCACTTTGGGCTGTGTGTGTGTGTGTGTGTGTGTGTGTGTGTATGTGTGTGGTGATGACTGTTACAGTAAACAAACTTAAACTTTCTCAGCATGCTTTGAATCAATATTTGCCACTTTAAATGTGATGTAGAAATTCTTCCAAGATCCCTTTACCTTCCATCCTTCATGTTGTATTTGCCTTATATATTACTTCTATATGCATTGAAAACCCATCAGATAATGTTATAGTTTTGGTTTTCAATGATCAAATATACTTCAAACACCTTAAAAGGAGAAGAACAGTCTATTATATTTGCCCAAATATTTGCTATTTATATTGCTCTTCCTTCATTCCTCATGCTCCATATTTCCTTCTGGTGTCATTTCCTATCTGAAAATTTTCATTTCGTAATTCTTTTAGATCAGGACTGTTTGTAGTGAACTGTATTAGTTTTCTTTCATCTGAGAATGTCTTTATTTAACCTTCATTCCTAAAGGATATTTTCACCAGGTATAAAATTCAAGATTAACAATTCTTTTCTTTCAGCACTTAAAAATGTTGTTCCACTATCTTTTTCATGAACAGTTTCTGATAAGAAAACCGTAGCCAGTTCAATAATACATCATTTTTCTCTTGCTGCTTTCATAGTATTTTGTCTTTAGCTCATAATGATTTAATTGTGATAGGTCTAGACATGGATTTATTTGGTTTTGTCACATTTAGGATTCACTAGACTTCTTGAGTCTGTAGGTATATGTCTTTTACCAAATTTGAGAAGTTTTTAGCTATTATTTATTGAAATGATGTTTCTTCCCCCATGTTCTTTCTCCATTCATTCCGAGTCTCTAATCACATGAACATTAGACTTTTGAGTATTATCCCACACATCTTCCTTCATTTTTAAAATATTTTTTATGTCTTTTCTGATTGGATAATTTCTATTACTATATCTTCACATTCGCTGACTCCTCTGTCAATTCTATTCTGCTATTACACCCATTCTGTAATTTTTAATTTTAGTTATTGTATTTTTCAGTTCTAAATTTTCTCTTTGGTTATTCTTTATATTATCTATTTCTTTGTTAGGACTTTTTATCTCTTCATTATTTTCAAGAGTGTATGCCCTTACTTATTTGTACATATTTTATCAGATAATTTCAACATTTGTGATACATTAGCAGTGGCATCTGTTGATTCTTATGCAGGTTGAGATTTTACTGTTGTTCAGTTCTGTTCCATGTGTGTGTCATTGAATGACCAGTGTGGGACCTAGACTGTGACCTACCCCTTAGTTCAGTTCTCAAAGTATTTAGTATCCTGTTTAGGATCCATGCATGCACAAATCCAGGGTGAGCTCAAGAGTTCACAGACAACTTTATGAGTTTTCTTCCCAGGCTCCCTGCTCTCCATGATCTCCCTAGTACTTCTGGTGCCCTGGGGCTCCCTTTTCAATGTTCTAATCAGGACACTGAACTTCTCTCCTCCCCTCCACATTTTCTTTTTCTTTTTCTTTTTTTTTTTTTTTTTTTTTTTTGAGACGGAGTCTCACTCTGTCACCCAGGCTGGAGTGCAGTGGCTCACTGCAACCTCCACCTCCTGGGTTCAAGCGATTCTCCTGCCTCAGCCTCCCTAGTAGCTGGGATACATGTGTGTACCATCATGCCCAGCTAATTTTTTTGCATTTTTAGTAGAGACGGGGTTTCACCATGTTGGCCAGGCTGGTCTCAAACTCCTAACCTCAAATGACCCGCCCACCTCAGCCTCCCAAAGTGCTGGGATTACAGGCATAAGCCACCATACCTCCCTCTCCTCCACATTTTCTAGTGGCCCCTCTCTGGAGCCAACAGCAAGATAACAAGTGGAGGGAAAGCAAGAGGGTTTCACTCCACATTTTTGAAACCACAGCTTCTCCCATCAGAGAGAAATGTTCCCATGCCCCAGTTTTAGGAGGAACCCAGTAGCTGCTGTTCTTGCTGTCACTGCCCCTATCACAGCACAATTGCCTAAAGACTGGCAGAAGAGAATGGAGTAGAGACTTAAAGGAGAAAGAGTAGGAGAAAAAGAAGAGGAGGGAAAAAAAGAAGAGGAGGAGCTGGGGGAGAGAAGGAGGAAGAAAGGGGATTTCCAACTCTTTCTCTAAATATTAGCTAATCTTTTCCTGGAAGAATTAGAGGTCTCCTCCTGGAGCTCTCTGTGTCTATGTTCCCTTTTTGGTTTGGGTTGCCTTAAGTTCAGGTTAGGGGTTACCTAGAAACAAGAAATGGTTATCTTATCACCTATTTGGTGGTACTTTGAATTCTGTACCACTTTCTGCTTACTATTACTTTTCAAATAGGAGTTGAAAATACTTTTCAAGAAGCACATTCTAATTGAACCAGAACCGTATCTTATCTGGAACCATAAACATAATAGACAGTTGTATAAATTGTGTTTGCATTTTCAAATAATTCAAATTGCAGTATGGCTTCCAATAAACAAATATTTGTTTTCTTCATTTGCCTAACTATAAATAACCTAGTTCCACTACATGTGAAGTTTATTATCCATTGACCCACCAGAGGTACTGCTGTGTCTTTAGAAATCAGAAGCATTCTTGGCCGGGCGCAGTGGCTCACGCCTGTAATCCCAGCACTTTGGGAGGCTGAGGTGGGTGGATCACGAGGTCAGGAGATCAAGACCATCCTAGCTAACATGGTGAAACCCCGTCTCTACCAAAAATACAAAAAATTAGCCGGGCGTGGTGGTGGGCACCTGTAGTCCCAGCTACTTGGAAGGCTGAGGCAGGAGAATGGTGTGAACCCGGGAGGTGGAGCTTGCAGTGAACCCAGATGGCGCCACTGCACTCCAGCCTGGGCGACAGAGCAAGACACCGTCTCAAAAAAAAAAAAAAAAAAGAAATCAGAAGCATTCTTATTAATAATTTCAAAAAATAATTATTTGGCCAATGTTATCTCTACTTCCTTCTACTTTTTTCTATTTTACTAAAGGACTATGATAAATACAATTACATGAAGATATAATTTGTATTTAGGATAAAAAATTAATATAGTATTATGTTGTTTGATTTGACAATAATTCGAATCTCTACATGGCTGGACCATTTGATTATGCATTTAAAGCAACAATAGCATAAAAAGCCCCAACATATCAAAGACTAACCAACTAAATAGCCAGTGATATAAATAAAGAACCATTTTTAGAAGAAGTCTATGCTGCTGTTTAATATTTTGAATCACTCCACAATGCTGAAATCATTTAAAGAAAAAAGATTTTTATTTTTATGTGCCTGGGTTTCCAATGCTACTTATACTTACTAAATTATAAGACCTTCATGGTCTTTCATAAAATTAAAATTCCATGAAAAAAGTATAGGTAGGAGTTACTTCTCCTAAAAGGTATGTCTTATCTATCTAAACAGAGTGCTAAACACTCGTTGAGACAAGAATCACATCTTTGTTAATATATGCTAATAAGGCTACGAATGCCTGGAAAATGGAACTGCCAAAGTGAAAAAGAATCTGGGTAATATTCCTGGGCACTAAAGGAAACAGAAAAAGCCAGACCAAGAAGAAAGATCTGATAGATTTTGTGTATTTCAAGGCATGATGGAACTGGCCAGAAGTGGGGAGGAGGAGTTGAATGAAATTTAACTATTAAGAATATGATAGGAAAAAAAAGAGTGGGTGCAAATGAATATAACTGGCTTTTCAGATAACAAAGAGAACAAAATGTATCATTCTGTCTTAGCACATCAATCTGTTGATAATAGTTTAATAAAACCCATTTGTTCCTAGACTTTTAGAAGTTAGAAATGCAGCACATTTTTACTATGTAAGTGTTCCTTATCCAATAAAACTTTGATTACATAGCATTGATTTTATTAGATTTGTACAAATTTTTCCCAAAACTCCCTCTTACTCTACTTGTGAAAGACAAATATGGTTTGAAATGGAGACACCAAATATACACTGTTTATCCCAATGGATACTTGTGGAACTATAATCTTTAAAAATGCTGAAAGGGGGAGGTGAATTTCCACCGCTCACTCAAATTGAAGTGGGGGAAGTGATCACAGTGAGAATGTGTATGGAAAGCCCACAGTAACTGTTAAGGTTAAGATCACAACTTGCCAATTTAGGGTTTTTAGAATGACCTAGCTATCTGATATATAGGTAGGAAACCAAGAGTTAGTAAATGGACCATATGTTTATAAGCAGAGTATGTTTCCCATGGAAAAAAAATACAGATTTCTCTGTGAAGCTGAAGTAGCCTGTTCTCACTCTAACCTAGTTATTAGAGTCCAACCATATTCTTCTTAGGATTTCCTAAGTACCTAGAATGGTGTTCTACATATAGTAAATTATCAATATAAAAGAATAAAATTTTTACTTTTTGTAGTCATATTATGTGTGTATGTATATATATACATATATTTGATTCAATTTAAAGTATCCCAGTGGATTTTGTCTAAAAACACAAAGAATAGGATATGAAGTTTATAATCTACTGACAGTCCCAAATATACTATTTTACTTGCTTTAATCACCAACACCAACCTTTGAACATAGTGGGCAGTCAATAAATATCTGGAGGATGAGGGTATGAATACATGTATTTGCCAGACTATAACCCCTGATGAAGGAAAGGGATTGGCCGATTCTTTATTGTGGCTCCCTACACCAAACATTCTGAGCTAGCATACCCACAATGAAAGAACATCATCTGAATGAAGCTTCACAATTGCTCTCTCATTACCACTGGGCTTCTGGCATCCAGCACACCTTGGAGTCCTAGTGTTAAGGAATGTATTCTGAGCCTCTGCCGGCACAGGCATGTCACAGTGATGCTTCTAAAACAAACCAGAGCTCAGGTTTGTTTCAAGTCTTCACATGCTTTTGATGGAAGGTGTGCTGGCAGCTGTTGTCATCATTAGCCTTGTGGCAATACTTTTTCCTTTAGTGTCTTATGTTTCATATGAAAGCTTAAAGCTCATTAAATAGGGAGGAACTTTGGAATATGTGCCAATGCCAAACAGTAAAGTTTTTATTTTCTCCTGTTATAACAGCTTTAAAGTTCTGAATTTCCAAATCTTAGTCCCCAACACCATTCCAAATTTTAAATTCGATAATGGGGTAGGAGCAGAAGGATACCAATTCCTTTTCCTGACTTTACAATCTTTACCAGAGATCTAGTAAGTGAAAGATTTAGAGCCTGCTAGAAAACTTGGGTGTGGAATTCTCCTGTAATCCTGGCATTTATGGGATGAGTGAGCTGTCCATCCATGGTTCTGTAATCTAGACAGTTGAGATATCTGAATCTGAATGCTCAACCTAGTACAGTCTTCCATGGTATTCACATTTTTCTAGCAGCTGACCTAAGTGATACATTTTAAAACGCACAATAACTAATGGTCACTAAGCACCTACTTACTATGTGCCAGGCAATATCAAAAAGCACTTCAAATGTTAAAATGCTCACAAACGCTCTCAGATAAATATTTATCTCCATTTTACAGATAAGAAAACCTAGGATTAAAGAGGTAAGTAACTTGCCCAAGTTTTTATTCACTATAAGGAGACTTTTTAAAAAGGTTAATTAGTACTACTTAATATTATAGGTATCTTCTAAGGCAAGAACTATTATCTATTTCATCTTTGTATCCTCCACCATATCTAGAGCAAAACCTTACACATACAAACTTCTTAATAAAGGTTTACTGAGCAGGCCAGTGTGTTGGCTCATGCCTGTAATCCCAGCGTTTTGGGAGGCCAAGGCAGGAGGATCACTTGAGGCCAGGAGATTGACACCAGATTTTGAGGTTACACTGAGCTAGCCTGGGTAACAGAGCAAGAAAACGAAAGGCCCCATAGTTGTGGAGTACTATATATTTATTATGTATATTTCTTTCTCTCTCTTTCCCTCTCTCTGTTTTAAATTTTTTCATATTAGAAAATAAGTTTAAGTTCTAGAGCCTTCCAAGTCATTCATACACACACATACACCCACTCATTTGCCAAATTTACTTGGGTCCCTCTGAAACCACAAGTAGCAGCTGCTTAATAGGTGAACTTCAACACCAAGCAACAGGTTGGGGCAGGTAATTAAGAATACCAAATCCATTTGAAATTGCAGGGGAAATTTAGGGAAGTAGAACGTATTTATCAGAGTTGGAATTTGGCCAGGATTCTAAAGAAAACACCAATTACCCTTTGATAATATAAAATAGCATATAAACACTGTTTAACTGAATTTCTGACTAAGGTTAAGAATTCCAGAGACTCACAGAAGGGACACATCATTCCTGGACAAATTCTTCCATTGAGAAAGTTCTTTATACTTCCATAGTAACCCCCTTGCCTCTCACAAAGAAAACCTCTTGTTGTCAGGTTAGTAATGAAAGTGAATTCTAATAAACAGAGCTGGAGCAAATAAGAGGTCTTTCTAGCACTACTAGCTATTGTGCACCTTAGATTTAGATATCTCCCTTCCACAAAGTATCACAACCTCACATATCTCAATGTAGAAGACACTTCAAGAGAGCCGATTTCATCAGAATGGCAACTTTCTCAGACAGCTCCTCTCTGCCCAAGATAATTTAGGTGTGATCATGCTTGACATGAAGTATGAATTCGGTAACTTTCTAAGGTCTCTAACCACCTTCAAGTTAGGAATTCTATTAAGGGACCTAACCAAAACAAGATAAAAAAGAGAGGGGTCTATAGATTTAAGAGATATAGTGACTAAGTACAACATGTGGACTGTGTTTGAAACCTATAATTGAAGAAATTGAACACAGATGGAATACTTGATATATTTTTAATTTTCTATTAATTTTAAGTATAATTGCAACGATTATATTTTGAAGATATACACACTGAAGTATTCGTAAATGAAATTCTGTAATACCTAGTATTAGCTTCAATATGAAAAAAGATAGGAAGAAGTTAGTGGGTAGATGTCCATGTGTTGATAATTACTGAAGCCCAGTGATGGGTACTTGGGAGTTCACTACACTATTTTCCATAGGTTGTGGCATAGGTGAAATAGATCATTGTTCAAGTGCAATTTCTGTTAACACAATTTTCTCTCTTTTAGCAAATGAAAGCATCTAAGAATGCAAATAAATGACAGTGATTTTTTATAGCAATAATCTTGAATTTCCACTATTTCATAAAATAAGTAAACTTTCTAAAACTTAATATTCTAAAACATTAACCCTCATACAATTGTTTAGTTTTTGTTTAAAATTTTCCATTAAAATAACTTTAAAAAAGATATCCTGTACCCATTTTCACCACTCCTATTTAACATAGTACTGAAAGTCCTAGCCAGAGCAATAATACAAGAGAAAGAAATAAAAGGCATCCACACTGGAAAAGAGGAAGTCAAATTGTCCCTCTTTGCTAATAATATGATCTTATACCAAGAAAAAAACTAAAGACTCCACCAAAAAACTCTTATATTTGATCAATGTGTTCATTCAATTTGCAGGATACAAAATCAACATACAAAAATGAGTAGCAGTCGGGCGCGGTGGCTCATGCCTGTAATCCCAGCACTTTGGGAGGCCAAGGTGGGCGGATCACCTGAGGTCAGGAGTTCAAGACCAGCCTGGCCAACAAGGTTAAACCCTGTCTCTACTAAAAATAAAAAATTAGCTAGGTGTGGTGGCGGGCGTCTGTAGTTCCAGCTACTTGGGAGGCTGAGGCAAGAGAATCACTTGAACCCCAGAGGCAGAAGTTGCAGTGAGCCAAGATCGCACCACTGCACTCCAGCCTGGGTGACAGAGTGAGACTCCGTCTCAAACACACACACACACACACACACACACACACACACATCAGTAGCATTTCTATACACCAATAATGATCTAGCCAAAAAAGAAATCAAGAAGGAAATCCTATTTACAATAGCTACAAATGAATAAAATACCTAGGAATAAATTTAACCAAGAGGTGAAAGATATCTACAAGGAAAACTACAAAACATAAATGAAGGAAGTCGAAGAAGACACAAACAAATGAAAAAACCTCCCATGCTCATAGATCGAAAGAATTAACAGTGTTAAAAAGACCATATTGCCCAAAGCAATCTAAAGATTCAATGCAGTCCCTATCAAAATACCAATGTCCTTCTTCATGGAATTAGAAAAAAAAAATCCTAAATGTATGTGGAACTAGAAAAGAACTGATTAGCCAAAAGAACTGATTATCCAAATCAATCCTGAGCAAACAGAACAAATCTGGAGGCATCACACTACCTGACTTCAAATATAAGACTAGAGTAACCAAAACAGCATGGTCTGGTTATAAAAGTAGATGCATAGGCCAATGGAACAGAATAGAGAACCCAGAAGTAAAACTACATATTTACAGCCAACTGATCTTTGACAAAGCCAACAAGAATTTACACTGGGGAAAGGATACCCTCTTCAGTAAGTGCTGCCACAAACCCACATGCAGAAGAATGAAACTGGACCCCATCTTTCACCATACAAAATCTATTCAAAAATTTATACATACTATATATAAAAATCAACTCGAAATGGATTTAAGACTTAAACATAAGACCCAAAGCTATAAAAATACAAGAAGAAAACCTACAGAAAACTCTCCTGGATACTGGGCTAGGCAAAGAATTTATGACTAAGACTTCAAAAGCACAGGAAACAAAAACAAAAATAGATAAATGGGTCTTAATTAAACTAAAAAGTTTCTGCACAGCAAAGGAAACAATCGACAGAGCAAAGAGGTAACCTGTTGAATGGGAGAAAATATTTGCAAGTTATTCAACAACATTGGTCTAAGCTGACACATCCAGAATATACAAGGAACTCAAACATCTCGAGAGAAAAAAAATCATCCCATTAAAAAGTGGACGAAGGACATGATAGCTATTTCTCAAAAGAAGACATACAAATGGCTAATGGGCATCTGAAAAAATGCTCAGCATCACTAATTATCAGAGAAATGCAAATCAAATTACAAGGAGGTATCATCTTACTCCAGTCAGAATGGCCATTATTAAAAAGAAAAAATAACAGATGTTGATGAGGATGCAAGGGAACTCTTATATGTGGCTGGTGGAAATGTAAACTAGTATAGCCATTATGGAAAACAGTGTGGAGATTTCTCAAAAACCTAAAGCTAGAATTGCCATATGACCTAGCAATCCCACTACTGGCTATCCATCTAAAGGAAAAGAAATCAATATATCAAAGGGATACTTGCACTCTCATGTTTACTGCAGCACTATTCACAGTAGCAAAGATATGGAATCAACCTAAATGTCCATCAACAGATGAATGGATAAGGAAAATATGGTATATATACACAGTGCAATACTATTTGGCCATAAAAGGTAATGAAATCATGTCATTTACAGCAACATGGATGTAACTGGAGGTCATTACGTTAAATGAAATAAGCGAGGCACAAAAAGACAAATATTGCATGTTCTCACATATGTGGGAGCTAAAATTACATGGAGATAGAGAGCGGAAAGATAGACAACAGAGACTGGGAAGGATGAGATAGGGGGATGAGGGAGATGAAGAGAAGTGGGTTAAAGGACACAGCCATACAGTAAGATAGAAGAAATATATTCAATGTTTGATAGCAGGGCAGGGTGACTATACTTAACAAAAACGTATTCTATTCAAGTGATAGACACCCTAAAAATCCTGCCTTGATCACTACACATTAAATACATGTAACAAAATTCACATGTACCCATAAACTTGCACAAACAAAACATAAATGAAACAAAAATAACTCCTAAATCAAACAAATCCCATTATTTTTCTAAACTTCAAGTTGAGTTGAACCCAATTAATAACGTTTTATTGACCAATACATGAAGCCAAAGCACTTTTTGGGGGTTTTTTTAGTACTTTTAATTTTAAATGTGCAATAAATTCACTCATGCTTTTTGTAAACATTTGAATGGTATTTACAAAATTTCGACATGCTTCCATTAACATGCTAAAATATATTGTGCATACCAGAAAGGTACGATACGGTTTCTGCCTTCAAGAACTTACAGCCAAATTTGAAAACTAGATTTAGGTAGGATATACAACATTAGGAAAGTTTTAACATCTATAAATTAATATACACAGTTATTCAAACCACAGTTCGTTTTAAAAAATCAAAACAAAACTAAACCCAACTAATTTATCATTCAATCCAAATTCCTACATCTATTTGCTTAGTTTATAATTATTTTGTATTACTGCTTTTTAATTTGTTAGACTTTATTTTTTAGAGCAGTTTTTCTTCACAACAAAATTGAGCAGAAGGAACACAGATTTGTTATATACCACTTCTTCCACCAGAGTGGTACATTTGTTACAATTGATGAACCTACAATGACATATCCTTGTCACCCAAAGTCCGTAATTTACGTCTGGGTTCACTCTTGGTGTTGTGCATTCTATGGGTTTGAAAAATGTACAATGACATGTATCCACCATTACAGTATAATATAGAGTAGTTTCACTGTCCTATATAAGTCTTCTGTGTTCTACCTATTCATCCGCCTCTTCCCCCAATCCCTGGCAACCATTGATCTTTTTACTGTCTCCATAGTTTTAGTCTTTTCCAGAATGTCTTATAGTGAAAATCATACAGTATGTAGCCTTTTCAGATAGGCTTCTTTCACTTAGTTATACACATTTTAGGTTCCTCCATGCCATTCATGGCTTGATAACTCATTTCTTTTTAGCACTGAGTAATATTCCATTGTCTGGATATACCATAGTTAATTCATCCATTTACCTATTGAAGGACATCTTAGTTGCTTCCAAGTTTTGGCAATTATGAATAAAGCTGTTATAATAAACATCTGCATGCCAGTTTTTGTGTGGCATGTTTTCACCTCACTTGGGTAAATACAAAGGAGCATGACTGTTGGATTGTATGGTAAGACTACGTTTACTTGTGTAAGAAACTGCCAAACTGTCTTCCAAAGTGGCTGTAACCCTTTTGCATTCCCAGGAGCAATGAATAAGAAATCTTATTCCGTCACATCCTTACCAGTATTTGATGTTGTTAGTGTTCTGGATCTGGGCTATTCTAAGATTCGTGTAATGGTATTTTACTGTTGTTTTAATTTGCATTTCCCTGAGGATAAAAGGTGGATCATATTTTCATGCTTATTTACATCATATGCATATTTGGTGAGGTGACTGTTAAGGTCTTTGGGTCATTTTTTAAAATCAGTTTGGTTTTTCTTATTGTTCAGTTTTAAAAGTCCTGTGCAAGTTTTGGATAAGAGTCCTTTATCAGATATGTCTTTTGCAAAAATTTTTCCCCAGTCTGTGCCTGTCGTTTTATTCTGTTGAAGGTATCTCTCTCCTAGCAGAAATTTTTCATTTTAATAAAGTCTAGTCAATTATTTATTTCATGGACCATCCTGTTGGTGCCATTAATGTCATATCTAAAAAGTCATCACCAAACCCAGGTCATACAGATTATCTTCTAGGAGCTTTATAGTTTCCCATTTCACTTTGTCTATGATCCATTTTGAGTTAATTTTTGTGAGGGGTATAGGATTGTGTCTGGATTCTCCTTTTTTTTTTTTTTTTTTTTTTTTTGCATGTAGATGTCCAGTTGCTCCAACACCATTTGCTGAAAAGACTATCTTTTCATGGTCAAACCACCTTTACTCCTTTGTCAAAGATCAGTCAACTATATTTATGTGGGTCAATTTCTGGTTTCTCTATTCTGTTCCATTGCTGTATTTGTCTATTCTTTTGCTAATTTGTCCATTCTGTCTTGATTACTGTAACTTCATAGCAAGTTTTGGTCAGGTAGTGTCAGCCCTCCAACTTTGATCTTCTCCTTCAATGTTATGTTGGCTATTATGAGTCTTGTCTCTCCAAATAAAGTTAGAATCAGTTTGATAACATCCACAAAATAACTTTCTGGGATTTTGATTGGGATTGAATTCAATCTGTATATCAAATTGAGAAAAACTGATGTCTTCACAACATTGAATCTTCTATACATGAGCATGGAATATCTTTCCATTTATTTAGTTCTTTGATTTTTTTCAGAGTTTTATAGTTCTCCTCATATCTTATACCTATTTTGTTAGATTTATACCTAAGTATTTTTTGGAGGTGCTAATATAAATGGTATTATGTTTTTAATTTCAAATTCCATTTGTTCATTGCTGGAAAGTGATTAACTTTTGTATATTAGCCTTGTGTCCTGCAACCTTTCTGTAATCTCTTATTAGTTCCAGGATTTTTTGTCAATTCTTTTGAATTATCTACATAGAAATTTATATCGTATGCCAAAAAGACAGTTTTATTTCTTCCTTTTCAATCATTACACATTTTCCTTCTTTTTCTTGTCTTATTGTACTACCTATGACTTCCAGAATGACACTGAAAAGCAGTGGTTAAGAGGGAACATCCTTATCTTGTTCATAGTCCTAGTGGAAAACCTAGTTTCTCACTATTAAGTATGTTAACTGTAGGTTTTTTGCAGATATTCTTGTATCAAGTTGAAGTAGTTCACCTCTATTCCTAGTTGACTGAGAATTTTTATCATGATTGATTCTTGCATTTTATCATATACTTTTTCTGCATCTATCAAGATGATCATGTGATTTTTCTTCTTTAGCTATTGATGTGACGAATGACATTACAGCAATAGTCCCCCTGCCTTATTCAAGGGGCACACATTCCAAGACCCTCCAGTAGATGCTTGAAATTTTGAATAGTACCCAACCTTCTTGCTGTCAATTGGAACACATTTCTGTACATGTCTTCTGCTCACACACTTAATGTCTTTTCCATCTTATCTAGTGTTTATCATACACTGTGGCAATAACTTTTGCTGTTGAGATATGAGAGCAAAACTAGCACGTTTATTTTTCCTTCTTCACAATCTCCTGGTTAGAAGATTCATTCTTACCATAGTTCTTAGCAACCTCAGCATACTTTTTTTTTCTTTCCTTATTAAGTCAAGAACGTTTACTTCTTCACTTCAACAAAGCACTCTACAGCAACTCTTTGGTGTATCCAAATTACCAGCATCACTACTCTTGTACTTTGGGGTCATTATTAAGTAAAATAAGGATTAATTGAACAAAAACACTGTGATATCTTATATCTGATATCACAATCTGATAACTGAGATGGCTACTAAGTGGATAATGGGCGGGTAGCATATACAGCATGAATATATTGAACAAAGGGATGATTCATGTTCCAGGTGGGATACAGCAGAACAGTGTGAGATTTCTTCCTGCTACTCAGAATAGCACTCAATTTAAGATTTATGAGTTATTTCTGGAATTTTCCACGTAATATTTTCTAACCAGGGTTGAGCACAGGTAAGTGAAACTGAAGAAAGTGAAACTGAATTGTAGGAGGGTGCCGGGAGAGACTACTGTGATTGATTTTTGAATGTTGTACCTGCCTTTTACACCTGAGATAAATCTCACTTGGTCATGTTGTATAATTCTTTTTATACATTATTGGATCCAATTAATTTTGTTTTAGAATCTATTGCTGCCTAAAGTCCTTTAAGCATATGTTGCAGGGAGATTGTGAATTGACCCCAGGTTATCCCTGCCTCCTACTGTTTATGCTTGTATAATCCCCTCTGCTTGAATGTGGACTTCTAGCCAATAAAATAAGACAATGATAATGAAATTTCCTGTCACTCCTGTGATTATGTTAATGTTACATTCCACACTATCGTGCTAGCAGACTTACTCCACAGACTCTTCTTATTGACTTTATGAATTAAACAGCCATGCTGGGAAAGCCTGCACAGTAAGATTGATCAATGCGTTCATTCAAGTTGCAGGATACAAAATCAACATACAAAAATGAGTAGCGGTCGGGCGCGGTGGCTCACGCCTGTAATCCCAGCACTTTGGGAGGCCGAGGTGGGCGGATCACCTGAGGTCAGGAGTTCGAGACCAGCCTGGCCAACAAGGTTAAACCCTGTCTCTACTAAAAATAAAAAATTAGCCAGGTGTGGTGGCACGCACCTGTAGGACTATGGACAGCCTGAGGACCTACAGGCAGCTGCTAAGAGCTGAGGCTGACTTCCAATTGACATCACACAAGAAGCCAGGGCCCTCAGCCCTACAGTCACAAAGAAATTCATGCAGTTAACAACTTGAGTGAGCTTGGAAACAGATTATTCCCCAGTCAAACCTACAGACAAAACTGCAACCCAGCCAACATTTTGATTATAACCTTGTGAAACCCTAAGCAGAGGATCCAGCTAAGCCATTCCCAGATTCCTGATACACAGAAACTGTGAGATAACAAATGTGTGTTATTTTAAGTCAATGCATTTTTGGTAATTTGTTATAGAGCAATAGAAAAGTAATAAAAAAGAAATGTTTAAGTCGTAATATGTAAGAGTTCTATTGAATCCTACAATAGTACTAGATCTTTGTTTGTTTGTTTAAAAAGCAAAACTTTGCCTGGCTAAAGTCAACATGTCTTTTAAAAAGACTTCTATGCCACCCTGGGAAGAATAATTTTTCAGATTTAGTCAGATTTTTAAGAGGACACATTAATTCCAGAGGAAATAATCCAGGAAAATTGGCATGTGCCATATCAGAGTAGATAGGAAAATGAACAGTTATCTCCATTAATCTTCAAATTTCAAAGCAAGTTTGCATCCTGGGATACTTGGTCACTAGATATTATCCTTTTTATGTATCGTTGGAATTGATTTGCTAAAGTTTTAAGAATTTTTTCATCTATGTCTATGATAGATATTGCTCTATGGCTTTCTTGTAATGTCTTTGTGTGGTTTTGGTATCAGGACAATGTTGTTCTCACAGAATTAATTGAAACATATATCCTCTGCTTCAATTTTCTGAAAAACTCCATGTACAACTAGTATTATTTCTTCCTCAAATGTTTCATAAAATTCATCAAAGCCTACAGGAGTATTCAGGTTATCTATTTCTTCTTGAGTGAGCTTTGGTAGTTTGTCTTTCAAAGAGTTTATCCATCTCATCTATGTTTTCAAATTTATTACCATAAAGTTTGTCATAATATTCCCTTATTATATCTATCTATGTACCTATTCTTAATATCTGTGGAATCTGTACTTGTCATCTCTATCATTATGGGTATTGGCAATTCGTGTTTTCTTTTTTCCTCATCAGTTTGACTAGAGATTTATCAATTTTATTGATTTTCTCTAAGAATCTGGTGTGGTTTCATTTATTTTTCTCTTTTTGTTTATTTTCCATTTAATAGACTTTGCTCTTACCATTTTTTCCTTTTTCTGATTAGTTTTAATTTGCTTTTTTTTCCATTTTTATAAAAGAGAAGCTGAGGTCACTCATTTAAGATCTTCTTTATAGCATTTAGTGCTATAATTTCCCTCTAAGCACTGCTTTGACAGCATCCCACAAATTTCAATATGTTGTGCATTCATTTTTATTCAGTTCAAGTACGTTATTTCCTTTTTTGTTTCTCTTTTTTTTTTTTTTTTTTTTTTTGGCCCATAGGTCATTTAGAAGTAATTTAATTTCCAAATACTTAGAATTTTCCTGATAGCTCTTTTACTGAATTCTAATTCCACTGTTGACTGAAAACATACATTTTATGATTTGAGTCTTTTTAAATTTATTGAGACTTATTTAACAGCCCATAATCTGATCAATGTAGGCAAATGTTGTGTATGCTTAAAGAGAATCTGTATCCTGCTGTTGTTGAGTCTAATATTATATAAACATTGTCATTATTTGATAGTGTTGTTCAAGTCTTCTATATCCTTACTGATGTTTTTCTACTTGTTCTATCAATATGGAGACAGGTTGAAATTGTGGATTTGGCTATTTTTTTCTTTCAGTTCTATCAGTTTTTGTTTTATGAATTTCTGAAGTCTATTAGGCAAAAAAGATTTAGAAATGGTATGTCCCCTTGACAAATTGACCCATTTATAGAAATGACTCTTTATCCCCAGTAATATTCTTTGCGATCTATTTTGTTTGCTATAATTATAACCACTACACCTTACTTTAGATTAGTGTTAGTATGGCATCTTTTTTCTTTCTTCCTTCTTTTCTTTCTTCCTTTCTTTCTTTTGTTCATTCTTCTTTTTTGAGACAGGATTTCACTTTATCACCCAGGCTGGAGTGTAGTGATGCAAACGTAGCTCACTGCAGCCTCAAAATCCTGGGCTCAAGCAATCCTCTCGCCTCAGCATCCTGAGTTGCTAAAACTACAGGTACAAACCACCACACCTGGCTAATTTTTGTATTAAAAAAAATGGTAGAGACAGTTTTCACTATATTGTCCAGGCTAGTCTTGAACTCCTGGCTTCAAGCCATCCTCCTGCCTTGGAGCACATTTTCATCAGTCTGTGGGTGCTCAATGGGTCCACTTTAGTGATTTAGGAGGAAGGAATGATATAACACTTTTTTTTTCCTTTAAAACACTGGTTGGGTGGTTTGCTTAGTGAGAAAACTGATATTAAGTTTGAGTGTTATAAATTTCCTTTAGTGAAGTCCAGTCAAACAGTATAGGAGAAAAGCTGTAAATGCTAAGAAAGCACTGAAAGACTTTAGCATTTAATTCTAGATGATGTATCCAAGCACCAGGATAAGGCCTCACAATTCTACCCACACATTGCAAGCATCCAATATATCTGTCCCTGCAAGCCTTGACATTCTTTTAGCCCACAGCTGCTTTGGGTAGTGAGATTTCTTGACTTGCCATGGCAAGGTTCCTTGTATTATGATATATAATGGAATGAATTATTTCAATGGATCCAATTGTATACTAATGCCATGTCTCACAAGGACTGGTCAGAGTAAAGACAGTAAGAGAGCCTGCCGTGCAAACCATAATTGAATAGAGTGTTTCTTCACCATGTTGGGAAAAGGCTGTTAATTGGCTCATGTAACCTTTTCTAAGATTTGTTCATTGGATGCCAAAAAGGAAAACAGTGACATTCTGAGTCACCCTTATGTCAGGTATTAGATATTTATTCCTTGAGGAAATAAATTTTTAACCAGAAATTACTTCCATTTTCATAACCAAGTCCCAACCCTGTAGAAAAAATTTATTCTCAAACCCAAAGTTTTTCTATTTTCATCAATAATTTTAGGTTAGGGCAAAGGACGTGAACAGCCACTTCTCAAAAGAAGACATTTATGCGGCCAAAATATATATGAAAAAAAAGCTCAATAGCACCGAGCATTAGAGAAATGCAAATCAAAACCACAGTGAGATACCATCTCATGCCAGTCAGAATGGTGATTATCAAAAAGTCAAGAAACAGATGCTGGTGAGGCTGTGGAGAAATAGGAATGCTTTTACAGTGTTGGTGTAAAATAGTTCAACCATTGTGGAAGACGGGGTGGCGATTCCTCAAAACCTAGAACCAGAAATACCATTTGACCCAGCAACCCCATTACTGAGTATATACCCAAAGGAATAGAAATCATTCTATTATAAAGATACATGCATGCATATGTTCACTGCAGCACTATTCACAATAGCAAAGACATGGAATCAACCTAAATGCCCATCAATGATAGACTGAATAAAGAAAATGTGGTACATGTACACCATGGAATACTTTGCAGCCATAAAAAAGAACCAGATCATGTCCTTTGCAGGGACATGGATGGTGCTTGAAGCCATTATCCTCAGCAAACTAATGCAGGAACAGAAAACAAACACCACATGTTCTCACTTATAAGTGAGAGCTGAACAATGAGAACACATGGACACAGGGAGGATAACAACACACATTGGGGCCTGTCAGAGGCGGAGTGGGGGAGGGAGAGCATCAAGATAATACCTAGGTGATGGGTTGGTAGGTGCAGCAAACCACCAAGGCACGTTTGCCTACGTAACAAACCTGCATGTCCTGCACATATATCCCAGAACTTAAAAGAAAAAAAAATAATTTTAGGGGCCAGGTGTGGTGGCTCATGCCTGTAATCCCAGCACTTTGGGAGGCCAAGGTGGGCGGATTATGAGGTCAGGAGTTCAAGACCAGCCTGGCCAACATAGTGAAACCCTGTCTCTACTAAAAATACAAAAAATTAGCCAGGCGTGGTGGCAGGCACCTGTAATCCCAGATACTCAGGAGGCTGAGGCAGGAGAATCGCTTGATCCCAGGAAGCGGAGGTTGCAGTGAGCGGAGATCGTGCCACTGCACTCCAGCCTGGGCGACAGTGCAAGACTCCATCTCAAAAAAAAATTTAATTAATAATAATTTTAGGTTATTCAGGGAAGATAGCCTCTGACTAACAAAGTTATTGTTTAGATGAAACTTACCTGTTGCTGAGCTACCAAGGATATCTACTATTCCTTATTTTACTCTCAAAGGAAATCTATCCAAAGAAAAGCATTTTTCGTGTGTGTCTGTAGCTTTGAGTCAGAACCTTTATGGCTTGGTTGCCTGATGAAATAGAATAGCAGTTCCTGTTAGCACCTTAACTTCTCAGTATTTTCAACATAATCCTGTTGATTTTGTATACTGGATCTTATCTGTTTCCTTATCTGTTATATTTAATTAGAAATAGTGATACAGGTAAAACTATTTTTCAGTTTTTGAGATGAACACATTTGTTTAATACAGTGAGAGCTGGAGTTTTAGAAACTTTCATCTGGAGACCAAAATGAATAAAGTAATTATTAATAGGTATGATAATACAGTCAGACTTTATTTTTGATAGTAATCATACTTAACTGGGTCATCTTGAACAAATATGAATATGGCAGAGCAAGAACCAACCACATAATCCTACGGGGCAATGCAAAGTAAAAATGTGGGGCCCACTGTTCAAAAATTGTTAAAAATTCCAAACGAATCATTAAATCAAACCATAGTCCTTTTGGGTGCAGGATCCTGGAAGCTCGCCCTGGACAAAGCAGACATACTGAGATAGAAGTCACTGTTAAGACCCCCTCATACTCTCCACTTAATTTTTTACCTATTTGGGTGATCACACACATAATTTCATGATGTCTTATTACTAGTGAGATGTTCACAGCAGTGCCAGTAAACTTAGAATCCATTGAGGAGCAACAATAGCTGTTAATAAGGAACTGCAAACCTTTCTACATGTTTTATAAATTAGATAATAATCACTTAATTATTGAGTTTAATGGCACTTTGGTTCTGATGATTTAAAACTGGTTTTAATGTTTAACCACCAAACTGTTGAACTTTTTCATGGTTCTGATTATTCCTCCACCTGAAATCAGTTAATCAATATGAAAATCAACTGTAATACCGGATGGCCAAGGGGCAGAGGTGCAATAATGGAAAGATGCTAAAGACATTTACATATTGATATCTAATGGCTGCATACAGCAAAAACACTGTAACACCTCTACAAATAACTACTATATATTGTCTGCCTATGAACCAGACACCGTGATAAGCATATTAATTCATTTAGTCCTCCTAACAATCCTATGAAGTAAATAAGGGAAAAAAGAGTATTCACGAAAGTAAAGAGTCACTTAAATAGACATTACAAAAATTGCACTGGGAACTATACCAACTATACTCAAATAGGGTCATCAAGAAGAGGTCATTAAAGGGACTATTTACAAGTGTGGGCAGATTTGAGAGAAGCTATTAAGGAAGAATGTAGCACCTGTGAGGCTAGCCACAGCAAGAGCCCCAAGAGGAGGAGAGGTTACTGTGACCTGCAAAAGCCTCCTACAGATGTGGCCTCCATTAGAGGAATGTGGCCAAATGCCAGTGACCTCATAGGGAGAGAGCTGGGAAAATAAATGCCCAGACCACATTCTCCTCCCTCCCTCAGATTTCCTATTGATGCTCCCCACTGATCAAAACCAACTAGAGGCCACAAAGGAGCTTAATTTTGTAATCTAGTGATTCTCAAAGGTTAGAATGCTTCAGAATCACTTGGCCAGTTTGTCGAAGCACAGATTCCTGGGTCCCACCCCCAGAGTTTATGATTCAAGAGGTCTGGGATGGGGCCTGAAAATGTGCACTTCCAGCAAGTCCCCAGGTGATACTGATTATCCAGGGGCCACATTTGGAAAACCATTGATTTAATTTAAAACAGGTCAGCCTCTCTAGACAGAAAGCAGGGTAGATAAGGGAGGAGTGTGCAATTGGAAGACATCCAGCACAGGAACAACAGAAGTGACATGAAAACAACAGACTTGCTTATCATCCAAACCACTGCCTCTGATGATTGCCCTTTTGTTCTTCTTTCCTCCCTTTGTGAATTCTAAAAGGTTTATTTCTTTGCCTTGGTGCAAGCAAAGAGAAGCATTAAGTATTTTCAAGATACCTCCCAAATAGCCCCTTTTAACAACTCCAAACTTCAGACAATGTCTAGTCTAAACTGCCTCTCACCAACCAGAACGGATGCCAGCAAGGAAGGTTTGACACACACAGCAGGAAAGAGCCGTGACTTTTCCTTTTACTACTATGTTCAAGAGCCTAGGATGCTTCGGAAAGGAAAATCTAGAAAACTGACAGTTTTGATGCTAAATCTATGGCAGGTGCTTATGAGTGTCTTGACTATAAAAATTAGGTTGGTTGGATCATCAATCAGGACTTGTAGTAGCTGAAATATAAGGTTGAACTGGATGGTCTCAGTTACAATGCAGTTTGCTATTACTAGTCTGTATTAATCCATTCTCACACTGCTATAAAGAACTACCTGCGACTGGGTAATTTATGAAGAAAAGAAATTTAATCGACTCACGGTTCTGCAGGCTTAACAGGAAGCATGAATGGGAGGCCTCAGGAAACTTACAATCATGGTGGAAGGCAAAGGGGAAGCAAATATCTTCTTCACGTGGCAGCAGGAGAGAGTGATAGAGCAAAGGGAAGTGCTACACACTTTTAAACAACCAGATCTCATGATAATCCACTATCACGAGAACAGCAAGTGGGGAACCCCCCCACCATGATCCAACCACCTCCCACCAGGTCCCTACCCCAACACCAAGGATTACAATTCAACATGAGATTTGGGTGGAGACACAGAGCCAAACCATATCATGGTCCTTGTTGCATTTTCATTAAAGACAATGAGATTATACTGAAAACAACTGAATCCTTCTCTTAGCAAGGCAGAAACCGAAAGTATAACTAAAAGCTAAAATGTTACCCTGCTCTGTGTAAACAGAGTAGAGCATGTCAGATTAATGAATGACCTACTTGCGAAAACGTGTAGACAAGGATTTTATCTGTGTTTGATAGTGGAAAGGTTATATCCACTTCCTGGCAGAGATCTCAGAATATCTAATTTATGTGACAAAAATGAAAAGTTCTCAAGAAATATACCAAGGCATGATTAGCCTATTTATTCCCCCAGGGGTTTAACACTAGCTTTTAGTTGTCTGCTCAATATACATAGTATTTTTGTTTATTTATTTTGTAGGATTGTGTTAACTTAAGCTTTGAAAGGTGTGCACATTTTTTATTTCCTGCCTTATCTGGGAAAAAACCTGACGAGATGTCAGAAATAGATCAGGTTTAAATTAGTTTTATTTATTTTTATTTTTATTTTTATTTTTGAGATGAAGTCTCCCTCTGTACCCCAGGCTGGAGTGCAGTAGCGCAATCTCAGCTTACTGCAGCCTCTGCCTCCCCGGTTCAAGCAAGTCTCCTGCCTCAGCCTACCAAGTAGCTGGGATTACAGGTGCCCACCACCATGCCTGGCTAATTTTTGTATTTTTAGTAGAGATGGGGTTTCACTGTGTTGGCCAGGCTGGTCTTGAACTCCTGACCTCAAGTGAGCCTCCCACCTTGGCCTCCCAAAATGCTGGGATTATAGGTGGGAGCTAAATTAGTATTTTAAATTAGAATCCTACTTGCTACATTACTAGGGAGAAGGAAGGTGATAGATGTTAACTTGTATATTCTCCATTTACTTACTGTTTACTATTTATAAGCAAATTTCTAAAGCAATAATCACCTTAGCATTTTAATTCCAAATACCAATCTAAGAATTAAACCAAATAATTATTCCACCCAGAATGTCATTAAGTTCTATTAGTCTTTTTAGTGTTCATAGTTTCATCTATGAAATTGGATTTAACACTGTGTTCTTTAAAAGTTGAATTATGATCTGGCCCAGTGTGGTGGCTCATGCCTGTAATCCCAGCACTTTAGGAGGCCAAGGTGGGTGGATCACTTGAGGTCAGGAGTACAAAAACAGCTTGGCCAACATGCTGAAAACTTGTCTCTACCAAAAGATATAAAAATTAGCCAGATGTGGTAGCATGCACCTGTAGTCCCAGCTACTCTGGAGGCTGAGGTGGGAGAATCGCTTGAATCCAGGAGGCGGAGGTTGCAGTGAGCTGAGATTATGCCACTGCACTCCAGCCTGGGGAAAAGGGCAAGATTCTGTCTCAAAAAAAAAAGTTGAATTATGATCAAAATAATGCTGTATAAAATGGAAAAAGAATGAATGTACTAATATCCACTTAAAAACACACTAAATTGGATTATTTGGCCAAATAACGGAAATTAAGTCAGTCCAAAGATGCACAATTACAAGCTGTTCTCCCCACATTTTCATTTGTGTATTCCTCCAAAAACTTTGGTCTAATTGCACAGAAACATTAAGACCCTAGTCATTGTTTCATGACTCCTAGGGATATTGGGGTCTCCACAATGTGACAGAAGCCCAGAGAGAACTGAAGCTAAATGGATATTGTGAGACTGGTAATCAACAAAAATCACAGTGTCTGGGTTTCAGGGCCTAACTCTGGGCTGTTATCTTTTTCCCAGACGGCTGATCAAGTGGATGAGGTATGAAATGAAAGCAAAACTCCAAGCAACAATACTCACCAGTTGGTTCAATAGCAGTATCATTTTTAAAATAATATAAAATCAACAGTACTTGCCATAAAAATTTCAAACAGTAGAGAGGGCATAAAATTAAAAGTAAAAAAATACCTTTATCCCTCTTCAGCTTCTAATTGTATTGCCCAGAAGGTTTTTTTTTTTTTTTGTAGTCTTCCAGGCATTTTCTATGCAAATTCAAATAAGTAAACATAAAATATCCTTTGTTTATATACAACTGAGATCATACTCTATATATTAAATCTGTAATGTTTGTTTCTGTTTTTGTTTTTTTTGAGACAGAATCTCACTCTGGTTGCCCGGGCTGGAATGCAGTGGCATGATCTCAGTTCACTGCAGCCTCGACCTCCCAGGCTCAGCCTCCCGAGTAGCTGGGACTACAGACATGCTGACCACCATACCTGGCTAATTTTTTGTATTTTTAGTAGAGATGGGATTTCGCCATGTTGCCCAGGCTGGTCTTGAATTCCTAGACTCAAGCAATCCGCCTGCCTTGGCCTCCCAAAGTGCTGGGATTACAGGCAATGAACCACCGTGCCCAACCTAATCTGCAATTTTTTTTTTCATATACTGTATCTTGAAGATTTTTCTATAGTGGCACAGCAGGTCCTCAAATAACGTCATTTCATTCAACATCATTTCATTTTAACATTGATGAGAAAAAAAATTGATTCCCAGCCAGGGCCATGTGAAGTTTGCATGTTCTCCCATCTTTGGTGAGTTTTCTCCCAATCCCAAAAATGTGCACATTAGGTGAACTGGTGTGTCTAAATGGTTCCAGGATGAGTTTAGGGACATGTGTGAGTATGCCCCGCAATGGGATGGAACTCTCTGTCCAGGGTTGGTTCCCACCTTATACCCTCGGCTGCAGAGATTAGTTCTGGCCTCCTGTGACCCTGAACTGAAATAACTGGGTAAATAATTATCTTACTTATTTTTATTAATCTTTCTTAAGCATACGTATAATTCACATTTATTTCAATGTTTAATATTAGAAGTGTTTTGGTCTTTATTGAGAAATTTGGTGATGTTCTCATGACCAGAACTATGTTATAGAAACTTAATTCTTGGCCAGGCGCGGTGGCTCATGCCTGTAATCCCAGCACTTTGGGAGACTGAGGCGGGCGGATCACGAGGTCAGGAGATCGAGACCATCCTGGCTAACACAGTGAAACCCCGTCTCTACTAAAAATACAAAAAATTAGCCGGGCATGGTGGCAGGTGCCTGTAGTCCCAGCTACTTGGGAGGCTGAGACAGGAGAATGGCATGAACCCTGGAGGCGGAGCTTGCAGTGAGCCGAGACTGCACCACTGCACTCCAGCCTGGGCGACAGAGCGAGACTCCGTCTCAAAAAAAAAAAAAAAAAAAGAAACTTAATTCTTGTTTATATCAATTAGCCTGTGGTAAAATTTATGTTGTTATACATCATTTCCCTTAAAGTCAGTTTCCAAGAACCTAGTGACAATGTTAAGTGAGGACTTAATGTACATATAGATGTACCTCACAGAATGTATTACCACATAAATTATGGTTACTATAATTTAATTAACCAGTCCCATATTGATGAACATTCAGTTTGTTTCTAGATTTTTCCTGTTAAAACAGTTGAGCTTTGTCACCTGGCTTCTATAATTTTGGAAGCCTGTTATCCCCATTGCTATCAGTAAGACTAGTTCTGTGAGAGTCTCTCTCTTACTGTCAGCTGTGGCCTATAGAGGATAGCCAACACTGAGTTTCTCAATGATTATGGTACTCCTTTCACCATCTCATTCCTTATCACTTTAGAAAGCAGGTTCTCCTCCAGGCTCTGAGTTTATGGCACTCTCCTAGAATATAGGATTTAGTCACCTGGCAAGAACTCCAAGAGACACTGCTACCATGCTGACAGGGTAACTCTTAGAACCAAAAAAACAAAACAAAAACAAAATGGCCTACACTAAGTGAAGTGAAAATACCATCCGCTTGCCAAACTCATAAGCCATTAGAAGCAAGGTAGGCACAATTATCACAAGCAACAGCAGATCACTGTGAAAGTTCCCTGAACCACAGAAAGATACAGATTTTTTAATAGAGCATGGTACCCATGGTGCCAGACAGATGGGAAGCCAATAAGGGTATTGCTCAATCTAACTGATCAAAAGAAATCAAAGATGGATGAAACAAGAGGTTGATGGTAACTACTGCCAACAAAAAAAATGAAATCCCTTGTTTGGTTTCAAGACCTGAGCCAATTCTCAGTCCCAGAACTCACCGACTAAATCAAAAGCCAGGGTCCCAAGGAGGAAGTACCTTACAACATCATAGCAAGTATATACAGGAATATAGCTATTATTTCCCAAAGACTAGAAAAAAAGATATTCGTCAATATGGAACTGACTGACTAAACCACGGTACATCCCAACACAGAATACTGTATAGCTGTAAAAAGAAATGAGGCATCTCTCTTTATACTTATATGAAGGGATCTCCAGAATGTATCATTAAATGAAGAAAACAAGGTGCAAATCAGAGTATATGTTAACTTTTGTCAAAAAAAAGAAAGAAAAAAGAAAAGAAACTAAAATATACACATTTTCTTTTTATTTTCAAAGTGAATTAATGAGAAGCTAAACTAAAACCATGCAAATGATACTGTAGAGTGGGAAAGAAAATAGTGAAAGCACAGGCACGCAAACAAAATTTCGCATCAGAAAACTAGATAGTCACCTCGAAGGGTTGTCACTTGGCAAAGGACAATTTGAGCATGAAAAATAATACTGATTCCAACTGATTAAAACACAACAAATATGTAAATCCATGAATTCATAATTAAACTAATAAAAAAAAAACTTCATTTGTTACCATTAGAGGTTCTTAGGACACACAAACTTACTATTCCAAAAAATTCCATGAATGAAGGGAATCAAGGATATATTCTGTTTTCATATGCAAACTATATTTCAGAGTAAACAGTCACTCTTATCAGAGAAAGTTCTTCCTTACAGAAGAACTAATTCATCACCATTTTGGAACAATTAGTGAAATAATGGATATAAGTATTAATCATCAATAGCTGCTAAAACCCTAAGTAAAAGATTGATGGAAGTTTTTGGGTGGCCAGATTAGGTTAGCAGCACAAACAATAGGACAACTGTTCATTGTCTCCTGGTGTGATGTAATAGGAAGCACAAGGCACCATGTATGAAGTATACTGCCTCCCCCCAAAATTGAACCTGAGTATAAATAAGCCTTTATAATTTAGTATTAATTTTTAGGAAATACAGGATATAGAACAACAAGTTAAATGACACCAGGAGGTAAAATGAGCCAATCCAGAATGCAGAACATCATATGGATGAATGATCCAGTTTCTTCCAATACATCAGAAAATAAAAAGAGATAAAACTATAATCAGTTAAAAGAAATTTAAGATATATGACAACCCTATGAGATATGTAGATTTTGGATCCTTTATTTTTCTAGTGCTGCTGTAACAAATTATCGCAAATTTAGTGGCTTAAAACGACACTTTATTCTCTTCTAGGGGTCAGAAATCCAAAAAGGGGCCTCACAGGCTAAAATGCAGTCAGACCACCTTCCTTCTGGAGGCTCTAGGAGTTAATCCATTTTTTTGCCTTTTCCAGCTTGTGGAGGCTGTCCACATTCCTTGCCTTGTGCCCCCCTTGCAGCAAGGGCATCTCTCTGCCATCTGTTTCTGCTCTCATCTCCTTCTGTGATTCTGACCCTCCTACTTCTCTCACATGGAAACACTGTAAATACACTGAGCACATCCAGATAATCCAGGATAACCTTCCCATCTCAAGATCCTTAACATAATCACATCTGCAAAGTCCCCGTTGCCACATAAAGTAACATGGTAACATAGATTCCAGGGCATAAAATGTGGACATCTTCGTAGGGATGGGGTTATGGGGCAATATTCTGTCTACCATGGATTCTGATTCAAACAAACTAACTGTGAAAAGATTTTTTTCACATTGTTGGGGAAATTTTACCATAGATTGGGTATCGTATTATATAAAGGAATTACTATTAATTTTTAGGTATGAGAATGACATTGTGGTTATGCTTTTTTAAAAAAAACCTTATCTGATGAAATGCTTACTGAAGTATTTAGAGGTGAAATGATATGATCTCTGGGATTTGCTTTAAAATACTAAAAAAAAAAAAGAATATGGGGAACAGATTAAACAAGATATGCAAAATAAAAAATTGTTAAAGCTGAACTATGGTTTCATAGGGTTCAGAATACTTTTCTCTCTACTGCTGCGTGTACTTGAAAACGTCCACAACAAAAGGTTTTTTAAAAATCAAAGATAATCTAATAAGGTTTAAAAGGGAAGGAAAGGAGAGAGTCCAATGCTTCAATGAACAGTTCTTATGCAAATATTGTTACATACCAGTGTGGATGTATGGTAGGATAAATTGTCAGATACAGAATTGCATTTAAAATGTTTGTAGTAATTGCTTTGCATGAATAATAAGGTTGAACAACTAAGTAAACAAACGGAAGGTTGTGGGAGCCAGATTTCTCCCTGTGAGAGACTAAAGTTGCAAATAAACTAGAAGGGGAGGATAAAATAAACCCTGTGGTGCTGGATTAGAATTGAAGACATCAGTATGAACTCACGGTTAGTTTAATAGATAAATAGACAGGTAGACACTACTTATAGATATGTGTGTATACACCAGTTAATATACATACATACATACATTACCTAGCCCTGTTGACTCAGACATCCTGGAAGCAATCACACCCCAGCAGCAAAGCACAAACCCAGTACTCATATCTTGGCTTCTAAATACCATTTTCCAATAAAAGGAACCAGAGATTCTTGGGAAACTGGCTGATTCTAGGACTGGGGCCGGGAAAATAAAAATAAGCCTGAAACATCTTACAATACCAGAAAGTAAGGAACTGCTCAAAAAATAAAATGATAGAAGCATGCCAAAGAGTCACAACAGCCAACCTGAAAGAACTAATGGCCAAAACTGGAAAAATCTGAGCAACAAAATAAATAACATAGCATTGGATTATAATCCCAAATTATAAAATAAATATACATGAATCCATAATGATATATATAGAAGATCAAATAATAAGTAAGAAGAAGTACTAGCATTGGGTTAATGCTGGGATCTACTCTTGGTGAGGCTGATAACATTCAGGAAGTCAAGGTAAAAGATGGTTAAGTGTAATGGGACAGGTTACAGCCCAAAGAAACTCATAGATACACTGGGTCTATTCTAGGTTTAGGTTATATGGTGTTACATTTTGCTTTCAAAGATGAAGAGATTGGACATCCTGAAAGTCTTTCAATACCTGCAATATTGGGCAGAGCTAAGATAGATAATGCTTTAAAAAAATTATTTACTAAACGTAGCTCTTAAGAATCTCTCTATAATCTGGTATTTCCATTATCCACATACTGGCTCAGCCACCAGTTTAGAAAAAGGAAGGTAACTTAGATAGTTTTCCAAGGGCATTTCATACACTTCTGTCCCCACGGAACCCTCTAACACCCCTGGGGATAGTTATCCTTACCTTTTCAGTATGAGTCCAGCAATAGACACTATCCTATAACAAATGAGGTTATTAAGGCAAAGTGTCAGCTGCCCCACATGACAAAGTCAGAGTCTCATAGTCTCCTCTGAGGAGCTGAAAGATTCCTAAAATCTTTAAGATAAACTCTATACAAGCATTTGAATGATTCATTCTCCTCAAAGGAACTTTACAAGGTTCAAGGCTCTTCCTGGAGACCCCAGGTGTGGCGGCGGCAGCAGCAGCAGGCAGCAGGCCACTGTCTTTCCCAACAGGCTAAAACTGATGTCAAAAGCAGTTGTAAAAATACCTACCATTGAACCAAAAATAACTATTAGAACCATGAATGATAAAGTGAGGCAAAAAGACTTTTCTTTAAGCTTAACTTTTAGGCACTTAAGTCTCAGTACTCTTCACCCAGATGTCTACATGGATCACTCATTTTCTTCTTTTAGGTCTTTGTACAAAGGTTATCTCATCAGCGAGGCCTTTCTTGATCATCCTATAGAAAACAGAATCTGCCTCAATTCTGGATTTCCTTTCTCTCTTATCCTGCTTTATTCTCCTCATCAGGCATGCTTTATATTTGTTTACATAATATCCATCCCCTCCAGTAATCTCCATTTTGGCCATGATTTTGACTATTTTGCTTCCCATGGTCTCCCATTTTTCTTTAGAACATTTGCCTGGACAGTTAATAGTGGTCAGTAAGTATGTGTTGATTGAACCTCAAACTGGAAATGACCCAAATGTCCATTAACATGTGAATGGATAAGCAAAATGTGGGTACTTCTATACAATGGGATACTACTCAGCAATATAAAGGAAAGAACTATTGATATGTGCAACAATATATGGATGAGTCTTAAAATCATTATGTGGAATTAAGGAACCAGGCACAAAATAGTAAATATTATATAATTCCATTTGTATAAAGCACAAATAAAATAGAGATGAGGCTGAGATGGGAGGATCCCTTCAAGCCAGAAGTTTGAGACTAGCCTGGACAACATAGCAAGACCCTGTCTCTTCAAAAAAAAATTTTTAATTAGCCAGGCATGGTGGCATGTACCTGTGGTCCTAGCTACTCCAGAGGCTGAGGCAGGAGGATCATGTAAGCCCAGGAGTTTGAGATTACAGTGAGCTATGATCATGCCACTGCACTCCAGCCTGGATGACAGAGCAAGACTCTGTCTCTAAAATTAAAACAAAATAAAAATTTAAAAAGCAGATCAGTGGAAGTGAGGATAGAGTATAGAAAAAGGGAGGAACTGCAAAGGAGCACAAGGAATCTTTGTGGGGTGATGGACATGTTCTGTATTCTGATTGTGGACAGGTGCATACAATTTGTCAGAACTCATCAAATTGTACACTTTAAATACATGCAGTTTATTATGCATAAATTATTCCTCAACAAAGTTGAAAAAGAAAAAATATTTGTTAAATCAATTTACCTAGTGTATTTGCAGCTTAACTAAAACTTTAGAAATTTTGGATACATTGTGTTTGCAAATTTGAACTTCAAAATGCTGGAAATATAGAGGGGTTTTTTTTCCCTTTCTCCATTTCAAGCAAGGGGTTTCAGAGTGCTATTTCCCATATATGCAGTGAAGAAAGCTTTCTTTAGCTGGCCCAAGGGGCTATGAAGTAGGAGTTTTGAAATCAGCTGACTCAAGCATAAATAAGTGACCTATGCTTAAGAATAACTGAAGAAAGGTGAGATTATGCTTGAGTGGAGGTTCCATATTATAATTATGCTTTACAAATTCATTTCAGCCATTGATATCAAAATCTCTAAACACTCAAATGTCTTGATTAACACTTTCCTTGAGGCCAGGGTCATGTACCTCCTTGTAATTAAATCTCCTTAATATATTCACATAATGCTGAGCTCCATCTTATTGTCCATATGAACTATAGCACCCAGTGTTACAGAGTATTGCCAGTGTAAAATATGAATACCAAACTCTGGTTTAAGTTTTTCTGTAGAATTATCAATCTTAACATATAAAGTAAAATCCATTTTGAAATGGATTTCTAATTCCTACAGAATGTTTTTTGGACAACTGAAGAAATGTGTACTTGTTTTTAAAATGAAGCTGCAATATTGTAAAGGAACTCTGCAGCCACTCATAACAGCATAGTGTGTTTTATGAATAAGTTCACATTAGTTACATTTGGCAAACTGGACAAAGAAGCAATAATATACACTATGAACGTGTTACATTCCACTTTTAATCAACAAAGCTTTCAGTACATTGTCATATTAAGAAAAACATTGCAATTAGAAAAAGAAGCTAGATTATTTACTGATTATTCACTATTTTCACATAAACCTTCTAACATTTATAATAAAAGATGAAATTGTTAAATCTCTTAGCCATGAAAACAATACGATAAAAACCTAAAATATGTACTATATTTTACTAAAGTATATTTTAGTATCGTAAATGACAGGAAAAGGGGATTATGTACACAATTGAGACATCAATGACAATAATAAATTGCTTGAAACTTCATGTTGCATAGCTAGAAAAGAGATACTTTGATAAGTAATATCAATTACTATCCTCTGCATTGAAGAGATGAAGTCTTTAAGTAATTCTGCTCCCCTTTTTCCGTTCTCAGCTATAGCATGCCCCATGATCTAAGATCCGACCCTCCTCATTCTCTAGAGAGTAACATAAAAGTGATTGTTTGGAAATAAAATGAGGGGTTGAAACTCTGTATTTCAGAAGACACAATCAGTTACCTGACACCCAACACCAATCCTTGCTGTGTTAAGAATGTCAGTGTTTCTCATGCCTCACTCAGGAAGAGTTGCTTCAATACATCCCTCCACAGCTTTATTCAGTTTGGTCACACCTCAGGGAGTTTAATTTCATGCAAAGCTTTTAGACAGTGCTTTCCAGTGACAGGAGCAAATCTGGGTACCTTAAGGAGTTTAGGAAAAATGAAAACAACTTGAACTATTAATGCTTGATCTGAACTTTGGCCTTGCCCCAGAGTTAGTCTTCAAGAAGTGAGAAGAAAGCAGAATGTTGGCAAGACTTGAGATATTAACTAAAAATGTAAACATCTTCTAAGATAACTGTTGTAGAAGAAAGAGGTAAACATAATGGAATAAAAGATGATCTTGTTGTATTTAGGGCTGATATTATAGCCATAAAGGGAAATGGCAATAAAAAGTGGATGTCAGAGATTTGACTAAACTGAACTGATTTCATAAAAGGCTTAAGAATCAGCCTGACTGGGAAAAGAGAGGTAAAACACCTGCGTTACTAGTCCCCACATGAACAATGCATTTATTTTCAAACAAAGAGTAGATAATGCTCAAGCTTTGGAAGGGGAGATCTATTTTTCAGAGAAAGTATGGACACCTGAAAGAAACACAAGGGGCATTGTGTTTAGGAATGAAACATGTGATCTAAGGAAATGCCAGTTTATCCAAGTTTTGGCTGAGTTACTGCTTTGTCAAGAGAAGGGACATATTTTTGAAACAACTGTGATTAACTGAAGTTTAATGTGCCTTTTTGTAATTACCTATAATTTTAAAAGATTATATTGTAGCTTGTAAGCCTGGTTTAAGAATAAATAAGGTGATCTTTTTAAAAAACAAAACATCACATGTGTTTTATTGTTTAGAATTTACCTCCAAATACAGAGGAACTCTACATTTTGCTATTTACTAAGACAATTTTGTTTATTCAATTTGGCTTCTCTTTTGGCCTTTGGTTTCTGAACATGGTCATATCACCACCGATTACTTAATATTTCTCAAAGTTTCTGTAATTATGCAAGTGACTGAAAAATCACTCTGCATAACTGGGATTTCAAATAAGATAAATTATCACAATTTATAGGACCTTGTTGTTCCATGTTCTAATTCAAAGGATAGTGCCTGAGTAAATTTTTCTTATACATTCTAGAACTCACAGACATTAAAACTCTCTGGGTCACAAATGAGCTAAAAGAATAAATGCAGACTGTTAGAATTGCTTTTTGAGTTTCACGTCATTTCTGAGCTAGAGGACATTCTCCTAGCTGTAGTCTTTAGCTGTGTGACCTCATACAAGTTTGATACTTCACTTCTCCACTCTTCTTTTCTCCATCTGTAAAAAAAAATGCAAAGCTATCCCACAGAATTATTCTTAGTATTACTTTTTGTAGTTCGTGTTTATAAAAATGTATCAGTATATTTACCAGTCTCTTTGATAAACATTGTTACTTACATCCCACTCTTCTCCATTGTTTTCTTGTGACTGAGGTATATCATTTAGTGTTCTCTTGGGAAGAATCTGTGAGTTTTGCCTTTGAATGATATTTTCATTGGTTATTAACTCTTAAGCAGACAGTTCATTTACCTCAACTGTTAGAAGATGTTTATTTGCTGTATTCTGCTGATGCCGATGAGAAATCTGTCAGCAGACTATCATTCATGTATAAGCAATCCATTTTTTCTCTAAGATTAAAGTGAGACAATTGGAATTAACATAATTTTAAGGTTCCTGTCTTATTTGTCTGGAGGACAGATATATTAACTTTAGACTTGTTAATAAAATAATTTTAAGAAAGCCACTGAAATTACAGAATATATAACTATCAAACCAGTAGAGGGGGAGAGAAGTGGTAGATACAGAGAAAAAAAAAAACAGAGTAAATGGAAGCACAAAAGATGATAAAAATAATTCTAAATATGTCAGTAATCACTAAGTGGCGTAAACTCACCAGATACACACTGGAGACTACAAAATTGTTACTTTCTTAAATCCATCTGTTGGGTTCCAAGATAGCCAAATAGGAACAGCTCCAGTCTACAGCTCCCAGCATGAGCGACGCAGAAGACGCGTGATTTCTGCATTTCCAACTGAGGTACCGGGTTCATCTCACTGGGGAGTGTCGGACAGTGGGGGCAGGACAGCAGGTGCAGCCCACGGAGTGTGAGTCAAAGCAGGGTGAGGCATCACCTCACTCGGGAAGTGCAAGGGGTCAGGGAATTCCCTTTCCTAGCCAAGGGAAGTGGTGACGGACGGCACCTGGAAAATCGGGTCACTCCCACCCTAATACTGTGCTTTTCCATTGGTCTTAGCAAACGGCACACCAGGAGATTATATCCTGCGCCTGGCTCAGAGGGTCCCACACCCACGGAGCCTCACTCATTGCTAGCACAGCAGTCTGAGATCGATCTGCAAGGCAGCAGCGAGGCTGGGGGAGGGGTGCCGGCCATTGCTGAGGCTTGAGTAGGTAAGGAAGCCGCCAGGAAGCTCGAACTGGGTGGAGCCCACCGCAGCTCAAGGAGTCCTGCCTATCTCTGTAGACTCCACCTCTGGGGGCAGGGCACAGCCAAACAAAAGGCAGCAGAACCCTCTGCAGACTTAAATGTCCCTGTCTGACAGCTTTGAAGTGAGTAGTGGTTCTCCCAGCACGGAGTTTGAGATCTGAGAACGGACAGACTGCCCCCTCAAGTGGGTCCCTAACCCCTGAGTAGCCTAACTGGGAGGCACCCTCCAGTAGGGGCAGACTGACACCTCACATGGCCGGGTACCTCTCTGAGATGAAGCTTCCAGAGGAATGATCAGGCAGCAACATTTGCTGTTCAGCAATATTCACTGTTCTGCAGCCTCCACTGCTAATACCCAGGCAAACGGTCTGGAGTGGACCTCCAGCAAACTCCAACAGACGTGCAGCTGAGGGTCCTGACTGTTAGAAGGAAAACTAACAAACAGAAAGGACATCCACACCAAAACCCCATCTGTACATCCCCATCATCAAAGACCAAAGGTAGATAAAACCACAAAGATGGGGAAAAAACAGAGCAGAAAAGCTGAAAATTCTAAAAATCAGAGCGCCTCTCCTCCTCCAAAGGAACGCAGCTCCTCACCAGCAACGGAACAAAGCAGGATGGAGAATGATTTTGATGGGTTGAGAGAAGAAGGCTTCAGAAGATCAAACTTCTCCAAGCTAAAGGAGGAAGTCCAAACCCATCTCAAAGAAGCTAAAAACCTTGAAAAAAGATTAGACGAATGGCTAACTAGAATAACCAATGTACAGAAGTCCTTAAATGACCTGATGGAGCTGAAAAACACGGCATGAGAACTACGTGATGAATGCACAAGCTTCAGTAGCCGATTTGATCAACTGGAAGAAAGGGTATCAGTGATTGAAGATCCAATGACTGAAATGAAGTAAGAAGTTTAGAGAAAAAAGAGTAAAAAGAAAGGAACAAAGCCTCCAAGAAACATGGGACTATGTGAAAAGACCAAATCTACGTCTGATTGGTGTACCTGAAAGTGACAGGGAGAATGGAACCAAGTTGGAAAACACTTTGCAGGATACTATCCAGGAGAACTTCCCCAATCTAGCAAGGCATGCCAACATTCAAATTCAGGAAATACAGAGAACGCCACAGAGATACTCCTTGAGAAGAGCAACTCCAAGACACATAATTCTCAGATTCACCAAAGTTGAAATGAAGGAAAAAATGTTAAGGGCAGCCAGAGGCAAAGGTCGGGTTACCCACAAAGGGAAGCCCATCAGACTAACAGCGGATCTCTTGGGAGAAACTCTACAAGCCAGAAGAGAGTGGAGGCCAATATTCAACATTCCTAAAGAAAAGAATTTTGAACCCAGAATTTCATATCCAGCCAAACTAAGCTTCATAAGCGAAGGAGAAATAAAATCTTTTACAGACAAGCAAATGCTGAGAGATTTTGTCACCACCAGGCCTGCCCTAAAAGAGCTCCTGAAGGAAGCGCTAAACATGGAAAGGAACAACCAGTACCAGCCATTGCAAAAACATGCCAAATTGTAAAGACCATCGAGGCTAGGAAGAAACTGCATCAACTAACGAGCAAAATAACCAGCTAACATCATAATGACAGGATCAAATTCACACATAACAATATTAACCGTAAATGTAAATGGGCTAAATGCTCCAATTAAAAGACACAGACTGGCAAATTGGATAAAGAGTCAAGACCCATCAGTGTGCTGTATTCAGGAGACCCATCTCACATGCAGAGACACACATAGGCTCAAAATAAAGGGAAGGAGGAAGATCTACCAAGCAAATGGAAGACTCAAAATGGCAGGGGTTGCAATCCTAGTCTCTGATAAAACAGACTTTAAACCAACAAAGATCAAAAGAGACAAAGAAGGCCATTACATAACGGTAAAGGGATCAATTCAACAAGAAGAGCTAACTATCCTAAATGTATATGCACCCAATACAGGAGCACCCAGATTCATAACGCAAGTCCTTAGAGAACTACACTTAGACTCCCACACAATAATAATGGGAGACTTTAACACCCCACTGTCAACATTAGACAGATCAATGAGACAGAAAGTTAACAAGGATATCAAGGAATTGAACTCAGCTCTGTACCAAGCGGACCTAATAGACATCTACAGAACTCTCCACCCCAAGTCAACAGAATATACATTCTTCTCAGCACCACACCGCACTTATTCCAAAATTGACCACATAGTTGGAAGTAAAGCACTCCTCAGCAAATGTAAAAGAACAGAAATTATAACAAACTGCCTCTCAGACCACAGTGCAATCAAATTAGAACTCAGGATTAAGAAACCCACTCAAAACTGATCAACTACCTGGAAACTGAACAACCTGCTCCTGAATGACTACTGGGTACATAACGAAATGGAGGCAGAAATAAAGATGTTCTTTGAAACCAATGAGAACAAAGACACAACATACCAGAATCTCTGGGACACATTTAAAGCAGTGTGTAGAGGGAAATTTACAGCACTAAATGCCCACAAGAGAAAGCAGAAAAGATCTAAAATTGACACCCTAACATCACAATTAAAAGAACTAGAGAAGCAAGAGCAAACACATTCAAAAGCTAGCAGAAGGCAAGAAATAACTAAGATCAGAGCAGAACTGAAGGAGATAGAGACACAAAAAGCCCTTCAAAAACTCAATGAATCCAGGAGCTGGTTTTTTGAAAAGATCAACAAAATTGATAGACCACTAGCAAGACTAATAAAGAAGAAAAGAGAGAAGAATCAAATAGACACAATAAAAAATGATAAAGGGGATATCACCACCCATCCCACAGAAATACAAACTACCATCAGAGAATACTATAAACACCTCTGCACAAATAAACTAGAAAATCTAGAAGAAATCGATAAATTCCTGAACACATACAACCTCCTAAGACTAAACCAGGAAGAAGTTGAATCTCTGAATAGACCAATAACAGGCTCTGAAATTGAGGCAACAATTAATACCCTACCAACCAAAAAAAGGCCAGGACCAGACAGATTCACAGCCGAATTCTACCAGAGGTACAAGGAGGAGCTGGTACCATTCCTTCTGAAACTATTCCAATCAATAGAAAAAGAGGGAATCCTCCCTAACTCATTTTATGAGGCCAGCATTATCCTGATACCAAAGCCTGACAGAGACATAACAAAAAATGAGAATTTTAGACCAATATCCCTGATGAACATCGATGCAAAAATCCTCAATAAAATACTGGCAAACCGAATCCAGCAGCACATCAAAAAGCTTATCCACCATGATCAAGTGGGCTTCATCCCTGGGATGCAAGGCTGGTTCAACATACGCAAATCAATAAACGTAATCCAGCATATAAACAGAACCAACAACAAAAACCACGTGATTATCTCGATAGATGCAGAAAAGGCCTTTGACAAAATTCAACAGCCTTTCAGGCTAAAAACTTTCAAAAAATTAGGTATTGATGGGACGTATCTCAAAATAATAAGGGCTATTTATGACAAACCCACAGCCAATATCATACTGAATGGGCAAAAACTGGAAGCATTCCCTTTGAAAACTGGCACAAGAAAGGGATGCCCTCTCTCACCACTCCTATTCAACATAGTGTTGGAAGTTCTGGCCAGGGCAATCAGGCGCAGGAGAAAGAAATAAAGGGTATTCAATTAGGAAAAGAGGAAGTCAAATTGTCCCAGTTTACAGATGACATGATTGTATATTTACAAAACCCCATTGTCTCAGCCCAAAATTTCCTTAAGCTGATAAGCAACTTCAGCAAAGTCTCAGGATACAAAATCAATGTGCAAAAATCACAAGCATTCTTATACACCAATAACAGACAAACAGAGAGCCAAATCATGAGTGAACTCCCATTCACAATTGCTTCAAAGAGAATAAAATACCTAGGAATCCAACTTACAAGAGATGTGAACGACCTCTTCAAGGAGAACTACAAAACACTGCTCAACGAAATAAAAGAGGACACAAACAAATGGAAGAACATTCCATGCTCATGGATAGGAAGAATCAATATCGTGAAAATGGCCATACTGCCCAAGGTAATTTATAGATTCAATGCCATCCCCATCAAGCTACCAATGACTTTCTTCACAGAATTGGAAAAAACTACTTTAAAGTTCATATGGAACCAAAAAACGGCCCACATTGCCAAGACAATCCTAAGCCAAAAGAACAAAGCTGGAGGCATCATGCTACCTGACTTCAAACTATACTACAAGGCTACAGTAACCAAAACAGCATGGTACTGGTACCAAAACAGAGATATAGACCAATGGAACAGAACAGAGCCCTCAGAAATAATACCACACATCTACAACCATCTGATCTTTGACAAACCTGACAAAAACAAGAAATGGGGAAAGGATTCCCTATTTAATAAATGGTGCTGGGAAAACTGGCCAGCCATATGTAGAAAGCTAAAACTGGATCCCTTCCTTACACCTTATACAAAAATTAATTCAAGATTGATTAAAGACTTAAATGTTAGACCTAAAACCATAAAAACCCTAGAAGAAAACCTAGGCAATACCATTCAGGACATAGGCATGGGCAAGGACTTCATGTCTAAAACACCAAAAGCAATGGAAACAAAAGCCAAAATTGACAAATGGGATCTAATTAAACTAAAGAGCCTCTGCACAGCAAAAGAAACTACCATCAGAGTGAACAGGCAACCTACAGAATGGGAGGAAATTTTTGCAATCTACTCATCTGACAAAGGGCTAATATCCAGAATCTACAAAGAACTCCAACAAATTTACAAGAAAAAAACAAACAACCCCATCAAAAAGTGGGCGAAGGATATGAACAGACGCTTCTCAAAAGAAGACATTTATGCAGCCAACAGACACATGAAAAAATGCTCACCATCACTGGCCATCAGAGAAATGCAAATCAAAACCACAATGAGATACCATCTCACACCAGTTAGAATGGCGATCATTAAAAAGTCAGGAAACAACAGGTGCTGGAGAGGATGTGGAGAAATAGGAACACTTTGACACTGTTGGTGGGACTGTAAACTAGTTCAACCATTGTGGAAGACAGTGTGGCATTTCCTCAAGGATCTAGAATTAGAAATACCATTTGACCCAGCAATCCCATTACTGGGTATATACCCAAAGGATTATAAATCATGCTGCTATAAAGACACGTGCACACGTACGTTTATTGCAGCACTATTCACAATAGCAAAGACTTGGAACCAACCCAAATGTCCATCAATGATAGACTGGATTAAGAACATGTGGCACATACACACCATGGAATACTATGCAGCCATAAAAAAGGATGAGTTCATGTCCTTTGTAGGGACATGGATGAAGCTGGAAACCATCATTCTCAGCAAACTATCGCAAGGACAAAAAACCAAACACCGCATGTTCTCACTCATAGGTGGAATTGAACAATGAGAACACTTGGACACAGGAAGGGGAACATCACACACCGGGGCCTGTCGTGGGGTCGGGGGAGCAGAGAGGGATAGCATTGGGAGATATACCTAATGTAAATGACGAGTTAATGGGTGCAGCACACCAACATGGCGCATGTATACATATGTAACAAACCTGCACATTGTGCACATGTACCCTAGAACTTAAAGTATAATTTTAAAAATCCAGCTGTTAATCTGCTGTTAAGAAGACATTTAAACCTGAGAGCACAGAAAAGTTACTATTATAGAAAAAAATACACTAGGCTGTCACTACCAAAATTAAACGCTGGTGGAGCTACACTAATTGTCATAAGCAGAATTTGAAGATGGCCCTAACATTTCCAGTCCCTAGTGTACACACACCTTTGTCCAGTTATGCAGTCAAACACAAATTTAGGTACTCCTGAAAAGGAATTTTGTAGATATCCTAAATCAGTTGACTGTAGATAAGGAAGTTATCCATGTGGGCCAGAAGAAGCCAGAGAGTCAAAGCATGAGGGAGATTTAATGCATAAAATGTTCCCCATTACTAGCTTTAAAATGGAGAGGGCTATGTGGCAAGAAACTCTAGGAGCTGAGAGTGGTCCCTAATTACAGGCAGCAAGGAAATGGGGATTTCAGTCATACAACCACAGGGAACTGAATTCTGCCACAACCACATGAACTTGGAAGAGGACCCAGAGCTCTAGCTGACAACACAGACCAGCCAATAACTGAATTTTTATCTTTATAAGACCCTGAGTCAAGGAACAAATAAGAAAATGTGGCCTATAGTCAAGAAAAGCAAAATATTCAAAATAGTACATCTAAACCAAATGGTCAATATATACATGAAGATACTCCACATCATTAGCCATCAGGGAAATGCAAATCAAAACCACGATGAGATACTTCTTCACACTCAGTAGGATGGCTAAAGTAAAAATGTCAGATAACAACTGGAGAAATCGGAATCCATATACACTGCTGGTGGAAATGTAAAATGGTATAGCCACTTTGGAAAACAGTCCAGCAGTTACTCAGTTAAACATAGAGTTATCATATAATTTAGTAATTTCACTCCTAGGTATCTATCTTGGAGAAATAAAAATATATGTCCACACAAAAACTTGAATGCAAATGTTTATAGCAGTATTATTTATTATAGTTAAGGATGGAAACAACCCAATGTCCATCAACAGACAAATGGATAAACAAAATGTGGCATATCTAATTAAATATTATTTGGCAATATAAAAGAATGAAGTTCAGATGCATACTATATCAATGAACCTTGAAAACATTTTGCTAAGTGAAAAAAAGCCAGACACAAAAGATCACATATTATATGATTTAATTTGTATTAAATGTCCAGAATAGGTAAATCTATGGAGATGGAAAGTAGATTAGTGTTGCCTAGGGATTGGGGAAAAAATTAGGAGTGATAACTATAGGGTTTCTTTCTGATGTGATGAAAATGTTCTAAAAATGAACGTGGTTGTGCTTGTATATATCTGTAAATATACTAAAAGTCGTTGAATTGTACATGTTAAACGAGTGAATTACATTATATTAAATATTTCCTGTAAGGCTATTATTTTTTTTAAATGAATTAAATGGAGGTCCTAAACCGAAAACTATATAATAACTGAAATGAAAAATTCAGTAAATGAGCATAATAGCATTTTGGATATGGCAACTGAAAGAGTCAGTGAATGTGAACGTAGGTCAATAGAAATTATACACTGTGAAGAGCAGAGATAAAAAGTATATGACACAAAGTCACTGAAAGTAAAAGAATGGAAAAATAAACATGATGAAAATGGGAACTGATATGACAATATTAATATTAGACAAAGTAGGATTCAAGATAAAGAATATTACAAAGGATACAGCAGGAAATTTCACAATGATAAAAAGAACAATTCATCAGGAAGACCTAACAATCTAAATATCTATGTAGACTGGACATGGTAGCTCATGCCTGTAATACCAGCACTTTGGGAAGCTAAGACAAGAGGATTATTTGATTCAAGGAGTTCAAGAGCAGCCTGGGCAACACAGTGAGACCATATCTCTACAAAAATTTAAAAATTAGACAGGCATGGTGGCACATACCTGTAGTCATAGCTACTCAGGAGGATCACTTAATGCACAGGAATTTGAGGTTACAGCGAGCTATGATCATGCCACTGCACTCCAGCTTGGGCAACAGAGTGATGCCTTGTCTCAAAAAATAAAATAAATACGTATGTACTTAAGAAGAACATCAAAATTCATTGGGCAAATATTAATAGAAATACAGGAAGGAATATTAATAGGCAAATCTACAAATAATATTAGAGATTATAATAGCTCTATCTCATTAACTGATAACAATTAGGCAAAAAAGTCGGCAAGGAAATAAATGATCAATAATATTTACCTAATTAATATTTATAAAACACTCAGCCAACAACTGCAGAATGTGCATTCTACTCAAACGTACATAGTAAATTCACTAAGGTAAAATACTCATATATACTAAGCTATACATTCTCAATAAAAAGTTTCTACTTTAAACTTCATATGGAACCGAAAAAGAGCCTGCATAGCCAAGACAATCCTAAGCCAAAAGAACAAAGCTGGAGGCATCATGCTACCTGACTTCAAACTATACTACGAGGCTACAGTAACCAAAACAGCATGGTACTAGTGTCAAAACAGCATGGTACTACTATCAAAACAGATATATAGACCAATGGAACAGAACAGAAACCTCAGAAATTAACACCACACATCTACAACCATCAGATCTTTGACAAACCTGACACAAACAAGCAATGGGGGAAAGATCCCCTATTTAATAAATGGTGTTGGGAAAACTGGCTAGCCATATGCAGAAAACTGAAACTGGACCCCTTCCTTAAATCTTATAGAAAAATTAACTCAAGATGGATTAAAGACTTAAACATAAGACCTAAAACCATAAAAATCCTAGAAGAAAACCTGGGCAATACCATTCAGGACATAGGCATGGGCAAGGACTTCATGTCTAAAACACCAAAAGCACTGGAAACAAAAGCCAAAACTGACAAATGGGATCTAATTAAACTAAAGAGCTTCTGCACAGCAAAAGAAACTATCATCAGAGGGAACACGTAACCTACAGAATGGGAGAAAATTTTTGCAATCTATCCATCTGACAAAAGGCTAATTTTAATCCAGAATCTACAAAGAACTTAAACACATTTACAAGAAAAAAATAACCCCATCAAAAAGTGGGCAAAGGATATGAACAGACACTTCTCAAAAGAAGACATTTATGCAGCCAACAAAGATATGAAAAAATGCCCATCATCACTTGTCATTACAGAAATGCAAATCAAAACCACAATGAGATACCATCTCACACCAGTTAGAATAGCAATCATTAAAAAGTCAGGAAACAACAGATGCTGGAGAGGATGTGAAGAAACAGGATCGCTTTTACACCATTGGTGGGAGTGTAAATTAGTTCAACCATTATGGAAGACAGTGTGGCAATTCCTCAAGGATCTAGAACTAGAAACACCATTTGACTCAGCAATCCCATTACTGGGTATATACCCAAAGGATTATAAATCATTCTACTATAAAGACACATGCACACATATGTTTACTGTGGCACTATTCACAATAGCAAAGACTTGGAACCAACCCAAATGTCCATCAATGATAGACTGGATAAAGAAAATGTGGCACATACACACCATGGAATACTATGCAGCCATAAAAAGGATGAGTTCGTGTCCTTTGCAGGGACATGGATGAAGCTGGAAACCACCATTCTCAGCAAACTATCACAAGAACAGAAAACCAAACACCTCATGTTCTCACTCATAAGTGGGAGTTGAACAATGAGAACACATGGACACAAAGAGGGGAACATCATACACCGGGGCCTGTCGGGGGGTGGGGGGCTAGGGGAGGAATAGCATTAGGAGAATTACCTAATGTAGGTGACGGGTTGATGCAGCAAATCACCATGGCATGTGTATACCTATGTTTCAAAACTGCATGTTCTACACATGTACCCCAGAACTTAAAGTATTATTAAAAAAAAAAAAAAGTTAAAAAGCGTAAGATGTTATACAATGGAATTAAATTAGAAATTAATCATAAGATATCTAGAAAATCTACAAATATCTGGAAATTAAATAACACAATTCTACTTAATACTGGGGTCAAAAAAAACTCACAAGAGAAATTATAACATATTTTTGGTGTGCCCTGCCCATGCCCTTCTGCTGCTTTTTCCAGGAGCAGGGAAGGAGTGGAGACAAAGGCTGATGAGGGTCTAATCTAAATTTAATCTCTTGTTTTTTTTAACTTTGTATGTGGAAATAATTAAAGATTCAAACGAAATTGCAAAGATAGTACAAGAAGTTTTCAATCTCTTGTAGTTTTTTAACTGTGTATGTGGAAATAATTAAAGATTCAAATGAAATTGCAAAGATAGTACATGAAGTTTTCATGTACCTGCTAGCTTCCCCAATAGATACATCCTAGTACTTATAGTTACTTAAAACCAGGAAATTGACATTGTCATTTTTCTGTGCCATTTATCACTCACCACCTCTAAAATTAAGATACAGAACTATCACCACAAAGATCTCCCTCATGCTACCCCTTTACAATCACACCACCTCCCCATGCTAAACCCCTGGCAAACACTAATTTGTTCTCCACCTCTATAATTTTGTAATTTTGAGAACATTATATAAACAAAATTATACAACATGTGACCTTTTGAGATTGGTGTTTTTCACTTAGCATAATGAGAGCCATCTAAATGATTTTGTGTATCAACAGTTCATTCCTTTTTATTAAGTAGTATTCCCTGTAGTATTCACTGCTCCCATCATTATTCACTTATTGCAGAACATTTTAATGTTTCTGGTTTGGAGCTATTATAAATTAGGCTGCCATAAACATCTGTGTAAGGATTTTTGTACGAACACAAGTTTTCAACCCCTTTGGGTAAATACCAAGGGATACAATGCTGGATCATATGTTATGTTTAGCTTTTTGTTTTGTTTTGTTTGTTTGTTTTCCAAGAGGGAGTCTTTGTCACCCAGGCTGGAGTGCAGTGGCATGATCTCAGCTCAGTGCAACCTCCACCTCCCGGGTTCAAGGAATTCTCCTGCCTCAGCCTCCTGAGTAGCTGGGATTAGAGGTGTGTACCACCATGCCCAGCTAATTTTTGTATTTTTAGTAAGAGATGTGGTTTCACCATGTTGGCCAGGCTGGTCTCAAACTCCAAAGTGTGTTTAGTTTTTTAAGAAACTGCCAAACCATTTTCCACAGTAGCTGCACTATTTTATATTCCCATCAGCAATGTATGAAAGATCCAATTTCTGCGCATTCTCACCAGTATTTGGTGGTATCGTAATTTTTAAATTTTAGCTGTTATAATAATTATCTTAAAAATATCTTATTGTATTTTTAATTTCCACTTTGCTAATGGCTAGTGATCCTTTTATGTACTTATCTGCATCTGTATAGCCTTTTCAGGGATGGAAAGAGTGCCAAGGTTACTGTATAAAAAAGCATTCAGGATGGGAGATATTGTTGCTGGCATTTCTAGAAAATACAGCCTGGAGTCTGGCATAGGTTACCTGGAAAAGGCGGATCTTGAGCATGACAGGATTTAGATAAGGAAGAAGCAAGAAAAGATATTTTTAGTGTATACTGCTGCACTCTGTCATTTAGAGTTTAAAAGAATGCAGCATTTTTATTTAGTCAAAATACGTAACCAGAATAAAAGGTATGGAGGATAGGCTACTTCAATTTCAAATAGTAAAACTTCCTCAAAAGATCTGATATTTGTATCTTTATCCCAAAACTTGCCACCTCTAGTAATTGCCCACATCTCTTTAACCTCCACTTTTCTCCTCTTCTCTGCAGCTCTATACATCAATCTGTCTCTCTTTTCTTTCTTATAAGAAACAAAGTAGTACATTCTTAACTTCTCCCAACTTCTTCTGTTATCAGTTCAGAAAAATAGAAGGATTATATTGTGACTGTTTATTCTACGAATGTTAGGAAAAGATACATGTTCCACATGATATGCGAAGAAACCAGAGGGAAGAGCAGGTGTTTTCAAATAGAAAGAGTAAATAAGATATCTTAAATTTTCACTGAGTTTCAGTGTATGGCAATATATTTCTACCTATATGTGCCCAATTAAGTGCACTTATGGATTACTAAATTCACTCTCACACAATGGCTTTAAAAGGCAAAGAAAAGGCAAATTGAAGGTAATGGAACAATGCACACACAATACCAAACAAGAAAATAGCACAATCTCCATCAGCCCCATTTTTATTTAAAAACAGTAACAATATAATCAAGTCTGGAAAGAAGCTAATCAAAATAATTTAAAATTATTTTTTAAACTATTTGAAAAAATTGCAATTATCAGTAACAATGAACTTTATTATTCATTGAACTAAGATGTAATTGTGTACATGTGTATAATATATGAATGAATAAATAAATAAATAAATAAAGATCAACAATCAAAAAAGGTTTAGAGCCCGCTTAGAACACTGAAAGTGCTGTTCTCTCCACCTCTCTCACTCTACCCTACCCCCTGGTTAGATACTGCTCTTGCAAATGTCAGGCTCCCAGCTTGAGCTCCTACCCAGATCTCTTGAGTTCCTGAAGTTTCTCTGGTCCCTCTTTTCCAAGGTACAGGTGCCTGGAGGAATCCTGGCCTTGGGTATCAACTGAATGACTTGATCCTGTTTTTCTTTGCCTCAATTTTGGATAGATTTCCTGAGTTTGCATCTCATATTCTGGTCCTTCCTCTCAACCTCCCATCTTGACCAAAACTCATCTTCTAGGGTGAATATGGCCCATTATTTGGATATCATGCCCACTTGGCTGTCTTCTTGGTACCTAAGAAAGAGCCCAACAGCTGTGGGGCTGAAACAGAACTAAGACCAGGACAGAGAATGCCAATACCTACAGTTCTAACGAGTCATTTACAATACTTTGTTCTAAGTATAAAGTTCTTAAAATCCAAAGTTAAGAAAAAAAATTTTTATAGGTAATTTTTAAAAACAGTAACACAGCATTTCATGGAAATACCAAGAACCAACTATCCAGTACCAAGTACATTTCCAATATAATGATACATTTACAGTGATACCATTTTAAATTGATAAACATTGTATGTATTTTTGGTGTACAACATGATGTTTTGATGTATGTACATATTGTGTAATGATTAAATCAAGCCATTTACTTCACATACCATTTTTTGGTGATAAGAACACTTAAAGTCTACTCTCAGCAATTTTCAAATATCCAGTCTATCGTTATTAATGATAATCACCATGAGGTAAAACAGATCACATGATAATCACCATGAGGTAAAATAGAACATATTCCTCTTGTCTAACTGAAATTTTGTGCCCTTTAAGCAACATCTCCATAATACTCCTACCCTTCTACAGTGATGCTTTTTGAGTCACATACTCCGTTAGTCTATTGAGTTTCTTGAAAATAATGACCATGGCCCATGCAACTTTGTTTCCCCAGACCTGGCCTTGAAAATTACGATTAATATTATTTTAGTTATTGTTACTACTTTTAAAACACTTACTATGTGTCAAGCTCTTGCTAAGCATATCGCAAATATTATCCCGTTTAATCCTTGTAATAATCTTATCATTCCTTTTTACAGATGAAGAAACTACACTCAGAAGCCCAATAACTTACCTAAGATCTTACAATTAGTACATGGTTGAACTGGGATTTTAACTCAGGTCTTTCTCATTTTGAAATTCAAACTCTTAATACGACTACTCTAATACTGAGCGGGGAAAGTGGGGTAGGGAGATATATAAAAGTTTGCCACTACTTTCCAGGCCAGAAGTAATAGCATGTTCCTACTTAGAAAATGTGACCTCCAGCCATGTTTCCAGCCAATTATGACTTCTCTGGCATTAAAGACACTGATCACGACACTCTCAGACGAAGGAAATCTCTAAAATATGTCACAGAAAATTTTCAATAAGTTATAGTGACACATGTATCCAGTGAATGAAATATAAAATACTAACTTTTGTAAATGTAGCTGAGGTTACTTTTCCTTGTGAGTCTAATTACTGCTGGCACATAAAATGAAGCTATTTGCAAATTCATATCTCTTAATTTGGCACAAGGCAGTAACTTAAAGAAAAAAACTATAGGTAGGCAAAAAAAAAAAAAAAAATCACTGCTTACAGCAGCACACAGGACCAAAGAGTGATGCAATTTTCACTACATGTCTTCTCAAGTTGGAGAATTCATTAGCACCTGTATAGTACTTGGGTAATTTCAGACAAAGCAAGTTGCATATTTAACCATAAGTTCATCTTGCTTTGTAGTTCTATGGCTTCATATTAGAAGTTTAAGTATACCAATTACTTCATCATTAAATACAGATATAAAATAACCATTTCAAGTTATTTTTCTTTTAAGTTTTGATCAATCATAGCATTTTCTAAGTAATACATTCTTTTCTAAGTATACATTCTTAAGAGTATATTCTACTATTGAAATTGGTTTTAGCCACTAAAATTAGAAAATATACCATAATGCTCTTTCCTTTTCTATTCTAAATAAATTTTAATTTACAATTTCTTTTTACAAAAATAAACAAAATGTATTTATTTAATATACATCACAAGAGCTCAATCAGAGACTTAATTTTAAAAACAGAAATGGGCAAAATGTCATGGCTCATGCCTGTAATCCCAGCACTTTGGGAGGACAAGGTAAGAGAATCTCTTGATCCCTGGAGTTCCAGGACAGCCTGGATAATACAGGGAGACCCCATATCTACAAAAAAAAATTAAAAATTAGCCTGGCACTGTGGCTTACACCTGTGGTTCCAGCTGCTCAGGAGGCTGAGGTGGCAGGATTGATTGAGCCTAGGAGATCGAGGCTACAGTGAGCCGTGATCATGCCATTGCACTCCAGCCTGTTAGAGCAAGACCCTGTCTCAAAAATAAAATAAAAAATAAAAAACAGAAACAAAACAAAAATAACACCACAGCTCAAGATACAGAGTCCTATACAGAAATCAAGCAAAGACAGACCATCTAAGGGAAAAATGAAGAGACAACACAAGGAGAGGTTGGGCAGCCCGAGTTAGGGCTCCTTCCTGGAGACGTGCTTTGAGTAGATTTCTTGCAGATATTTCTTAAAAGCTGTGGAGTTTTTCTAGAGCTCAGCAGCATGTGTGTTCAAAAGGCTATTGATGTTGAGTTCTACTAGCAGGCTGTGGATGGAGTGCAGGGTGTTCTTGACATCATACAGGGCAGACCACTCGTCCTTCAGGATGTCCAGACAGGTGTTAACACTGGGCGTCCACGTTGAGATAGTAGCAGGGCGTGAGGAACTTAACCAAGGGCATGTTGTATGGGTAGCCACTGGGGAACTCCAGGGAAACCTTACATCTCAGGTCTTCTGTGCCAGCTGCTTCAGGGATGGTCCTACTGATTTCAAAAGGTTGTCTGATGCAGGTAAGGCAGAAATTCCTTTGTTGCCAGAGATCACAAGGGTCTTCAGCTCTTGCTGTATCCTGCCGTACCCACTGCTGCACTCTGCTCCTTTATGGGCAGCAATGCTGGTGGCAGCTGTGTTGCAGTTTTGGCAGGCCATCCAGGCAGCACTGGCAGGGAGACAGGAACTCAGAGAGCATGACTGCAACTGCCTACTTTTTTTTTTAATGGTAGATGAAATGCTTAAGTGGACTAGCCAGCTCCTAATTGTCTCATTTCACTGAAAACTGTTTCTAGTCAACAAGGATGGATCCCATCAGCCTTACTGTATGAGAAAACCTGATCCCTGGCCAAAAGTGAGTGTTCTGAAGTGGATACATAATCTAACCACTGTTAATCTGATTCTTCCTCCTGGAGATGTGGAATTGAGACCCAATTCTAATCAGCTAAGGCTGCTTGCTTAAACTAATTTGCTTCAGGGAGAACGTCCCCCCACCCCCCGCCCCCGCTCCGAACCATAAACACTGTGAAGCAAAAGTAACATGGGCAAATATGTATTATCTTAACAAAAACTACCAGCACTATAGGCTGAATTACGTCCCTGCCCCAAAAATTCTTATGTAGAAGTCCTAGCCCTTAGTACCTCAGAATGTAACTGAATTTAGAGATAGGGTCATTTTTTAAACTTCTTCACATCAGGTAATGTGCAGACTGGTATCAAGGTCTGAGGGAGGCACACCTCACACAATAATGTGAAAACACAATCATTACTTTATGAAACACAAAAGAACCTAGGTTCTTTACAGAGGTAATTAAAGTGAAGTCATTAGGATGGGCCCTAATCCAACATGACCAGTGTCCTTACTAAGATGTGGAAATGTGGACACACACACATACAGGGGGAAGGAAATGTGAAGGGGCAGGGAGATCATTTCCATCTACAAACCAAGAAGAAGCCTGGAACAGATCCTTCCTTCACGGCCCTCAGAAGAAGACAACCCTGCTGATAACCTAATCTCAGACTTTTAACCTCCAGAACTGTGAGAAAATAAATTTGCTAGTTAGCCCTAGCAAACTAACACAACCATAAAGGGACACATCCTTGTTTGAGATGCTTGGGATAGAAGGTAAGACCCTGAGGGAATAGGTGTCAGAAGCCACAGAAACAAAGCAGATGGTAAAACTACTCTGGATGGCACCAGAAGAAAACTGTTTTTTCTGTCTCCAGGAAAGAAGAGGAAAGAAAGAGAAAGAAGTCAGTAAGAAAATTTGAAGTGTAGGGACTTTTTGGACAAAGGGCCAAAAGAATTTTCTCAGGAGGGTCTGAAAGTACCCCCAACAGGAAATTCTGATTATATTCCTATGATATAAACCCCCAAACCTTCAACAAAATCTATTACATATGGAAACAGAAACCCACAGCCAGAGGTGACCATGAGAATATCAACCTGGCATTCCTCCACCCCCTTATCTCACTGCCCTCTCATTCAGAAATTTGTAGAAATCTCACAGAAGCCACATGAGCCCCACAAGGTATGAAATATGGTTCATGCCAATATTATCTAAATCTCAAAGCACTAGGATATTTTAGCTGACACTTGGAACTGCAAAGAAAGATGAAGTAGACTTGCAGATAGATGCAGAAATGAAAGACCAAGTGACCCTAGAGAGAGAGAATGAGAGTTATAAGGCTATTTTCTGGTTCTAATTCCTCATTTGGCCAGACTGACTCCCTGCTTTTGAAATACCCACATCCCTATATTCCTCTTGGGATAACTTTATAGCCTCAAAATAAATCTCCCTTTCTTGTTGTTGGTTAAAGTAGCTCATGTTAGTTTCATTTGTGATTAAAATAATTTTAACTAGGATTTATATAATATACATATCAAAGGACATCATAAATAAATAGCAAAACCAGACAGTTATTAGAAGTTTTAATCTGGGCTGCTATTCCAGGGGGGACATTTATACCACAACAATACAGTGAATAAAAGTACTGCCTCATTTTTCCAAACTAGTGTCACATAGAATACTTCACTCACTATTAGGTAGGGGTTAATAAGTATGCTATAAAAAAGAATGTTTTGAGGTCAAATACATTTGGAAAATACTAATACAGAATAAATGACTTCTGAGCAGTTGGGGGAGACTTTTTTTTAAGGGGAGTTGACTATAAGACCCTTTCTTCCCACTGAGTGGCAGAGAAGAGAAGGTACATTATTGGAGGGAACTTAAAAGGTAATTACTTCAACAATAACAAGTTTATACTTGTTACAAAAGTAGCTAAAATAATATAATATCAATGTAAGGACAAAATCTAGTTCATCTCTAAGGCAGTATAATGTAATGGTTAAAACACATGACTTCTAGAACTAGGCTGCCAACCTCTGTAACTATTTCTTCATCTCTAAATAATACTTACCTCAATGCTTTGTGAGAATTAAATGAGTTACTATATGAATTAGTCCATTTTCATGCTGCTGATAAAGACATACCCAAGAAGGAGGTTTATTGGACTTACAGTTCCACGAGGTTGGGGAGGCCTCACAATCATGGCAGAAGGTGAAAAGCAAGGAGGAGCAAGTCACATCTTACATGGATGGCAACAGGCAAAGAGAGAGCTTGTGCAGGGAAACTCTTTTTTTAAAATCATCAGATCTCGAGACTCATTCACTATCATGAGAACAGTGCACAAAAGACCCACACCCATAATTCAATCACCTCCCACTGGGTTCCTCCCATGACACATGGGAATTATGGGAGTTACTATTCAAGATGAGATTTGGGTGGGGACAGAGCCAAACCACATCACTATATAAAAAGTACTTCAGCTGAGCGTAGTGGCTCACACCTGTAATCCTAGCACTTTGGGAGGCTGAGGCAGGCAGATCACTTGTGGAGTTCAAGAACAGCCTGGCCAATATAGTCAAACCCCATCTTTACTAAAAATGTAAAAGTTAGCCAGGTGTGGTGGTACACGCCTGTAGTCCCAGCTGCTCAGGAGGCCAAGACATGAGAATCGCTTGAACCTGGGAGGTGGAGGTTGCAGTGAGCCAAGATTGTGCCACTGCACTCCAGCCTGGGTGACAGAGTGAGACTCTGTCTCAAAAAAAAGTACGTCAAAGTGGCAAACTTCTGAAAATGCTAGTTATTATTATGAAGAAGCCTCCCTAAAAATCTGTAATTTATCAACTTCCAAGACAGGCTTAGAACTTTCTAGATTTTATATATCAGCTTAAAGAAAGTGACCCATTCAGGGCAGGGCGCTGATTATAGGTGGCTCACACCTATAATCCCAGCACTTTGGGAGGCCAAGGCAGGTGGATCATGAGGTCAGGAGTTCAAGACCAGCCTGACCAAGATTGTGAAACCCCATCTCTACTAAAAATACAAAAAGTTAGCCAGGCACAGTGGCAGGCACCTGTAATCCCAGCTACTCGGGAGGCTGAGGCAGGAGAATTGCTTGAACTTGGAGGGCGGAGGTTGCAGTGAGCCAAGATCGTGCCACTGCACTCCAGCCTGGGCAACAGAGTGAGACTCTGTCTCAAAAAAAAAAGGAAAGTGACCCATTCAGAATGAACCAACTTGAGACACAGAAGAAGACTGGCCAGTGACACCACAGAAGGCCAAAAAGTCAAGAACTCTGATTAGAACCAGGACAAAGGGTTTTAAAATATGCTGTTGCTGTTGAAGGGGTTGGTAGTTAACGTAGAGCCACAATTTAGCTATAGCTTTATAGTATTTCAATTTTTTATGTATAATTATTTTTATTATGTTCTGATTCGTATCCCATTTAGATGGCATTAAGGATATATACTGTACCTGGGGACAACCACTTATATTTGCATGGCTGTCATATCTCCAAGGTCATGTTAACAGGGCCTAAATAATTTTTCTAATTTAATGTTAACTCACTTTTTAAAAAAATTTTTTGTTTATTTTTAGTAGAGACACATTTCTCTATGTTGTCCAGTCTGCTCTCAAACTCCTGGCCTCAAGCAATCCTCCAGCCTCAGCTTTCCGAAGTGTGGGGATTATAAGCTAATATTAACTTACTTTAATCGTGTGTAGATGATCCTTTTCTTAACTGAGATAATGACTTCTACTTTGGTTTCAGACATTTTTTGACCACTATTATGCAATTTCTTTTTTAAATTTTGTTTTATTAATCTATTTTTAAATTTAAATTTTAATTTATTTTTATTTGTATATATTCATGGAATACAAGTATGACTTTGCTAGACTGATATATTGTATCATGTAATTTCTTAAACTAATAATGCTTATCAGAATTATCTCAAATAGATTTTTACTCTTGGAGGTATTGTAAACTAGTATTAACAAAAATAAATCCTCTCAAATCTCAAAAATGATGTAATTATATACAGAAAGATAGCCAACTGGGCTTTTCTTTATCATTCTAAATAGCAAAAGTAAAACTCAAAATAATTGGTAGAATATTTTAGATATTTCAAAAATATGGAATAAAATTATTGTGATCAGAAATTCTACTTAAAAATATAATTATTTTGTAAAAATTGAGTTTACCTAAAACCATAAAAGTTATAGTTGTTATGTTACATTTGCTTACAATTTTCCTTGAGAATAGGATTCTGTTACCTCACCCCCAAAATTATTTAATTACAATACTGAGATATGTAAGGGTCCATCAGTTATTCTGATCCTATAAAAATTATTTAAAACACTTACAAATGTGAATGCAGAACACTATCTTCCACATAATAGTTTCTTGAGAACTCTCCATATTTTACACAGAATTTTTCAGCTATACATGACCTTATAAGCCAAACATTTCAACTCCCTCATTTTAAGCAAACTGAAAATCACAATAACGATACCCAAAGTGACAGAATAGAACCATAATACAGACCTCCAGCTCCAAAGTTCTTTAGATATTTCTTCTGCATTTCATTAATGGTTTTATCTAGGTTTGATTTTTTTTTTTTTTTAAGACGGAGTTTCGCTCTTGCTGCCCAGGCTGGAGTGCAATGGCGTGATCTTGGCTCACTGCAACCTCTACCTCTGGGGTTCAAGCAATTCTCCTGCCTCAGCCTCCCTAGTAGCTGGGATTACAGGCATGCATCACCACGCCTGGCTCATTTTGTATTGTTAGTAGAGGCAGGGTTTCACCACGTTGATCAGGCTGGTCTTGAACTCCTGATCTCAGGTAATCTGCCCGCCACGGCCTCCCAAAGTGCTGGAATTACAGGTCTGATCCACAAAGCCAGGCTAATTTTTTTTTCATTAGAAAAATTGCTTATATAAATCAGAATACAAACATGCTTTTTTTTTTTTTTTTTTTAAGACAGTATCTCACTCTGTTGCCCAGGCTGGAGTACAGTGGTGCAATACAGCTCCCTGCAGCCTTGACCTTCTGGGCTCAAGCAATCCTCCTCTTCAGCCTCCCAAGTAGCTGGCACCACAGGCACAGACCACCGCTCCCAGCTTCTTTATGTATTCTTGATATAAGCCCTTTATCTGATATGTCATTTGCAAATATTTTCTCCCAGTCTATGGCTTATCCTTTCATTTCTTAATTATGACTTTTGAAGATCAAAAGTTCTTAACTTTGTCAAAGTAAAATCTATGAATTTTGTTCTCTTGAATCATTCGTTTGGTGTCATACATAGTAAGTATTTTGTATAACTCAAGGTTACAAAGTTTTTATCCTAAAAATTCTGAAGTTTTATATTTTATATTTAGAACCATGATCTAAGTTAACAGTTGTATAATGTATGGATAGTTCTTTTTTATGTAAATATCCAATTCTTCCAGCACTATTGTTGAAAAAACTGTTTCCTTTCTCCTGAATTATCTTTTCACCTTTGTCAAAAATGAATTGGTCATATATGTGTGGCTCTATTTCTGAACTCTCTATACATTCTTACTGAATTTTTATTGCCTATGCCAGTACCATACCATTTTGATTACTGTGGCTTTATGATAAATCTTAAAATCATGTAGTGTAATAAGTGGTGTGCTGAAACTGGCTTGCACCCATTCACAAGAACTGATCTTGTATATCTCTTCCGTACCCTGTGTTCAGTGATGTCACATTAGTAGCTTGAAATCAGCCATGGTGTATTTATACCACAAAAGTATTTCCAGAGAGCTAGTTGTTAAACATCAGCACATCACTAGGTATAAATTATCTATTTATTCAAAGTTGTTCTGACTTGGCATTTCAACATAAATTTTAGAATCAACCTGTCAATTTATACAAAAATGCTAGGATGTTTACTAGGATTGCATAAAATTTATAGATCAATTTAGGAGGAAATTACATCTTTTTTTCTCCCTCTGTTGCCCAGGCTGGAGTGCGGTGGCATGAACACAGCTCACTGCAGCCTTGACCCCCTGGGCTCAAGCGATACCCCCATCTCAGCCTCCCAAAGTGCTGGAATTATAAGCATGAGCTACAATTCCCAGCCAAGAAATTATATCTTAAGAATAAAGAGTCCTCCAATCCATGAACCCTGTATCTCTCTCTATTTGAGTAGTCTTTAATGTCCATCAGCAATATTTTATAGTGTTTAGTTACAGTTCTCACACATCTTTTGTAAAATTTATACCAAAATATTTCATAATTTTTGGTACTACTCAATATACTATTATAAATAGTATTGTTTTTCAGATTTTAATTTTAGGTTATTCATTGCTATTATTTATTATTGTTTTTGTATATCGATCTTGTTTACTACAAGCTTGCTAAATTCAATTATTAGTTTTAGAATATTTTTTGTAGATGCTACAGAATTTTCTACACAGATACTCATGTTACCTGCAAAGACAGTTTTACTTCTTCCTTTTCAGTCTACATGGCCTTTTATTTTTTCTTGCCTTTTTTGCCTCAGTCTTTCACTATCCCCATTAACTATGATGTCAGCGGTAGGTTTTTCATAGATGCCACTTGTCATAATGAGTGAATTCCATTCCTAGCTTACAAATACCTTTTATCAGGAAAGTCTGTTAAATATTGTCCAAAATTTTTTTTGCACCTATTGAAATAATCATTGGCTTCAATTTGCTAAAATTTTTAGAATTTTATAACTATTTCATAAGAAATACGAATCTATAAAATTCTTTTCTTGCAATGTATTTAATTTTGGTATCAGAGTAATGCTGGCCTTATAAAATGAATTGGCAGTTATTTCCTCCTCTTTGATTTTCTGGAAAAGTTTGCATTAAATTGGTGTTATTTCTTCCTGGAATGTTTGTAAGAATTCCAGTGAAACCACTTACCAGTGAAACTCTTGGCTTGGAATTCTTTATGGTTAGGTCTTTAACTACAAATTAAATTTATTTAATAAATAAAAGGTTATTTCTTCTTGGATTAGCTTTGATAGTTTGTGTCTCTCAAGTAATTGTGTCTATTTCATCTAAGTTGACCATACTGACATAAAATTCATAATATTTCCTTCTCACACTTTTCATCTGTTGCATCTGTATTGATACCACTTCTTTCATTCCAAATATTCAAAATTTGTGTTTTCTCCCCCTACCGCTAATCCTTTTTTCCCCCCGGATCAGTGTGGCTAGAAGTTTAAATCAGTTGTATTGATTCAGTCAAAGAAGCAGCTTTTGGTTGTACTGATTTTTTCTATCTGTCTTCCAGTTCATTGATTTCTACTCTAATTTTTATTATTTTCTTTCTCTTCTTTTTCTGGTTTCTTAAGGTGGAAGCTGAGGTCATTGATTCGAGATCTTTCTTTTTCCAACATAGACATTTAATGTCTATATTTTATTTAAAACACATTTAGTGTTATAAATTTCCTTCTAAGTACTGCTGTAGCAACATCCCACAATTTTAATATGTTGAATTTTCATTACCATCTAGCTCAAAATACTTTCCTGTTTGATTTCATCACTGACATATGAGTTATTTAGGAGTGTGTTGTTTCGTTTACAAATATTTGGGGAATTCCCCACACATCATTCTGTTATTGATTTCTAACTTAATGCCATTGTCATCAGAAAACATACTTTGTATTACTTGAGTCTGTTTAAATTTGAGACTTGTTTTATGACCTAGAATATAGCCTAACTTGGTCAATGTTCCATGTGCACTTGAAAAGAATGTGTGTTTTGTTGTTTTAAAGTGATCTACAAATGTCAATTACATCTACTAGGTTGATAGTGTTAATTAAGCCTTCTACACTTTTACTGATTTTCTGTCTACTTACCCTATCAATTATTGAAAGAGGAGTATTGCAATCTTCAGATATAATTATGGGATCTAGTTATAAATTTTTCCTGTACTCCTTTCAGTTCTATCAGATTTTGATTCGTGTGTTTTCCATTTGTATCATTAGACACATGAATGTGTACAATTATATTAGGTACCCCTGATGAATTCACCCTTTTATCATTTTGAAATGACCCTTTTTATCCTTAGTAATATACTCTGATCTAAAACCTATTTTGTCTGATAGTAATATGAGTATCTTTTGATTAGTGTTGCCATGGTATGTCTTTTTTGGTCCTTTTACCTTTAACCTATTTGGTTTTTTATGTCTAAAATATGTTTATTGCAGGCAGCATATAGTTGGGTCTTACATTTTTAACCAATCTGGCAATCTTTGTGAAATCACTAAACTCTACCTGGGTTACTGACTTCCTTTCTACTATCATATCTTTACTTTCCAATATCTCTTTTTTGTTCTCAAAAAGTTCTACTTTTGGATAGCCTTTCTATTCTTGTTTTACACAATCAGTAACTTGTCTTATTTCTTTGAACATATTAATATAGTCAATTTAAAACACTATTCTATTCTCCGCATTGACTGTTTTTTCTATGTTCATTTTACCTGTTGGTTTCTCTTCCTCTCTCTTTTTCATGTTACATGCTCTCTAATCAGTCATTGATTTATGTTAGGGTGATGTTAACTGATAGACTTAATATTAGGGTAGGATTTCTCAACTTTGGCCCTATTGACATTTTGAACTGAATAATTATTTTGGGGAACAGGAAGATGAGCTTCCCTGTGTACTGCAAAATGGTTAGCAGCATCCTTGGCCTCTATCCACGAGATGCCAGTAGCACACCTCTGCGCATATCTTTAGTTATTACAATCAAGTATCTCTCCAAACATTGCCAAATGTCCCCTGTGGGGGGAAACCAGTCCTAGTTTTTAGCCAATGCATTACGGTGATCAGGGTCTTGAGAGTTTCTCAGAGAAGTTCTCCAGTTTCCTACTTTGTGAGTGAAGAATATGAACCTAGTCACTAGCATTTGGAAACCAAGCAGATGAACAGACATAGGTATCTCACCAACCAATACACAGACTCTGACTTAATCTCTCTGGTAGGCAGAATAATGGCCTCTCACAGATGTCCACACATCCTAATCCCAGGAACCTATGAACATGTTATGTTACATGGCAAAAGAGAATTTAGATAGCAGGTAGAATTAAGCTTGCTAAAAAATTGACCTTAACAAAGGGAGATTATCTTGGATTATTCAGTTGGATTTAAATACAGAAGAGGAGGGCAGGAGAGTCAGGGACAAAATGATATGACATGAAAAATCCATTGCTGGCTTTGAAGAAGTAAGGAAGCCATGAGCCAAGTAATGCAGGTGGCTGAAAGAAGCTGGGAAAGGCAAGAAAACAAAATTTCTTTCTAGAGCCTCCATGAAGAAAGACAACTCTGCTGACACGTTAATTTTAACCCGCTGAGATTCATTTTGGACTTCTGACCCCTGGAATTATAAGATGATAAATTTGTGTTTTTTTTAAACCACTATATTTGAGGGTTAATGTGTTATAGAACCAATAGGAAAAATCATATAATCATTTGATTTCAGTATGGTGCTTTAGCATCCACTCTCAGTTCTGCTTAGTATTCCCAAATCTAGAACAAACCTGAGATAATCTCTTCTACCATGAATCAACAAGTCCTATCTATCTCTGTCAAGGTTGAAGAATCCAGGCTTCTTCATTGAGATGGGACCAACGGAGCAAACTGTTGCTTAAACAGATTTTCAACCAATCCTTCCATTCCAAGCCCACTCTACTCCCCAAGGCTATTTAAGGGGAACTTGTACCTCCAAATCCTGAGTTTTTCCAGCATTCTACAGTAGAGACAGACATGCTTTTATCATGGCAAGTAGTCAGACTTCCTCTCTATTCTGCTAAGTCACCACTCATTCTCATTCCTCCTTGCAAAAACACATAGACGTCTCTTATCCGCTACGTCTCTCAATCTTTTTGGTCTTTAAGGGTTCATGCAGTTTTGGTTTCTCTACTGTCATTTTACTGGGATTTCAAGAACAACAGAAATAAACAAGTTCACCTGCAATGTTTAACTAGTTTTATTTTCAGCTGACATTTTATCAAGCGCTTACTGTGTATTAGATTTGCAGATAAACCTTTATATAAATTATCATCTGAATCTTGTAATAACTCTAGGAGATAGGTACTATTATTTTGCTTCCCATTTTATAAATAAAACTGATGTTTGATTCAGGTGACAAGGCTAGGGTGGAACAGAACTGCGATGGAACCCAAGTCTTTATGACTCAAAAGCCAATTTGCCTAGACAATTATGCAATCTTGTTAATTTTTCAATTAACAATTCACAGGTTTTACTCTAGATTAGAGGTCAGCAAACTATGGTTTACTAGCCAAATCTGGTCTGCCCCTTGTTTTGTAAAGTTTTATTAGAACATATCCATACCAATCGTGTGGAAAAAAGCACACTCAAACTCAAAGTACTTTTTCTATTCTCTCACTCAACACCAAGAATTAACACAGAAGACTTCTGCAGCCAAATGTGTGGAGATTTTCCCCTACCAACAAGCAAGTAATGAATTCTGCAGCAGATACCAGGTAGGTATCCTCCAATTTAGTTCTGACACTATCTACCTAGAAATCAAATTCCACAAGTTGGGGCTCAGTACCGAAAGACTGCCCCCTACTTCTGATGCCAACAAGTCCTGGGTTATTTTTACCTGTGCTTTTAACTGATTGGTTATAAATTGGGGATCCCAAGACCCCCTCCTTGGATTTGATTAATTTGCTAGAGCAACTCACAGAACTGAAGGGAACCATTTACGTTTACCAGTTTACAGTAAAGGATATTGCCACAGGTACAGGTGAAGAGAGTCATGGGGTAGGCACGTTAGAAGAGGTGTTGCACTTCCCTGCCCTCTCCAGTGCACCACCCTCCAGGAAGCTCCATGTGTTCAGCTATCGGAAAGCTATTGTGTCCTTTGGGTTTTCACGGGACTTCATTACATAGGTATGATTAAACCATTGGCCATTAGTGATCAATTTAACCCACAGGTTGTAGGGAAGGGCTGAAAATCCTAAGCCCCTAATCCTGCCTTGGTCTTTCTGGTGACCAGCCCCCATCCTGAAGCTACCTAGGGGTTGCCAGCTACCAGTCAACTCATTAGCATCCAAAGACATCACTTTGGAGAGTAAGGATTTTAGGAGTCATACACCAGGAAAAAGGGTCAAAGACCAAACACGTATTTCACAATATCACACCCATTTAAATGACTATTGTCTATGCCTGTTTTTGTGCTACACTGTTACAACTGAATAGTTGAGACAGAGACAATCTAGCTGACAAACTCTATTAGTCTCTGCTCCTTTAAGGAAAAATCTGCTGACCCTGCTGTAGAAAATAACCTTATTACCAAGTTTTGAATTCATGGTGTCCTCATATACTTAACACTTTTGTTACTGTTATCAAATCAAAGGCACTATTTTTATTGTTCCTTTAGCCTTTTGTTACCCTGCAGATAGAAATCTTTGGCCATGGTTTAAAAAGAAAAGCCTCTAAACCCATCTCCCATGTGAAGTCTTCCCCATACTTATAGTCATACTCACTCCCATTTCTGAGCTCCCATCTCAATTATTATAATTACAGTATTTAGTGGAGTTTGATTCATATAGTCATTACTAGTTGTGATTCCCCTGAGATCTAGCAACTGCTTAACTCTGATAAGCATTTATTAAGTACCTTCTAAGTGTCAGTCAGTGTTCTAGACACTAGAAATACAAAAATAAAAATGGCATCTTTTGGTTCATATGTATTCTTTTTAATTAGGTATAAAAATAGAAAAGAAACTGAGCATGGAATTGTGCCTATGGTCCCTGCAATAATTGCATCAGAATCACTAGAAGTGCTTGGGCAACATTCCTATTGAATGTTGAAGCAGAATCTGCGGTGGTTAGGCCCAGGAATCTGTGCTCTTAATCAACACTTCAGATGATTCTTAAGCACAAAGGTTTCAGAAACACTATGTCAGTAGACAGGAAATACTGCTTCTAAATGTGCAAGTATTATGAGAGAGTAAGAACAAATCCCACATGATCTCTCTTAATACAAACCAATTTCTGTCAAAATGTAATGTTTTGCTGCTCATTTCTTCTTTCCAAAACTTACTAGACACGCTTAATCGAGAACTTTGACGTTGCTCTCATCTTTACTAATTTTACTTACATTGTGAACCCTGTACCTGGCACAGTTCTTGAAACATAGTTGATACCAATACTTTGTGTTGAACTGTTGAATATTCAGAGCAAAACCTTTTTAAGTTGTCCCTAGTATGTAGAAGTAGGAGTTTTTCCAATTTTAGACTGGAATGGTATGAGGATCATTTGAGAACAAGGAAGATAACACACCCAGGCAAATGTTTGGTCAACCTACACCTTGTTTCTCTCCTTCTAGAAATGCTTCCTTCTAGCTCTCAAGCCCACTACCCTGTGGGGAATATCAATCTCGCTCCTCAAGGCTAAGCTAGATCAAGCAAAGCCAAGCAGACTAGTGGAAAAGGTCAGGCATTATAGGATCCATCTTCATCATAGGTAATCTATTTCTAGAGGCTGTAGTCAAGAGAATGCCCTAGAATACATGTTTAAAAGGATTACCTACCTCTGAAGATAATAGACCACTTGCTTATATATGTCTACCACGAGAGTCTTATAACAATGGACTCTTGCTATACCTGACACAGATCTACCCCTCCCACTAGAACTCTGAATTATTTTGCTGGAGGCTACAACATTCTGAGTAGTTTGTTGGGAGTTGACAGGAGGTGGGGATAACCCACCCAGTACAAGCTTAGCAGAGCTGAGCCGCTGCAGCAAGTTGGGCTAGCCTTTGATACAGACTGGTTGGACAGGTTCTGGATCTACAGAAGAACCGGTTTTACTGGCCTGTTGTGCCAACATATTCTGGTTTGATTCCATGTTCCACAGACGGTAGAAACCTGCCCAGCCAGTTAAATGAAAGGCATATTAGGTTATCCATTGCACTCAGTATATAGCTTAGATGCAGCAGAACTCTTCCACATAGCAGTAGTGTCTAGCAAACCAGTGTGGTCCAGAGAGGTGGTGTTCACTGATTTAATGTTTAAGTTGATAGATTCAGGGAAAGTGAGCAGTGAAACAATTTCTGCTTTTCACCAAGAGCAGAGGTTTTCTAAATAAGTCGAAGGGTAAGTATATTTTTAAAATTTCTCAGTTTCCTATGCATTTTGGAAAGTTAAATTAAGAAATGATGTTTAAAAAGATAATCAATTTTTAACATAGTAATACCTGCATTATACCTTTTCTGTAAAGCTAGATATTGTTTTATAACACTTGCGTTATGTTCATTGATTGTTTGCATAAAGGTTATTTGGTATATAATATTCTCTTACTATGCTTTTCTGTAAGTTGTGCATGGCTATAGTCATTTTAAAAGCTGGACTGAATAATTTTGCCAAATAAATTTCACATATTAATGATTTACATTAAGCCATCTACTTCCTTCATAATGTAACTATTATGTTTTATAGGCTGTTGCTATATGGTAACAATTTTATATGGTAAATCTAATTGTGGATAAATAATAATTGCCCTTTTAAGGCCAAAAAAAGCATTGGCCGGCTGGTGATCCTAAGTACATTCATTAGAGGAACAATTCACAGTAAAAATTGAGGAGTGTGAAAAACAAAGACCGTGGAATCTGGTAACTGATTAACTATTGGAGCTCAAAAGCACTTGCTGAGCTGAATAGAAAGGAATGAAGACAGGTTTTGTCATGCCTATTAGGTCTGAAAAACTTTTTAGGTTAAAGAATACCTGGATCTTCCTTTCATTTATATTAAAAATCTTCCTTTTATCTCTCTCTTTACGTAATCCAATTAATTTATTTTAGTAGTTTGTATCATGTAAAATGAAAGTTACCAATCCCTTTAGATTTATGTTGGCATACCATCCTACCCCTTTATTTACTGATATTAGATTGAATTGAAGCACATGTCTTCTAGGGCATTTAATTTAACATAACAGCTGACATATGATTTTATCTGGGAATTTAAAATTTTTTTAACATATTATACTGAATGCTTTCCTGTCATCTTAGTAGGACTTTGCTTTGAGCTGAGCAAGACTGATGCATCCTTTTCATTGTCCCTAGGGTTCCCACTTTGTCACTATGTTCAAACTCAAAGGCTATAAAATTATTTTCTAACTCAAAGGCTATAATATTAGTTTCCTTAGGATGTTGACAAAGAATAAATTTAAAAGTGTGAATAAATGTTCAGATGAGATTTCATTTTTTGCAGGGAAAACCCTTGGATGCTTCATAGTCCTACTTCTAGGCAGTTCTGCATGAATTTCTGGTAATCCAGGTAAACTGCTGAAAAGCTATGTAATGTTGTATCTGCAAAAGCAATGTGCTGATTCAGCAAGCCAATATTAATTTTATTCAGCACAAATTGTATTTTGACAAGTTTTTGGTAATATGGATCAAAACTTTTAATTGGCTGAATTTTTCTGAATTTACTACATGAAACCTAGTTTTCAGGTAATATATATATACCAATAGAGCACATTGTTAGTATTTCTGGTGAATATATTGCATATGATAATTTAAAAAATTTAAACCACACCGTGTTTAAAACATAGGGCTTACTGTTTAAAGATAAATTTAATTTGGGATTCTAATTTATTTATTGAGCATTTTTTATGTTTATGGTTTTGAAGAAAGCTATTTAAGAACTAGATATACATTTATATAAAATCCATGGGTAAAATTTCAAGCTTAACTCTGTATTTTGGGAGAGGATTTTACAATTTTCATTTAATGGAATTTTCATTTTCAAATATATGTAAGTCCTATTAGATATTACTTTCATGTATTTTCCATAAATTTAGTCCTTTAAAATATTGATACATTGCGATATTTTTGTTAAAACTGAGGATATATAAATTTGTCAATCAAATTAGGAGTGTGTATGTATTTTATACAGACCAACATACTTCAGCGCCTAGTCAAAAAGTATTCCACTCATTTAAAATTTTTTTACTCTTTTAGTCGAGGATGCATTTCTTTTTATTCCTAGCTGCACAATTTCGCATAACTCTTTCTGTCAACAATGCTAGCTTTCTTAACAACTGCAACTTCTTTCCCTCCTGAATATCTTCATGTGTTTTCCACTAAAAGCACTTAGAATTATGTCATTTTTTACCTAAGAGGGACATTTAAAGAATAACCAATGAATCCAATATCTCATTTTTGAGTTAAGAAATGAAAAGCCCCAAAATATAGCTAAGTCACTATTATATAATCTAAGGGTAGATCTGGGGCCAGAACATCCAGGTTTCCTGACTTCCACCAAGACCAGTAATTTTTTCACTACCCTACATTGACTCTTCTGAATACTACATGAAATCTAATCTAAAAAGGTAAAATTATGTTGTATAGTGTGTTAATGAATCTTTGGTGAACTAAAAAATCATTTGTTTTTATATTTTAATCTATACCATTATTGCCCCAAACATTTTTGGGACAATGGCTGAATATATATGGGATTGCCATTGATAACAAAGGTGACTACCACTTCAAACCCCAATCTCTTAATGCCATCATATTATTTTGTTTCAGACTGATGAAAGCCTCACATTCTTTCATATTTGCCCAACTTGTGGATCCCGCTCTCATTTTCTGACTCAATATTGCTTTAAGCTGTCTCAACTGTCTATTTTCTTAGTATGTATATATTTTTGTATTATTTTAGTCATTCTTAAATGCTCATAATTTAGGATTTGCCTAAGTTAATATAGTATTCTTTAAATTTGGTTAGAACTGACAGGAAAATTTTGTTATGAAGACAGAAATTGCAGGACTTAAAAACCCATCTTAGAGGTGATAGAAGCTGTTATTGAAGGGGTAAGCTTTGCACACAAGTGCTCAAAAAAGTTTTAAACATTTTTAATTTGAGGAATTCCTAGGAAATGTGATTACAGAAAGTTGGAGAACCAAAGGCCAAAAATTTCAATTCTGATTCCTGGTACTAAATGTTAATTCTACTAATTACCTTATCTTATCACAGGTAAAATCCTACCTGGAAAATGCTTCTAAATTTGGTCATTTTAGTTCAGTCCAAGTGGACTCTGAAAAAAATCGCTTTCATTTGTTTCTTAACTTTACAAGAGAAAAGGCAGTATACTGAAAAGCATGTGAGCTTTTGAGCCAAATTGACATGGGTCTGAATAACTCTGCTACAAATTACGTTCCCCTTGGAAATTATTTAACTCTCTGAGTTAGCTTTTCTCCATCTAGTTAAGGAAGTTAAGTTAATACCATTCTTTCAGAGTTATTGGAAGAATTAAATGAGATATCATGTAAAACACTTCACATAGTTCCTAGAACATAGCAGGTGCTCAGCAAATGTCAGTATCCTTCTTACCCCTTTTACAGACTATATAATACATTTCAACAAATAGCTTCGGTATTTCCTGAAGTATTTCAGTATTTTCTTTCAGTAAGAGAAGTCAACTTTAACTTAGAATATGCACGTTTTTGTCAGAAAGATAAAAATAAAATCAGCAATCTTGGAAGGCATTAAGATATAATGTTGGGGCCGGGCGCAGTGGCTCACTCCTGTAATCCCAGCACTTTGGGAGGCTGAGGCAGCCAGATCACAAGGTCAGGTGTTCGAGACAAGCCTGGCCAATATGATGAAATCCCGTCTCTACTAAAAATACAAAAATTAGCCAGTGTGGTGGTGCGTGCCTGTAGTCCCAGCTACTCGGGAGACTGAGGCAGAAGAATTGCTTGAACCTGGGAGGCAGAGGTTGCAGTGAGCCAAGATCGCGCCACTGCACTCCAGCCTGGTCAACTGAGCAAGACTCCGTCTCAAAAAAAAAAAAAAAAACATATAATGTTGGAAAATATTTTAACCTTCTTAAATTTAAAAAATCAGAAACCCATATAATCCAATCCAATTAAAGATTCACTTCAAAGAAGTCTTTGTTAAAAGTATTTTGAGAGTGGTACACCAAGATGATTAAAAGCCTTAAATACTTTTTAAAAATTCAATTTCAATCATCTGTACTAATGGAAGAAAGCGTGACATGGATAATTCAAATTATAATGCATTCATGCATCAAGTAACAACAGGGATACATTCTGAGAAATGAGAAATTAGGTGATTTCATTGTTGTGTGAACATTATAAAGTCTACTTACAAAACCTCAATGGCAGAGCCTACTACACACCTAGACTATATGGTATGTCTTATTGCTTCCAGGTTATAAACCTGTACAGTATGCTACTGTACTGAATACTGTAAGCAACTGTAACATAGTGTGTGTGATAAGTATTTGTGTATCTAAACATATACTGACATAGAAAAGGTACCGTAAAAATATGTGGTATTATAATCTTATAGGACCACTGTAGCATTTGTGTTCCACTGCTGATCAAAACACTGCTATTCAGTGCATGGCTGTACCTTACTTGTGCCTTCTGAGTTTTCCAACAGCTTTTTTTTGTCTATTATCTAACATGACGTCAAATTAATTGGCCAAGAATTTATTTTCTTTCTTCTTTTTTTAGATAGGGTCTCACTCTGTCACCCAGGTTTAGCCTCCCATGTAGCTGGGACCACAGGCACATGCCGCTACACCTGGATAATTTTTTTAAAAATTTTTTGTAGAGATGTGTTCTCCCTATGTTTCCCAGGCTGATCTTGAACTCCTAGCCTCAAGCAATCTTCCCACCTCAGCCTAAGAATTTCTATATGCTCTAAGGATTGTGCTTTTTCTACTACCAAGTAAATTATTCTTTCAGGACTCTGGAATGTGTTTTCTCCTACAAAAAAATTCCCTTCTGAATTAAATTTATTATAGGCTAATATTAAATTATATTGCATTATTTTGATAGCAAGTAATGATGAGCAGAGTGAGTCCAAAATGTATAGAGCACAAGAAGATAGAAGAGGATTTAACATTTTCTAAAGATAATATTAAATTAGTCTTAGACTGATTAATTGATTAGGGAATGAAGCCGATGAGCAAAGATCACAAAGGAGGAGCTTTTTGTGAAATGTATTGGTCAGAGGGAGTTCAGAATACCACGACAAACATTCTGAGAGCTTGCTTAACTAAAAAGAGGTCAATTGACACATCTTCCAATGAATGAATAAAGAGCAAAAAATTGGTTTAGAGTTAACATTAGAACCAACTAATAATCCATTTATAACACAAACTGATCTTATTGAGCTCTTGTAATCAACTTTAATTTCCTGAAAGATGTTTAATCGCTTTACAAAAAGCTTTCTGCTGATGCTATAATTTCAATTTAAGTCCACGATAAAAGAATCTTTTCACTTAAATTGTAGACACTGTATGTAGATGGTGTGCAGAAAGACAAAAGCATCATTTCACCAATTTAGCCCACTAATTAATCACATATTCTTTTTTTCTTTTTTTGAGAGAGAGAGTCTCGCTCTGTCACTCAGGCTGAAGTGGCATGATCTTGGCTTACTGCAACCTCTGCCTACCAGGTTCAAGCGATTCTCCTGCCTCAGACTCTGGAGTAGCTGGGATTACAGGGACATGCCACCACACCTGGTGAATTTTTGCATTTTTAGTACAGATGGGATTTCATTATGTTGGCCAGGCTGATCTCGAACTCCTGACCTTAGATGATCCACCCTCCGTGGCCTCCCAAAGTGCTGGGATTACAGGTGTGAGCCACCATGTCTAGCCTAATTAATTATATATTCTTATTAAAACTATTTTATTAGCTACGTAAGCAATTTAGCCTATGTGACTAGTCATTAAAATTAGTATTTAATTTGCATTTACTTTTAAATGTTTACAGTAGATATTACTACAAACAATTGCAAAGAAGGCAGGAAAAAAACAAAAATTTTAAATATGTTTTTAAAATGTTCTGGTGGGGAATGGTGGATCACACCTATAATCCCAGCACTTTGAGAGGCCACGGTAAGCGGATTGCTTGAGCCCAGGAGTTCAAGACCAGCCTGGGAAACAAAGTGAGACCTCTGTCTCTACAAAAAATAAAAAATAAAAAATTACTTGGGCACAGTGGTTAGAAGGATCACTTGATCCCAAGAGATCAAGGCTGCAGTGAGCTGTCTTCACACTACTATACTCCAGCCTGGGCAACTGAGTGAAATGCTGTCTCAATAGATAAATAAATGGTTTTATACAAATAGCTAATTTGCATAACTCAAGACTAACAACTAAACTGCCTATAAATCCAAAACTGGGAAATAGAGTACATAACAGTTCATTGTGTTAAAGACATACAGCCTTAAGAACAACCAGAAACTATTATCTTAGAAATTATGTATCACTGACAAAGTGAAAATGTAACTTGAATAACAAATTTTTAGTTTCAAAGTTATACCTTAAATCTATTCCCTTGAAAGTTCTTTGCCTATCATATCTACAATGATTCAGATTAGGAGTGAGAAACACTTCCTTCCAACATGAAAATATTTTAAATCTAATGAATTTCTCAATGACTCTCGAAACATTAAGAAATATAAGATTGATTATAACTTTATGTAGCTAATAATACCCAGGAGTATTACTACTATAATAACCTAGCAATGTTTCTCAAAGTGTAGTCCATGACCATCTGACTCACCTGGAGGAATGCCTATTAAAAATGCAGATCGATAACTCCATTCCAAACGTATCACATTAGAATCTCTGGTTGGTAGATCCTAGGAGAGCAGCAAGAAAAGATTCTTCTGCCTATAACAGAGAATGAGCAAGTGAGTGAATCTTTTCAAATCTAACCCATTAACATTATCAGAAAAATAACCTCAAATGCACATGTTCAACCAATCTTGGGTCATTAACATTCTTACAAATGACTAATACAATTAATCTGCCTGTCCCATCCATGCATGCAAATTTTTAAAAGTTGAAACTTCCATTAATAATTCAAAAATAGTGAAACAGAAATCTCAAGTTTCCCCTTTTACTCTAGGTTCTCCATGAGAGTAAGAGCCTGAGACCTCTGGCTTATGTGCGAGTTCTTTATTTGGGAAAGCACCCAGAAACAGGAGTAAGGGATTAGTGAAAGGAAGGAAGGAAGGCCAATACAAAAGTTCATCCTTGAGTTCATCCACCACTATGAGCAAACAGAGCTCAAGCCCAGTATCTTCTTAGGAGCCATCAAACTACCCCAGAATAGCCTGTCAGAAGACACAAGAGAAGAGCACTTATCCACAACTTCTGACTTCCATCAGTTAAGAGTTGCCGCATGGGTTGCTAATTTCTTACACTTTCAAGTTGCATACTTGTTTCTATTGGCTTCAGAGAAGCTCCTAGGACAGAAAGTCAGGTGAGGGACTGTAAAGTTTCACCTGCATGAATCTGGTTGCCACTGAAATACCTGGAGCAAGCAGGGCCCAAGACGTGTCCGATACATCATGTTATAGGACAAATGTGGTCAAACTGCTTTTCCTTTAGTTTTATAATTCTAATACAAAATACAATTAAAACAGATGTTCTGAGAAATGAGTACAGCAATTTCAAATGGAGAGGAAGGAACTTTAGCCTATTTTTGTCTGATGTATTTGATCCATTCCCACAAAACCTGAGATGCACTGAAACTTGATCTTCTGTGAGAAAGGTATTTTCTAATAAACTTCAATTTATTTCCTGAATTTGCTTGCCAATTTTTAAAGGGCCAAACAGCAGCAAAATGGACAATTAGTATGTACGCTGTAAATACTTTTATGTCCAGCATTGATCCAAAGACTTTATTGTTTAAGTTTTCACACTAGTAAAGTTATAGTAAAAACAGATTGACTACATTGGACCCTCGAGTAACACTTTTCATTACAGTGAAACACACAATTTTGAATAGTACAAGTTTGTCTTGGACTGTGTCCAAGAGGGTCTAGTTACAAGAAGTAATTCATTATAACCTATAATGTGATCCTGAGGCTTGGCTCTGAAAAACACATTATATGAAGGCTCTAGTCAAGCAGATTAAAAATTTTAAAACCGAACAGATAAACAGTACTTTAATTAAGTAAATACCATACTTGTTTGTATAATATGTAAACTTAGTTCAGAGAAAGCGAAGGAGAAATAGGTGCAAAGAAAAAAGAAATCTGACCAAAAGCACATCATCTTTTTGTTTAACTTGAATTTCTGTTAGAATAACTAAATGTGAGTTTAAAAAAAAATAACACTATCTCCTTAGAAGTTAGGTAAAGTAGCTAATGAACTGAATAAAGATGAAATAGGAAAACTGAAGAGTGCACAGCAAATACAAAAAAGTGGAGACACACACTGCTGAAAAAAGCCCAATAATAACAGATATTATTTTATTATTATTAATTTTTTTGAGACAGGGTCTCACTCTGTCACCCAGGCTGGAGTGAGGTGGCAAGATCTCAGCTCACTGCAACCTCCACCTCCCAGGCTGAAACAATCCTCCCACCTCAGCCTATGGAGTAGCTCGGACTATAGGCACGCATAACCATGCCCAGCTAATTTTTATGTATTTTCTGTAGCAACGGGGTTTCCTCATGTTGTCCAGTCTGGTCTCAAACTCCTGGGCTCAAGCAATCCGCCTGCCTTGACCTCCCACAGTGCTAGGATTACAGGCATGAGCCGCCGCACTTGGCCAATAAATAATTTCTTATAACCACTAATTCTGAAATAAATAAAGAGATTAGTTTCTCCTTTCTATATAATTTTGCCATTGGGTTAGATGATTTTTTAAATCCCTTGGAATATAATAAAACTAATAACAACAACCATATAATAATACTATCTAACTTACCTGAACTCAATTATGTAAATCAAGATAATACATGTAAAAGCATTTAACAATATAGTGTAATTCTTTCTATAATTATAAATCTTTCACAATTTGCCTAGCAATTCAATAGTTTCACTATAACTATACAACTTTAGCCATTGAAGAGATCTGATTAGCTGTAGCTCTTAAATCTATCTACCGTTAACAACAGTTTCTTACATTGTTACAGTTTCTTACATATATATATATATCTTCTCTCTCTCATTTAATCCTATCAACAATCCTGCAAAACACTTAAAGTACATATTATTACCTTCATTTCATTGATCAACAACCAAAGTACAGAGAAATTAAATTATTTGCTCAACAAGATTAGAATTAAAAATTAGAATTCATTCAGCAAATTAGATGGTGCAGCTGATGCCTTCCCAGTATCAACTTATACAAATACATTACTATACACTTGCAGTTATAGAACTCAACAATGATTCCCCACAGTATAGCCTTTGCACATGCCTTCTGCCTGGAAAGCCTTCTGCCATTCTTCTCCCAATAGGCAAGCTGCTTCAAATGTCTCTTAATTCTTCTTTAAGAAATTTCAAATATATTATTTCATTCTTACAACAACCCCTTTGAGCACAGTGAGTATTAATATCCTCTTTCAGTGAGGGAAATAAGACTTGTCTAGGAAACATGCAGATAATCAGAGATAGGGTCAGAATTTAATCTCTCATCCTATCTCCCAGCTCACGACTCTTTCCATAGTACAAGAAGGCTGGGAATATGGTTATATGCCAGCACTGACTGTAGAACATGATCACAATTTTTTGGAGCACTTCCTACTCTGTCCCTTCTGAGATTACAACATAATTTAAGACCCTTCAATCTACTTGATTTTAAATTTTGTACATGAAACAACTCACAACCAGGGCTGGGAAAGCTAGTATAACCATTGTTCTAATTCTATTAGAAGTAAATTTATATTCATTTCTCAAATGTACATATCTATTACAAGGCAAGTAAAAAAGCATATGTGCCAAAAATGCTAAGAAATAAATTAGCCTAAAAAATGAAGTGAGATGATTATAATAGGTGTTTCACTCCAATCCTGACTGAGAAAGTCCAGTTTATTTTCAGCTCTGAGGCTAATTAAATTACAATCAAATTTTAAAGTACTTTTAGTTACCTCCTACAGTGTAAAGCATTTTTTAGTTAGTTTGTTTTTGGTTTTTTTTTTTTTTTTTTTTGAGACGGAGTCTCACTCTGTCATCAGGCTGGAGTGCAGTGGTGCAATCTCAGGTCACTGCAACCTCTGCCTCCCTGGTTCAAGCAATTCTCCTGCCTCAGCCTCCTGAGTAGCTGGGACTACAGGTGCACACCACCACACCTGGCTAATTTTTGTGTTTTTAGTAGAGATGGGGTTTCACCACGTTGACGAGGATGGTCTTGATCTCTTGACCTCATGATCTGCCTGCCTCGGCCTCCCAAAGTGCTGGGATTACAGGCATGGGCCACTGCCCCCAGCCAAAGCTTTTTGAAGTAAAAAGAAAAATGTACTTGCTCTGTCACCCAGGTTGGAGTACAGTGCATGGCTCACTGCAGCCTCGTCTTCCTAGGCTCAAGAGATCTTCCCGCTTCAGCCTCCTGAGTAGCTGGGACCACAGGCATACACACCGTACCTGGCTAATTTGTTTTTATTTTTTATAGAAACAAAGCCTCACTATGTTGCCCAGGCTGGTCTCAAACTTCTGGGCTCAAGTGATCCTCCTGCCTTAGCCTCCCAAAATGCTGGGAGTACAGGCATGAGCCACTGCATCAGGCTCTGACCATATGGTTTACAGTCATCCAAACCAGGATGTTTTTTAAAGTAAAAGTGAGCTGTATTAATAATTAAGCTAGAGCAATAGGAATCAACCAGGACTGTCACTGGTAAGCTAGGGCATATGATCACCTCACATAAGAGGTCTACCATAACTGAGAAAAGGAAGGAAGCTTTTTTTTTTTTCTTTTTTTTGAGCCAGGGTCTCGCTTTGTCACCCAGAGTGTGAGCAAGGCTCACTGCAGCTTCGACCTCCTGGGCTCAAGCAATCCTCCCATCTTAGCCTCCCAAGTAGCTGAGGCTACACACAACACTGAACCCAGCTAGATTTATTTTTATTTTCTTGTAGAGACAGGGTCTTGTTATGTTGCCCAGGTTGGTCTCAAGCAATCCTCCCACCTAGACTTCCCAAAGTGCTGAGATTGTGGGCATGAGCTGCTGCACTTGGCCGGAAGCCTATCTATTTCAATTTTAGTATCCTAAATAGTCCACAAAAACAAACTGTCACCAAGAGTATGAACTGAATTAAAACACAATTTCACTGTACATTTTTAATCTTTCTGATTATAACTTACATAAAACTGAAAACATTTCTAGCTAAAACTCAGGATCTCCTTTAAGTACTGAACGTTGAACATAAAACATTTTTAAATTTTTTATTTTACCTTTGGAAAAGTAACTATCAAAGCTTCCTTAAACTTAGATTAACATGGATTAGAAAAAACAAAAAGCCAATATTTTAAACAAAGTCTTTTTTCTCAAGCATAATTAGAATAAAGACCAAAAAAAGACAGTGCGTTTAAAGATATATCTGTAATCTGTGAAGCACATAATTACATTAAAGATCACAACTATTTGCTGGCAGTGAATAAATCCATCAATTCACAGGTGAAAAAAATTAGTGTTTAAGATGCGATGATTTTTTCACATGGACAAAGCAATGAATATTAAACATGTTTGCTTGTGTGAACCTATCAAAGAATTCTTTAATTAATAGAATCCAAATGTCACTGACTTGTTCCGACGGTTAGCCCTTCATAATATTTTCCATTGCTGTAAATAAATATTACTCCCACAGCTTGTATCATGGTAGCATTATACATAGGTACAATGCAGTATAATACTTTAATAGACAAAATGGTAAAGATTTGTTTTTCGAGATTCTGAAAATAAAATAAACTTTTTTACTCTACAGTCTTAGTGATCACTCTTAAATTATCTTATTTTTTCAGCAGTTAAGTTCTGAGATCCTTTTAAGTGCCAGGGTTAGAAAAAAGGCTTATGGGCTAACCAACTAACAAAATTCCTGGGCTTCATAAGCTTATATGAATAGATACGAAATATTGTCCAAACAGCCACTGCATTATAAATAGATGACATGGAAGAAACAGGTGTCCCTTTCCATTCATAAGAAATCATTTTGCTGGCTGCGGTGGCTCACACCTGTAACCCCAGCACTTTGGGAGGCCAAGGCAGGTGGATCCCTTGAGGTCAGGAGTTCCAGACCAGCCTAGCCAAAATGGTGAAACCCTGTCTCTACTAAAAATACAAAAATTAGCCAGGCGTGGTGCCACATGTCTGTAATCCTAACTACTCAAGATGCTGAGGCAGGAGAATCACTTGAACCTGGGAGGCGGAGGTTGCAGTGAGCCAAGATCGTGCCACTGCACTCCAGCATGGGGGATAAGAGCAAGACTCTGTATCAAAATAAATAAATAAATAAAAAAGAAACCATTTTGCAAATAACAGATCAACAACGTTCTTCATCACCCCATTATAATTTAAACCTGGGCAACTATGAATATACTGTTTAACCTTCTTTATCAAGTATAAAGAGATAGTTCCTAAATCGGGCAAATTATGTGCCAGTAAAACTTTGGCCATTACTGATGGGAAATGAAGCAGCTTGGTGAATGATGTTTAAAAACAAACAGAAAACTATTTCAACAGATTAAAAAGGGAAACGAAGAAGGTATGAAGTCCAATGTAGCTAGAGTGAAGATCAAAATAAAGCTTCCTTATCTAAACTGGAAATTGGCCAGGCTACACGAGACTAATCTTTCTAATTAAAAAGCAAGGTATACTCTTTAATGTCCATTATGAGCATTTAAATGAACACCTAGAATATTGTCAAAATAAAAACTGTGATGCTGACATCTTCCACCAATGTTAAATATATATTTTTATACAATTATAAAACTTCTCAATCTGGAATCTTGGCACCATCAACTCAAATCATAAACAAAACATTTTGGCACTTGAGGCAAGATCACTGATTGATGTATACTCCCACTCACAAACAACACTTACTAATTACTGTAAACAACTTTTAAAAAATTGAATCAAGTGTTCATTCAAGTTAACACAAATGTTGCCAGTTAAGATACTTTTCTTTTGTCTTAAAGTTTCTTTCCCTCACCTCTCAAACAGCCTTTGTTGTGTTCTTAAAATAGTTATGACTGCAGGTATAACAATTCACCCCAGTTTACCAGTATTGTGTGTTCATGTCAGAGATACTAGAGAGTTTTAGATAAATAATCATAAAGGATTTAATCACTTACTTTTTAATTTTATGCCTGGAGACACAGGCACTTAATGCTGGGTGGGGGATGGGATGATGCAGGGAGCAGGACAGAGATGGGAAATGCCCAGCACAAATAGCAGAAATAAACGAAGAATTGGATACCCACGTCCCAGTTCCATCCTGCTTCTTTAAGTAAATCACACAACCTCATTTGTTCACTCATTGATTATATTATATATGCTGGGCCTGCGCTGTACGATACAGTAGCCACTAGTCACATGCAGACTTGAGAACTTATAATGTGGCTAGTCTAAACTGAGATGTGCTGTAAAGGTAAAATATATAACAGATTTCAGAGACTTAGTATGAAGAAAAAGAATGTAAAAAGTCTCATTAATTTTTATATTGATTACATGTTTAAATAATATTTTAGATAAACTGGGTTAAATAAAATATATTAAGTTAATTTCACCTGATTTTTACTTAAAATGTAATTTTTAGAAAATTTAATATTATATATGTGGCTCTGTGGGATAGTTCTGTGCTAAGACTCTAGTAAAAAGTAGGAAAGAACCCAGGAGGCAGAGGTTGCAGTGAGTCGAGATTGTGCCACTGCACTCCAGCCTGGGCAACAGAGTGAGACTCTGTCTCAAAAAATTAAAAAAAAAAAAGCAGGAAAACAGGGCTGGGCGTGGTGGCTCATGCCTGTAATCCCAGCACTTTGGGAGGCCGAGGAGGGTGGATCACCTGAGGTCAGGAGTTTGAGACTAGCCTGGCCAACATGGCAAAACTCCGTCTCTACTAAAGACACAATAATTAGCTAGGCAGGTGCCTGTAATCCCAGCTACTCGGGAGACTGAGGCATGAGGATTGCTTGAATCTGGAGGGTGAAGGCTATCATAAGCTGAGATCGCGCCACTGCACTCCAGCCTGGGGGACAGAGTAAGACTTTGTCTCCAAAAAAAAAAAAAAGTAGGAAAACAGAAGAATAAAGAAAGCACAGTCTGACATCAAGGAGCCCAGCTGAAGATTAAAAACACAAAAATAATTACAATATAATGGTGTTAAGTGCAATGATAAAGATATATATTGAGGGCATGGGAGAATGAGGAAGGCCATTTGTGAAAGGGTATAGAAAGGAAGGATGAAGAGAGATGTTAGGTTAGTCGCCTGAAAGAGGTAGTGCCTGAGCTGAGACTTAAAAGAATAAGAAAGATGAAGTGTAACAAATGGGGGTGAAAGTAATTCCAAGAGAAAAACATTGTATGAGCCAAGAGTAAGACACAGCCAAGGGAAGGAGAGAGGAATAAAAGCAGTTTCCTGTTGAAAGAGGGAAAGAGCAAGGGGTACAGCAGAGACTGTGCAAGGATAAGAGCTTGTGTGACATTTTAAAGAAACTGATTTTTAACCTTTAGGCAATAGCCTTTTTTTCTTTTTTTTTTTTGAGACACAGTCTCGCTTTGTCGCCCATGCTGGAGTGCAGGGGTGTGATCTTGGCTCACCACAACCTCCGCCTCCTGGGTTCAAGTGATTCACCTCCCTCAGCCTCCCGAGTAGCTGGGATTACAGGTGCCTGCCACCATGCCCATCTAATTTTTGTATTTTTAGTAGAAACAGGGTTTCACCATGTTGGCCAAGCTGGTCTCAAACTCCTGACCTCAAGTGATCCAACCACCTCGGCCTCCCAAAGTGCAGGGATTATAGGCGTAAGCTACCGCACCAGTCTGGCAACAGTCTTTTGAAGAGTTTTAAGCAAAGGAATGCCAGGATCAGAAATAATGGTTTAGATGTTGGGCAGCTGTGAGACTGAATTAAGGTGAACAAGACTGGAAGCAGGGAGGCTGTTGCCTAGGTAAGAAACATCAGGGCCTCAACTAGGGCAATAAGTGAGGTTGGAAAGGAAAGCACTAATTCAAAATTATATTTAAGAGGTATCATCAGCAGAATATAGTGCCTGACTCGTCCTGACACCATGGAAAGGAGTTTGGATTTTATTCTAGGGTGATGGGAAGACCCTGAAATGCTTTAAGCAGGGAGTGTGATTTTCTGATAGATTTTAAAGAACCTCTCAGACTGCTGTTGGAGAATATACTGTAATGGAGAACAGAGTGGATAACAGATTTTTTTTTTTTTTTAAAGGAGGATATTGCCGTAGAAGAGGTTGATGGTAGCTTGAACCAGGGTGGACACAAAGGTGAGAAGCAACTGGATTGTTTGGGCAGGTGTGTGTGTGTGTGTGTGTGTGTGTGTGTGTGTGTGTGTGTGTGAAGAGACAGGCGGGTGTGTGTGTGTGTGTGTGTGTGTGTGTATGTGTGTGTGTTTAAGAGACAGGTTCTGGCTGTCATTCAGCCTATACTGCAGTTTCTCAAATCTCAAGTGAGCCTCCCGCGGGCCTCCCACAGCGTTGAGGTTACAGATATGAGCCACCCTATCTGGCCTCAGGTTGTATTTTTAACTGCAAATGGTTTTGCCTAATTCGTAGGGTTGAGAAAGAAAAAAGCAAGTTTAGGAAGATCACACTTGTGGAGCTCAATTGTCTTGTTTAATCAGGAGGCCAGGTTGTCCACCTAGAGTGAAAATAGCTTCAGAGGCTTGAGGACTGAAAATAGTAAAGGTCTGGAAGACAGCAGAGAAAATAAAAAGAGCTGAACAAAGGCTATTTTAAGGATTAACTGATGCCCTGCATGAAGTTTGAAACCATATGACTTTAGTGATATCAGTCTAACGTGATACGTCATTTTCCCTTCACAACACTCAACTACCCAGCTGCAGGAGTTAAGCATAGATTCTAGAATCTACAGGATTTCATTTGTAAATGGCTTGAGTTAGATGACTTTTAAATCTACGTGAGTTCCAAAACTTTACTTTTAAGAATCCTAGAGTCTGTACTGCTATCACACAATTTATTTTAAATTGGTGCCTAGATATACATAATGTAAACTTACCATTTTAACTATTTCACTAGTTTATTTAAATTCAGCATTCTAGCCAGGGGCCTCCAATAGGTGTGCTGGGACATTAAAAACCTAGCCCTGAAGGTGGCAGCACTGGGCCTGAGGTGACTAGTCTCAACTTCTGTTGCCACTGGATGGAAGCAGCCTCATCTTTTCATTACAATATATAACACAAGTGTTCATTTTCTAAGCATGCTGAAATTGAAAAAGTTTGGGAAGTACTGTCCTAAGCCACAACATATGAGAAACCCAGTATTATGAAGAGTTCAAAATAACTGCTTCTCTGTTAAAGATGTTTTTTCAGCAGATCTTTGGAACCTCAAAATTTATTCCATGTGGTTCTTAAAGCTTTAGAACCTATCTATGAGGATGCCCGCCATTTCCATTGTTAAAGTGGCCATATAAAATCTCATTTAAAAATCTAAGAATTTTGAATGTACCCAAAGGTTTCCATTTACATAGAAATGGGATCCACCAGGGAATGCCCATTTCATTCATTCATAGAATATTGATTTGGTGGCAGACACTGGGCTAGTTCCTGGAGATAAAAGGGTGAACAAACCTTTTTTATTTTTTATTTTTTTAATTTTAAGACAGGGTCTCTCGCTCTGTCACCTAGGCTGGAGTACAGTGGCACAATCATAGTTCACTGCAGCCTTGAACTCCTGGGCTCAAGCAATCCTCCCACCTCAGCCTCCACAGTAACTAGAACTAGAGGCACGAACCACTGTGTCCAGCTATTTTGGTTTGATTTTTAGAATAGGAGACAAGATTTCACTATGTTGCCCAAGCTCATCTTGAACTCCTGGCCTCAAGTGATCCTCTTGCCTCAGCCACCCAAAGTCTGGCCCAAGACGTGGTTTTTTATCTCAAGAAATTTACAGTCCAGTGGGGAGACAGAATTAATTAAATAACTAAAACAATAAAAACTGTAAGATGGGGAGGTTACATGGTACTGTAGGAGGATCTAGTAGAAGAGACTATTGAAATAAGATAAAAACATGATTAGTAGATAGCTGGGGCAAAGAGTGGGGGTAGGTTTGGTGGAGAACTCCAGGCAGAGACAATAGCACGCAATGGCCTAGGAGACATCAAAAGTCTAGTGAGACCAGAGGACAGAAAATGTCTGGAAATAAAGCCAAAGGGGTAGCAGAGGCAATTCAAAGGGGCTTCCTTCACAGAGTAACTGGAAGCCACTGAAAGGGTTTAAGCAGCATAGTGACATTAACAGATTTACTTTTCAAGATCACAGTAGCTGCAGTATAGAGAAGTGGTCTCAAAGTAGACACAATTTAAGGTGGAGGAGGGAAGATGTATTTTTATTCTATTTTTTATCCTTTAAAAATGCTTTTAAAATGGATTATAATCATATTAGCTAAGAAATACTAATTATGGCTAGCTTTTGGGCACATAGTATATATCTGAATACTAAGCAGTTTACATATATTCATTTAATCTTAATACCCTGTGAGGTTGGTACTATTATTATCCTCAATTTACAGGTAGGTAAAATGGGACAGCGAGCTTAAGCAGTCAGTCCAAAGTCACTCAGTAAGGAAGTATTAGAGCAGGATTTAAACCCAGATGTCTGACTTCAGAGCCTGTAACTTCATTAGATCATGTACCATTTTTCAACAGTACATGTATGTAATTTAAAATTAAATATATATATGGAGAATAGAAGTTCAAATTTTTTTCTGAACACCAGTGAAAACAAAGATTTAGGAGGGGTGGTTGGTAGCGTGGATGTGGAAAGGAGCCTAGCAGTAGACTAGGTAAGAAATAACAGTATCTTGGATTATGGAGGTAGTGATGGAGAGAAGGGGATGGATTTACATGTTTAGTAAGTAAAATTGGACTGCGTGATGGCTTGGATATGGAAGTTAGGGATGAATAAAGTGTCAAGGATGACTCTTTGGTTTCTGACTTGCATAAATGGATTAGAGAGTGAGACACAGGCAGAGGCCATAGGAACAGGTTGGGTCATTCTGCTCAGTTTTTCTTTGGACCACAGTAGAGACCACAGCACACTGCTCTTTCAATACTCTGTTAAATGACAAACTTATTACAGGTTATTTCTGTCATAAACATAAAAGCTTCACTCTGTCAATTATGTTTCCTATCTTGCGTTAAAAATTACATAGTCAAAATTTCATCCATTTTCTTTTAAAAATGTGGAGTTAAGTCTTATAAAATGGGGAAGTGAATGATAGTTGCTGTAACAGGCTAATAGAAGGTTTAGCACCCCTCTTCTGTATACTAACTTTTTAAGTTATATTTATTCATCCCTTAAGATGTGGGACAGGTGGAAAAATTACCTTTCCACTTTGTATTTATGATTTCTAAGTACTAAACTTTTAAAGCCTGTTAATATTATCCCTTCCCAGGTCTTAGAATAATTACACAAAAGTACTGGACTGGTTTAAAAGATATTTGATTCTAGTCTATTTTGTTCATTTGTAGAATTTCTAGTGGTCTAAAAACGATTCTTTTACAAATCAGGAGAAATAGGAATACCTACTATCGGTTTGAATCTCAAACGAACAGCCACAAGAAAAATGGACTTTTTAAAAAAAATTATCTAACAGCATGTTGTCCCAATAAATAATGCTGAAGGAGATTCCTTCTCGTTTCAAATTTGCCAGAAACTTCCCGTTTAACCTCAGCAAAATACAGATCGTTTTGATCTATGGCGTTACCGCACAACCCTGTCAGGTCACATCACTAAACTGCAGATAACAGCGACAAGGCCGAAAACTATGTTAGACGGATCCGCGTCCATACCCCCCATCAGTTAATTTTAACTCTTCATTCGGTACAGGTCACTCTACACATGCTTCCCTGCAAAATGCTTAAGCTAGACACAGTGTACAGATAACTTTCACAGAACCGCAAGGGCTTGATGCTCCCCCAACAGAACGGCTTGAGCTTTCCCCAGCGCAATTCAGAAATGCTGTGGCGGTCGCCAGACTCTTCGGGTAGCTCCCGGCAGCTCCGAGGTAGCGCTCCCCTCCCCAACCATCGCCCTCCGGGATGGGCCGCACCGAAGAGCCCGCTCCTCAGCTAGGGCACGAAGTGCGCCGCCGCGATGGGCAGCTGGAGGAAGGGGCGTGACGCAAGTGGAACTCCCGCGTGACGTCGCGCGGGCTCCCGGGCGGGGCGGGTCCGGCCGCCTCCGAGCCCGGCCGGCAGCCCCCGGCCTTAAAGCGCGGGCTGTCCGGAGGGGTCGGCTTTCCCACCGAGGATTTGGCACTCTGGTGAGGGAAAAGGGCGAAAGAGAAAAGCGAGCAGCCGTCCTTTCACAGCCTCAGAAAGTGCTCGCTTCCCTTCGGGGGCTTTCGCGAATCCCGAGGCAATCTCGGAGGCGGTGAGTAAAAGCAATCTCTTTACCCCACCCGGAGCTCTGGGTCGGAGCGACTGCTTCTGGTCTGGAGCTGCGTGCTTGGCGAAGGGCTCCCGGGGTAGGGGTGGCTCCCGGCTCTGGGGTTGTGTCTGATGAAATAGGCCGGGCCCGGGCTACACTCGGTGGTGGTGGACCGGCGGGAGGACGAGCGCTACCTCAGTACTACTTCTGGGTCTCCCGCGCGGGCTGAGGAAGCGCCTTTCGCCGCCAAGCCCGCCCCGCGCATGCGCCGACTGCGGCTCGCGCGCGCGCTTCGGAGGTTTTTTGGCCAGACCCGCACGCGGAACCGGCGCGGGCACCTGGGGAGAAATGGATGGAGAAGGGACCTGGCTGGAAAGCCTTTGCCCCGCTGCTCTGCTCCGCCCATAAGAGGACCCCTGAAATGTCCCGTGCAGTTTGTTCAAGTCCCCTGTGTGATGAAATGTGCCTCTCGCCTTACCCGTGTGAGAATACCTGTGGTGTGGCAGCGAGTATTTTGGTGAGCACCTGCAGTGTAGTGGTTTATACTAAGGAATACACACAAATTACAGGCCTTTGAGCCCAGAATGCAACTTGGGAGGTAAGACGTGACGTTCTGAGAGATTGAAAAATGTACATTGTCGTCGTGCCTCGAATAACGGTTCATTGCAGAGAGAGATGCTAACAAAAAGTGCCGGGCATGCGGGTAGGTGGAAAGGGTTTTGCGAGCCAGAATTTGCAAGTTGAATGTTTTGTTTTTATGTTTTGTTTTTAAGGCACTGTACATCACTTACTTGAAGATAGATACGTAAAGGATGCTTATTTTACACTCTTTAAACGAATATGTTAATACTTTTTCGGTCATTGAAGTAATTAAACCTTCATTTTAAACTGTTGACTTAATAGAAATCGTTTATGTCTTCTTTTTTTTTCTTTTTGCTGCAGAGAGGTATTTTTTCTTTATTTTATTATTATTTTTTATACTTTAAGTTCTAGGGTACATATGCACGACGTGCAGGTTTGTTACATATGCATACATGTGCCATGTTGGTGTGCTGCACCCATTAACTCGTCATTTACTTTAGGTATATCTCCTAATCCTATCCCTCCCCCCACCCCACGGCAGGCCCCGGTGTGTGACGTTCCCCTTCCTGTGTCCAGGTGTTCTCATTGTTCAGTTCCCACCTATGATTGAGAACATGCGGGCTACAGAGAGGTATTTTACAGTTATTGGTCTCATGACTTGATTTCCATCCCTGACATAGCCATGTCCCAGCTGTGTGACCTTGGACATTTACTGCCTTACGCCTCTTCCCCCAACTCTAAAATGAAATTATAGTAGCTGTCTTACAGAGTTTTTCTGAAGGTTAGGTAGAATATAAATATTCTATAATATATAATTATATATTAAATAATATATAAATACAAATATTAATATTAATATTCTATAGTTTCTGGTATGTGGGAAACAAATGGTGACTTTTATTCACAATTATATATAGGCCCATTTGTTTATCTGTTAGAGTTAAAGATAGAATAAAAACCTCTTTGGTAACAAAACTAATGCAGTGCACCTAATTCTACTTTTAAAAACTTTTTTACAGAAATAAATGTACACAAGAGAAATACTGGAATTATGAACCCCATTGTATACGCACCCACCCAGCTTCAGAAATTGTTGAAGTTCAGCCCTTGTTTCATCTCTTCACCCAACATCCATTTTTGTTTGTTTTTGCTGGATTTTTTTTTTTTCAAGCAAATCGCAGAGTATATCCCTTTACCTGTAAATATCTCGGTAAATATCCCTTTAACAGATAAGGCCTTTCTAAAAAAAAAACAAACAAAACCGCATCATTATCATACCCAAGAAAATTAATAATTTCCTAATATCTAAAATCCAGCTCATATTTAGTTTCTGGATTATTTTTTAAAAGTCTAATCACAATTTTTGCAAAGCTTGATAGTTTATTTTTGTAGCTCTTGACGGTTCACCAAGTGGCTTCACATATACTCCTGCTCCCTTCAGAATTACTCTTTCAGCCCCTTTGTCAGAGACCTCAGGAAATGGTTAGCAGGAAACAATCAGTTTGCTTTGGCTAAGGAGCCAGATGTGAGGTTTAGTAGACTTGCTGATCACTATTACTTTTTAAGTTGTAGCTAATTAATGGTTTCATTTTAAGAACACATATTAAAATATTTACTAATCCATTCAAACTTCTTAACCTGTTGGTTTCTTCAAGGACTATGTAATAAACTTAATGATTCACCTTTATTCTAAGAGAGGCATGAAGTAACATTACCCTAATTGTCTTATGACTCTAAGATGTTTCTGTATTCATAGATCTTTGCTGTGTTTAAATCTTACTGACTTCTCTTGTTTTTGGAAAGTTATACAGATCCTCATCTGTGTTAATACATCAGTCAACTGTCTCTTTTATAAAATATATATAGATATGTGTATATATGTGGATGCTTGTTAAGTCAAGACTAAGAATATTTTTCAGTTTTGGGCTCAGTATGTTTCACCAATTCAAAAGTTAAAAAAACCAATTTTTTTTTTTAATTGAGACAGGGTCTCTGTCGCTCAGGCTGGAATGCAGTGGCACGATCTCCGCTCACTGCAAATTCCGCCTCCCAGTTTCAGGCAATTCTCCTGCCTCAACCTCCTGAGTAGCTGGGGCCACAGGCACGCACTACCACACCTGGCAAATTTTTGTATTTTTAGTAAAGATGGGGTTTCACCATGGTGGCCAGGCTGATCTCAAACTCCTGGCCTCAAGTGATCTGCCCACCTCAGCCTCCCAAAGAGCTAGGATTACAGGCAAGAGCCATCTCCCCCAGCCAAAACAATACATTAGTCTATAGTGGTAAATTAATACTGACCATGAATGATAAAAACCCCTCAATATCTGAATCCTTTCTGTTTAATATAATTGAGATAATTTCTTCCTCTAAGAGAAATAAGAAAATTTGCCTGAAAATTTACCTCATATAGCCAAATAACTGAAATCAGAACTTTTCTCACCATTATCATCTTTCCTTATTCTTTCCTTCCCCTCCCAAATTCTAAAAATGATTGATTATAGGTAAATAAGGAAATGGTAAATGAGGATATCTGGGCTTGTGTTTCATCCTGATTTCAAAGTACATAAAGATAAATGCAAAGTTCATTTATGTTGCAATCTGTCATTTCAGGTATTTGACCTGTCCAAAGACGACTTGATACCTCTATAATGTAACAGAAAAGGTCAGAAAATATTAAGCAAGTAGAAGTGTGGAGCATATTAAGCAAGATGAACATCTCGGGAAGCAGCTGTGGAAGCCCTAACTCTGCAGATACATCTAGTGACTTTAAGGACCTTTGGACAAAACTAAAAGAATGTCATGATAGAGAAGTACAAGGTAAAATCTTTTCTTAAATACTTACAGCAGTATTTTGTTGAGACTGTAGTGGCTTTGTATACCTTTGTATGACAGTCCTGTTTATTATTTCTATTTCAGCTTTTAGGTTCCGGGGGTACATGTGCAGATTTGGTACATGGATAGATTGCATGTTGCTGGGGTTTGGTGTGCAAATGATTTCATCACCCAGGTAGTGAGCATGGTACCCCATAGGTAGTTTTTCAATCCCCACCCTCTTCCCACCCCCCTGACCCTCCACCCTCATGTAGGTCCCAGTACCTGTTGTTCCCCTCTTTGTGTCCATGTGTACTAAATGTGTAGCTCCCACTTATAAATGAGAACATGCAGTATTTCTGTTGTCTGCTCAGGGTAATGGCTTCATCTGCATCCATGTTGCTGCAAAGAAAATAATTTTGTTCTTTTTTATGGCTTCATTGTATTCCATGATGTATATATACTTTTTTTTAATTCAGTCCACTGTTGAATTTTGTACATTTAATGGCCATCTTTAAATTCAAAGATATCTTTTTTTTTTTTTTATTTTTTTTGAGACAGGGTCTCACTGTGTCACCAGGCTGGGGTGTAGTGGTGTGATCACAGCTCACTGCAGCTTCAACCTCCCATTCTCAAGTGAGCCTCCCTCCTGTAGTTGGGACCATAGGCACACGCTGCCATGCCTGGCTAATTTTTTATTTTTTGTAGAGTCAGGGTCTCACTATGTTGCCCAGGCTGGTCTTGAACTCCTGGCCTCAAGTGATCCTTCTGTCTCTGCCTCCCAAAGTGGTGGGATTACAGACGTGAGCCACTGCGCCTGGCCCAAAGATCTCATTATTTATTTATTTATTTATATATTCATGTATTTATTTATTTACTAATTAATTTTCAGAGAGGTTCTCACTCCGTTGCCCAGGCTGGAGTGCAGTGGTATGGTCACAGCTCACTGCAGCTTTAACCTCCCAGGCTCAGGTGTTCCTCCCACCTTAGCCTCCTGGGTACCTGGGACTACAGGTGTGCACCACCACGCCCAGCTAATTTTATGTATTTTTTGTAGAGACAGAGTTTTGCCTTTTTGCCCAGGCTGGTCTTGAACTTCTGGGCTCAAGCAGTCCACTGGCCTCAGCCTCCCAAAGTGCTAGGATTACAGGTGTCCGCTGCTGTGCCCAGCTGATCTTTTTTTCTTTTTCTTTTTGAGACAGGGTCTTGCTTTGTCACCCATGCTGGAGTGCAGTGGTGCAAACATGGCTCACTATAGTGTCAAACTCTCGGGCCCAAGTGATTGTCCCACCTCATCCTCCCAAGTAGTTGGGACTACAGGCGCACGCACCATGCCCAGCTAGTTTGTTTTTGTTTTTGTTTTTTTTAAACTTATCCTTCACCTTAGAACACCTAGCTAGTTTTTGTATTTTTTGTGGAGTCAGGGTTTCGCTATGTTGCCCAGGCTGGTCTCAAACTCCTGAGTTCAGGTGATCTCCCGCCTTGGCCTCCCAAACAGCTAGGATTACAGGCGTGAGCTGCGCCCAGCCAGATCTCATTTTTAGAGGACATTTACAATTGTAGTTTTTGTGATTCATTTTTATGGTCAAATTGGTGCTTTTTAACCACAGAACATAGTTTGTATACAACTTGCTGTTATTTACTTGTGGTAATATGTATGAGATAGTGGAAAACGTATACAATTTGTTGACTGAAGACCTGCATTTGAATTCTGATTTCATTTACCCACTTGCTCTGTGATCTTAGCCTAATTACCTAACCTCTAAATTTAATTTTCTTCTATAAAATTCTTTGCAGGATATAGACATAAAAATACTACATAAAGTCATTTGACAAACCCGTAGCACTGAAATACAAAAGTGAATGGCCACTTACCTTCAGACAGCCTGCAGTCTTAGTAGAGTCGTGTAAACAGATAATTACAGTACAGTGAAATAACAGTTAAAAGGTTTTTATGACGTGCAAGGAGTTTTAGAGGATTAAGCAATTGTGGTTGAGATGAGTAAATATTATTTGTGTTAAAAGATACACCATATGAAGCTAAGCTCAAGGTTTTAATATTAAATTTTAATATACTTTAATTCTGTAACTTTCCCTATGTCCCTATGTATGAGAAATGCTTCATATTACATTTGTTTCTTGATTACCTATTATAAGTTTAATATTGCAGTGCTTTATAGCTGTATCATTACACTGGAGTACTATTAAAACATAATCAACCTGAATCTAAAGTGTAGTATGTGAGTCTGTATTAGAACTTTCTTATGGTAGGCTGGGCACGGTGGCTCACGCCTGTAATCCCAGTGCTTTGGGAGGCCAAGGTGGGCGGATCACCTGAGGTCAGGAGTTCGAGACCAGCCTGACCAACATAGAGAAACCCTGTCTCTACTAAAAATACAAAATTAGCCGGGTGTGGTGGTGCGCACCTGTAATCCCCGCTACTCAGGAAGGCTGAGGCAGGAGAATCGCTTGAACCCAGGAGAATCGTTTGAACCCAGGAGGCGGAGGTTGCAGTGAGCTGAGATCACGCTATTGCACTCCACCCTGGGCAACAAGAGCGAAACTCCGTCTCAAAAAAAAAAAGAACTTTCCCATGGTAAGTTTAGTTTCTTGCAAAACTTCTGGTGACACCCTTATTAATTAATGAGTTTTGAAATATGAACAACCCCAAAAGTATTCTTTCAAGCCCCAGTGTTCATGGAGACACAAAGAAATGTTCAAGAAATGTTTTTTGGGCACTTACTATGTGCCAGACCTTGTGAATAAGAATAAATCCTATATAGTGCTAGCTTTAAGGGAATTTCTAGTCTAGAATTTTAATGCAGTATACTATGTTATTATCTGAAAACATGAAGGAAGAACTGAGGGTGTGTGTGGTTGCATGGGGAAGTGGGTTTGTGCATGGTTTATGTCAGACCAGGCTTGATAATTAAGTCTAATTAGCCAGGCAAGGAAGATGGTGGAAGGGGAGGGAATTTTCTGAGTAGAGAGAATAGCACATGCAAAAGTTTGCAGATAAGAGCTTGATTTTATTCAAGGAACTCTGGATAGTTAGGTTTAGTTCTAAGAGGAAATGGAATGGGAGATTGGAGTTTTGGGGGAGGTGGATAGGATATGATGCTAGAAATGTACATAGATCCAAATTATGTAAAATGGTATGTGCTATGCTGAAGAGATTGTCATCTTGCCTTGACTTTAGGACAGATTTCTCTATTTCTGCAAAAAATGTTGGGATTTTGGGATTTGGGATTTTGATAGGTAATGCATTGAATCTGTAGATTGCTTTATATAGTATTGACATCTTAACAATATTGTTTTGTAGTCCATGAACACGGGATACCTTTCTATTAGTGTCTTCTATATTTCTTTTTTTTTTTTTTTTTTGAGACAGAGTCTTGCTCTGTAGCCCAGGCTGGAGTGCAGTGGCGCGATCTCGGCTCACTGCAAGCTCCACCTCCTGGATTCATGCCATTCTCCTGCCTCAGCCTCCTGACTAGCTGGGACTACAAGCACCCGCCACCACGCCCGGCTAATTTTTTGTATTTTTAGTAGAGACGGGGTTTCACTGTGTTAGCCAGGATGGTGTCGATCTCCCGACCTCGTGATCCGCCCGCCTCAGCCTCCCAAAGTGCTGGGATTACAGGCGTGAGCCACTGCGCCCGGTCTATATTTCTTTTTAAGATTTTTTAATTTTTAATTACTAATTTTTAGAGATGAGGTCTTGCCTCATTGCCCAGGCTTGAGTGCAGTGGCACAATCATGGTTCGCCGTAGCCTCAAATTCCAGGGTGCAGGCAATCCTTCCGCTTCCACCTTCAGAGTAGCTAGGACTACAGGCATGCACCACCGAACCTGGCTAATTTATTTTTTTATAGAGACAGGGATCTCATTTTGTTGCCCAGGCTAGTCTCAACTCCTGGGCTCAAGCAGTCCTCTGACCTCATTGGCCTCCAAAAGTGCTAGGATTACAGGTGTGAGCCACCACACCTGGTCATTCTATAATTTCTTTCAGCAACATTTTCTGATTGTCATTGTACAAGTTTTTTGTCTCCTTGGTGAAATGTATTCTTAAGTATTTTATTCTTTTGATGCTACTGTAAATAGAATTGTTTTTTTAATTTGCTTTTCAGATTGTTCATTGTTAGTGTATAGAAATACAACTGGTTTTAGTGAGTTGATTTTATATTCTGCAACTTTCTTGAAACTCTTGATTTCTATTTTTGTTTTTTATGTTTTGAAACAGAGTCTCACTCTGTCACCCAGGCTGGAGTGCAGTGGCATGATCGCAGCTCACTGCAACCTCTGCCTCCCAGGTTGAAGCAGTTCTCCTGGCTCAGCCCCGCAAGTAGCTGGGACTACAGGCACGCACCACCACTCCTGGCTAATTTTTGTATTTTTAGTAGAGATGAGGTTTCACCATGTTGGCCAGGCTGGTCTTGAATTGCTGACCTCAAGCAAGCCGCCCATCTCGGCCTCCCAAAGTGCTAGGATTACAGGCAGGAGCCACTGTGCCTGGCTATTTATAAGCTATTAATTTAATAGAAATAAAATATTTGACAGATTTCTTCTTCCTATTCTTTGGTGTTACAGGATCTTCATGAAATCCCTATTTTACAGTGAGGAAGCATCAAGAAACAAATGGTATACTCTTTAATAGGAACAATATGCCATATTTATCAAATTATAGAATATATAAAGCTTGCAAATATTATGTAGTAGATAATTCCTTTAAAGTGTACTCCTCATGGTTATGTTCTAATCACATTCCCACAAAAGTTTCTATACTCTGAATAACTTTAAGGGAGGAATACAGTAATTGTTGGTGTATATGATAAGGTCCATGTGTTTTATGAATATTAGGTATTGGATATATGAGCTCATAAGAGAAGATAATCTTTGGTACGTTATATTGATCATGCCACTTTCCCAATTTCAAATAACTTATGGATTCTTAAAGGTATTAAATGAATAAGTACTATTTTTTAAGTAGATATGTCATTTTAAAACATTTTGGTTTGGGCCATGCCTTCGTCAATATGTTCCACATAGTTCCATATAAAATTAGAGTCTCTATATGATAACATCAAAGACATGCCTGAAGGGAACTTAATTTTTTTAAGGAGGTGGGGAATCCATTTGTAGAAACCAGTGTAAGAAGCTGTTTGAAAGACATCAAACATGGACTTGTCTGGACTTTGCAGGTTTTAAGGTATATATAGGAATCAAAATTGACTCATGACTTTTAAAGCTTCATGTCAGTAAAAAATAAAAGAGAAATGTTGGGAATGGTAATATTTGAGATATATAGTTTTTACTTAGCTACAGAAATGTACCCATAGGAACTTGCTTGAATCTGAATGCTCTGCTACACGTGTTTAGAATTATTTTTGCCTCTTTTGCCAAAACATAATAAAATGATAGCAAAATATGACAGTATGTGCACTGATCACAACAATATAATAAACTGCATCCATGTCTTTTAAAACTAGGCAAGAATAGACAAAATGCTCTAATTTCTGTTGGAGACTAGCAATATGCAAACCAGACCATTTTTGTTGAAAAATTCTGGAGACATTTATGACCGAGTTTTTATATCCTTTAAGATAATTTTATCCTTTCATGATTGTATCATTTCATGATATGTTCCTTTTGTGACAAATGCTGCTAGTATCAGTGTCACAGATTGTTACTGATGATATACAGTGTTTATGCTTTAAATTCCGAACTCACAGAATTTAATGGAAACTTCAGAATTCTTTAAATTTCAAAAGTTTTAAAGCATATTTATTTGGGTACAAAATTTTATTGCCTTTAAAAATCTTTTTCAGTATCAAGTTTATTATCAAAAGCACAAATAATAAAATAGAATTTAAAATATTTATTTTCAGAATACCACTATTTTAATAAATGATCTTTTGCCTATGCCAGCGTCTGCTATTAACATCTAGCTAATATATTTTCTGTGTCTAGTAAATATGGTAATCAGTTTCAAAGAAAACTAGGTAGGTTTTGTGAGGCAAAGTTGAAACACCTTGAAGAAATGGGAAAGTTTGGGGGCTCTAATAGGACAGGATAAATATTTCTTGATTCATTTTTTAATTGCTCCATTTATTTTCTATACATAGAATCAAAAATTCTAAAAAGAGAACATTATCTTAAGACTGCACAAATTAACAGTGAAAGGAATTGTCCCACTCATTATTAAGAATGCTGTCAGGCTGGGCACAGTGGCACACACTTGGGAGGCCAAGGCAGGAGGATTACTTGAGTCCGGGAGTCTGAGACCAGCCTGGACAACAAAGCGAGACCCTGTCTCTACAAAAAACATTTTTTTAATTAGCTAGGCATGGTGGTGTGTGCCTGTGGTCCCAGCTACTTGAGAGGTTGAGGCAGGAGGATCGCTTGGGCCTGGTAAGTCAAGGCTACAGTGAGCCGTGATTGCACCACTGCACCCCAGCCTGGGTGACAGAAATCCTGTCTCAAAAATAATAATAATATTATTATTATTATCAGTAACTCTCACACCTTTTATTTTTTATTTGCATTCACATCTGTAAATAATAAAATCCACAAAAATTAATTTACCCATTTTGAGATAATTCAATCTTAAGCAAAGTGAGCACAGCTTAAGTATGGCTTTGGAATTTAAATAATTTGTTAGGCAATTATAGAAATGCTAGCAGTAGTAGTTTTGGTTGAAGTTTAATTACTTCATTTGTATATAAAGCCCCCACTGTTTGTCAAGAAAGTGATGTTAGGGGTATTATTTATAATTCAGAACCATAAATAACTTGTTTAAAATGACAGTACATACATTTTATATATATATATGGTTTGGTCTGGGTAAAGAACTAAAATAAGAACATAGCAGTGATTTTTGTTAATGCATAAGGAATTCTTGCCTCATTTCTGAACTCTTAAATTTGCTTTGTGTATTACAATATACAGGCCCTTGATTGTTTCATTTCCTCCAAAATTTATGTATGAGTGTGTGTAAGGTTAATTGTAGCACAGTGCTTGGTCTTGTGAACACTGTTTCCTCAATAGGTATCTTAGGTTGCCAGTGTTACAATCCCAGATACTTTGTTCAACAGATTACCTGTTCATACAGGAGCTACATTGTTGTATAGCCTCATTCCTTCCGATGGGTGTGGAGCAGGATTAAAGCACACTTTATAGGGGTTCTAATTGTAGATTCCTAATTGACTTGGTGAATAGCAAATGCTAAAATTTAAACACACACACATATACACATATAAACCTGTTTCAGGGTGATCTACGTGACAGAACAAATGCCTCACAGGTGTTGAATGCTTACCAGATAAAAGAGTAGTTCTTCCCCTGTTTCCCAAGGATTTTCTTTTGAAGTTTATATGGATTTTCTGTCTCATTGTTTCTTTTCTTAAAATGGTTTGTGGCAAGAATCCATTTCATCTTTGGCTGCACTTTTCACTTTTAAAGGCAGAACTGATTGTTAGAAGTCAGCCAAAATTAAAAACAAAAAAAAAATCTGTCAAGTAAAATTTCGCACATTTTTGAGAAGGGAAAACATGTGCATGGATGCACCACAGGTTTTGGTTTTTTAAACAACTCACTTATTGAAGGATGTTTGGGTTGTTTCTAATGTTTGGCTAAGACTGCTGTGAACATTCAATACAGGTTTATCTGTAACATTTTTTTCACCATCTTATTTATAACATTTTATTTATTCAAATTATAGAGCATAGAATCGAAGATAAAATGTGTCATATCAGTTGGACATTTTCTAAAGGTGAAATTTGAGACATAAGGAAAAAATGTAACATCCAAAAAATTCTCCAGGGCCTTTATTTTTCCACAGTATATGGATTTCCTGGCAATAAATCATTACTATGGAGGGCAATAAGAAGAGATGACTTCTTCTTTAGTGTCTATGTGACCATGGTTGGGAAATGTATAGGTTTGTTTTTAAAATTTGTATTTGTCTAAATTATGTTGTCCAAAAGATTGTATCAAGTTTAACAAATAAAGAAAAATTATGTTCTTAGGAATGATAAATATATTAATGTTTCTATACACATATATGAAAAACTTTTCTGATTTATAACTTGATAGAATCTGTGAACTACCAAAGGCATATAGTAAATATTCTTGGGTTCTTCGGAAATCAGTCAACTAGTAATTATTTATTGGTAACTAACTGCCACCAAATAAAAATTCTTGAGTAGATCTATAATTGGGTAAATTGTAGAATAGTAAAAGCACTGATTGAGAAATTAAAGAGTAAATATTGAGGGCTTTTTTCCCCTTTATGTTAATCACATTGCAGAAAATGGGGAGCATAGAGAAAATAGAGGGCACAGCAATATTCAACAGAAAAAATTTTCTAGTTTTTTACTATTTTAATATTTGATTAAATAACTTCATTTTATTTTATTTTGTTTTGTTTTATTTTATTTTATTTTATTTTTTCAGACGGAGTTTCGCTCTTGTTGCCCACGCTGGAGTGCAATGGCGGGATCTCAGCTCACCGCAGCCTCTGCCTCCCGGGTTCAAGCGATTCTCCCCAGCCTCCCGAGTAGCTAGGGTTACAAGCATGTGCCACCACACCCGGCTAATTTTGTCTTTTTATTAGAGACGGGGTTTCTCCACGTTGATCGGGCTGGTCTCGGAACTCTTGACCTCGGGTGATCTGCCCACCTTGGCCTCCCAAGGTGCTGGTATTACAGGCATGAATCACCGTGCCCAGCCGATTAAATAACATTTTTAAATCAATATTGGGTTTTATAATTTTTACAATTTTGCTAGTTGTTTTGGTTTGACTTATATTTAGTTGCTGATGATGTATGTATTTTCATATTTGTTCAGTGACTTTTTTCTTTTGTTAATTACTGTTCATGAAAATTAGAAATGTCACCCTGTTTTGTCCATATCCTTCCTTGCAGTTTCAATGCCTGTCAGTCTGCTTTCTTCTCAGTAATTACCTGAGTCCATAGGCAGTGGTCTTCTCTTATGTTTTGTATCAGACTTAATTAAAATTAAAAATTCATGTAATAGATATCTTGAGATAAAACATTCATGCCTTTTGTTAGGTACTTTTCCATAAGGAATTTTGCTACTAGTCCAGGACTTCCTACCACAGTCTAGTTTAATCCCAGAAGATTTGTGCCTACATAAACACCATTGCTGTTAGCAAATACACAGGCTATGTCAGAACATAGACCTTCATTTACAGTGAACTTCTAATTATATGCTTGCCCTGCTATTAGAAAAGTAATAACTTACTTTAGATGGGGAAAATGTTATTCCATTTGACTGTCATATGATAGACTAAAAGCAATACATTGCAGATATGCTTTTGTGACTGCAGAGTACACGTAAGGGGCATATACTGTAAACTAATGAGACCTGGTTTATTATTTAGAGGCCAGACTGATGTGACTTAATAGTGGAGCATTTGACTCATAAAGGAACTGTTGTAGAAGTAATACCTTTTCTTTTTACTTTTCAGGTTTACAAGTAAAAGTAACCAAGCTAAAACAGGAACGAATCTTGTAAGTATCAGTATGTAATACTCATGTGTTATTTATAGAGTAGTTGATACTGATGTCCAATTTGACATTCATAGAGTAGTTGATACTGATGTCCAATTTGACCTTAATGTCTTATTTATAAAAAAAATTAGCCCTACTTAGTATGGGCCTTGGTAGTCAGCAGCAGTTTTTTTTTTCAAATTCTAAAGTAAAAAGAATAATTTTGCAATTTTAAGTGTAGCCTTAATTATGTATGTTTATATTGTAATACAACTTACATATGTAATCTTTTCCCATAAAGTATTAAAATGACAATTGATCTGTAGTCTCATTTTGATTTGTCAGCGGAGTTCTTTGTTGAGCCATAATTAACACATGGAATTCAACATGCTACAAGACGAGGAGCAGAATAATTCTGGGATTTCTAAACTCATATGAATGGAAACTAAATGGGTATTTTAAGACTCCTTTTAGGTAGTTTGAAATTACTTGAAGATTCTCTGAATTGTTTTGCTTATAAAGTTCTAAATCAGATCTGATTTTTTAAGTTCGGGAACATATTTTACTCATGATTCTCTAGAGCTTCCACATTCAGGAATCTGAAACAGATGGCAGAGTAGCTTTGTAACACTTACTAAGAAAATTCTCTTTAGCTGCTGAGAAATTTAGAAATTCTGGAATATAGACTATTCACCTTCAGATAAACTCTTGTTTTCTTTTAAAATTATTTTAATTAAGAAATTTAAAGAATTGTAAAGACAAAAAAAATTTTCCAGTTGTGCAGCACTGTTTTCATGCTTTTGATTCCTTATCACAAAGTTTCTTTGTAGAGGGTATAACTCGAACATAATGTTTTGTCCATTTTATTCATAGTAGTTCCTATCCCTCCCTATAGATCCCCCCACCCCAGCCCCCATATATGACATTTGATTTAAAAGTAATGAAAAAATTGTTGAATGTGCTGCATAGGTATGTAAAAGAGACAGGAAGGTTTGTTATCTATTTTATTACAGTTACATTTTCAAATACAAGATTTACCCAGCTTCTTATGCCAGTTGTATTTAAAATGTTCAGTTACCTTAGAAAGACAGAAGGCCACCAATTAGGAAAATGATACTGAGTTTTTAGTAAAATGCTGCTAATGGCATTGAGCTTGCTTTAGAAATGAAGTTAGTGATTGGTGTAGTAATAACTCTTCCTTTGGATGAGGTCCAGGGTAGACCTGTCTTTAATATATTAGACACTTCCCTGTTTTTGAAATTGCATGACTCTTTTTGCACTGTCTGGAATTCATCAATTTGCTTTTTTAAAGACCTTGTTAAATTATTTCTGCAATTAGTAAATGCTCTTTATGTTACCACTTTCTTGACCTGAATATTTTATTAAGTAATTGAAGTTAGTTTTAACTTCAACTTAGGTTATTCATCTACATAATAGTTTAGCTTTAAGACAAATACTGTCATGCTCTGCGTTATTCTAAATAGAACAGTAATGGAATATATGAATATGGGAAAATCAGATAACTCACTACTATTACAGAGTTCTGTTCATCATTTAAGAAAAAACCCTTTGCTATTAACTTTTCACTCCTTAAGAGTGAAAATGTATATGTGTGTAAATCTTCAATGTGTGTGTAAATCTTCAATTTAATATTTACTGTATTTTATGATACAGATTATTTAAGGCAAATGTGTGTAAATTTTCAATGTAATATTTACTGTATTTTATGATACAGATTAAGTTAAATATTAAATTTGAATACATGTTGGCAGTCTGTTTTAGGACATGATTAATCACACCTCCAGGCTTAGACAAGTTATCTGGTTGTATTTGCTGAATAGGATCAGTGAAAACCTGGTGTTCCTTCTGAATTAAATATATTTTCTAGAAGTAGTAGGAAATATTTTATTTATTTATTTATTTATTTATTTTTGTTAAATGAGAAATGGCCAGGTTAACAAGCTTCAATGATATATTACTTTCTGTTATTTTCAAGTTCTCAGATGTCCCTACATGCTACCATAACTATATTTGTTGTATAGCCAGAAGGTGTTGCTCTTACGTGTATTGGTTTTTCAATTAATATAAACTTTTCAACAAATATTTAAGAAATTCCCTCTATATTTGATACCTGACATTTTGGCTTAGTTGTTTTACTCATCTATTTTGGTGCCAGTGACACTATATTCTAGCCACTTTGACACAATCATTTTGACATCTACTTTTTATGACAGACTGATTTGCCACTCTTAATTGATTTGATATTTTAGACCCTTCAAGGGACTGGGAGAAGGTGTTTGAATCATAGTATTACATTTTCAGCTTCAAGACTATACAGAAAATCCTAATCAAATTTCTAATGGGTTTTCTTAGAATTAAAATATGTGAATACTTTATATAATAAGGTGATTTTTAAAAATAATGATAGAGGGGTAAAATATGACAACTTTGGAAGGTAATCAGGTTTAAGTAGAAGAAGATTCTGGTTGTCTTTGTTAGTTTTTTTTCTCACTATAAAGTCATAATGGTAAACACTTAACATAAAGCCTACTGTGTGCCACACTGTTCCGTATCCAATACATACATTAATACTTATTTCTCAGACCTTTTGGAGTAGATATTAATGTATCTACACTTGGTGAGGCACAGAGAGTTTAGGTTAATTGTATCAGGTCACACAGCTGGTAAATGAAGAGCTGGACTCAAACCCATTTTGCATCTGGGCGTAGGGTTCCCGTTCGTCCACTTCACTGTAAGCTCTGACTTAAAAGCAAGACCAGGTAAAAATTTTAAACAACACAGAAATTAGTAAAATAGAAAGTATGAGTTCCCCATAATTGAAGAGATGATGTGAGTAGAGAAATACTATTTACATTAATAAATATATGCAAAATAATAAAATAATGTACATTTTGATAGCTATTTTGACAAAGTTGAGTCAATAGTGGCATGATGACTTTATGGTATATAAGAGCTCTGCAGAGAAAATTCTGGTATAATTTGAACTGTGATTTACAAGATATTCCAACCTGACCTTTTCAGTTGTTTTGTTTTGGTACAAGAAATTTGTTATATAAACACGGTGGAGCTCTTAGAATTATCCTGTTAAGAGTATTTTTATCTGAAAAACTTATTTATTTTTTGACCTTTAGAGATGCACAAAGACTAGAAGAATTCTTCACCAAAAATCAACAGCTGAGGGAACAGCAGAAAGTCCTTCATGAAACCATTAAAGTTTTAGAAGATCGGTGAGTCTGGCACTTAGGTCTTGAGTAAGAAGTGATTTCCTCCATAATAAGAAGTACATTGACTTTCATTTGTAATTAGTTTTGGGATTGAAAGTGATCTTTCCCACAGCCTTCTCTCACCTTTGAATGAATACTTTATGAAAACAAGGATCTATTCTTTAAGATTTTCATTAATTCTGAGATCACATCAGTTTACCCTTTAAATGATATCTTTATCTGGTGTTTGATGTAGTGGAAGCTCAAGGGTAGCAATGTTCTAATTCATTTAATGCTTTAATTCCAGTTTTACTTCTAAGTAGGTGGAAACTGCTTCACAATTCTGTTTCTGTCGTCTTTTCTTGTTCTTGCTGTTCTCTTTTCTTCTTTGCAGATTTCCTCACTTTGAGGGAGTCTAGGGATCTTCTTTCTGAGTATTCCTGAAATAATATTATCACTTACTTCCATACACAGACTTCTTTCTTTCCCACTCCTATGAGGTTAACACTGAGGATTAGAAAAGGCTTCCAGCATTTGCTGTTTTCCCTTTTCTGAATTGTAAGTGCTATTTAGGACCTATAAACTACCTACCTGCTATAGTAAACAATATTCCAGCCAAGCGTGGTGGCTCACACCTGTAATCTCAATACTTTGGGAGGCTAAGGTGGGAGGATCGCCTGAGGCCAGACATTCAAGACCAGCCTGGACAAACAAAGCGAGACCCTGTCTCTACAAAAAATTTTAAAAGCTGAGCATGATGGCCTGAACCTGTAGTTTCAGCTACTCTAGAGGATCGCTTGAGTCCAAAGTGATTGAGGCTGCAGTGAGCTATGATCGCACTGCTGCGCTCCAGCCTGGGTGACAGAGCAAGACCGTGTCTCCAAAAAAAAAAAAAAAATACAAACCCACGATATCCCATACTTTCTTTATAGTTTTTATTTTTCCAGGGTAGGCATAGTGGCTCATGCCTGTAACCTCAGTTCTTTGGGAAGCCAAGGCAAGAAGATGATTGCTTGAGTCCAGTAGTTCAAAACCAGCGTCGCAGTATAGCAAGAACTCATCTCTACAAAAAATTAAAAATTAGCCAGGCATGTGACTGGAGTCCTAGCTACTCAGGACACTGAGACGGGAGGATTGCTTGAGTCCAGGAGTTTGAGCAAGCTATGATTGTGCCATTGCACTCCAGCCTGTGTAACAGAACAAGACCCTGTCTCTTAAAAAAATTTTTTTCTTGATATTTTTGTATATGTTACGGAAGGGCTGGGTGATTTGAGTTTGTCTCTATCCTTTTAGTGGTGAAATAATTTAATATTCTTCATATGTGCAAACTGAAATTGAGTACTTTCTACAACTACCAACTCAATGGATGCACATTTGTTGGAATAGGCAGTGTATTGTGGAATAAAGACCTGTGCGCTTTAGAATCACATATGTTTTTGAATTCCAGCTTCACCCTGTGTTCTTAATTCAGATTCCACAACAAATATTTGAGTCCTTGCTGTCTTAGGTGTTGCTCTAGGGGGCTAGGGATGATACTTTTCCTAGTATGTCATGGATTAAATGAGACAGTGCAAGTAACAATACATAACAGAAGTTGAATAAGACTTACATATCTTAGTTGGTGAATATAATTTAGCACTCCTGTCTGTGCATATATTTAATTTTCAAAGGTTGGGAGTGAGCCATACGACAAACAAATGAGACAATTTCAGATTATAAATGCTATGAAGAAAATAAAATCGAATTATGTAATTGAGTAACCACAGGATCTGTGTAGAAAAAAAAACCAAACGCAGCTTTTCCCACTGTACTCGTACAACATGCTTCAGACACCAGATGTGAGGAGGAGTTTCCCCTACCAACAAGCAAACAATTAATTCTACAGCAGACACTAGCTGGGTATCCTCTTAATTCAATTCCTACACTGGATATGGCATCAGGTCCCACAGGTTGAGGGCTTTGTCCCCATGACTGTGTCCTTCCCTCAATTCTGATGCCAATTTCAAGCCCCAGGTTGTTTACCCATGCTTTGGACAGACTCTAAATTGGGGTTCCCACAACCCCCTCCTCGGGTTATATTTACTAGAGTGACTCACGAAACTCAGGAAAACATTTATATTTATCAGTTTATTACAAAAAATTTGTTAAAGGTTACAAGTCAACAGCCAAATGAAGAGATACATGGGGTGAGGTCTAGAAGGATCCTAAACACAGGAGCTTCTGTCACCATGGAGTTGGGGTGCTGTCTTAACTGAGACTTGATTGACAGAAAGGAACCATCCACTTGAAGAACTAGAGACAAAAGGAAATAGAACAGACAAATGTGAAAGTCTAGGGTAGAAATAAGTTTGAAATATTTGAGGAACAGAAAGTCTACTGTGGTTCTAGTTTAATGAGTAAAGGGGATGAGTGATAGGAGTGAGATTGGAAATCTAGTGGGGCAACAACTAGATTTCGTAGGGACATAGGCAAAAAGTTTGGATTTTAATTGTGATGGAAACCACTTAAGCAGGAGAATAACAAAGGGATATAAGTAGGTAGCAACAGCCTGTCTATCCAAATGGAAATGTCAAGTAGATAGATGTATATGTGAATCTAGGATTCAGTGGATCTCTTAAGGACATCTTTGAATAGTATAGGAAGAAAGAAGAGGTCTTAGGGCTGAATCCTTTGGCATTCCTGATTAAGGTTTCATGAAGAATAAGGACCCAGCCAGCAAAAGATTGAGAAAGAGAAACTATTAAAATAGAAGAAAAGCCAGGAACATAGGTCTTGACCACTAACAATACCTTCTTTGCAGGGCTATTTTGAAGTTTAAATGAGATAATGGAAGCAGCAGTACATAACAGATATTTAATAAGACATATACTATCTCCTAATTGGAAGATGATTCCAACTTTTAGCACTCTAATCTGTGTTATATAACACAGCCATGTCTAGGCTGTCTAGCTGAGAAGCCAGGAAACTAGAAAGCCATCTCTCCCACTCACCCTTTCCCAGGTCAGCAATGGAAAGGAAATCATTAGTTACTCATCTGTAGTGTGGTGAGGCGCTTCCTTCTGTTTTCTCTGGATATGTAGTAGAGGATTTCAGGGAACATATCTCTCTCAGCCTTTAACTCCAGCCATTGAAGAGCTTCCTTCTCTTATTTCACCACGTTTTTTCTCTCATTTCTACCATTACACCACTTTCTACAAGCAGTGAGGTTGGAGTGAGTAATGGCATTAACGCCAAGAGATTAGGAATGCTTTTTGTTCCATCATTCCTATGTAAAGAAAATTTCAAGATTGGTATTAATAACGAAATATGTTAGCCTGAGTTCTCTGAGAAGCAAACATCAATAAGACTTTGGACACTGAAGAGATTTATTGGGAAAAATACCTGTAAGAAATGAGGCGTCTGGGAGAGCTGTCAGACCCTCATGCCTCTAACTCTGTGAAGAAGAGAGGGAAGAGGATACTGTACTTGTAAGAGAGCTTTGACAAAGCTAACAGGGAGTCCTGGAGCCATAGTTGCCCTGCTTTCCTCATTTATAGCAGGATCTGACTATGGGATGCCTGGTGTATTCACCTATGTGGAAACAGGTGAAGGATTTCACAGCACAGAAGGTGGAGCCAGGGATTTTATTCTCCTACTGTGGTAGGAGACAGTAAGATGACTGGCCAACTTATATTGACTTCCAGTACTCTTCCTGTTTAGTTGTTCCTTAGCAAGTTGTTAGAGCCCAAAATTATTACACTCAAATTTACTGGATAACATTTTCATTATGTTTTTCTTGAAACATTGGCTTAATACAATTGGCTCTCCATTTCATCCCCAAGATAGTATTCTTCATCCTGCCCCTTGAAGACATTGCTTTCCAGTGTCTTCAAAACACTCTTCATTTTATGGCTTAAAGTTTGAGCTTCCTGTTCTGGTAACCTTTGCAGTCTTGTACTTCCTTTTTAAGTAGTTTTTCTTCTCCAGGCCGTTTCAGAGAAGAAATCAGTGGATGAGTGCCTCATCTCCTTCCCATTAAATTACTTTCTTTTATGTAGTCTATATATTTTTTTTTTATTTTTATTTTTCCCTGTATTAGTCCATTTTCACGCTGATTTAAAGGACTGCCTGAGATTGGGTAGTTTATAAAGAAAGGTGGTTTAGTTGACTCACAGTTCTGCAGAGCTGGGGAGGCCTCAGGAAACTTACAATCATGGCAGAAAGGGAAGCAAACACATCCTTTTTCACATGATGGCAGGAAGAAGTGCCAAGCAAAAGGGGGATAAGCCCCTTATAAAACCATCAGATCTCATGAGAACTCACTCACTATCCACAAGAACAGAAGCATGGGGGTAACCACCCCCATGATTCAATTACTTCCCACAGTTGGGACTGTGGGAACTACAATTCAAGTTGAGATTTGGGTGGGGACACAGCCAAATCATATCATTCCACTCCTTGCCCCTTCCAAATCTCATGTCCTCGCATTTCAAGACAATCATTGCCTTCCCCACAGTCGCCTAGAATCTTAACTCATTACAGCATTAACCCAAAAGTCCAAGTCCAAAGTCTCATCTGAGACAAGGCAAGTTCCTTCCGCCTGTGAGCCTGTAAAATCAAAAGCAAGTTAGTTACCTCGTAGATACAGTGGGGATACAGGCATTGGGTAAATACACCCATTCCAAATGGGAGAAATTGGCCAAAACAAAGGGGCTGCAGGCCCCATGCAAATCCAAAATCCAGCAGGGCAGTCAAATTTTAAAACTCCAAAATGATCCCCTTTGACTCCATGTCTCACATCCAGGTCATGCTGATACAAGAGGTGGGTTCCCACAGTCTTGGGCAGCTCTGCCCCTGTGATTTTGCAGGGTACAGCCCCATTCCCAGCTTCCTTCACAGGCTGGCATTGAGTGTTTGCGGCTTTTCCAGGTGCACAGTGCAAGCTGTTGGTGGATCTGGGTGTTTCTGGGGTCTGGAGGATGATGGCCGTCTTATTACAGCTCCACTAGACAGTGTCCCAGTGGGGACTGTGTGGAGGCTCCAACCCAACATTTCCCTCCCACACAGTTCCACATGGTTGGGGAGGCCTCAGAAAACTTACAATCATGGCGAAGGGGGAGTAAACACGTCCTTCTTCACATGATGGCAGGAGGAAGTGCCAAGCAAAAGGGGGAAAAGCCCCTTATGAAACCATCAGATCTCGTTAGAACTCACTATCAAGAGAACAGCAGCATAGCGTTAACTGCCCCCATGATTCAGTTACCTCCTACCAGATCCCTCCCTCCTGATTTCAAGCAGTTCTCCCACCTCATCCTCCCAAAGCGCTGGTATTGTAGGCATAAGCCACTGTGCGCAGCCAGTTGATACATTTAATTGTTAAAATTATGTGTTTTATTCTGCATTTCTTAAAACTAGGTTCTTTTCTCTTTAAGATCTATTCTACCTCTGGTGGATGCCATGCTGCTTTGGTATTTCTCATTCTAAATATTCCCTTGCCTTTCATTCCATTCACCTTTACATCCTCAGGTACATGGGCCTGTAATTCATTAGGTGGTATTAATTTGGTGGCAGGGAGTCGGGGTGGGATGAGGGATATGTAGCTCGTTGTTTTGTAGACTTGCTTTTGCTCACCTTTCTTCAAATGCAAATCCAAAATTTCCTGTGGGCACACTTAAAGATTTATCTCTTGTTTCATGAAGCTCCATTTAATTAAGCTGAAGATCTGTTTTTTTAAATACAGTAGTTAGTATGTATTGAGGATTCACTTTGTACTTAGGCATCCAGCGCTAAATCTTTCTATTAACGCTACAGGATAGATGATAGATCCATTTTGCATGTGAGGAAACTAGCTGGCAAAGAGCAAAGAAGCTTTCCCAGGATCACATAGTTAATACATAATTAGGTTTATATCTTTTTTTTTTTTTTTTGAGACAGAGTCTTGCTCTGTCACCCAGGCTGGAGTGCAGTGGCGCGATCTCTGCTCACTGCAAGCTCCGCCTGCCAGGTTCACGCCATTCTCCTGCCTCAGCCTCCCGAGTGGCTGGGACTACAGGCGCCCACTGCCTCGCCCGGCTAATTTTTTTTTGTATTTTTAGTAGAGACGGGTTTTCACTGTGTTCGCCAGGATGGCCTCGATCTCCTGACCTCGTGATCTGCCCACCTGGGCCTCCCAAAGTGCTGGGATTACAGGTGTGAGCCACCGCGCCTGGCCAGGTTTATATCTTAAATCTGATCCCCGCTTCCATTTTTACTATTTCATGATGCCTCCCCTTTATATTGTCTTAACTTTATTAATGTTATATAAATTAATTACATCTTAAATGATCATCTCAAAGTATTTGTGCTTGATCTAAAGTTTACCAAAACAGACACTCTGAAATATCAGGTCTTCAACATTGCCTATTGTATAGTCTGTTTCCTTGGAAGGTTTTTTTTTCGTTTTTGTTTTTTTAATTGTTGCTAACTAAATACTACCTTTAAAGGACTAAGTAGGTAACTTTTGGTGAATTTCTGCTTTATTTAAAATTTTCTTTTAGTTCTATGTCATATGTAAGAATGATTATCTAGAGTAAGCTTTAAAAATCTGTACAAACTAACATTTTGCTGAGACCTTTAAAAGCAACATGTATTTTGTTAATTTTTTTTTCTTTTGTTTGGTCTTTTTGTTTTGTTTTGTTTTGTTTAGAGACAGGGTCTTACTCTGTTGCCCAGGCTGGAGTGTAATGGCACCATCATAGCTCATTACAGCCTCAAATTCCTTGGCTCAAGAGATCTTCTCACATCAGCCCCCCCAGGTAGCTAGGACTACAGGCAAGCACCACGCCATGCCTGGCTAATTTTTTTGTTTTTATAGAGACTGTCTTGCTGCGTTGATCATAGGCTGGTCTTGAACTCCTGGCCTCAAGTGATCCTCCTGCCTTGGCCTTCCACGGTATTGGGATTACAGGCATCAGCCACTGTGTTCAGCCTATTTTGTTAAAATTTCTGAACAGTAATTCAGCCTACTCTTCATAAAACAAAGCAATTCTTAGTATGTTAATGGGAAAACACTGAGATATTTCAATGAAGGGAATTACCTAGTAAAAGTAAATTAGATAATAAAAAGTTCTAAGTTCTAATTTTATGTGGCTCATTTATGTTTAATGATTATTATGTTTTATATTATGTTTAATAATTATTATTATGTTTAATGAGTATATTTACAGACTTTCCTTCCAGGAACTAAAGTATTTCACTAAATCTAAGAAACAGTCACTGTGCTGGAGAAGTAGATAGAACGCATTTTTTTTGAAAATCTGAACAAAGAAGTTAAAACACAGTTGTCTAATAGAGTTTAATATTTTTTAAAGCATTTTGGCAGTCAGTGAGCTCATTTTCAGATGCTGTTAAAAGGAAAATTGATACTTATAATCAGGAGATGTATGGTTCTGCAACTATTTTTCAAACACTGAAGCAAGTGTCCGCTTTTGTGTTGCTGTTATTCATAGATTTGAATTTAAACATCATATTATTCAGGAGACTTTCTCTAACTTGCTAGACTAGGTTAAGTTGCTGTGTGCTTTCATAGTACTCTGTATTTCTGCTGTCACAGTATGAATTATACTTTGTTGTAATTACTTTTTCTTTTTTTTTTTTTTTTTTTTGCCTGTCTTTCTCTGGTAGACTATAAGCTTTTTAAAGAAATGGCATTACCTTCATCTCTGTTGTATTTACAGCACTGAGCACATTGTAAGTAAACAGTGAAACCATATTGAATGAAAATGAATAAATGTCAATAAATCTTTTTGGGCTATAGCAAACAATTGAGCATAATTGTTACTCTGATAAGTTTTAGTAGCAAATGGAAGCTTTTATTTCTTCATCTTTGTGAACTGGAATAAACTCAGAATGCATGTTGCTTTCTGCCTTTTGTGGAATTGCCCTTTTTTCCCTTTACCTGTTACATAGCTACTGAAACTGCATTCTCTTGTGAAATTGGGAGTGTTTTTTCTTTAGCAGCAGCAGTGGAAGATAGGCAAGAGGAAAGCAATGGAACCATGCTGATGGAAACAGGAGCTAGCACATTTTCTTGCTTCTATTTAAATTTAAACTAGGATCAGCAATCAAAAATTGACCCTTTTTCACAGATACTATTATCAAGAATGGTAGGTGATAAGAAAAACTGAAAGTAATAAGCTAGGGAATATTGCTTCATTTTGTTTCATTTTGTAACCATCTAGCCAGTGATATTTTAAAAATCCCTCTCCTGTATTTGAAAAGTTATTGTTTTAGCTCTTCTATTTTACCTTTCAACCTTAATATATATATTTAGGTCTTTGTTTTATATTGCTTCACCTGTGAACAGTTTCCCTGTTCTTACCATTATGTTACAGGAAGATACTGGTGTTTCTTACCCTTTCCTCTATCACTTTTCCGCTCTTTCTACCATCTGCCTTTGATGAGCTGAACCTTTACGATATAAATATGGTCAAGGTTGACAATAGTTATCTTCTTTTCTATTACCAGATTTCAGTCTTTTTTGTATTTTGTTTATAAGCTGATTCTAGAAGTTGGAAAATAGTAAACTGAGTTTATTTATTGACTGTATAAATATTCACTGCAGAGCTAGGATTGCATTTCTTTACGTATCTGATGTCATGGCCTTTCTGCCACTGAGGGAAATTGTTTCTAATGTCCAGATGAAATACATTGTTTTTTACTTTGTCCCCAATCAGTTGTTCAAATCAGCTCATAATTATGTTATGATAATGACTTATTTAAATGTTTTTTTCTAGAATTTCTCACTACCCTTTTTCATGTTGAGACAAGAACCATGTTTCCTTACATCATTAATATTATTTAATGCCTTAGTTATTCTACTCATTCATTAATTTTTTTTTGTTGTAGGTTTTGTTTGTTTGTTTTGAGGCAGGGTCTCGCTCTGCTGGAGTGCAGTGGCGCGACCTTGGCTCACTTCAGCATCTACCTCCCAGGCCCAAGTGATCCTCACACCTCAGCCTTAGAGTAGCTGGGACTACACATAACACTACACCTGACTAATTTTCTGATTTTTTTATAGAGACAAGGTCCTCCTATGTTGCCCAGGCTTGTCTTGAACTCCTAGGCTCAGACCATCCTCCCACCTCAGCCTCCCAGAGTACTGAGATTATAGGCATGAGCCACTGTGCTCAGCCAGTTCTTTTTCTTGAAGAAATATTTCTTGGGCTAAAAAACTTCTTGTACTAATTTAGGTCATTCACTTTCTAGACTATTCTAGAAAGCTGTCATTCTGGATTTCTCTTCATTAGATCCCTGCATTAATTCAGTTATTTCATTTCTCTCATGTTAAACAGTCAACAAATACTTAATGAACCACCTGTTTTGTTCCAGGCACTGTTTTAGACCTTGGGGATACACCAGTGAATGTGATCGATAAATGTGGGCCTTTCTATTGGTTTTTTAAGCTCATTTTGTTACAGCTTACCCTCAAGTAACTGCTGAAAAAGAAGGCACAGGAACTAAATTTTCAAAGGGTCCTTGCATTCTCGAAAATATTTTTATTCTACTGTTTATTATATAGTTGATATTTTGACTGGATATAAATTTCTAGGTTTAAAATAGTTTTCCCTGAAAACTTTGAAGGCATTTCTCATTGTTAGCATTCCAGTACTGATACAGTCTGCCATTCTCGTGTTAATTCTTTTGTAGGTAACAGATTTTCTTTTCCTTTCTGAAATTTTTCCTTGTTCTGATCAACCTTCGTGATGCTCTGTGTGTGTGTGTTTCCTTCATTGCACTGGACACTCAACCTGTTAACCTAAAAACTAGCACTCAAAGTCTGGTAATTTTTTTCTGCCACTTTCTCTATTTTTTAATGGTCTCTCTTTCTGGAGCACTTCTTAGTCAGAGACTGATTTTTTATCATCTTTTCTCTTATTTTCTATTACTTGTTTTTCTTCCATGTTCTGTGAGATTTCTTTTATTCTCCAACCCTACTATTGAAGTTATTTTGACAATCACGTACGTAATATCCAAGAACTTTTTATTATTTGTTGATTGTTGCTGTATATTTATATGTGTGTGTGTGTTTGTGTGTGTGTGTGTGTATACTCTTGTTTTATGGCTGTATCATTTCCCAGATTTTTCCAGGAATGCTAGATAGCTTTTGCTTTTCCCCCTCAAGGTCTTTTTGTGTGGTAAAAATCTATATAAGATGAACTTTCTTTTTTTTTTTTTTTTTTTTTGGTGGTGGTTGTTGTTTTGAGACAGAGTCTCGCTCTGTCACACACGCTGGAGTACAGTGGTGCAATCTCAGCTCACTGCAAGCTCCGCCTCCCAGGTTCACACCATTCTCCTGCCTCAGCCTCCCGAGTAGCTGGGACTACAGGCACCCGCCACCACGCCCAACTAACTTTTTTATATTTTTTCGTAGAGACGGGGTTTTACCGTGTTAGCCAGGATGGTCTCAACCTCCTGACCTTGTGATCCGCCCACCTCGGCCTCCCAAAGTGCTGGGATTACAGGCATGAGCCACCACACCTGGCCGAACTTTACTATTTTTTAAAAAACAACTTTATTGAGATAAAATTCTCATAACATACAGTTTACCAACTTAAAGTGTACAGAGGCTGGTGCATTGGCTCACACCTGTATTCCCAGCATGGGAGGCCAAGTAGGCAGATCGCTTTAGCCCAAAAGTTTGAGACCAGCCGGGGCAACGTGGCAAAACCCTGTCTCTAAAAGTACAAAATTACCCAGCATGGTGGTGAGTGCCTGTAGTCCCAGCTACTCAGGCTGCTGAGGTGGGAGGATCACTTGAGCCCAGGAAGTCAAGGCAGCAGTGAGCAGTGATCATGCCACTGCACTCCAGCCTGGGCGAAAGAGCAAGACCCTGTCTCAACAAAAAAGACAAATGATTATCAATGCTTATATTACAGTCTCCCTTTATAAAAAAAAAGTTTTTTTCTTCTGACAGTCTCGTTCAGTCATCCAAGCTGGGGCGCAGTAGTGCAATAATAGCTCACTGCAGATTCTCCTGCCTCAGCCTCCCAAAGTGCTAAGATTATAGGAGTGAGCCACTGTGCCTGGCCTATAAAAATTTTTTATAATGTAATTTTTAGTATCCTGAAATGAAATTTAAATAATATAACCTACCTACATACATAATTATTTTTTAAATATCACAACTATATAGAGAAAATTGATTTGTAGTATATCAGAAAGTAAATATTACGGGTATGTCTGTTCTAAAAGATGAGTTGTTGAGATACTCGTTCCTTTGTATAAAATGATCATTAATGTGACTGATACAAGTATGTTTATTGATGATTCAAGTAACACTAACTGCATTTTTCGTCAGTGACATGATTTTTCAAAATTGTAAAGATTATTGGTAAATAGGAACAGTTCCAACAGACCTAATCATTTTTGTTTGTTTAATTAAAGTTGTACTAGCTCCTAGTTTAACTTGTAAAAAGCATTATATGTATGTGACCAGTAATCAGCAAGAAATAAGGAAAAGCGAATGACAAAAAAGAAAAACTTGCATGTGTAGCTGGGAGATCAGCATCAATATCAGATGCCTGTTAGCCTTGTTTAACCCTTCTCTTAGCTGTGAGTTTAAGCCAGACTTAAAAGCCAAGCATGAGTGGAAGAGCTGGGGGCCCAGCTATACAGGTAGGAAAGCTAAGCATGTAATGAGTGCTGATGATGAAACTTATTGCAAGCCATGGATGGCTCCATAGGTTCAAGGCATACCATACTTCTTACACCCCAGAGTGAGTGGTAGGGCAAGTGTGTATATTTTAAGTACTCAGGCATTAGATTTTCACTGTTAACAAAATGGCTCAATATAAGGATAAGACATGAAAAGAACATAGGTAGGAGAAGATGAGAGTGCCTTATTCTAAAGCAAGCTTGTCTAACCCACGACCTGCGGGCTGCATGTGGCCCAGGACAGCTTTGAATGCAGCCCAACACAAATTTGTAAACTTTCTTAAAACATTATGAAATTTGTTTGACTTTTATTTTTTAAGCTCATCAGCTATCATTAGTGTTAGTGTATGTGGGCCCAAGACAGTTCTTCCAGGGAAGCCAAAAGATTGGACACCCCGTTCTAAAGCTTTAAGGATCAATCTGTGAAGAGAAGCTTCTGAGCAGATTCCCGGGCCCCGTCCCTGCAGATTCTAATTCAGTTGATCATGGGTAGACTTACAAATCTTTTTCCTCTCTTTCTCCCTCCCTCCCTTTTAAATCTGCTTAGGTGGTTTTGAGAAATAGCCAGGTTTAGGGACCACTGATCTAACTATCTATTCAACATGTGTTTAAAATTACCTTCCTAATTTCTGAGTGATCGTCTTTTCTGTGCTTAAACATGTCCAGTGACAAATGAAATCACTCCCTTCTTAGGTAACACATTCCATCCTTAAATACTGTAATTGGAAAGTTTTCTTTATACTAGGTTTATATCTGTAGAATTGCTGCCCATTGGTCCTAGTTTTAGTCCTTTAGATCATAAATCTCTTTCACATGATTAACTTTTCAGATATTTAGACAGCTGTCAGCCCTCAGTACCCTTCTGACTTTTTTTTTTCTCCTGCTGATTTTCCTCTTTGCTTTACTCTACTGAAGTTATACTGGCCTCCTTGACATTTCTTTAATAGTCCAGGCACTTTTCAACTGTAGGAATTTTGTACTCTATCCTCATTCACCTGTAACAGTCTCTTGCAGGTATTCTTAAAACTCACTCCCTCTCATCATTTACATCTCCTCGCAAATGTTAACTTCACAGTGAAGTTTTTCTTCAATAGCCTATTTAAAATTGCACCAAGTTCCCCAACCTAACTGGATCTTCTATCTCCCTCTGTGATTTGTTTCCTCCCAAAGCACGTATCACCTTGTTTTTTTTTCCTTTTTCTTTTTTTGAGACAGAGTCTCACTCACTCTGTCGCCCAAGCTGGAGTGCAGTGGCATAATCTTGGCTCACTGCAACCTCCACCTCTCGGGTTCAAGTGATCCCCCCGAGCTCACACACATACACACCCCCTCCTCTCCACCCCCCCTACCTCAACCTCCCTAGTAGCTGGGACTACAGGTGTGTGCCACCATGTCCAGCTAATTTTTCTGATATTTTTCGTACGGACAGGGTTTCACCATGTTGGCCAGGCTGGTCTCGAACTCCTGGCCTCAAGTGATCCACGTGCCTCAGCCTCCCAAAGTACTGGAGTTACAGGCATGAGCCACCGCACCCAGCCCCAAAGTACATACCACCTTCTAATACGCTATACAACTTACTTTACTTTCCCTTTTTTTTGTCTATTTTTTATTGTGTCTCTTCTACCAGATTCCAAGTCAAACAATTGTACTGATCTTTCTCATCTTTATAATTTCAGCCAAAAGAACAGACATTTATTCAGAGTAGGAGATCAACAAACATAATTAAGTTCTCCTTCTTTCCAATTTCCCCTTCTTCAGAAGCAGTCATTTTCAATTCTTCATATTGTTTTGCTGTTTACTTCAAAAATCTCTTTTTAAAAATGTTTATGAGCTATCTATAAATTTTTCTTGACTTAGGTGTTTTTTTTTCTTTTTTCTGCTTTCTACATAGACGCCATTCCCATTTCCCTCTTCCTCCTATGTAGTGTATAATAATTTTGGTTAGATCACTATTGAGTTTTTATTTTATGATTATGTAAATGCAGTTCAAAGCTGAAACATATTGTAAACTGTAATTTTTCTTCCTATGCAAATTTCTGTTGTCCATAGTGTTTATGATGGACCTTTTTTTCATATGCTTAGTGTTCTTACCAACCACTAGTTCAACCACAACGTTCTATCATTTATCTAAATGTATCAAGGTGTTTAGATGGGTTGTATCTTCTGTCATTTCACCTTTTCAAACAGATCTGTCTCAGAGGCTCTGATCTGCTTCAATTTGGACTCTGTCCTCTTTACCTGCTACGTAGTGGTCATCAGAGGTTCCTTTTACTGCTTTCCTTTTTCATATATCTAGGACTTCTTTTCTATTTTTTCTTATTTTGGTAGAATGCCTCCTCCAGTAGATTTCTGAGACGGAGTGTATGAGACCTAAAAAAAGTTTATTTTAGAAAATCACACATATATAAAAGTAGACATAGTAGTATAACCAATTCCGTTGTACCCATCACTTGGTTTCAGCAGTTAATTGTGGCCATTCTTGTTTCACTTTATTTCGATTAGTCCCTCTCACTACCATTTTGAGACCTTGTCTCAAAAAAAGAGTACCATTGTCATGCTTAAAAAAAATTAATGATAGGAAGCAAAATTTTTGAGATTTTTACATGTCTGAAAATTTTTGTTGAAATAATAGTTGGAGAATATAGGTTTAGGTTGGAAATAATTCTCTTTCAGAATTCCAAGTCACTTCTTTTAGCTTCTAATGTTGCTGTTGAAATCCCACACTATTCTGAGTTTTCTTTTTTCCCCCACAATCCCCACCAAAACAGTGCTGTTAGTCTTTGTTTGTTTTTGAGATGGGATCTCATGTTGACCAGGCTTGTCTAGAACTCCTGGCCTCAAGCGATCCTCCCATCTCTATTCTGATTTTTTATCTTTTCTGTGTACTCTTTAAAAAGAAAAAAATTTCTTCTGAACGCTTATGGGCTCTTATCTTTGCAGCATCCAGAAATTCCATAATGATGAGTTCTTTTGTATAGATCTGTTAACATCCATTGTGCTGGAGACTTAGGTTTTTTTTTTTTTTTTCTTTTCAGTCCTTTAAGTAGTGGGCCATGTTCTTGATTTTCTTCACTATTCCCCACACTGCCTCAAATCCCCTCCTGCGTTTCCTTGCTTTTCCTGGAACTCCTATTCTTTATATGATAGACCTTCTAGAATAATTGCCCAGTTTTATCTAAATTTTCTCTTTACTTTTTGAGTAGATTTTCTTAGCTTTACTTTCTTACCTTCTATTTGTAGTTCTTTCTTAATATTTTTAATTTTTAATTTTTATTTTATTTTATTTTATTTTATTTTGGTTTTTGTTTAAATAGTGACAGGATCTGACTATGTTGCCTGTGCTGGTCTTCATCTGGCCTCAAGCAATTAATTCTTTTTTGCTTCAGCCCCCAAAAATGCTGGGATTACAGGCATGGGCTGCCACACCTGGATACTATTTTTAATTTCTAAAGTCTCTTTTTTGTTCTCAGAATATTTCCTTTTATGGCAATCCCATTCTCATTTTATAGTTTTCACATCATTTCTTACCTCTAGAATATAGTATGTCCTCACTTAACATTGTAGATAGGTTCTTGGAAACTATGACTTTAAAAGAAATGACCTACAGCAGCCTTCAAATAACATCCTTTCCTTTGACATCATTTCTTTTTAACAGTGAGGGGGAAAAATTAGCTTGCTTATACATCATTTGACTTAAAGTCACAGTTTCCAAGAACCTATCAATGATGTTAAGTGAAGGCTTACTGTATTCTTCATAATTTGATGATTGTGACTGTGATAGCATTGGCATTTTTTCTTTTTCTTTCTGTATAGCTTATTATTTCTTCCAGATTTTTTATTTCTTTTTTTAATGTTTTGTTTGCTATGGTTTCTTATAATTTATAAGCATTTCTCAGATGCCTTTTGATACTTGGTTATTTGTTATATTTAAGAGATGAGAATAAAGTAATTGGAAGCTCTGAGTGCATGGGTAGAGCTGTAGACTGTGAGCTTCTCTGTTAGAATGATCTGGCTGGTCTGTTTCCTCGAAGATGCCCTAATGTCAGTACCTTTAGGTCTTTCCTGTCAGGTTGGTCAGATTTCCTAAAGAAGACTCCTTAATTCTATTTTCTAGAATGTGTAATAGGGCTGACTCCCAGTGTTCTTGGAGCCAAGTAGATGACGAGGGCCTAGGCTGGAATCTGAGAATTTGGTGTGTATATATATTCATTTCATTATTGTACTCCTACTCCTAACTGAGCCTCATGGCTCCCAGACCAGACACTCTCTGTTTTAGATTGTCTAAGCATTAAACCTCCAGTCTGCTGCTGGGATGTCAAAGGGGTAATCACTTGACTGCTCAGAATATAGGAGAGAATGTTCGTATAATAATTTCTTAAAACGTGCTTTTAATCAGTCACTCCCAGAACCAATTGTTGAGCCTTTTGGGAATTTTACAGTGTGAATCAGGTTGGTTCTAGGTCAGTACTGTCTAATAGCATTTTCTGTGATCGTGGAAATTGTTCTAAATCTGCACTGTTCAATATGGTAGCAAGTAGACATGTGGCTGCTGAGCACTTGTCTGCAACTGAGAAGCTCAGTTTTTATTTTTATTTTATTTATTTAAATTGAAATAGCCACATGTGTCTGTGTCTACCATCCTGGACAATGCAATTCTCAGCTTTTCCTATCATTGGCTTATGATTTAGCATTCTCAGGTCACTTTCTATTTGCCCACCAGCTGCCTTGCTTTCGTTTTTTTGTTTTGTTTTCTCTTCCATTCTTCTTGTCCTCATGTGTTTGTATCTTTAAAATATAGATATATCTTTACTGTAATTTTATGAGATTCTAGAAAGGAGCAGAAATAGTTGCAAGTGTTGACTTTACCATCTTTAGTTAAGTGGTGTTCTTTATACAGTGTGATTTTAAGGCTTCTGATCTAATTCCTGTCTTCAGACTGCATTCCACTTAAATCATGATGCCTAGCTGTTTGTTCATTCATTCTAGAAATTCCGATTCTATTAATGCTACATATGACTTCCTATCTTTTGATTTTACATCTATATCAACATTGTTTCATATGAGTTTTACTTTTGTATAAAATGTCTGGGTTCTGGCCAGGCACGGTAACTCATGCCTGTAATCCCAGTACTTTGGGAGGCCAGGGTGGGAGGATCACTTGAGCTCAGGAGTTTGAGACCAGCCTGGGCAACATAGTGAGACCCCATCTCATTAAAAAAAAAAAAAAAAAGTCTATGTTCTTTTATTTTGCTTTGCTTTAGTTGTATACTTTTCATGTTTTATCTCTAACTTATTTTAAAATTCGTGGCATATGCTACCATGCTGTGACTTCCACAGACACTTAAATACTTACTATCTTTTTTTTTTTTTTTTTTTTTTGGAGAGAGAGAGTCTTACTCTGTCACCCAGGCTGGAGTGCAATGGCACTATCTCAGCTTACTGTAATCCCTGCCTCCTGGGTTCAAGCATTTATCCTGCCTCAGCCTCCCGAGTAGCTGGGATTACAAGCATGAGCCACCACATCCAGCTAATTTTTGTTTTTAGTAGAGATGAGGTTTTGCCACATTGGCCAGGCTGGTCTCTTAACACCTGACCTCAGGTGATCTGACCACCTCGGCCTCCCAAAGTACTGGGATTACAGGCGTAAGCCACCATGCTCTGCCAACACTTAAATACTTATTATATTATTGGCTTAGTTATTGACTTGAAATTATTATCTTTGGGCCAGGTGCAGCGGCTCACGCCTGTAATCCCAGCACTTTGGGAGGCGGAAGCAAGCGGATCACGAGGTTGGGAGATCGAGACCATCCTGGCTAACTCAGTGAAACCCCATCTCTATGAAAAATACAAAAAATTAGCCAGGAGAGGTGGCGGGCACCGGTAGTCCCAGCTACTCGGGAGACTGAGGCAGGAGAATGGTGTGAACCCAGGAGGCGGAGCTTGCAGTGAGCTGAGATTGCGCCACTGCACTCCAGCCTGGGTGACAGAGCAGGACTCCGTCTCAAAAAAAAAAAAAAAACAATTATCTTCGAATTTATTTCCTGAATTCTTAACGTGGGGTATGTGTCTCCTTTTTAACTGTATTTTTTTCTGATTAGGTAAATAATGAAATTGGAAAATGTTTCAAAAATATGGAAAATGAAGAAGAGAAAATCTCCCATAATACTGTCACCTACAAGATAACTATTATTAACATTTTGGAATATAACTCTTCCTCACCTGCTTGTGTGATATGTGTTTTTCTCTTCAACAGTCACAAATAATTAGTAAAAGCTATTTCGTATTTTTTTTTTTTTTTTTTTGAGACGGAGTCTCGCTTTGTCACCCAGGCTGGAGTGCAGTGGTGCAATCTCAGCTCACTGCAAGCTCCGCCTCCCAGGCTCACGCCATTCTCCTGCCTCAGCCTCCCGAGTAGCTGGGACTACAGGTGCCCGCCACCACGCACAGCTAATTTTTTGTATTTTTAGTAGAGACAGGGGTTTCACTGTGATAGCCAGGGTTGTCTCGATCTCCTGACCTTGTGTTCCGCCCGCCTCGGCCTCCCAAAGTGTTGGGATTACAGGCGTGAGCCACTGTGCCCAGCCTGTAATTTTTTTTATGTAATACATTGTGAATTTTTACTAATAATTTTTTTAATGCCAAAAGGAAAATATGAGGTGACTTTTTCTCCCTTGTATTTCTTGACCTTTATTCAACAATATTGACAAAAAAAAATTTTTTTTTTTTTTGAGTCAGAGTCTTGCTCTGTCCCCCAGGCTGGAGTGCAGTGGCATGATCTCAGCTCACTGCAACCTCCACCTCCCGGGTTCAAGCGATTCTTCTGCCTCAGCCTCCCGAGTAGCTGGGACTACAAGCGAGCACCACCACAGCTGGCTAATTTTTGTATTTTTTAGTAGAGACGGTGTTTACTGTATTGGCCAGGCTGGTCTTGAACTCCTGACCTCATGATCCTGTCGCCGCAGCCTCCCAGAGGGCTAAGATTACAGGCATGAGCCACTGTGCCCTGCCAATGATTGGCAAATAAATTTTGATGAATTTAATTTTTCATCAAAAATATTATTGAACACTCACTATGGGTGACATACTGTGCTGAGCAAAGCAGCTGCAAAGTTGCTTCAGGTATAATTCTACCCCTTGGTATTAGACTAGGGTTCATATTTTGACCATAACAAATTAAAACAAGGTCAGCTTCTTCAATAAATAAGTTCCCTTAGCATGAGTTTAAAATTGGCAGATTTTTATAGAATTGCAATCTGAAGAAAATGGTGGTATAACATGATTTCAGCCTATATAAGAATATGTTAAAGGTATAATAACATCATTAATCTAGTTGATTTTCACAGTATTTGCCAAGTCAGTTCCTTAAATCTTTATAAAAGTCTTGGAATTCCAAAGAAGGAAATCTCTTTTAGTGGATGAAAAATACCTTGTTTTGTTTCATAGGTTAAGAGCAGGCTTATGTGATCGCTGTGCAGTAACTGAAGAACATATGCGGAAAAAACAGCAAGAGTTTGAAAATATCCGGCAGCAGAATCTTAAACTTATTACAGAACTTAGTGAGTTTCCTTTCTTCATTTATTATTTAAAGTATGTAATGTATTATTTTTAAGACCTATTAGTAAATTGGTTGTAATTAAATGGATGGTTTACATATATTTTTCCTTATTTAGTAAAAGTTCAAATGTCCTTTTTTGTACTTTTTGTAGATTTAATCTCATGCTTAATTTAGTAAGAAATAGGGTACAAAAAGGTTGTGCAAATACTGTCCACATTGGTCTTAAGTCATCAGTTGTAAGACAAGAAGCAGGTGGTGTTTTTTTTTTTTGGACATGTCCATATTTGCTTCTTTGGTTTTAATCTTTATTTCATGTAACCTTAATACTTAGTAAAGTTAAATACAAAGCAGACAATTTATTGTTCTACACTTGTTTTCTCTCTTGGTATTTATGACATACTGTTTTCATAAGTATACTATTTTCAGTTTATTCTCCTTACCTATTGAGTGTAGAGTTTTTCTACATTCTTAGCCGCCTTCTTTTATTCTTTTAATACTTCTGTTAACCTTATTCTCTTATAACTATTTATTTCTTTTGGTGACCATTACCTGGATTTCCCATAAGCAACTCACAATCAATATATTCAAAATCTAATTAATTATCTTCTTTTCCAAACTAATTCTGTCTTTTATTTTTTTCTGTTAATTATATTGCTACCCTGTGGTTATTCAAGCAAGAATATTGAATATATGCTCATTGTTTTTAAAAGAGGTAAGAAAGAATATAGCTTTATTCTGCTCCCAGAGGTAACTACTGTTAATAGTCTGATACATATCTGTCCAGGTCCAGGTTTTTCTGTCTCTGTGCCTTGTTAGACCCCGCTTCCCTCCCTTCTCTTTTGAATTTTAATGTTATCATACCATACTTTGTGTTCTAATGTGTTACTTCACTTTAGACTATGTCTTGGAAGTCTTTACATGTTAATATGTCTATAGATTCTGTGGTGTATATGGGTGAACGTGTGCATACATTTATTTAGGAATGTAAGAATATTATCAATGAGTAGAAAATTGTTACATCTCAATAAATATGTAGTTGTTCCTTGTCATCTGTAGGGTATTGGTTCCAGGACCCTGACGCATACCAAAATCCTTGGATGCTCAAGTACCTTATATAAAGTCACATAGTATTCGCATATAACCTACCCACATTCTCTTGCATACTTTAAATCATCTCTAGATTCCTTATAATACCAAATGCAGTCTCTACGCATCACTTCATTTGTGTGAATTAAATGTAGTATTCGGTGTCTGGCAAATTCAAGTTTTGCTTTTTGGAACTTTGTAGAATTTTTTTTTCCCAAATGTTTCCCATCCACAGATTTAGAACTCACAGATATAGAAGGCCAACTGTAGTTGAGATCCACAGTAATATTATTGTTAGTACTACTGGAAATAATCTCCAATAATGTCTACATATCTAATAGATTTCCAGCAACTTTATCTAAAATAGAGCCAAAAACTCCAAGCAAGCAAAAAAGCTTATCTAGGTGTTAAAGTATAAGACAACGTTTTTTTAAATGGCTGCATTGTATGCCATAGTATAGGTGTCAATTTTTTAGCTATTGTCACTTTAATGGACTGCTCAACTTTTTGTTTGAATGTTTGAGAATTTTTATTTTCTTACATCCTCTTCAGATTTGGGCAAAAATGTATTAATAATATTCAATCTGGTGGGTGAAGAATGATACCTTTTTAAAATTGGCATTCCCTGTTACTGTTCCAGTCAAGTATTATTTTATATGATCGTCTTCTTGGGTGAATGGCTTATTTATTCTTTGCCCAGTCTTAAATTGCCCTATTTGCTGTTTGTATCTTTTAATTTAGTGAATAACTAAGAGTTATTTATATATTATGGAAGGATTATTACACTTTGGTAGATATGCTGTGCATATATTTTCTACTTTGCCATTACCTGTTGACTTCATTTTATAACTACTTGACAAGTGGAAGTTTTGTATATTTTCTTACCTTGTTTAGGAAGGCTTTCTCTATCCCCAAGAATATAAAAATACACACACGTAAATTTGCATATTTAATCCATCTGGAATTTTTAACATGGAATGTGAAGTAGAAATTTACCATCTTTAGAATTTGCAGGCATTCATCCTCAAGCTTACTGTCTCACAGTCAAAAGATGGCAGGTACTTTTTCAGGCCTCGTAACTGCATTCATACAAGAAGGAAGAAGCAGCAGCAAAAGGCTGAAATGAGCATGCCAGGAGAGTCTTTAAAAAAAAAAAAAAGCTTCTTTGAACACCCACCCAATAACTTTTGCTTCAGTCTCACTAGCCAGGAACCACCCCGACCCTCCCACTCACTCCATCATTGGAAGATGACTAAGGATTTCTGAGGTCTTTCATTAGCTTTATTTTGCTGTAGATTGTCTAGGTAAAAATATTTGCAAATAGTGACAATTTCGTCTTTTCTTTCAATTATTTTTACAGTTTCTTTTGGTGATTGTTTTTCTTTACATACTTTATTGGCCTAAGGGGCTTTAGAATACTGCCCAGAATAGCAGTTGATACATAAGGGAAGACTAGACTATATTACATTTAAGTGTGCTGTGGCCTTCTAGTAGATACGTGAAATTAAGTTATGGATATTTCTTTCTGTACCTCTTTTGCCAAGTTTTGCTTAATTGTGAATTTATAAAACTCTTAGCATCTGTTCATGTAGTAAGTTTTACTGATAGCTTTTCTAGGGTGAACCAATGTTTAATTTCTTTTTTTTTTTTTTTTTTTTTTGAGACGGAGTCTCACACTTTCACCTAGGATGGAGTGCAGTGGCGTCATCTCTGCTCACTGCAACCTCTGCCTTCCAGGTTCAAGCAGTTCTCCTGCCTCAACCTCCCAAGTAGCTGGGATTACAGGCGCCCACCACCACGCCCAGCTAATTTTTTGTATTTTTAGTAGAGAAGCGGTTTCACTATGTTGGCCAGGCTGGTCTTGAACTCCTGACCTCGTGATCCGCTCACCTCGGCCTCCCAAAGTGCTGGGATTACCGTTGTGAGCCACCGTGCCTGGCCCCAGTGTTTAATTTCTAAAACAGACAGGCTTGATATGTTAATGTTTTAATTGGGGAACATACATTTAAATCATCATTTTGTTCATTCAGTTTTTCTGCCAGCAAGGTTCTGTTACGATCCAAAGAATTAGGGCAGGCGCGTTGGCTCACGCCTGTAATCCCAGCACTTTGGGAAGCTGAGGTGGGTGGATCACAAGGTCAGGAGTTCAAGACCAGCCTGGCCAAGATGGTGAAAACCCGTCTCTACTAAAAAAAATACAAAAATTAGCCGGGCATGGTGGCAGGCATCTGTAATCCCAGCTACTCGGAAGGCTGAAACAGAATTGCTTGAACCCAGGAGGCAGAGATTGCAGTGAGCCAAGATTGCGCCACTGCATTCCAGCCTCGGCGACAGAGCGAGACTCCCTCTCAAAAAAAAAAAAAAAAAAAAAATCAAAGAATTAGCTGGGATGCTTTGAATCTTGTTTATTTCTTTTTTTTTTTTTTTAGAGATGGATTCTTGCTCTGTCTCCTAGGCTGGAGTGCAGTGATGCTATCTCGGCTCACTGCAACCTCTGTCTCCTGGGTTCAAGCAATTCTCCTGCCTCAGCCTCCCCAGTAGCTGGGATTATAGGCACGTGCGACCACGCCCGACTAATTTTTGTATTTTTAGTAGAGATGGGGTTTTGCCATGTTGGCCAGGCTGGCCTCGAACTCCTAACCTCGGTTGATCCGCTTTGCATTTTTAAAGTTAATATCTTAATTCTCTTCCGAATAATATAAGAATTTTAAAGCACTTAACTTTGATGATCTTCTCCACTTACATTCTGCTCTTGCCCAGTATTTCATTTCTGTATAGTTTTGGGGTTTTTTAGCCCTACAAGCTAGATATTTTTTTAAAAAATTACCTTTAAGTAAAATTACCTTTCAATTAGCCCAAGGGAGAATCCTTGCTTTGCTGATAATAAATCTTACAGGGACCCTACTCTAATGACTGAAAATGGGAGGGAAAGACACCTTGCTAGAGAGCTTTTCCGTATGGATAGTTGGTCTTCTGAGCGTGAAAGCGCCTTTTCTTGTGTCTACTATAAATTACTTGGGAGCACTGCTCTGATTTTCTTGTCTCGGTATTTATTAATGACTCCTACGTCAAAACTTTTAGAGATCTATCCTCATGACTTTAGCCTAAGGGCAACTATTAGGCACCTTTTATTTACCCGTTTAGCAATTTGTGGGCCATGTTGCCTCTGATACTAGAATTGGTATGAGATTCTTCTAAGAATACTCCCTTTTTTAAAGGCCCTTTTTCATTGGATTTTACCATCAATCTGAGCCTATTTTTAAATAATTCAGAAATTTTTTATAGTTCTGATCTGTTAGTGACACCCTTTCTGGCTTTTTAATACTGCAGTAGACTTATTTTAGAGTGTTGTCATTTTATTTGGATTTGGAGAGGGAAAATCAAGTAAACCATCTTAATCAGAAATCTAAGGTCATCTTTGACTTCTGTGAACCCTACAAAGGATGAGTTGCCAAATACTATGATTCTGCCTCTGTTACAGTTCTTCTACTGGTCTTTACTTCCTGTTTATCCACCTCTACATAGGTCCAGATATTCATTTCTTTTAATGACCACCTGACTTTTTGTCTTGTCAATACTTTCTTCTCACATTGGTATATGCTATATGTACTAACAAATCAGTCTTCCCATCATTCATCTATAAAAAATGATTCCTGGTAATCTATAAGATAAAGTTTTAATTTCTTAACCTGCTATTGAAAACTTTCTACCGTTTATTATACCCAGTCTTTGTTCCACTGATTCTCTCTGTAGAATAATCTCCTGTCCAGCTCAGTTGCCCTTTTTTTGATGAATGCCTTCCTGATCTTCTCAAGGGCCCAAAGTAACCTCTTTCTCCTTGGAAATTTCCTTAGTACTTTATTTGTACTTCTCGATTGCCCTTGTCACTTTTAAACCTATAAAACATGTTTATGTAGTATCTTGTCTCCTTTGTTAGACTGCACATTGCTTTAGGTCACTGTCTATATCTTAATTTTTTTGGATCCTCCACGAAAGTAGTTTAATAACCTCACATGTTGTAGATAGTCCAGAAAATTTACTCAGTGTAAGAAAATATGTTTAGATTTATAAACCACTAAATTATTAACAAATTTTAGAGTACAATTAACCTTCTTTGGTGAAAGTTGATTGTATTTACTGTGACCTGATTTCTGGGATCCACTTCTTTTGCTAAAACACATGCTTAACCAGTGACATCATACTAAGCATTGATGAGAGTTTTATGCTGGTTCCAGTAGAAGTTACAGCCCAAAACTGGATTTCTGCTTTACAAATTAAATAAATACAGATAGGAAAATTTGGTGGAGATTCAAACAAACAGATACTCTTCAATGGATATATTTAAGTTACTGATAACCATAATTATTCATGAAACCTAGAGTATGACTAAGAAGAAAATTTGATTTGATAAATGTGCTTGTTATAAAAATTACACTGATATTCAGCGTTTTTGGTGTTTTTTTGTTTTGTTTTGTTTTGTTTTTGAGACTCTCCGCCACCCAGGCTAGAGTGCAGTGGCACTATTTTGGCTCACTACAACCTCAGCGTCCTAGGTTCAAATGATTCTCCTGCCTCCACCTCGAATAGCTGGGATTACAGGCATGCGCCACCATGTCCGGCTGATTTTTGTGTTTTTAGTGGAGACGGGGTTTCACCATGGTGGCCAGGCTGGTCTCGAACTCCTCACCTCAAATGATCCACCCACCTCCGCCTCTGAGTGCTGGGATTACAGCTGTGAGCCACTGCGCCTGGCCTATTTTATTTTTATGATCAAATTAATTTCAAGATAGAGACTCTTGCTAAAATGGTATTTGAAATTAGTAGGACTGAGTAACCAGATGGAATGCTTTCTTGTCCTCAGTATGTATAATTATACTCCCTAGTACATGAAGTACCCTCTTTTGCCTGCAAGCATTACATAAAATTATCAGTTAATCAGTTACATGGAACTGGCACGGTGTGAGATGTAGTACTCCCTACCTAGTAACGAATTAGTTTTGCGCACACTAGTGTTAACCCTGAATAAACATTATGATTTAGGATTAGAAGTACTAATTTCTTCATACATGCTGACATATTTTATTTGAAAGCCTAACATAGATGTTAATATAAATATATTATTTGCCTTCTTTTTCACATTGTTTTTAAGTGAATGAAAGGAATACTCTACAGGAAGAAAATAAAAAGCTTTCTGAACAACTCCAGCAGAAAATTGAGTAAGTATTTTCCTCCAACCTTGTTATTTTATTTTATTTAGCTATACAAACCATGAAGATAACTGTAAGAGTTGCAGATTTCATTTTAAAAATTATGAAGTGTTCTGTAGTTAAAAAATACAAAGAAAATCACTACATTTTTGTGTTTTGAGAGTATAGTGTGAATGCATCTCTTAGATTAGTGCTTGAAGAAAGTGTCAACATTGTAATTAAAACATTTTAATTTTTATAATGATTTATTATAAATAATACATTATTAAAATACTTATATTTCAAACAGATGTTTGAGTTTTGTTAGCTCCCTTCCAGCCCTGTCCCAGAAGCTTCATAAGGGCAAACTGAATAAGTGTTTCCTCTTATATAGTACTCAGGCCTGTAGAACTTCTTCCTTCCTCTGTTTTTCTCCCTTTTCTCCCCATTTCTCTTAAAGAATAAAACCAGTAACTTTTATCTTGTGTGCCACTTCCTCTTGTGTTTTATGTTTATTATTTCTAATTCTCACTGTGACTTTGCAAAGTAGTTTTATTATCCCCACTTTACAAATGGGGAAACCAAAGGTCACAGTCAAATAACTTGCCTGTCGTCTTACAGCTGGTAGGTAATAGGACTGTCACTCAGACCCATATTTTTTCTGAAAAGCCTCTTTTCTTTCCATTATCCAACACTGTCTCAAAAGAAGAATATTTTTCTAGATATGATCTGACTAATGCAGAGCAGAGCAGAGATATGACTAACTTTTAGTTCCCATTTATATAAAGCTTATATACTATTTTTGAAAACTTAGGATTCAGGATAATCCTAATGGCGTTATAGCGTTCCTAAAGATCCTGTTGCGTTTAAGTAGACATCTACAAAAACTTCAGTAAAACTATGTAGATGTAACATTATTTTGGCTTAGAATAGTTATTTTTGTATGAACACATCTCACAAGTAGAATTATCATTCTTACTGGTATACTTTTAGGATAATGGATATCCAATAGAATTCTGATATTCCTCCCATGTGATTGGTCTACTGAATACTGATAGCCAAAGGGAATTTTGAGGAGAAATAATAGTCAGATGAGGAAAGGAACCTATGAGATCAGACTGATGTTATAAAATGTTTGTAAGAAAATGTCAACACTTTCTAATTTTAATAATGCTGTATAATGAAGAGAGAACACAGGACACAGATCCACAATCTGTTACATAGAATTCCAAAACCCAAAAGGTTATTTTTGAAATGTTGTTCACAACCTAACCTCACTGCAATGGCAGAATGCTGTTTATAGTCTTTATCCCACTTCATGTGAGTATTCATATGTTTTGCTGTGAAAATATCAATGTGTTTGATTACAGGATGATGCTTCAGACTCCACTGGAGCTGTTATGTAATTATGTATATATGTTCTGTATTACTGTATTACTTTCATTTTTTTTAAAAAATATGAATTTGGAATCCCGTCTGGTTCCAAGGATTTTAGATAAGTGATTGTTGACCTACATTAATTTATGTGAAGTGATTATGTATGTACGTAGCTTATGGTATTTTGAACACATCAGCCTTGATCTTTATGAGTACCAAAGGGATGAGATACCAAGTGTGTAGAAGTTAACACAGAATTAGATAGACGATTGCCTCAAAAACCAATGTGTATAAGTTAGGTTGAAACTATATCGTGTCATTTGCTTGGTAGAAATATGAATTCTAATTAGTTTAGAATTTATTTTTAGTGTTCTCAAGCACATGCATTTTTCCTGTTGAAATTCAAATTTTAGAAAAGAAGTGAAGGCTAAAGTTTGAAATTACAGGAAAGAGTAATCATATAGATGAGCTTAAGGCATGTATGTTTATTTAGGACATGCTTAGTCAAAAGAGTATAGGAGATGATCTGATTGTGTCTTTTATTCTCTTCTGAAATATAAGATAGTTGTGATTCTCATGAACCAACTTCTTCTGTAGCTTGGTCGCAAAGAAATTGCATTTTGCTCAGCAGTTTTGTTTTGTTTTGTTTTGTTTTTAAAAAAGCAAGTATCATCTTGTAAAGGCAACCTAATTTTCTCTGATCACCTAAACCACTGTCATATTATGCTATTTGTGCCTGAAATTTCCCTGAACTTTAGAAGAAAATATTATTTGACTTCTGCTTGTTAAATGCAGTAACTCTAACTCTTCTGAGCTAGTTTTGATGTTACAAGATGGCTTATATGATAGGGCAGTTATTAGTGACACCAAAATTATTCAGTAAAATTTTGCCACTATAAAGTTAAAAATGTGTATAAAGCTAGGTATTGAGGTCATCATTCTTTTCGTTTTAGAAAATAGATGTGATGGGTCAGTGAAAGTCAAGGGAGTCTATACACGTAAGAGTTCAAAGGACTGTAGAACTCATTGCATTCAACCCTCTTCTAAATTGAATTCCTTATACAGCTTCTTTAACAAATAGCTATTGTTTGAACACGTCTAGTAGAAGTTTACTGTTTCCCAAGCCTATTTAAATTTAGTGAGACAAAATTATTAGAAAATTCTAAGTTTATAGAAATTACACTGCTTATAAGTTATATTTCTTGATTATGACTGCCTTCCAGGACCATCTTAAGCAAGTCTCTTCTCCTGTGCTACTTGACGACTCTTTTGATACATGAAGACAGCTATCATGGCCCTCCTGAGTCTTGTTTTCTCTAGAGTAAATATCCTCTGTTCATTAACTGTGGCATTAAATATCCTCTGTTCATTCATGTGGCATTACTTCAACTCTTCAAACTGTGAATTTTTAAAAATGTTTTAGTTCGTCAATATCTGAATTAAGAAATCAATATTCTAGGTATAGCCTGATCAGTGGAGCAGTACTGCCACCTCCCCTACAATGGCTATAATGTTACTTCGTTAAGTTTAAATTATGTTTTAACTGGAAATGTAAGTTCTTCAGAGTAGAAAAGGAAAAAAGCTGAATATTTAAAACTTTTTTACAGACTCATGAAGGGAAACCCCAGATCCATAATTATAGGTCTTTAGGGAAGAAACCAACTAAAACAGTTTTGACAGGAGTTTAAGAGGGAGCAGAGGTCCATAAATCAAACAGCTCAAGCCATCAGAAGGAAAAGTGAAAGGAGGACAAGTGTGCATAATTAATTTAACCAAAAGCTGTGACGTGAACTCTTTCTCTCAGAAAATCAGTGAGACTAGTGTTTTAAAGGATGAACTTGGTTAACATATGGAGTTTTGTTTTTTCCTTTTATGACAAAGGAAGACAAAGCCAGCACTCATTTACTTAGTTTGGGCACCTCTAGTTAGAGCTAGTTTTGTTTGTTTTTTTGTTTTTTCCTTTTGTGATCCCAGCTTCTTCCACATTGACTCTGCCAGGAAATCAATTGCTTCTCGTGACTCATTCATGTTTCAGGTGGAATTTTTATGACTAATAGGCAAGCAGGCTGTGACGTGATTAGTTAAAGCTAGGTCAGATAGATTTCACACTCCATTAATTTATAAGCCTTTCTCATATGACTTTAACTTACTGTTTTTCCAGAATAAGAAAATTACAGGAAGAGATTAAAAAATTAGATATCAGATCTATTGCACAGAATGGTGACTTAATAATGATTGTATATTTCAGAACTGCCAAGTAGATTTTAAATGTTTTTACTACAAAAAAAAGATAAGTGTGTGAAGTGATAGATGTTAATTAGCTTGATTTAATCATTCTACACTGTAAACATGTATCAAAACATTTTGTTGAACCCAGTAAGTAGATACAATTATTATTTGTCAATTAAAAATAAAATTTGGCTGGGCACAGTGGCTCATGCCTGTAGTCTCAGCACTTTGGGAGGCCAAGGTGGGCAGATCACTTGAGGTGAGGAGTTTGAGACAGCCTGGGCAACATGGTAAAACCCTGTCTCCATTAAAAATACAAAAACTAGCCAGGTATGGTTGCACGCGCAGCTGTAGTCCCAGCTACTCGGGAGGCTGAGACACAAGAATCACTTGAACCTGGCAGAGGTTGCAGTGCGCTGAGATCGCACCACTGCACTCCAGCCTGGGCAACAGAAGGAGACTCCGTCTCAAAAACATAAAATAAAATTTTAAATAATTTTATGTTTATTTTATTTTATGTTTATGTTTATTTTATTTAAAATTTAAAAAATTTTAAATAATTAGACATTAGCTCTAAAGATTGTTCCTTGGTATAAAATGTAGGATTAAAGCCTACAAATAATATTGGTATCATTCAGGAAATTAAAGTGTAAATCTTTTTTGGGAAAAATTAGTCTTTGTCTTCCAATTAATGTTTCTTAAAAATCTCTGTTGGTCATAGTTCATACAGTTCTCACTATATAAGCTTTTATTTGGAAATAGTATTGCAAGTTGATACGAGTCTAATAGGACAGACTGATTTGGTCATGTAAAGCCTAAATGTCTGACAGACTGGTAACAATTGGTTGGCAAATAAGGTCAGTAATGGTTTGACATGGGAAAGTCAATTAACTTTATTTTTACTCAACATTCACAATTCAATTCAAACCCAATCTTTCAGTTACAGTTGATCCTGAATTGAGTTGGGCAAGAACATATGCCTAGATCCACACAAATTTATTCTCTAGTGGAATCTGGGAATGTCTCCTATTCACTCAACAAATGTTTACGCCATACCTACTGTATGTCTACTGTGGTAGGCTCTTGTGATTCATCGGTTAACCAAAGATCCCATCCTCTTAGAACTTATATTCTAACAGGTGAGCAATAGATACAATAAATAAATTGCAGCTGGGCGCCGTGGTTCACGCCTATAATCTCAGCACTTTGGGAGGCCGAGACGGGTGGATCACTTGAGGTCAGGAGTTTGGGACCAGCCTGGCCAACGTGGTGAAACCCTGTCTCTACTAAAAATACAAAAATTAGCCAGGCATGGTGTTGCACGCTTGTAATCCCACCTACTCAGGAGGCTGAGGCACTAGAATCACTACAACCCAGGAGGCAGAGGTTGTAGTGAGCCGAGATTGGACCACTGCACTCCAGCCTGGGCAAAAGAGCAAGACTCAGACTCAAAAAAAAATCTAAATAAATAAAAATGAGTAAATTGCATACTATGTTAAAAAGCAGTAAATGCTGTGGATAAAGTTTATAGAGCAGAATAACAGGGAACAGGAGTACTAGGGTGTGTGAAGGGAGGTTGCAATTTTAAACGGTAAAATTCCAGCAGACTTGAAGGAGATTAGAGAGATAATTAGGTATGTAGGTATCTGGGGATGAGCATTCCAAGCAGGTGGAACAATTGGTGCAAAGAACCTAAGGTGGGAGTATGCTTGGTGTGTTTGGGGAACCTCAAGGAAGAGAGTGTGGCAGGAGTAGAGTATAATAGGAAAAAAGGTCAGAGAGGAAAAATGGGAGGGGCACCATCAGGTCATGTAGGATCTTCATGGATCAAAGGACTTTGGCTTGTGTTCTCAGTGAAATGAGCAGATGTGACAGGGTTTTCATGAGATTTCATCCATATGACTTAAGTCTTTTTGGGGTTTTTTTTTTTTTTTTTGGAGACAGGGTCTCACTGTGTTGCCGAGGCTGGAGTGGAGTGGCATGATCATAGCTCACTGCAGCCTCGACTTCCTGGGCTCAGGCAACCCTCCCACCTCACCCTCCCAAGTAGCTGAGACTACAGGTGTGTGCCACCACGCCTGGCAAATTTTTTAATATATTTGTACGTAGCAATAGGGTTTTGCCTGGGCCTCCCAAAGTGCTGGAATTGTAGGTGTGAGCCACTTATGTCTTTTTTTTTTTTTTTTTTTTTTTTTGAGACGGAGTCTCGCTCTGTTGCCCAGGCTGGAGTGCAGTGGCACGATCTCAGCTCACTGCAAGCTCCGACTCTGGGTTCACGCCATTCTCCTGCCTCAGTCTCCCGGGAGCTGGGACTACAGGCACCTGCCACCACACCCAGCTAATTTTTTGTATTTTTAGTAGAGACAGGGTTTCACCGTGTTAGCCAGGATGGTCTCGATCTCCTGACCTTGTGATCTGCCCGTCTCAGCCTCCCAAAGTGCTGGGATTACACGTGTGAGCCACCGCGCCCGGCCCCAATTTATCTCTTAATAGGACTCTTGTGACTGTTGTTGAGAGTAGACTATAAGGGGGCCTAGATAAAAGCAGTAACAGAAACTCAAATTTTGAAGCCTTCTTGTAGACTATGGATAACACATTTGGTTAACAATGTGTTATTGTTAGGGTCTGACTGCTGAGATTTAAATCCTGACTCTGTTACTATTTTAGTAAATGACTTCTGTATCTTCATTTCCTCATTTGTAAAATGAAAGTAGTAATACCTCACAGAGTTGTGATAATTAAACTCATAATTTAAATAGTGCCGGGCAGTGTAAACACATAACAAAAATTGGTTGTTATCATTGTTAGTGTTCTCATCCTGTATTTGTCAAGCATGCTAATTCTACTACCATGATGTTTAACGTTCTTTCCTTTCCATATGTACTTAAAATATTCTAGTTCAGACCGCAGACAGAGCGGCTTGCCTGGACTATTATAGCCACTAATTGATTTCCTTGCCTCCTGTCCTTCTGTCCCAATCTTGCACAATACTGTTAGATTGTCACATTATATCCAAGCTCTAAAACCTTAATTTCTTTCCTCTTGCTTTCTACATTATGTGCACATTGAGCTCATGGCTCTCGTTCATGTAATTCCAGCTTTCCCTTCTCCAACATAAGTACACAGTACTGCATGCCTTTCCTCAGACTGTGGGTTCTCTCCTGATCTTGTCTGCAATTTGAAATACTTTTAATTTCACCTGAAGTGCTATTGACTATACTTTCTACTTCACTTCTCACATAGTATTTCCCACTGGGTACTGTAATCATTCGTGTACTTATCTACTTAGGTTTGGAACATTAGATGCAAGGGATTACATCCCTTAGAGCTTCATGTTTGTGTTCTACTGTAACTCCATGCCATGTAGTAAATGTTTTAATACTCATTGAATTGATTTTCTTTCCATTGTCATTCTTCTCTAGGAATGATCAACAGCATCAAGCAGCTGAGCTTGAATGTGAGGAAGACGTTATTCCAGATTCACCGATAACAGCCTTCTCATTTTCTGGCGTTAACCGGCTACGAAGAAAGGAGAACCCCCATGTCCGATACATAGAACAAACACATACTAAATTGGAGCACTCTGTGTGTGCAAATGGTAAGAGTTGGAGTTGTATTTTAGTTCTCTGGTTTTGTAAACCAGTGTTCATCTACTAGTTTTTATGTTATTCAATCTAGTGATAAGAAGATAGTCACTATTCTGGTATCCCATGGTACAACTATGAGTTTAACTTCTATTTGTAAAGTGACTGAGAAGGCGTTTTCTGCCCGTGTTATGTATAGATACGTGTCATCTATATGACATGTAAATATACCATATTTTATAAATGTAGTAAATAGTTTCTTTTTTCTTTTTATTTTAAAAATATTCCTATGTGTATATATCCAAGTGGGATAGAAGGAAAAAGGAAAGGAACTTAATGTTAATTTCTACCTCCTGTGTACCAGGTATTATGCTGAGTGATTTGCATGTATTATTGCTATGTTTTAATTCTCGTAACAGGCTTGTGAGATAACTATCAGCTCTTTTGTTTTATAGATGAGGAAAGATATGTTTAGAAAGGTTAACTCACTCAAGGTCAGCTATTATGTAGATGAGTCAAAATTCAAATACAGATCTTCTTAGCTCTGAACTTTCCTACTCTCCAGGTCTTGCCACATGGGTACTCCTGCCATTGGAGCTGTCTGTAACTGGCTATTTTTATTTGTTGTAATTTGTAGGAGTTAGTGGTAATCAAGAAATGGTGTTATAATATGTACACTTTGTGGCTTTTCAGTGACATGTTTCTAATTCCAGCCTAGTTTATCATTTCTGCTAAATGCTTTAAAACTGTCTTTTCACATAGTCCCAAAATTTGTTATGTGCCATGATACAAGTATTACTTTTAGTATTAATCTAAAGCAAACAGTAAAGACTTTAATTTTTAACCTAAACTATTTGCAACAAGGAAAGCATGGGGGACGGGGGATATATATGTACTACTATATTTGTATAATACAAATAAATTGTTGACAGTAAATATGCCTTTAAACAAATAAGCAGATCTTATTCTTAGATGTTGGAACATTGACAGTTTTCCCCCACTTTATAAGCGTTTGTATCACCATCTAGTGGAAAACAAAAGAACTGTTAAAAATCCTACACTTAAATAGGAGCTAAGTTAAAATGTAAAATCATAGATCTAAAATGAATATCCGTTGACCTTTTAGTTTGCTATCAGACAGGACATGAATCATTAAAGATAATCACTGCATAATTTACATCAGGTTTAAATTCACAAATAAGAATATCTAGAAAACAATTCCATATTAGGAAAGTCTTTTGTAACCAATATAAATGCTTCTGGTTTATTTCTTCTTTGTATGAAAGCAGCATGTAACTATTTAGAAATTTAATTCACTTGCTTTAACCTTGTTCTGATCATTTTTTACTTGGAATCTGAAATTTGGTTTTAAGATGTACGATAACCTTGAGCCATACAAATGATTTTAAAATAATTTTAAGGCCGGGCACGGTGGCTCACACCTGTAATCCCAGCACTTTGGGAGGCCAAGGTGGGTGGATCACGAGGTCAGGAGATCGAGACCATCCTGGCTAACATGGTGAAACCCTGTATGTACTAAAAATATAAAAAATTAGCTGGGCGTGGTGGCACACGCGTGCAGTCCCAGCTACTCGAGAGGCTGAAGCAGGAGACTTGCTTGAACCCTGGAGGTGGAGGTTGCAGTGAGCTGAGATCATGCCACTGCACTCCAGCCTGGGCAACAGAGCAAGACTCCATCTCAAAAATAATAATAATAATAATAATTTTAAATGCTTTAATGACTAATTAGTCCTGTTCTCTAACTTCCCTTGCTTGCTTATTTTAAGGTTTATAATGCTTTTTAATATTACTCTCAAGTTATAAATAGTAAAACCATTTCACTTTACCTTGTCCTTATTTTGGTTTTCTTTGAACTAAATCTTTAAATATTGGAGTGATTTCTGATAAAGCATGCTTCAGAGTTTCCTTCCCGAAAATAGAAACTCTAAAACAAAGATCATGGAGATAAATGATATAGTATACATTAGATTGATTGATCATTTGTTTATTGATTGATTATTTGAGATAGGGTCTCACTCTGTCATCCAGGGTGGAGTACTGTGGTGTGATCTGTAGCTTACTACAGCCTGGAACTTTTAGGCTCAAGAGATCCTCCTGCCTCAGCCTCCCAAGGTGCTCAGATTACAGTCATGAGCCACTGTGCCCAGCCCAGTATACCTTTTTAAATTAACCTGCTGATTTGTAACAAATATAAAAAGAGAAGTAACACTAAAATGTTACTACTCTAGGCAATTTGGGTTAGAAGAAGCTGTCTGTTCTAGTCCCCTCTCTCCCAATGTCTTAACTTAAACAGCTTTGTTTCTTAGTGAAATTAAAGGAGCTTACTTCTTAGAATATGATAATTATGTCAATAAAACAGTACTTATATTGGATTTAAATACAGATAATACATAAAAATTTTAAATATGAATAAATAAAAATAATTTGATAATGCTTTTCATCATCATTGTTTATTGTGTAATCTCTTATTTTTTTCTCCCCTTAGAAATGAGAAAAGTTTCCAAGTCTTCAACTCATCCACAACATAATCCTAATGAAAATGAAATTCTAGTAGCTGACACTTATGACCAAAGTCAATCTCCAATGGCCAGTAAGCAAGATACTGAGATTACTTTACAAGTTTAAAATTGTGGTTATTGGTGGGTAACAGTGACCCACAGTCTAACTTAGACAATATTTTAAAGGTATTTTCCATATAATTTTGTTTATATTACTAGTTTACTATCTTTTTCATATTGGAAAGTAATGTTATCCTATTCATATAAATATCCCTAATCATATTAATATAAATTACTAATAATTTTAAGTAAAGAAGGCTTTACTGTGATTTACTTATTTGTTCAACAAATATTGAAGCATCTGTTGTATACCAGGCACTGAATAAAACAAAGCCCTTGTCCTCATGGAGCTTATGATCTAGTTGAGGGAGAAATAAAATTTATGTCAGATAGAAGCAAGTGCTCTGAAGAAAAGTAAAGCAGGGTAAGAAGGGATATTAGAAAGCCTCACTTGTAAAGTGATGTTTGCATAGGGACTGAGGGAGGGAAGTGAGTCACGTGGCTATCTGGGAGAAGGGCACCCAGGCAGAGAAATTAGCAAGCCCGGAGGCTTTGCAGTGAAGATGCCATTTGGTTTGTTTGAGGAACATTAAGGAACCCTGTGTGGCTGGAGCAGAGTGAGTAAAGGGGAGATTGGTTTGGACAACAGGAAAAATAGAGTTACCATTTACTGAGATGGAAGACTGGGAGCCGCAGGTGTATAGGTTGGGGCGGGGGTGGTTAAAATTAGAAGTTTGGTTTCGGTAATATTCTGTTTGAAATGCAAACTCAACATTCAGGTAGAGTTTGGATTCATGAGTAGATGTGAGTTAGAATTTAGAGAAGTTGAGGATGGAGACACATATGGAGGTCATCAGCAGGTAGATGGCATCTAAGCCATGAAACTAGATGAGATTACCAAGCAAGTGATAATAGATGGGGATAAGAAGAAGTCCAAGTATTGAGCCTTGGGGAACTTCATTATGTAAAGTCATGATTTTCAACTTTTCTTTTGTTGAACAACCCCCACCCCAGCATTTTTAGACATTTCCCCCCTCCCCCCAGTCCCTTCCCTGCTGGAATTTTATTACTGCAGATCTACTGTATATCTGTTTAGGTGATACGTGTATGCATGTATGTCTGTGCTTTATACATAGTAAGGTTTTTTTTGCTCCCCCCTGCCCCGAACCATTTTTCACCCCCTTAGAGAAAATACTGTAGCTGTTGAGGTTGCGAAAATGAGTAGGAACCAACAAAACAGAGAAGGAGCTGCCAATGAGATAGGAAAACTAAAAATGATGTCCTTTAAGCCAAGTGGAGAGAGGACGAAGAGGTGATCAACTGTGTTTAACAATGCTAATAAGTCAAGTAAGATGAAGACTTCTTAGAATTGACCATGAGATTTGGTTGCATGTAGATCATTGAGTGTTAAACTAGTAACATGATAAAAATTGTTAAGGTGTAATGGTGACCATCTGAGATCGGTCTCATGTTCAAAGGAAACTAAGGACAGAGAAAGTGGAAAGAGCACACACAAACAAGTACTCCCAAGACATTTTGCAGTAAAGAGGAGGAGAGAACAGGACAGTGGCTAAAGAAGAACATGGGTCAAGGGAGGATTTTTTTTCAAGATGGAATATTATAGCATGATCGGCATTTATTTATGTTGATAGGATGATCAAGTAAATAGGAGAAAATTAATAATTCTGGAGAAAGAGGGAACAATTGCTACATCCTTAAAAAGGTCAGAGGAGATGAGATCCAGAGCCCAGTTGGGAGGGTTGGTCAAGGTTAATCACTTATTCATTTTATAATAGTGTAAAAGTTACATACTGAAAGCTACAAATCATTTTATATTAACATGTGTGTCTGTTTGTCTGTCCATGAGTATGTGTGCATGTGCATGGAGGCTCAGGGTCCAGCAAAGGGTGCTAGGGATACAACACAGAGGGTGGCAGATCCTTGCTTCTCAGCTCTCTAGAACCAATTCTGTTCTGCTGCTGCCAGGTCTTTGCTCCATTATTTGTCCTATCTTCCTTATACAGTATCTGCAGCTTCTCTGCTGGCTTATTCTTAAGTATATACACATATATGTTATCTTCCATCTTTAAAAAATAATCCCCCTTTTAATAATCTCCACCTTTAGCTACAGCTTCTCTTCAGAGGTGAAAAAGTATTAATAGTCTATACTCAATATCTCTACTTTACTAATTCCCATTCACTCCAACTCACTGTAATATGGATTCTATTCCCCAACCCCCACCTGCAAGAGAGGAGGAGAGAGCAAGAGAGAGGGAAGGGGGAGGGAAGGAGGAAGGGAGGAGAGAGAAAAGTGCTAGAGGAGTGGGGTACAGGGGAAGGTAGGGAGGGAGACTTACAGGGATTGAAGAGAGGAGAATGCATTCACAAACCCTTTCTTACTCCTTACACTGGAACTGATTCTGACTGTAAACGTCGTCAGTGTTGCTCTTCTCCAAAATATATGGTACTGTGCCTGTTCTATTTCTGTCTCTCTATTTATTTATTTATTTTTTGAGACGGGGTCTGTCCCTGTCACCCAGGCTGGAGTGCAGTGGCACAAACACAGCTCACTGCAGCCTCAACCTCCCAGGCTCAAGTGATCCTCCCACCTCAGCCCCTCAAGAAGCTGAGACTACAGGCACACACCACCATGTCTGGCTGATATTTGTATTTTTGTAGAACAGTGTTTCACCATGTTGCCAAGGCTGGTCTTGCTCTCCTAGTCTCAAGCAGGCTCCACCTGCTTCAGCCTGCCAAAGTGTTGGGATTACAGGCGTGAACCACTGTACCCGGCTTCACTTTCTCTCTCTTCCTGGAGGAATGTCACCTGCAGTCAGTAGTCTTCTCTGACTCATACACTAATAAATCCCAAACCTGTATCTCTGTCCGACTTTTTTCCTGGTTTCCCAACCAATGTATCTACCTGCTGTTGGATACCTCTACAGGGATATCCTTCAACTTCAGCATGTCTACAGTTGACAGTTAACCTGTCAAACCAACTCTTCATCCTTGCATTTGCAATCTCAGTGAATGACACTATACATGCCTCTTTGAGTCATCCTAGATTTCTGCTTCATCTGTTTTTGCTAAACAGCCTCTAAGTCTTACTGATTCCACCTCCTGCATATCTGTTTTACATATTCTTCTGTGCCCCTATTATACTAGTTTAGGCTACTAGCATCTCTCATCAAGACAACATGTTCTAGTAATCTAATTAGTCCTCTTGCCTATTAGTGATTGCTTCTTGCCTAATGAGTGTGTCACAGCCACTAATACCTTTTCAGCCCACACATTGCATTTGTTTTATTTAAAACTCTTAGATATCTCTTCATTGTCTACAGGATAAATTTGAAACTCCTTAGCATAACCTGACCCCTAACCAACCTAACTGGGTTCATGTCCTACTCCCATCTTCTGTAGTTTGACTTCTAGCAGTCAAACCACGCGTAGTTCCCTGAACAAGCAATTTTGTTTCACTTTCTAGACCCTTAATTATACCTAGAATTCTACTTTCTGTCCCCAGTCCAGTTAACTTGCCATATTCTTCCTTCTCTCGAGTCAGCTTAGGCATCACTTGTAACTTTCCTTGATTTCCCAGAAGAGATTTAGGAGTCCTTATTCTGTGTTTAAATCACCCCTTTTATGTACCTTTATTATAATGTTTATCACATTCTATTGCAGTTCTCTTTTTACCTTTCAACTATATAAGCTCCTTGAGAACAAGAACTTTTTCTTTTCATCTACTGCTTAGCACAATACCTGGAACATAATAAGTGCTCCATAAATATTTGAGTTAACCTTTATAAAATACTAGAACATAGGTGATTTATGAATATGTGTTAGCTTAACCTGAAACATGCAGTGCTGACAACCTCTCCTACAAAGTATGTTTTCATGAAAGAGAGCGTAAATATAGTTTGATATTCATGCTGTAACATAAGTCACAATAATTCCACTGTAAATCCATTTTAAGATTTTTTTCCCCAGTGGCAATAAGAAAAATTATCTACCTATTGCATTCAGTTCATTTAGGAAAAACATAAAATTTACTTGAAAAATTTTAGCACGCATAGACCTGCAACTTATTGCCATTTATGGTAGGTATTTTGGACTTTTTGCACAGAATTTTAAAATGTGTCTAGTGCCATCTTATGAAGTGTGAGCCTTTTCCTTCATCTTTTGTCATTTTAATGTGTCTAGCTTCTACAGTTTTGTAAAATTGGTTTTATTATTTATTAAAATGGTTTATTATTTATTCTTAGAAGCACATGGAACAAGCAGCTATACCCCTGATAAGTCATCTTTTAATTTAGCTACAGTTGTTGCTGAAACACTTGGACTTGGTGTTCAAGAAGAATCTGTAAGTAATTGTTTAGTTTGGCAATAACATGAATTAATTTTATGTCTTTTTAGGTCAGTTCTTAGAGAATTAAGCAAGAGAATTGTTCTATCTAAAGATCTTGGGTAAAGGCCTGAAACAAAACTTACATTGTTAGAAAGTCCTATTTCTGTTGTCCAGCCCAGCAGTCTCAGAAATGTAGAATCTAGAATTCTTGGGATATGGGTTGAGTCAAAATTTAGGGGAGTAATTATGGCATAGAGATTTTGTCAACTTTCTTCCCTTCCCCCTCTCTCATGCCCCCTCCCTGCCCTCATCTAAGAGAAGACCTAAACCTTCAGGTTGATTTCAGAATTGTTGTTTTGTTTTGTTTTGTTTTTTAGAGATAGGATCTCATTGTGTTGCCCAGGGTGGAGTGCAGTGGCTATTCACAGACACAGTCATGGAGCCCTATAGCTTCAAACTCCTGGCCTCAAGTGATCCTCCCATCTCAGCCTCCCAAATAGCTGGGACTACAGACATATACCATTATGCCTAGCTAATTTTTTTTGTAGAGATGGGGGTCTCAACTGTGTTGCCCAGGCTGATCTCAAACACTTGGCCTCAAGAGATCCTCCTGCTTCAGCCTCTCAAAGTGTTGAGATTACAGGTGTGAGTCACCACATCCAGCTGTACTCTTATTAAGTTGTCTTGCTGTTGAATTTCTAAAAATTGAATTAGTTTTTCATTACATATAGATTTTTTTGTCCTTTCTAGTTTTAAATTCATTCTTAAATGATAATGGGTAGTTTTTAACCTTTGAACTTTGAATGTGTTTTAATAGTTTCTAATTCCCCCCTACCCATAAACCTGGCAAGTCACAGCTTAGACACCAAATAGATTAAGGGAGCTGAAATCTAATGACTTGCTGCTTGACGTGTGATCCATGGGCCAATAGCATCTGCATCAGTTTTGAAGTTTGGTAGAGATGCAGAATCTCAGACCTACTGAACTTGCATTGTAACAAAATCTCCAGTTGACTTGTATGCATGTTAAAGATTGAGAAGCACTGTTCTCTAAAGGATTATTTTAAATTCATCTCCTATCAGTATGAATAGTTATCTCTATTCCCTTCCCCTCATCTTAATGTTGTTTTTTGGAATTGGAGTTTTATATACAAGGAGTAGAATATACTTGTGTAAAACATTGAGGCTTTTCTCTTTAAACTTAAAAAGTGCTTCATATTTTTCATTGTGGTGAAATTAACATAACATAAATTAATTATTTTGAAGTGTACAACTCAGTGATATTTAGTACATTCATAATATTATGCAGCTATCACTTCTATCCAGTTCCAAAGCATTTTTATCACCTTCAAAGAAAACCTCATACCCATTAATCATGTATCCCCATTCTCCTCCCCTCATTCTTCCACCTCCCACTTGCATCCTCTGGCAACTTCCAATCTGCTTTCTGTCCCTAGAGATTTACCTATTCTGAATATTTCATATAAATGGAATCATACATTATGTGGCCTTTGTCTGGCTTCTTAGTATATTTTTGAGGTTCATCTACATCATAACATATATCAGTACTTCATCCCTTTTTAAGAATGAACAAATCCCATTACATGGATGTGCTTCATATTTTACTCTTGAAGGAAACTCAAGGTCCCATGAGCCCCCTTGGTGATGAGCTCTACCACTGTCTGGAAGGAAATCACAAGAAACAGCCTTTTGAGGAATCTACAAGAAATACTGAAGATAGTTTAAGGTAATTAAGGGCACGTTGGTGAAAACTGATAAGCTATTGGTGAGATCCCATTACAATGAATTTCATATAATTAAGCCATTTCTCTCCTTCAACATATAGTTTGTTATTGTGGTTATATAAATGTTTACTTTAAAAATTGTCTCCCTAGTTTCTGACCAATTGAGAGCTTTTTTGCATTACAGTAGAAAGGTGGATATCATTTTTAGCTACTTTCTGTGTTTCTGTCAAGCAGTACTTGTTCCCAGTACTTGTCACTCTGCTCCTTTAAAGAGCCAGTCATCCCTTCGGGGTTTATATTTCCCAAAACTGGATGTTCTACAAAATGCATCTAGAAGCTTGGATGAGCTTCCAAGATTGTGTTGCATCTCATTTTTACTAATTTCAGAATACCTATTAACTAATAATACAGCCATTCCGTGATATCAGTGGGGGATTAGTTATAGGACCCCCTCCCCCATGGGTACCAAAATCCAAAGATGCTCAAGTCCGTTACATAAAATGGCCATCATTATTGCATATAACCTGTGCATATCCTCCTGTATATTTTATGTAATTTCCAGATTATTTATAATACCTAATACAATGCCTACATATCAATCCATTTGCAAAGATTCAACATAGTACTTGGCACATGGAAAATTCAAGTTTTGCCTTTTGGAATGTTGTGAAATTTGGATTTTTTACCCAAATTATTTTCTAGCCACATGGCTGAATCTACAGATGCAGAACCCACAGATAAGGAGGGCCACTGTACCTGTATTTATATAGCATTTTGCTTTTTAAAAGAGCTTTCAGTTTTTAGATATATAGATATCTATCTATCTATATATGTATATCACAGTCTGTCATCTTAGTAACTGATTAAAGTAGATTTTGTTACCCTAATTTTTGGGTTTATTTTACAGATTACAAAAATACAGCTCCAGAAAGGTTAAATGTCTTGTTTCAGGCCACATAGCTATTAAGTGGTAGAGCCAGAGATCTTACCCAGCCCACATCTTCAAACTTACTGCTCTTTCTACGCATATTTCCTCTGCTAGAGACAGGCTGAATCTTAATTTATGTTCAATTCTGTAGTGTAAGAATTTTGTTTCTTGGAGTTACTCATGATCAAATGTCGTAACAAAAGAACTTAGGTTCTCAGTGGAATTTATTAAAATATGATTTTTGTTTGTTTGTTTCTTGAGACAGAGTCTCACTCTGTCACCCAGGCTTAGCTCACTGCAACCTCCACCTCCCAGGTTCAAGTGATTCTCGTGCCTTAGCCACCAGAGTAGCTGGGATTACTGGCGTGTGCCACCACACCCGGCTAATTTTTGTATTTTTAGTAGAGATGGGGTTTCACCATGTTAGCCAGGCTGGCCTCGAACTTCTGGCCTCAAGTGATCTGCCCACCTTGGCCTCCCAAAGTGCTGGGATTACAGGCATGAGCCACTGCGCCTGGCAAAAGATGATTTTTTGTATAATAAAGTTATTTAAAGTACTTAGGAAAAATTTTTAAAATATGAATATTATGGTGTTGAGAAATACTTCCTATGTCATTTTCCTCTGCTTTTCCCCTTCTCTTTTGTCATCTAAATGAAGAGAAGCCAAAAGCTGTACCTTGTCTTAAATTTTGGTTAATCATTTGCTTCTAAGAGGTAGATAAGACCTTACTATTAATTCTGTATTAAAGAATTGTTATCACTCTTTATTTAGATTTTCAGATTCTACTTCAAAGACTCCTCCTCAAGAAGAATTACCTACTCGAGTGTCATCTCCTGTATTTGGAGCTACCTCTAGTATCAAAAGTGGTTTAGATTTGAATACAAGTTTGTCCCCTTCTCTTTTACAGCCTGGGAAAAAAAAACATCTGAAAACACTCCCTTTTAGCAACACTTGTATATCTAGATTAGAAAAAACTAGATCAAAATCTGAAGATAGTGCCCTTTTCACACATCACAGTCTTGGGTCTGAAGTGAACAAGATCATTATCCAGTCATCTAATAAACAGATACTTATAAATAAAAATATAAGTGAATCCCTAGGTGAACAGAATAGGACTGAGTACGGTAAAGATTCTAACACTGATAAACATTTGGAGCCCCTGAAATCATTGGGAGGCCGAACATCCAAAAGGAAGAAAACTGAGGAAGAAAGTGAACATGAAGTAAGCTGCCCCCAAGCTTCTTTTGATAAAGAAAATGCTTTCCCTTTTCCAATGGATAATCAGTTTTCCATGAATGGAGACTGTGTGATGGATAAACCTCTGGATCTGTCTGATCGATTTTCAGCTATTCAGCGTCAAGAGAAAAGCCAAGGAAGTGAGACTTCTAAAAACAAATTTAGGCAAGTGACTCTTTATGAGGCTTTGAAGACCATTCCAAAGGGCTTTTCCTCAAGCCGTAAGGCCTCAGATGGCAACTGCACGTTGCCCAAAGATTCCCCAGGGGAGCCCTGTTCACAGGAATGCATCATCCTTCAGCCCTTGAATAAATGCTCTCCAGACAATAAACCATCATTACAAATAAAAGAAGAAAATGCTGTCTTTAAAATTCCTCTACGTCCACGTGAAAGTTTGGAGACTGAGAATGTTTTAGATGACATAAAGGTTTGTGTTAAATGTTCAAGGATTTTGATTAAAATGATTGCTTGTGATTTCATTTAGAGCTAACAATTATTTCTGTTTTAGAGTGCTGGTTCTCATGAGCCAATAAAAATACAAACCAGGTCAGACCATGGAGGATGTGAACTTGCATCAGTTCTTCAGTTAAATCCATGTAGAACTGGTAAAATAAAGTCTCTACAAAACAACCAAGGTGTGTACACCATAAACAGGATCTCCACTTTTTTAATGACTTCAGATTGAATGTCATTATTTACTTTTTTAAATAGATTGAATTGTTTTGGAAAAAAACTTATTTCTTCCTTCAGGTGTCTGTATTTATAGGACGATTCTCACATTTTACCGGTGATTTTTCTGTTCTTTTTTTTTTTTTTTTTTTTTTTTGAGACGGAGTCTCGCTCTGTCGCCCAGGCTGGAGTGCAGTGGCGCGATCTCGGCTCACTGCAAGCTCCGCCTCCCGGGTTCACACCATTCTCCTGCCTCAGCCTCCCGAGTAGCTGGGACTATAGGCGCCCACCATGCCCGGCTAATTTTTTTTTTTTGTATTTTTAGTAGAGACGGGGTTTCACCACATTAGCCAGGATGGTCTAGATCTCCTGACATCGTGATCCACCAGCGTCGGCCTCCCAAAGTGCTGGGATTACAGGCGTGAGTCACTGCGCCCGGCCACTTATATACGTTTTTAAACTCCTTTAAAAACATTGTTGGCCCGGTACGGTGGCTCACACCTGTAATCCCAGCACTTTGGGAGGCCGACGCTGGTGGATCACGATGTCAGGAGATCGAGACCATCCTGGCTAACGTGGTGAAACCCCATCTCTACTAAAAACACAAAAAATAAGCCAGGCATGGTGGCAGGCGCCTGTAGTCCCAGCTATTCGGGAGGCTGAGGCAGGAGAATGGTGTGAACCCGGGAGGTGGAGCTTGCAGTGAGCCGAGATCGTGCCACTGCACTGCACTCCAGCCTGGGTGACAGAGCAAGACTCCGTCTCAAAAAAAAAAAAGAAAAAAAAAATTGTTTGCCTTAAGATATATAGGCATCTTTTCATAATTTTGCTATATTTTATTATTATTATTATTATTATTTGAGACAGGGTCCTACTCTGTCACCCAGACTGGAGTGCAGTGGCATGATCACGGCTCACTTGCAGCCTTGACCTCCCAGGCTCAGGTGGATCCTCCCATCTCAGCCCCCTGGATAGCTGGGACTACAAGCATGCACCACCACACCCAGCTGATTTTTTTATTTTTTGAAGTGACTGGGTTTCGCCTTGTTGCCCAGGTTGGTCTCGAACTACTGGACTCAAGCCATCTGCCTGCCTTGGCCTCCCAAAGTGCTGGGATTACAGGTGTGAACCACCCACGCCCAGCCTGCTATCTTTAAAAAAGTAATTTTTTTTTTCAGCCACCAAACATTTCTGTAGTTCAAGTGCAGTATTTTTTCTTGTATTCTTCATTGGCAAGTTATTCCTTTATTCTGGGTTTATTTTCCCTTTTTCCTGAAGCACAGTCATTAGTTGTTTTTCCAGTGAGTGTTTTAGTCTCTATATGAAAACATTTTTTTCACTATCATTCATGATTTTTTTTGAGCTTTTTGTTTTTATTTTTTTCATGGTTGCTCTAGGGATTACAGTATCTACCTACTTAGCCTTTTACAATCTACTTGGAGTTAATGTACTATTTCATGTTCTGTAACTACACTTTATGTAGTTCCTGTGTATTTTATCTACATATATTGAAAACCCCATCAATGTTATAGTTTTTAATTTTAAAAAATTTTAATTGAAATATAAATCACATACCATAAAAATCACCCATTAAAATGTTCAATTCAGTGGTTTGGTATACCCACAGAGTTGTACAACCATCACTGTAGTCTAGGTTTACAACATTTTCATCACTTTCCTTCCCCATATACCCTCTGCAGTCCTAGGCACCTTAAATCTACTTTCTCTCTTTGTAGATTTGCCTATTCTGGGAGTTTTCATATAAATGGAATCGTTTAATATATGATCTTTTGTTACTTCTTTCACTTGGCATAATGTTTTCAGTTATCTGTGTTACAGCATATATCAATATTTTATTTCTTTTTATTGGATAATTTTTTATTGCATAAGTATACCATATTTTAGGTATTTATTAGCTGACATTCAAGTTGTCACTTTTTTGCTATTATGAACAATGCTGCTATGAACATTTGTATACAGGTTTTTGTGTGGATGTATGTTTTCATTTTTCTTGGATTATACCTAGGAGTGGAATTGTTGGGCCATATGCCAATTCTACATTTTACCTTTTGAAAGACTGCCTGTTTTCCAAAGCAGCTACACCATTTCACATTCCCACCAGCAGTATGTGAGGGTCCCAGTATCTCCACCTCCTCACTAGCACTTGTTATAGCTTTTTGATTTTTGCCATCTCGTGGTTTTGGTTTGCATTTCCTTGACTGCTGATGATGTTGAGCATCCTTTCATGTTTATTGGCAATTTGTATATCTTCTTTGGAGAACTGTCTATTTAGATCCTTTGCCCATCTTTAATTGGGATATTTGTCTTTTTATTATGGAGCTGTGAGAGTTCTTTATATATCTTAGATATAAGTCCTTTACCAGACATATGATTTGCAAAAATTTTCTATTCTTTAGGTCCCATAATATTTTAAAGTGATGAGAATTTTTGAAATCAGTTTTTTAATTGCATGCTCTTTCCCTTTACCTAAGATGTATCCTTTGAAAATATCCAGTGGAGTATAGATCCGGGAGCAGACCTTTCTCAGTATAAAATGGATGTTACTGTAATAGATACAAAGGTAAGTTAAAAAGTAAAACCAAAACTCATTTGACTTTTATTCCAATGAGTTGTTAGTCAACCTCCTCTCGTGACTCACTGTATCACCTTAAGATAATCAGATACGTCTTAAAACCTACATGTATTTATGCAGAAAATTAAGAAATAAAAATGCTTATTCTTCTAACTTTATGGTATTTTTTAAAGGGTAATACTTTCTGACTTTAAAGGCCTTTACTGAAAAATATTAATATAGTTTTTAAAAGAATGCAGTGGGCAGGCGCAGTGGCTCATGCCTGTAATCCCAACACTCTGGGAGGTCGAAGAGAGAGAATCACTTGAAGCCAGGAATTCGAGACCAGCCTGGGCAATATAGCAAGGCCCTGTCTCTATAGGAAATTTTAAAGTTAGCTGGGCATGGCAGTGCATACCTGTAGTCCTAGCTACTTGGGAGGCTGAGGTTGGGAGGATACCTTGAACCCAGGAATTCGAGGCTGCAGTGAGGTATGATCACACCACTGCACATCCAGCCTAGGCAACCAGAGCAAGACCCTGTCTCATAAATTAAAATAATGCAAAATGCTGCATATCTTATATAATTTTATCATTCATTAAAATAATTCATCATGTCTTCATTACCTTTAAAATAATGTACCATAAAATTCATTTTCCAAGTTGACTATTTTTAAAAGTTAAAATTCATAGTGGAAATAGTTTTTTGTCTTGTATTTAGCTTCTGTGTAGTTTCAGAAGTTCTCTTTCACTTGGTAGCATATTAATAACAAAGTATTTAACATACGCTGAGTAATATATGCCTATCAAGAAATTTAATTTAATTTTTGAAAGTGTTCTTAGTGTACATTGATGTTCATTACTATAAGGCAAATTGGAAAATAAAGGCAGGAAAAGTTCAGGGGTGTTTAGTGGTAAATAATTCTCCCTTTCCTTGGCAGCAGTCCTTCTTTTCCTAGGCTTGATTATATTGAAGCTAAAATGTTTTATAAGCAGTAAAACCTAAATCCTTACCTGTTCGTAAAGTATAAAAGCAAATATAGCTTAATGCTTAAAAGTTGTAAAATGTATGTTATGTATATTTTACCAAAATGTTTTGTAAAAATTAAATATAAGACCATAAAGGAATAATTGTTAAAATTTTTGATTTTTAAAATATTTATTTAGGATGGCAGTCAGTCAAAATTAGGAGGAGAGACAGTGGACATGGACTGTACATTGGTTAGTGAAACCGTTCTCTTAAAAATGAAGAAGCAAGAGCAGAAGGGAGAAAAAAGTTCAAGTAAGATCTGTTTTTGTTTTGTTATTTTTTTTAATAACGTTGTGTGAAGTTTGTAGTTGTACCATTGCACTGATTAGCTCAAGTGACCTCTTCACCATAAAGCAGGTTTTTTCCTGCTCTGTTAACTTTATGTTCCTCTTAGGAAAGCTCAGTTTCAGTGCGTCAGAAAAAAAGTCTTTAACCAAACTAATTTCATTTCAGAAAAGATTCATATGGCTTCCAGGGATTTGCAAATGACAGCCAGCTACCAGTTTTGTAAATAAAGTTCTACCAGAGCACAGCCTTATTCATTTCTTTATGTATTGCCCATCGCTGTTTGTTCCATACAGCTGCAGAGTTGAGTAGTTGATGCAGAGACCTTATAGCCCCACAAGCCTAAAATAGTTATTTTCTGACCCTTTAAGAAAAAGTTTGCTGATCCCTGGTGTAGACAATTTTTTATAAGTGGTATAACAGTAAGTCTTGAGTCCTGTGTTAGAATTAACGTTTTCTAAAGAAATTTGATAAGGAAAGAAAGGAGAAATCTACCGAGAAGTCTTAGTATAGTTTTACAGGTTAACATTCAGAATGATAGTGTATATGCTGAGTTAATCTGCTGTATTCCACCTCTACTGATAAGGCAATTTGGCCAAATTAGTGGTCTACAGCCCTTTGTAGTGAGAAACTATTAATTCTTTACCCAAAGTCTTGATTTTCCGGAAGAGATGAGAACAATAGGAGGATTTTGGTTAGCAGTACCTTAGCAACATTCCTAACTGTAGAGGCACATGACATGAGAACAGCTAGACTATGAACAGTTGTCATTTATCATCCTTATGTATTGAAGAGCGAGGGCCTGCCACATGGGGAAGCAGTGCTAAAAGCAGAGACATTCCCCAGTGATCATTTGTTAGAAGCCGAATACATTGAGGCTGGGTGTGCATTCCTTATCTTCTGCTGAATTTTCTATAGTCTACCTGCTCAGAGCAAAAAATAAAATAGTCTTGCCCTGGCTTCTTTTGAATCTACTTATCTACTGCTGCCTTAAATGCAGTAAATCAAAGAAAACTTTAGTAGTCTTTGCCTTATTTGTTCTTCAATGACAAATAGCAAACCATATGATGAAGCAGATGGTTACCTGGGTAGAGAAGCCAATACCTATTAAAAGAAAAAACCTTCACAGTAGTTTATTGCCATTTTATGGCTTGTATGACACTAAATAACTCTTCTTAAGAGGATACTTTGCTTTTAAGATTATTTTGTTCCTGATACTAGCCTCTGATCATGTTTTTCTCATTTTTGTAGAAAAGAGAAAATCTAAAGTATGACCACTTTAAATCTATTCAGAAGACAATAGTTTCTCAAATTTATTTGATGCAAGTATCATGTGAAAGAGAAATTAGCACTTGGACTAATGAGGGGAAATTATAGAGATAATTTTGGCTAATAAAGTGCTATGGATAGTATTGCTACATAATGAATGAATCACTTGAATAACTCAGAGGATTCAAACAATACCATTTTCTTATCTTCATAGTTCCTGTGGCTCAGGAATTCAGGAAAGGCTTGGCTGGTCAGTTCTGTTTCAGGGTCTCATGCAGTTGTAGGCAGATGGTGGCTGGAACTGAAACAGCAGAGGGCTGGGCAGCTGGAGAGTGAATTGGCATCTCCTCATTTACTCTCAGGGCTTATTCACTTAGGCTCATTTGAGCTTCCTCTTCACATGGAGGATAAGTTCCCAGAGTTGGCACCCCAACAGAACAAAGCAGAAGCAGGTGACATTTTTATGACCTCAGAGGTAACATAGTGTCACAAAGATCTGCACAGGCATAAAGCGAAATGAACAGGCCCTCAGTGACACTCAGTGGGAGGAGTGTTGACATCATGTTGTAAGAACCGCACATGGAATAGGAGACATTAGTGAGGTTATATTAAAAAAAAAAAAAATTACCCCATAAGGTAAAACTTTTCCAGCACTTAGAATTGGTTTAAAATGAAATATACCAATAAAAATTCCATATTACTGCCAGTATTTCAATTCAGAAAATTTTCATGCACCTACTCTGTTAGATTTTCTAGGTGCTGTGACAGAAAGATCAACAAGGATATACTCTCTGTCTTCAGGTATTTCGCAATCACAAATCAAACAAAAATAAATCATCAATTTAACATTTTGCTTTACAAACAGCATACACAGAATGTTCCGAGGATGCCTAGCACAATGCCTGGTGCATAGAAGTTGTATTTTATTTACATATTTGACCTTCAGCATGCAGAATAAATGTTTAATTATCAATAAATATCAAGCAAAAATTTTGTAGTAGGAAGTATTTTAGGAACTAGAGATAATGAATAAACAGAACAAAAGTACTTACCTTATGGAACGTACATTCTAATGAGAGAAATAAGCAATTGTATATATAATAGATGATGGTAAGTCCAGGAGAAAGGTAAAGCAAGGTAAGAGTGAGAGAGTGCTGTGCGTTGGGAGAGGTGGTACTTATATAGAATAATCTTAGGCCTCTTTTCTGTCATATTTGTTAGCCAACTGGATTTAAACTCTAGTGTTTTTTAAATGTGATTATATAATGGGAAATGTGGTTAGATCTGTGAAGATGAATTTTTCATTTTCCGTGTCAAATATGGCATTGAATTCCTAATTTCTAGTAATACTAAACTACCAGATGCTAATGAAGATGAAAGAAAATACTTTTTTGCTACTTCATTACAAAAAGTAAGCATGAAAGGTCGAGCACAGTGACTCGCACCTGTAATCCCAGTATTTTGGGAGGCCTAGGTGGGCGGATCACTTGAGGTCAGGAGTTTGAGACCAGCCTGGCCAACACGGTGAAACCCCATCTCTACTAAAAATACAAACATTAGCCGGGTATGGTGGCGCACACCTCTAATTCCAGCTACTTGGGAGGCTGAAGCAGAAGGATTGCTTGAACCCAGGAGGCGAGGTTGCAGTGAGCCAATATCGCCTCACTGCACTCCAGCCCGGGTGACAGAGCAAGACTCCGTCTCAAAAAAAAAAAAAAAGCATGAGTAAAGAACATTTAAAGCCATAACATAAAGCCTTTGTAAATGTACAGTAACTACCCAGAGTTGGGAGTTTATTCTTACCTCATACACAGATTACAAGAATTAAACCTCATTATAAGAATCATGATTTAAGAAGTGTCTTTAAACACTTCATTACATACGTTACAGTTTGCTACTCACTGAGAGTAACTGAATTAACACTCAGCCTTACAGCTTGCAACTAATATTCTTAGAATCATGTTAGCATGTGTCCACAAACACTTCACTACATGCATTACATCTGTTCACCAAAAGAACACTCTTCACAGCTAGGCCTGCAGCCCTCATCATAATAATCATGCCTTTAAACACTTTATTACATACATTATAGTTTGTTACTCACTTATATTCACTGAATTTAACACTCTTAACAAGACAGCTTGCAAGTAACATTCTTAGAACTATCTTTTACATACGTGTCTACAAGCCTTTCACTACCTATATTACATCTATTCACTGAAAGAATACTCTGCAAAGTAAGGCCTGTAATCCACATTTTTTTAAAACATTTTTTAAACTATCAAATTTTTATTTTAGGTTTGTGGGTACATAAGAAGGTTTGTAACATAGATAAACACGTGTCATGGGAATTTGTTGCACATATTATTACATTACACAGTTACTAAGCTCAGTACCCAATATATAATCCATATTTTAACAACCGTATTTTAAGAAGTGTCTTTAAGGACTGCATTCTGTTATTGTGTGGTAGTTACTACAGTTTCATGATGGTCTACATATTAAGCAAAAGCTTGCTTATTGCCCTAAGCCAGTGCTCTTTTACATAGATGAAGAAAGAAAAATGAATGATAGCTTGGAAGATATGTTTGATCGGACAACACATGAAGAGTATGAATCCTGTTTGGCAGACAGTTTCTCCCAAGCAGCAGATGAAGAGGAGGAATTGTCTACTGCCACAAAGAAACTACACAGTAAGATTTTTTTCTGTTTAATTATGGCTTCTCAGTTGCAGAATTCAGTAAGTTAAGTTATCAAGCTAATTAACAAAGGCTTGATGACATATCAACAATTGAAGTTTCATATTTCTTGTATAAATTTTTTCAGGTTTTTAAAATTTTGAGATAATTTTACACTGATAAGAGTTCCAGAAAATTTTTCAGCATTCTCCTGTACCTTTGACCCAACCTCTCCTTATGTTAATGTGTTATATAGCTATAAAATATTTATTAGAACTAAGAAACTAAGATTAGTTTGGTATTACAAATTTCTTTCTAAATACGCATAAAATTGATAAAATTTTTGAGAAATGTCTATTAATTATTAAATTAATTGTAATAGAGTAGAAGGAGAAAGTTTTGTACAACATTCAGATCCAGCCAGGCACAGTGGTTCACACCTGTAATCCCAGCACTTTGGAAGGCCAAGGCAGACAGATTGCTTGAGCTCAGGAGAGTTCAAGACCAGCCTGGGCAATGTGATAAAACCTCATTTCTACAAAAATTAGCTCGGCATGATGGCACATACCTGTAGTCCCAGCTACTTGGGGGCTGGAGCGAGAAGATCGCTTGAACACCCAGGAGGTCGTGGCTGCATCAGTGAACCGCTGACTGTACTTCAGCCTGGGCGACAGAGTGAGACCCTGTCTCAAAAAAATAATAATTAATTAATTAAATTCAAAAAAGGAAAATTCAGATCTGTTTTCTGCTGTGAATGCTTTATCTTACCAGACAAAATACCTAATGTAACTATGTGTATTAGTCTTAATATCTCTTTCATTAGAAGCAGTAACTTTATAATGTAGGATAGCAATCAGAAAAAGAATACTCTAATTGAAAATCTAAGTAGATAATCTGGATTGAAAATTGTAATTTTTGTTAAATCTCTCATTTTTCTCCTTGTTTTATTAAATTGGTCCGAATTTTTAATCTAGTGCAAAGATTGTTTTATGCTGGTTTAAATGAACATACCTTCTACTGTGGCACAATCTTGATTATGCTCATGTTTCCATCAGGTTTTTGAAACAACAGCCCTTAACTCAAAAGTGAGTGAGACCCAAACCAAAGATAGAGGACAGTAGGCTTTTGCTTGCTTAGTCCATGGCAAAAACTCCATCAAGTAAATTTTGAAATAAAAATTCACAGCTGTTCGGTATCCTTTTTCCCCCCAAGAAGGACCTTTTGCAAATAGGTTTCATTTCAAAGAAAAAGACTATTTTTCGCAAAGGTGTACTTATTCTGTTCCTTCTTTTAAGTTACATTTGACACTGACTATCCCAGAATTTCTTCTCACTTAGCTTTTCTGACGATGCTGCCTCGTTCTTTTCATTTGTCACAGCTTGTTTCCTAGAATATCCCCAAGACTCTTTCTTCCTCACAACTTTTCTCTCACAACTTTTATCAGCCTTACCTCTGAAAATGATTCCAAATCTGCATCTCTAGGTTTGATTTCTCTGATGAATCCCAGTCTTGCATTTCTGAGTACTGTGAGATACTTTTGCGTCTCTTCAGCTTAAACGTAATGTCTAAGCCAATTTCCATTTACTTCCAACCAAATAATCTTCAAACGTTTTTATTTTTCCCAGTCACCCAGGCATATAATTTAGGATTTGTTACATATTTATTTTATTTTCTCAACCCAGTTACTACCTTGTATGTGCTTTCTCACATAACCCTTAGCTGTCTACCTGCTTAATGTTTAACTCTCTGCTTGCTTAATGTCTATTTTCTTCACTGTAATGTAAACTCCATGAAGACAGGAGACCTGCTCTCTCGTTACACATTGTATGTCTGGAACTTAGCACAATGCTCAGTAAATTTTGATTCTTTGAATAGATGCTAGCGTTTAGCTATTTGAGTCTAGACATCTTAGGAGTCAAGTCCCAAGTTCTGAGCTCTAGGTTTTAATCTTTGTCACCAATTTTCTGATAAAATCTTTAATCTGTTTATTCCCTAGTTATAACTTACCTTAAAGATGCATTGTAAAAATCAACAGGATTGGTGACAATGTAAATTAGTATAGCCATTTTAGAAAATGATATGAAGATTCCTCAGAAAACTAAAAATGGCCAAGGCGGGCGGATCACGAGGTCAGGAGATCGAGACCATCCTGGCTAACACGCTGAAACCCCGTCTCCTGAAAATACAAAAAAATTAACCGGGCATGGTGGCAGGTGCCTGTAGTCCCAGCTACTCGGGAGGCTCAGGCAGGAGAATAGCGTGAACCCGGGAGGTGGAACTTGCAGTGAGCCAAGATCACGCCACTGTGCTCCAGCCTGGGCAACAGCGCAAGACCCCGTCTCAAAAAAAAAAAAAAAAAAAAAAAAAAACTAAAAATGGAACTGTCATAGATCCAGCAGTCCCACTACTGGGTGTATATCCAAAGGAAAGGAAATCAGTATGTTAAAGAGGTATCTGCACTCACGTTTATTGCAGCACTGTTCAGAATAGCCAAGATACGGAATCAGCCTAAGTGTCTACTTACAGATAAAGAAAATGATATATAGCTAGATAGGTGTATATATATATATACACACACACACACATATACATAGACACACAAAAATACTATTTAACCACTAAAAAGAACAAAATTCTGTCATTTGTGCAAACATCGATGAGCTTGGAGAACATCATATTAAGTGAAATAAGCCAGGCACAGAAAGATAAATACCACATGTTCTTATTCATATGTGGAATCTAAAAAAGTTGATCTCATAGAAGTAGAGAGTAGAATAGCAGTTACTAGAGGTGGGGAAGGCTGGGATAGCCAAAGGTGGGTTAATTGGTATAAAAATATAGCTAGCCAAGCAAGGTGGCAGGCACCCATAGTCCCAGCTACCCAAGAGGCTGAGGCAGGAGGATAGCTTGAGCCTTGGAGTTCTTGGAGTAGTGCTGTATTGGAGTTCTGAGGTATGATCCATATTAAGTTTGGCATCAATATGGTGACCTCTTAGAAGCAGGAGACCACTAAGTTGCTCAAGGAGCAGTGAACTGGCCCACTTCAAAAATGGAGCAGGTCAAAACTTGCATGCTGATCAGTAGTGGTGCGGTGCCTATGAATTGCCCCTGCCCTCCAGCCTGGGCAACATAGCAACACCTGATCTCTAAGAAAAATAAATAAGGGAGCCGGGCACAGTGGCTTACGCCTGTAATCCCAACACTTTGGGAGGCCGAGGCAGGCGGATCACAAAGTCAGGAGATCGAGACCATCCTGGCTAACACAGTGAAACCCCGTCTCTACTAAAGATACAAAACATTAGCCGGGTGTGGTGGCGTGCGCCTAGTAGTCCCAGCTACTTGGGAGGCTGAGGCAAGAGAATCTCTTGAACCTGGGAGGCAGAAGTTGCAGTGAGCCTAGATCATGCCACTGCACTCCAACCTAGGCAACAGAGCAAGACTCCATCTCAAGAAAACAAAGAAAAATAAAAAGCTAAATAGAAGGAATAAATTGTAGTGTTCAATAGCACTATATGGTGACTATAATTAACAACAATATATGTTCTCAGATAGCTAAAAGCACAGATTTTGAATGTTCCCAACACAAAGAAATGACAAATGTTTGAGGTGACAGATATGCTAATTACCCTAATTTGGTCTTTACACATTGTGTACATATATCAGAGTATCACACTGTATAAAGATGTATACTTATGTGTAAATTTTTTTTATTTTTTTGAGACGGAGTCTTGCTCTGTTGCCAGGCTGGAGTGCAGTGGCACAATCTCAGCTCACTGCAACCTCCAACTCCCTGGTTCAAGAGATTCTCCTGCCTCAGCCTCCCGAGTAGCTGGGATTACAGGCATGTGCCACCATGCCCAGCTAATTTTTGTATTTTGAGTAGAGACAGGGTTTCACCATGTTGGCCAGGCTGATCTCAAACTCCTGACCTCAGGTGATCCACCCACCTCGGCCTCCCAAAGTGCTGAGATTACAGGTGTGAGCCACCACACCCGGCCAAAATTAATATTGAAAGCTGTCTTTTGTTGTTCTTTCTTGTCAAATGATAATAGTGGGCATCTGAGTATTTCTTTTATACTCTAAAATACTTCCTGAGATAATGACTTTTAGCTGTCTAGTAATTTTGAGTTGAATGAAACAGCACCCTCCTCATTATGCAGATGCAAAAGAAAGAAAAAAGTAGTTGCAGAGGCAGGGTGCAGTGGCTCACGCCTGTAATCCCAGCACTTTGGGAGGCCGAGGCGGGCGGATCATGAGGTCAGGAGATTGAGACCATCCTGGCTAACATGGTGAAACCCTGTCTCTACTAAAAATACAAAAGATTAGCCCGGCATGGTGGTGGGCGCCTGTAGTCCCAACTACTCAGGAGGCTGAGGCAAGAGGATGGCGTGAACCCGGGAGGTGGAGCTTGCAGTGAGCAGAGATTGTGCCACTGCACTCCAGCCTAAGCAACAGAGCAAGACACCGGCTCAGAAAAAAAAAAAAATAGTTACAAAGTTGCAGAAAATTTAAATGAGTTGCTCAGAGGCCTGGAGCATGAAACCCAATAAAAATGGAAGTTTGAGTGCGTGTCATTTTCTTCCAAGCTAGTTAATTATTTCTCATTAAGTTCTACATTTAGTTTGTAATGTGCATGTTTTATTTATAGCTCATGGTGATAAACAAGACAAAGTCAAGCAGAAAGCGTTTGTGGAGCCGTATTTTAAAGGTGATGAAAGGTAAGTTGGTTTTTATTTATACCAGCAATGTGACTGGAAGTACAATAGAGCTGTCTTTTATTTCTCTCTCTTTTTTCTTTTTTTTTAAAGACAGAGTCTTGCTCTGTCACCCAGGCTAGAGTGCAATGGCGTAAACTCAGCTCACTGCAACCTCTGCCTCCTAGGCTCAAGCAATACTCCCACCTCAGCCTCCTGAGTATCTGGGACTACAGGCACATACTACCACACCTGGCTAACTTTTTTATTTTTTGTAGAGACAGGGTTTCACCACGTTGCCAAGGCTAATCTTGAACTCCTGGGCTCAAGCCATCCATCTGCCTCGGCCTCTCAAAGTGCTGGGATTACAGGCTTGAGCCACCACACCTGGCCAGTCGAGCTGTCTTTGTCAGAGTATCTCTAAACTGTTAAATTGCTACTTTGGTTAAATTAAAATTATTTACTTTATGGTCATAAAAAAGAGACTCAAGCATAAAAACGACAAATTTTACAAATAAGGAAATTTTTGGCACCATCACCTTTTTTTGGCAGTGGTAATAGTTATTTTCTCTGCTTTTGTGTGTGTGCGTGTGCATGTGTGTGTGTGTATTTCTTTTTTTTTTTTTTTTGGAGACAGAGTTTCACTCTGTTGCCCCGGCTGGAGTACAGTGGCGCAATCTCGGCTCACTGCAACCTCTGTCTCCTGGGTTCAAGTTATTCTCCTGCCCCCGCCTCCCGAGTAGCTGGGATTACAGGTGCCCACCACCAGGCCTGGATAATTTGTGTATTTTTATTAGAGATGGGATTTCACCATGTTGGCCAGGCTGGTCTCGAACTCCTGACCTCAGGTGATCCACCCGCCTCAGCCTCCCAAACTGCTGGGATTACAGGCATGAGCCACCACACCCAGCCTGTCTGTTTTATTATTTTTTTTAAATGTCTTTTTATTCTATCTTTTCAACTTGGGGCATTTATTAAATTGTATAAGTTTTATGTAGTATAAGACTTTAGGTAGGCCAGGCATGGTGGCTCACGCTTGTAATCCCAGCACTTTGGGAGGCCCAGGCGGGGGGATCAAAAGGTCAGGAAATTGAGACCATCCTGGATAACATGGTGAAACCCCGTCTCTACTAAAAATACAAAAAATTAGCCAGGTGTGGTGGCAGGCACCTGTAGTCACCGCTACTCAGGAGGCAGGAGAATGGCGTGAACTCGGGAGGTGGAGCTTGCAGTGTGCCGAGATCGCGCCACTGCACTCCAGCCTGGGCAACAGAGCGAGACTCCGTCTCAGAAAAAAAAAAAAAAAAGACTTTAGGTAGTAAGACTTAGGTTTATTATGCTTCAGAATTATTTTATAAGGATTTTTGAATCTTTAAAAACAAAACCTTTAAGCATGTTTTGTTTTTTTGGTTTTTTTTTTTGAAATGGAGTTTCGCTCTGGTTGCCCAGGCTGGAGTGCAATGGCATGATCTTGGCTCACTGCAACCTCTGCCTCCTGGGTTCAAGCAATTCTCCTTCATCAGCCTCGCGAGTAGCTGGGATTACAGGTGCCCACCACAACACCTGGCTAATTTTTTGTATTTTTAGTAGAGACAGGGTTTCACCATGTTAGCCAATATGGTCTCGATCTCCTGACCTCGTGATCCACCCGCCTCGGCCTCCCAAAGTGCTGGGATTACAGGCGTGAACCACCACGCCTGGCGCTAAGCATCTTGATTTAACCATAATGCGACCTTCTGCCTTTCACAAGGACTGCAAATTCTGTTACTTATAGTCACCTACTATTTGTTCTTAAAGCAAATTGAAGACATAGTAATTCATTCAAAAAAAATTGTTATTTTTTTCTTTAAGATGTTGGTAAATTGAGTTACTCAGTAAAGTTACTCCTTTTATTTTTATTTCTGTTGAGAATTTTAGAAATCTAACAGGCCAAGATTTTTTTTATTCCTCTGAAACTCTTAAAGAGCTGTCATTTTGTTTAATGCTTAATTCTTCTTTTTTAGTTACCAGTTTTCCAAACAAATGGTACTCTAGCATTCCAAATGTGACTAGGTTGTTTTTTGTTTAGGTGTCATTATATACTCATCAATTTAAGTATATTTGATGTGTTGTAATCCATTGCAGTCATTATCCTTAGAGATACCCAGATTGTCCCATCTTTGCCTAAAGGAAAAGGAAGCTTCTTTCATAGGTTTCTTGCTTCTGTTATCTGGAATCTGCCATTTTTCTTGGAGCCCTAGTTCCTTTTAGTGAGAAATGGTGTTTAGGCCACAGTCTGGCTGCTAGGGTTGCACTTTAGTCATTGTTTCTCAGCCTTTTAGGTGGACAGAGTTAGGAAAAAGATTTTTTGTATGACTTTGATTTTTTTTTTTTTTTTTTTTTTGAGACAGAGTCTCACTCTGTCACCCAGGCTGGAGTGCAGTGGCACAATCTCGGCTCACTGCAAGCTCTGCCTCCTGGGTTCACGCCATTCTCCTGCCTCAGCCTCCTGAGTAGCTGGGACTACAGGCGCCCACCACCACACCTGGCTAATTTTTTGTATTTTTAGTAGAGACAGGGTTTCACCGTGTTAGCCAGGATGGTCTCGATCTCCTGACCTCGTGATCCACCCGCTTCGGCCTCCCAAAGTGCTGGGATTACAGGCGTGAGCCACCTCACCCGGCCATATCACTTTGATTTTTTAAGGTAAACTATACTTCATACTGATCGCTCTAACTCAAATTCAGGACCACAGGATATTTATGTAAACTCCTCTATCTTACATCTTTATTTACTTTCCCACCTACTGAAAATCCCACTTCTCAGTGCCACCAACATAATTCCTTAATTTATTTTATTCCACAATACACATAAAGCAGTTTCAGAATAATACCACCAATAATATAATTAATGAAAATTGTTTGAAAACTTTTTGTATGCTCTTTTGTCCTTAAAATATATTCTATTAGAAATGTACAGTAAAATCACTGCGTTTTTTTTTTAAAGTCATTTGGGATAATTATTTTTTGCAGTTATGCCACCAACTCAGTACCTTATTTTGCTTTTGATTTTTTAGGAATTGGGTTTTTTTCTTTTCATATTTAATTCTTTTAAAAGTACATAAAGTATAATGTATTTTATATATATATATATAAAATGTATATAATGGACACAAAGTATGTACATTGTACCAGACTACAAGTATATTCAGATAAATCTCACGTCTATTCTTGGCCTCTATATCTTATAGCTCCCTATCCCTATAGGTAATCATTTGTTTAAAATTTATGATTTTTCTTCTATCCTAAAAAATAGAAGCAAATACATGTATATAGTCATGCTATCCATGACTCATATAGAATATTATATATACTTTGCTCTACTTTGCTTTTTTAGACGGAGTCTTGCTCTGTCACCAGGCTAGGGTGCAGGGGCGCCATCTCAGCTCACTGCAACCTCCACCTCCTGGGTTCAAGCGATTCTCCTGCCTCAGCCTCCCGAGTAGCTAGGACTACAGGCATGCGCCACCACGCGCAGCTAATTTTTGTATTTTTAGTGGAGATGGGGTTTCACCATGTTGGCCAGGATGGTCTCGATCTCTTGACCTTGTGATCTGCCTGCCTTGGCCTCCCAAAGTGCTGGGATTACAGGCATGAGCCACTGCACCTGGCCTGCTTTTTTTATTTAACTATAGATCCTGGAAATCACTCAAGTTGTATATAGCGATATTCCTCATTTCTTTTTAGCTCCATAGTACTTCATTATGTGACCCTACTGTAGTTTATACCCTAGCAGTGGACACTTGGGTTGTTGACAGTTATGCCTAGTGCACACAGTGCTGCAGTGAATAACCTTGCACATTCTCTTTTCATATTTTTGCCTGTAGATCATTGAGATAGATTCCTAGAAGTAGGACTGCAGAGTAACAACTGTCATTTTCCAGGTGGCTCATGCCTGTAATCCCAGCACTTCAAGAGGCTTTGGCGGAAGAATCGCTTGAGCCCAGGAGTTTGAGACCAGCCTGGGCAACACAGTGAGACCTCGTCTCTACAAAAATTAAAAATTAGCTAGGTGTGATGGTGTGTGCCTATAGTCCCAACTACTCAGGAAGCTTTGAGAAGATCGCTTGAGCCCAGGAAGTCAAGGCTGCAGTAAGCTATGATCACACCACTGCACTCCAGCCTGGGCCAACAGAGTGAGACCCTGTCTCCAAAAAAAAAAAGAACTGTCATTTTAAATGTTTCATGTTAAAGGTTCACTAGTTTTTTAGAAAATATGTATGAGTAGTTTTATTTATTCTGAAGCAATTAGATAGCTGGAGAACAAGAGGTGAATGGAAGTGTGGGGATGGAGGCATGGAGATGCTAGAATTCTCAGAGTTACATTGTTGCTTTTTCCACTGAGAATACTAAGACTGCAAACCTGGGAAGATGGATTGTGTAGTATCAGGGACAAGAAGCTTGTTTAAGTGATGCTTTGAGGTCTACTACAGATGCTGTTCTGCTAGGAGATTCCCTACGTCACGATAAGACACTATAGAAGTGGAGTAGTTAATATTCAGAAGAAAGGATATGGCCAAAATGTGATCTGCATAATCTTAGGAGTCCATAAACTCTTTGAAAGAAAATATAGTTGTGGCAATATTTTTTGTGTGTACTTTTCTGGTTTCCCTTTTCTAATTCACAGATCACACCAGAGCTGAGGGTTCTTGAGTTGAAACAAAAAAGGACTTATACTTAGAGTGACTAAAACTTTTCTTTTTGAGGGAAAGTGCTTGCCAACTAGAGGGGCATGTATGTGATCTTTTTATTACACTTCTATTTAAGGTATACTTTCTGTTTCATGGTGCTTTATTGCACTTTGCAGATACTGTTTTTTACAAATTGAAGGTATGTGGCAACCCTGTTTGAACAAATCTGTCAGCGGCATTTTTCCAACAACATGTGCTTACTTCATGTTTCTGTGTCACATTTTAGTAATTCTCACAATATTTCAAACTTTTTCATTATTATATCTGTTACAGTGTTCTGTGATCAGTGATCTTTGATGCTATTTTTTTTTTTTTTTCGAGACAGAGTCTCGCTCTGTCGCCAGGCTGGAGTGCAGTGGTGCCATCTTGTCTCACTGCAAGCTCTGCCTCCCGGGTTCATGCCATTCTCCTGCCTCAGCCTCCTGTGTAGCTGGGACTACAAGTGCCCGCCACCACGCCTGGCTAATTTTTTTGTGTTTTTTTAGTAGAGATGGGGTTTCACCATGTTAGCCAGGATGGTCTCGATCTCCTGACCTCATGATCCGCCTGCCTAGGTCTCCCAAAGTGCTGGGATCACAGGCGTGAGCCACCGTGCCCGGCCTGATGCTGTTATTATAAGTGTTTTGGGTCATCATGAACGATGCCCGTGTAAGACAGCGAACTCAATCAATGAATGTCGTGTGTGTTCTGGCTGCTCCACCAACCGACCATTTTCCCATCTCTCCTCCTCTTCTTGGGCCTCCCTATTCCCTGAGACACAACAACATTGAAATTAGGCCAGTTAAGAACCCTGCAATGGAAGCAGGCATGGTGGCTCATGCCTGTAATTCCAGAACTTTGGGAGGCTGTGATGAGCAAATCGAGACCAGCCTGGGCAACATGGAAGAACTCCATCTCTACAAAAAATACAAAAAAAATTAGCTGAGCGTGGTGGCACACGCCTGTAGTTCCAACTGTTATACTGCGGGAGGCTGAGGTGGGAGGATTGCTTGAGCCCAGGAGGTCGAGACTAGTGAGCTGTGATCGCGCCACTGCACTCCAGCCTGGGAGACAAAGTGAGATGCTGTCTCCAAAAAAAAAAAAAAAAAAAAAAACCAACTATGATGCCCTTTAAGTATACAAGTGAAAGGAAGAGTTGCACATCTCTTACTTTTAAATCAAATGCTAGAAATGATTAAGCTTAATGAGGAAGATATTTCAAAAGCCAAGATGGGTAAAAAGCTAGGCCTTTTACACCAGTCAGCCAAGTTGCAAATGCAAAGGAAAGTTCTTGAAGAAAATCACAAGTGCTACTCCAGTGAACACATCAATGGTAAGAAAGTGAAACAGACTCACTGCTGACATGGAGGAAATTTCAGTGGTCTAGATTGAAGATCAAACCAGCCACCGCATTCCTTTAAGCCAGTGCCTAATCCAGAGCAAGCCTCTAACTCTATTTAGTTTGAGGAAGCTGCAGAAGAAAAGTTTGAAACTAGCAGAGGTTGGTTCATGAGGTTTAAGGAAAGAAGCCATGTCCATAATATAAAAGTGCAAAGCAAATGGCAAGTACTGATATAGAAGCTGTAGCAGCAAATGATCTAGAATATCTGGCTGAGATCAGTGATGAAGGTGGCTGAACTAAACAATAGATTTTCAGTGCAGATGAAACAGCCTTCTATTGGAAGAAGATGCCATCTATGACTTTGATAACTAGAGAGGAGAAACCAGTGCCTGGCTTCAGAGCTTCAAAGGACAGGTTGACTCTTGTTTGGGTTAATGCGCTGGTGACTTCAAGTTGAAGCCAGTGCTCATTTACCATTCTGAAAATCCTAGGACCCTGAAGAATTATGCTCAATCTGCTGTGCCTGTGCTTTAGAAATAGAACAACAAAGCCTGGATGACAGCACATCTGTTTATGGCATGGTTTACTAAATATTTTAAGCCTATTGATCAGAAAAAAAAAAAAGATATCCTTTCAAAATATTGTAATCATCCAACAGTTGTTTTTTCTTTTTTTCCCACCATACAAATAGAGCTGATTCACTGAGACAGTGATATTATAGTAGAGAAAGAGTGTAATAATTGCAGAGTTAGTCAAGTGGGAGGACTGGAGTTATTATTTAAATCACCTTCCCCTAAAATGTGGAAGCTATGGTTTTTTAAGGATAGTTTGGCAGAGAGGGAGCTGGGAACGGGGAATGGAGATTGGTTGGGTTGGGGATGAAATTATAGGGGTCAAAGGTGTCTTTTTGCAGAGTCGGTTTTTGGGTGGGATCACAAGATCAATTGAACCAGTTTTTTGGTATGAGTTACCAGCGCAGGTGAGCCCACCTGGTCCGTCAGAATGTAGGGTCTGAAAAATACCTCACACCCCAAGGTTTTATAATAGTAATATCATTTGTATGTAGGAGCAATTGAGGTTAGAAATCCCATGACCTCTGTCTGCATGACTCCACTACTGAGCTATAATTTTAACCTCTTGACTGATTTGCTGGTTTTACATAGATGGTTTAAGTCTCTGAGCAAGAAGGAGGAGTTAGTTTTGGGAAGGAGCTGATAATCATCTTTGTTTTAAAATAACCTCGTGGCTAATTTGTTAGTTTTACAAAGGTGGTTTCAGTCCCTGAGCAAGGACAGGGCTGATTTCCAGAAGGAGCTGTTGTCATCTTTGTTTTAAAGTTAAACTAAATTTTTCTCATAGTTAATTTGGCCTATGCCCAAAAATAAAGACAGCTTAAAGGTTAAAAGCAAGATAAAGTCAGCTAGGTCAGATTTTTTCCACTGTCATAATTTTTGCAAAGGTGACCTCAATACTACTGTTCATTGACAAAGCACGTTGTCACCCAAGAGCTCTGATGGAGATGTACAAGGAGATGAATTTTTTATTTATTTATTTATTTAGAGACAGAGTCTCACTCTGTCACCCAGGCTGGAGTGAATGGCGCGATCTTGGCTCATTGCAACCTCCGCCTCCCGAGTTCAAGTGATTCTCGTGCCTCAGCCTCCCAAGTAGCTGGGATTACAGGCATGTGCCACCACGCCTGGCTAATTTTTTTTTTTTGTATTTTTAGTAGAGACAGTGTTTCACCATGTTGGCCAGGCTGGATGAATGTTGTTTTCATGCCCGCTAACACGTATCGTTCTGCAGACTGGATCAAGTAGTAGTTTGACTTTCAAGTTCTCTTATTTAAGAAATACAGTTTGTAAGGCTATCCCTGCCATTGATTCCTGTGATGGGCAAAGTAAACTGAAAACCTTCTGGAAAGGATTCACCATTCCAGATGACATTGAAAACATTCATGAGGCCAGGACTTCAAGACCAACCTGGGCAACATAGTAAGACCTCATCTGTACTAAAAAGCAAAAATTAGCTGGGTCTTGTGGCTTGCACCTGTAGTCCTAGCTAACTCAGGAGGCTGAGGCAGGGGGATTACTTGAGCCCAGGAGTTCAGGCTGCAGTAAGCTATGCTCATGCCACTTCACTCCAGCCTGGGCAACAAAGCAAGAACCTGTCTTAAAACAAACTAACTAAATAATAATGAATAAAATAAAATGTTGTGCTTCTTGATTGCTTTTTCTTCCCAACGTACTCCATAGCATATTAATCCATACCTAGTGGCTTTGACCCTCCTAGGTTTCCGTGATTCACAGTAGGATCTTATTCATTTAAAAATAACAACAAATGATAGTTATGCCTAATATTTTGAAGAATTCATGGTAGGTGGAAGCAGCATAAGGTAATTTTTCTTTTTCTTTTTTCTGGTTTTTTTTTGTTTTGTTTTGTTTTGAGACAGGATCTCACTTTGTTACCTAGGCTGAAGTGCAATGGCACAATCATTATTCACTGCAGCCTCAAACTCCTGGGCTCAGGCAGTCCTCTCACCTCAGCCTCCTGAGTACCTGGGACTATAGGTGTGTGCCACCACAGCCAGCTAATTTTTTATTTTTATTTTTTGTAGAGACAGGTGGTTTGATATGTTGCCCAGGCTGGTCTCAAACCCCTGGTGTTGGTCTCAAGCAACCCTTTTGCCCCAGTCTCCCTAAGTGCTGGGATTATAGGCATGAGCCACCACACCTGGCCAGTAATGTTTCTCATAAATAGGATGGCAAATGGCATACAAACAGATGAATCTGTTCTCTGGGCAGAAGAAGTTAGTCCTGAAATCTGGGTTCTTAGTACTGGAAAACAGGCAGTATTTTTTTTTAATGTTATACAATGCCAATTTATGAGTTTCATAATACAGTATTCATTTTTAAATAGGTTATTATATTTTACCTCCTAACCTAATTGTTATTTTCAGCCAGTGAAAGGCAGAAATAAGAAGTAATAGTAATTGCCTTTCAGTATAATCCCACTTGTATATTTTTGCTTTTATTGTCTGTTATTTTGAGGTCTTATTCATAAAATCTTTTCCCAGACCATTGTCCTGAAACATTTCCCGTATTTTTTTTTTCTAGTAGTTTTATAGTTTTGGGTCTTACATTTAGTTCTTTGACTCATTTTGAGTTGATTTTTATATTGAGTGAGAAATAGGGGCCTATTTTCATTCTTCTGCAGTGGATATCCAGTTTTACCAGCACCGTTTATTAAATAGACTATCCTTTCCCCAATGAAGGTGCGTGGCTCCTATGTAAAAAAAATCAGTTGACTATAGAGGCATTCATTAATTTCTGGTACTCTGTTCCATTGCTCTATGTGTCTGTTTTTATGCCAGTACCATGCTGTTTTGGTAACTGTAGCTTCGTATATTTTCAAGTCTGATAGTATGTTGCCGCCAGCTTGTTTTTGTTTTTGTTTTTTTGCTTTTTTTCTTTTTTTGAGACAGAGTCTCACCCAGGCTAGAGTGCAGTGGCATAGTCTCAGCTCGCTGCAACATTTGCCTCCCGGGTTCAAGCGGTTCTTGTGCCTCAGCCTCCTGAGTAGCTGGGATTACAGGCCTGTGCCACCACACCCAACTAATTTTTGTATTTTTAACACAGACATGGTTTTGTCACGTTGGCCAGGCTGGTCTCGAACTCCTGACCTCAAGTGAGCCACTGCGCCCATCCAGCTTTGTTCTTTTTTGCTCAGGATTGCTTTGGCTATTGGTATGACTTTACTGGTTTCAGACTAATTTTAGGATTTTTTTTTTATATTTCTGTGAAAGCCTGGGCACAGTGGCTCACGCCTGTAATCCTAGCACTTTGGGAGGCTGAGGCGGGCAGATCACCTGAGGTTAGGAGTTCAAGACTAGCCTGGCCAACATGGTGAAACCCCATCTCTACTAAAAATAAAAAATTAGCCAGGCGTGGTGGTACAGGCCTGTAATCCCAGCTACGCAGAAGGCTGAGGCACAAGAGTCGCTTGAACCTGGGAGGTGGAGGTTGCAGTGAGCCAAGATCATGTCATGCACTCAAGCCTGGCCAACAGAGCAAGACTCTGTCTCTAAATAAATAAATATTTCTGTGAAGGACATTATTGGTATTTTGATGGGGATTACACTGAATTTGCAGGTCACTTTGGATAGTAAATAGTTTTAATTTTTTTAGTTAGAAAAAAATACCCATAAAAATACTTGGTGTATATATAGTAAGCACTTAATAAGTATTTGACGAAGCAATATTTTTCTAACATACTGAATAAACATTTCAAATAAAAATGAATGAATGTTTTGGGGATTATTTCTCCTCTGAACTCTAAGCTTTGTTAATTTAATTCATTTTTCCCCCAGAGAGACTAGCTTGCAAAATTTTCCTCATATTGAGGTGGTTCGGAAAAAAGAGGAGAGAAGAAAACTGCTTGGGCACACGTGTAAGGAATGTGAAATTGTAAGTACTAATGTAGATACTAATTTTTTTTTAAGTACGGCTTTATAGATAATAAATGCATGATTTTAAAATCACGTATACAAACCATATTGGTTATAGAAACCTCTTATTTGAGCCAGGCGTAACAGCAGGAATAAGGAGTATTCTGGGTCGGGTGCGGTGGCTCATGCCTCTAATCTCAGCATTTTGGGAGGCCAAGGAGGGCGGATCACTTGAGGCCAGAAGATCGAGACTGGCCTGGCCAACATGGCGAAACCCCATCTCTACTAAAAATACAAAAGTAAGCTGGGTGTGGTGGTGCACACCTGTAATTCTAGCTACTCAGAAGGCTGAGGCAGGAGAATCGCTTGAACCCGGGAGGTGGAGGTTGCAGTGAGCCGAGATTGTGCCATTGCGCTCCAGCCTGGGCAACAAGAGTGAAACTTGGTCTCAAAAAAAAAAAAAAAATGCCAGGTGCAGTGGCTCACACCTGTAATCCCAGCACTTTGGGAGGCCAAGGCGGGCGGATCACGAGGTAAGGAGATCTAGACCATCCTGGCTAACATGGTGAAACCCCGTCTCTACTAAAAACACATTAAAAAAAGCCAGGCATGGTGGCGGGCGCCTGTAGTCCCAGCTACTCGGGAAGCTGAGGCAGGAGAATGGCGTGAACCCGGGAGGCAGAGCTTGTAGTGAGCCGAGATTGCACCACTGCACTCCAGCCTGGGCGAGAGAGCGAGACTCCGTCTCAAAAAAAAAAAAATTATTTTTACCAACATTCTCAGGAAATTAGGTATACTCATAATTTTTTAAAAATAATTGGTACCAATATAAGTTCTTTTTTTTTTTTTTTTTTTTTTTGAGACGGAGTCTTGCCCTGTTGCCCAGGCTGGAATGTAGTGGCGTGATCTTGGCTCACTGCAATCTCCACCTCCCAGGTTCAAGCAATTTTCCTGCCTCAGCTTCCCGGGTAGCTGGGATTACAGGCACCTACCACCATGCATGACTAATTTTTGTATTTTTAGTAGAGACAGGGTTTCACTATTTGGCCAGGCTGGTCTCGAACTCCTGACCTCAATTATTCCGCCTGCCTTGGCCTCCCAAAGTTCTGGGATTACAGACATGAACCACCATGCTGGCCAAGTTCTTTTTTGTTTGTTTGTTTGACACAGAGTTTTGCTCTTGTTGCCTAGGCTGGAGCACAATAGTGCAATCTCAGCTCACCACAACCTCCATTTCCCGGGTTCAGACGATTCTCCTGCCTCTCCCTCTGCCTCCCGAGTAGCTGGGATTACAGGCATGCGCCACCATGCCCGGCTAATTTTGTATTTTTAGTAGAGACAGGGTTTCACCATGTTGGTCAGGCTGGCCTCGAACTCCCGACCTCAGGTGATCTGCCCACCTTGGCCTCCCAAAGTACTGGGATTACTGGGGTGAGCCACTGCACCAAACATTTTTCTTCCTAAACAAGATATAATGAATAAATACTTAAACACTTATATTTTTCCTTTTATACATTGGCTGTCTTGGATGTTGAAGTAGATGGTACAGACATTGCTTTGTATCTGTGGGAAACTGGCTTCAGGACCTACTGTGGATACCAAAATCACGGATGCTCAAGTCTCTGATATAAAATGGCATAGTACTTGCCTATAACCTATGCATATTCTTTCATATGCTTTAAATTACCTCTAATTACTTATAATCCCTATTACAATGTAAATGCTTTGTAAATAGTTGTTATACTGTATTGTATAGGGAATGACAAGAAAAATAGTCTGTACATGTTAATACAGATGAAGGTTTTTTTCCTGAATATTTTTGATCCACGGCTGGTTGAATCCATGAATGTAGAACCCAAGGATATGAAGGGCCAACTGTATTGATTGTCCTTTTACTGAATAGTCCCAGGCAGGTTCTGTTTTGACCTGGAACATGCTGTTTTTATTTCTTCCCTTGTTGTCCATTAGCTCTCAGATGCCTGCCCTCAGCAATTTACTTCCCCTTTTAAATTTCATTTTTAACATACGGGCTAGAAAATTTAATAACCAAGCACATTAAAATTATATGTGAAAGTATGACTAGATTGTAATACAGGTAAGCATTGGGTAAAAATATGCTCTTATGTACTAACAATGGGAATATAAATTGGGATCACTATTTTGAAAAGCAGTTTGGCAATACAAGCAAAAGCCTATAATGTGAGTTCGTGAGTTTTCATTACACAAATTGAATATATCACGATGTCTTAAAGAATATGGTCCACATTGAGTAAATCTCTGGTTTTTTAGTTATAACCATAATTCTATGATCTAGAATTAATCCTACTAGTTAGAAAAAAGCTATTTTGCTAGAAACACTGTTAAGTTACATTCATTCTCAATAATCATTTCCCGTGCTTTCTGTTATCCAATCTCTGAAAACCATTATTGTATACATTTTAGTTTTTCTAGTTAATTTACCTAGGAAGGTAAATCTGTTCTGTTACTCCATCATGACCAGAAGTGGAAGTGCCAGTCCCATGTACTTAAATACTAACCATATGCTTACAGTTCTTAAATTTATCCCATTGCCTATTCTGCAAGTGGAGTGTGCAATACTCATGTGGATCTGAGATAGTGATCTCAAATTTCACACATCCAAAAACAAACATACAATATCTGCCCTCAATTCCCAAACCTCACTGCTGAGTCTCCTATATGTCCTGAGATCTTATAGTTATTCACTACTTTTTTCTTTCACATCTCAATAACTTTTATATCAACAAACCCCATTGATTCTTCCTTCAAAATATATCCCATATCCATCCACTTACTATCACCACCACTAATGCCCTGGACCAAGGCAACATTTTATAATTTTTTTTTTTTTTTTTTGAGTTGGAGTCTCACTCTGTTGCCCAGGCTGAAGCACAGTGGCGCGATTTCGGCTCACTGCAAGCTCCGCCTCCTGGGTTCACACCATTCTCCCGCCTCAGCCTCCTGAGTAGCTGGGACTACAGGCGCCTGCCACCACGCCTGGCTAATTTTTTTGTATTTTCAGTAGAGACGGGGTTTCACTGTGTTAGCCAGGATGGTCTCGATCTCCTGACCTCGTGATCCGCCCGCTTCAGCCTCCCAAAGTGCTGGGATTACAGGTGTGAGCCACTGCACCCGGCCAACATTTTATAATTGTAATAGCTTCTAAGTGCTCTCCTGGTCATTTTTTTTTTTTTTTACTCTAAAACTTGTATTTTGGCCAGGCACAGTAGCTCATGCCTCTAATTCCAGCACTTTGGGAGGCCGAGGCGGGTGGATCACCTGAGGTCAGGAGTTCAAGGCCAGCCTGGCCAACATGGTAAAACCCTGTCCCTACTAATAATACAAATATTAGCTGAGCGTGGTGGTGCATGCCTGTTATCCCAGCTACTCTGGAGGCTGAGGCAGGAAAATCACTTGAACCCAGGAGGCAGAGGTTGCAGTGAGCCGAGATTGCTCCATTGCACTCCAGCCTGGGTGACAAGAGCGAAACTCCATCTCAATAAATAAATAAATAAATAAATAAAACTTTATTTTTTAGAGCAGTTATAGGTTCACAGCAAAGTTGTACAGAAAGTACATACAGTTCCCATGTACCTCTGTCCCCATTCTCTTTTACTTTTCATTCTTGTCTCTTAACAATGTACTTTCAGCTCAGCAATGAATGGCCTTTTTTTTTTTAAATAATCTTTTTAGAATAAAAGTTAAATCATGTCATTCCCAGAATCCTTCATTGTCTTCCCATCCCACTAAGAAAAAGAATCTAAAGTCCTTATCAAGGACAACAAACTCTGGCTCTGCACTTCCTCTCTGATTTCTGTTCAACCACTCACCCATTTGCTTGCTGTGTTACAACTGCACTCACCGACTACTGTTTCTCAAATATGTTTTAATTCAGTGGCAGTGTTTTTTCCAATAAGCCCTGATTCTCTAAGGTCATCTCATCTCATCCCAAAGCCCAGACTAAGGTAACAAAGGCTTATACTTAGGGCAGTGAGAATGATGAAAAAGATACCTGAATGAAGTTGTTTCACAGCTTCTTTAAAGCCTTTAATCTGTGTAAAATAGAAATGTATTAAAAGCTTTTACTTCAAACTTAAATTCTAGTTTTAAGTCTGTCACTTTCAATAGGTGATATCTTTGGCAAATTACCACTTTCATTTTCAGTTTCTCAAGTGTAAAGTGAAGGAATCGGCTGGATTAAATATGTGATTCTGGGTGGCTCACACCTGTAATCCCAGCACTTTGGGAGTCTGAGACAGGTGGATCACTTGAGGTCAGGAATTCGAGACCAGCCTGGCCAACATATAGTAAAACCCCGTCCGTGTCTACTAAAAATACAAAATTAGCTGAGTGTGGTGGTGCATGCCTATAGTCCCAGCTACTTGGGAAGCTGAGGCAAGAGAATCACTTGAACACAGGAGTGGGAGGTTGCAGTGAGCCAAGATCGTGCCACTGCACCCCAGCCTGGGTGACAGAGCAGGACTCTGTCTCTCAAAAAAAAAGTGATTCTGTCATCTATGTTCTATTAAACCTTAAACTACTGCTTTGTTTTCACTAAGTCTAGGCCTTAAAAACCTGTACAATTTTTACGTATAATTTTATCCTTGTGTGCATGAAGTTCAAGTTCTTTGTTTTCACAGTTGCCAAAAAATAGTAGGCTTTTGATCCTAACTGAAATCTTAAAGGGAGAAGTCATGGAGCCTTCAACATTCAGATCTAAATTATTTTTTAAAGCCGTAGAGATAAGAAAATTACTTTGAAACACACGTTATATTCAAATAATAATTAAGAAACATGTAGACCTCTGAATTTTTTTTACTGGCCTAATAAGGATAAAGACTTTGTACCAGTGTATAAATCAGCTGTATCACTAAGCACACTGTCAAGATCAGCTGGCTTTTTTTTTTTTTAATTGCAACACTTTACTGATAAAGGAAGCACTTTATTGGTTTACATTGTGATACAAGCTCCTTTTCTCATCAGTGAAGCAGGCACTTCACAGACCAACATCAGCACTGATTACTGTTAGTAATTAATACTGTCTGTAAGAATTAATTACTAATAGTATCATCAATGAGGATTAAGTTTCCTTAGACTGCTGAATATCTTAGTAAATGGCTTTTTTAGCTTCTAGTTTGTAATCAATAAGCATAACACTCCATTTATTATTCTTTAGTGAAAAAACTTACCAGTTTTTATTATTAGTATTATGCAGATATGCCAGCAGAAGAAAGAGAAAAGAAATTGGCTTCCTGCTCAAGACACCGATTCCGCTACATTCCACCCAACACACCAGAGAATTTTTGGGAAGTTGGTTTTCCTTCCACTCAGACTTGTATGGAAAGAGGTGAGAGTATAGATTGTAACATTTTATAATTATTTTTTTTAAATACTTGGCCGGGCACAGTGGCTCACGCCTATAATCCCAACACTTTGAGAGGCCAAGGTGGGTGGATCACCTGAGGTCAGGAGTTCAAGACCAGCCTGGCCAACATGGTGAAGCCCCATCTCTACTAAAAATACAAAAAATTAGCCAGGCGTGGTGGCACATGCCTGTAGTCCCAGCTACTCAGGAGGCTGAGGCAAGTGAATCACTTGAACCCAAGAGACAGAGGTTGCAGTGAGCCAAGATTGTGCCATTGCACTCCAGCCTGGGCGACAGAACAAGACTCTGTCTCAAAAATAAAATAAAATAAAATAAAATAAAATAAAATAAATAAAATACAATATAAAATAAAATAAAATAAATAACTGTATATGCCCAAATGTGAACATGCACCTTTTTTTCTGTGATTCTCTTTACCTTTTGCTGCAGGTTGGGTGCTAGTTTTGTGACATAAAAACATTCCTAAAGATAAAAGGACTCTTCAGTAATTTATTTGGAATTAGAGATTGGTAATATCACTTTAATGTGATTGTGCTTATATTATTCTGGTTTACCAAATTTCAAAAAGCAATTTCTCTTTTATTCTATCATCAAAATGATTTTTTTTTTTATAGGGCTTCACTCTGTCACCCAGGCTGGAGTGTAGTGGCATGCATAATCATGGCTCACTGATGCCTCCGACTTATGGGCTCAAACTCTACCTCAGCCTTCCAAGTAGCTAGGACTACAGCCTTGTGCCGCCATACCCAGCACTTTTTTTTTTTTCCCCCTAGAGACAGGGTCTCACTATGTTGCTCAGGCTGGTCGTGAACTCCTGGCCTCAAGTGGTCCTCCTGCCTTGACCTCCCAAAACACTGGGATTACAGCCATGAGCCACTGCACCCAGCCAAAATGACTTTAAATAAAATAAATAACCTAACAAAAATTACCAGGAAAGTTATATTTAAAAAGAGAGAATCTTAAAATCTACTGCTATGAATTTTGGATTTTAAAACCTCACTTACCCAGAATGCTGGATGTTTATAAGTGGTATCTGAATAAATAAAAAAGATGTTTATTTGTTAGGTTGTTGACATGCAACTAGCTTGTTTAGATATGACACTTACATTTAATATAATTTGAGAATATATTCAGCTTTTAGGCTGTTAATAAAAGGTCATGAGTAGTAATTTTTCTATGTTACCAGCAGCATAATGCTAAAAAGTATAGATCCACATTTTTCTGGTTTTATATTTTCTACCAAAATTAAGTTAGTTGGGTATGTGATCTGAAGTCTTCATGTCATTTAACTGTCTTTGGGGTAGCATACTCCCATTTCTGTGCTCAAGCTAGGACTATCAATCTGGACATTACCACTATTCCAGGCATATAGTAATTCATAGTCACTAAGGTCTAAACTTTATTGTAATCATTGGTTTAAATGAAATGAAATGCTCGAGTCCTTAGCCTTAAAAGAGCTATTTAATTAAGCAGGGTCCATTTCACAGACCCTTTGTTGTGAAAGTATAATTCCAGAGGAGCTCATAAGAGCATTTAATAGCTAGTTTTTATGAAGGGGCCTTTTTTTTTTTTTTTTTTTTTGAGATGGAGTCTCACTGTGAGGCCCAGGCTGGAGTGCAAATGGCACAATCTCGGCTCACTGCAACCTCCACCTCCCAGGTTCAAGCGATTTTCCTGCCCCAGCTTCTTGAATAGCTGGGACTACAGGCACATGCCACCATACCCAGCCTATTTTTTTTTTTTTTTTTTTTTTCTAGTAGAGACGGGGTTTCACCATACTGGCCAGGCTGGTCTCAAACTCCTGATCTCAAGTGATCCACCCGCCTCAGCCTCCCAAAGTGCTGGGATTACAGGCTCGAGCCACCACGCCCGGCCTGAAGGGGCCTCTTTAACTGAAGATTTTATTCTCTACATTATTGTATTCTTAGACTTTTTTTGTATGTGGCACATATAGTTCAAAACTCATTTGTTATTAAATGAATGTTGGTACAGACATTCAATCAAACATTCTTTTAATAAGACAACATACTCTTAGTTTTATGAAGAATTTTAATTCAAAATCATCCTAAAACATGAGCTAAATACTGACATTACATGTGTACAGTTTATTACATACCAAGTGTACTTGAATGAAGCTGTTCAGAAAAAAAGCCATAAGAGAGGAAGAATATTAGCTAAGCAGGGACTTTTCTGACCTCTTTATTATTTTTTGCTATTTTCTCCATGGTCCAAAGACCATCCAGTTACAGACTAAGTCTTACCTTGTGGTTTAAAATACTGAGTTTTAGCTGGTCCAGAGGCAATTAGTTATCTCAGTTGATCATTCAATTACAGATTGAACTGCTTCTTTTACTCTTTCCCTTCATTCTCACTACTGTACCTGATTCGTCTTAAGAAAAAAATACTGAGTTTTATGAAAACAAGATATGTTTTCTGGTATGTGATTGAAAAGTATAGTAGTGTTTAGAATATTTATGATTTGACTTTTTAATTAATTAGTAGCCTTCAGGCTTTAGGCCTGTATTTGTCAGTTACAGATAAATGTTTAAAATTTTTACCCACAAGACGATAAAATAGCATTAAATAAATGTCAAATGATAAAATTATACCACCTAGAATTTCAGTTCAGCCTTGCCATCTTATAGAAACTATTCTCAGCTGGGCACAGTATCTCACACCTATAATCCCAGCACTTTGGGAGGCCAAGATGGGAGGATCCATTGAGCCCAGGAGTTCGAGACCAGCCTGGGCAACAGAGTGAGACCCTGGCTCTAGACGAAATAAATAATAAAATTAGCCAGGTATGGTGGTGCATGCCTGTGGTCCCAGCAGTAACTCAGGAGGCTGAGATGGGAGGATTGCTTGAGCCCTGGAGGTGGAGGCTGCAGTGAGCCGTTATTGCACCACTGCACTCCAGCCTGGGCAACAGAGCAAGACCCTGTTTCAAAAAAACAATTAATTTAATTTAATTTTGAAAAGAAACTGTTCTCAATGAAGAGCTCTGATGATTTAGCTGCACAACAAGGAGGGAGAGACCTTCTTCACTTTTGGAGACGCTCCAGATGTTTAACTGTAAGATAGTTTTTCCAAAAGATGCAAAGTCTCTGACAGCTTTCACTGTATTTCTGCTTTCCCCATTAATAAGCCAGATTGAGTCAACTTTGATGTGATATCTCACTGCCTGGTCACCAGATAGAATCAGTCTGGATAGAGCCTGTGATTGCACCCCATGCGTATGGCAGAGCAAATACTTCCCCTGAAGATTACATGCTTAGAGACACCTTAGGAGATCTAATAGTCTGAAGGGTATAGAGGGATTGTCATCTATTGAAATAGCTACTGTAAAAAGTATTTTTGATAAGTACCTGAAATTTATAATAGTAGAGTTCATGTTTAGCACTTTGTCCCCCTTTGCAACTACCTATGGGAGGCAGAATAGGAAAGTGTTTAAGAGTTCTGGTTCTGGAATAAGAAAGAGCTTGGGCCAGGTCCCAGCTCCTCTACTTTTTAGCTTTGTGAACTTGAACAAGTAATTTAACTTCCTTGGGTCTCTATTACCTCATCTGTCAAACAGGTATAGTAGAAACTACTTCAAAGGAATGTGAGTTATATGAGATGATATATGTAACCATTTGGTAAATATTTGCTGTCATTATTATAAATGAGGAAACTGATGCTAAATAGTGAGATCAATCATCAGCATCACACAGCTAATAATCAGAAGAATCATGTAAACTTACAAAGCATCAAATAAGAGAAATGTTTACTAGATATAAGCTGAAAGAAATGCATGTTGCACATACAGTCTTCTAAGTTTATGATTTGTTTTTAAGGTTATATTAAGGAAGATCTTGATCCTTGTCCTCGTCCAAAAAGACGTCAGCCTTACAACGCAATATTTTCTCCAAAAGGCAAGGAGCAGAAGACATAGACGTTGAAACAGAAACAGAAGGATGAAGGACAGTTTTTTCCTTCTTAGTTATTTATAGTTAAAGTTGGTACTAAACATTGATTTTTTTGATCTTCTGTAAATGGATTTATAAATCAGTTTTCTATTGAAAATGTTTGTGATATTTTGCTTTTGCACCTTTAAAACAATAAGGCGCTTTCATTTTGCACTCTAACTTAAGAGTTTTTACTTTATGTAGTGATACCTAATACAATTTTGAAAATACAATAGTTGTAGTCTGTGATTTGTTGCCTTTCAGTTCTTTTCTTTTTACTTCATCTTCCCTTGGTATTTACATTGAGCAGTGACTTCATGTTAATCATTACAGATTTTTCTTCATCAATTGCTCTTCTCTAGGTCATATCAGTGTCTAGTATTTAAGTCTTTTTTTAAAAAAACAAAAAAGAAAGACTGTATTTTCATAGTTTTTTTAAACTCTCCAGCTTTTGTTGAATTGGAATCAGGTACTACATTGTCATAAATTCCTTTCAAGGTGACCACAAATATCGACTTTTTTTCCTTTCCCACATATTGTAAACATTATTCTCTGATCTGGTCCTACTTTTCCAGCTCTTCACATGTTTTCTTTTCATCATACTTTTTTTTCTTTTTTTTTTTTTTCCGAGAAGGAGTCTCGCTCTGTCGCCAGGCTGGAGTGCAATGGCACAATCTCACTCACTGCAACCTCCGCCTCCCGGGTTCAAGCAATTCTCCTGCTTCAGCCTCCCAAGTAGCTGGCACTACAGGCGTGCGCCACCATGCCCAGCTAATTTTTGTATTTTTAGTAGAGATGGGGTTTCACTGTGTTGGCCAGGATGGTCTTAATCTCTTGACCTCGTGATCCACCTGCCTCGGCCTCCCAAAGTGCTGGGATTGCAGGCATGAGCCACTGTGCCCAGCCATACTTTTTTTTTTTTTTCTGGTGCATTTCTGAAGTTAAATATGTTGAGTTCTCTGCCCATTTGTTCAAATTCTATTGTATTATTTCTGTGGATTGACAAATGTTATGAACAATTTGGTTTCAAAATAGATTTTTCTATTTAGCAACTTTCTATTCCTCTAGGACCTAGTATTAAGGTCATTAAGATGGCTTAATGAGTCATTAAGCCATTAATGAGTCATTAAGATGGCTGACCAATCTGTGCCATCTTTTTTAGTGACATTTTGTTTATCAGTATCTCTTTTGTGTATTTCTTTGATTTATATCTTGACAGTATTACATAAGCAGGAATAAAAGAGACATTGAGTGGAATGTCTCGCTCAAATATAAATAACCTTATAAATACAATCTTTACTTCTCAGAGTCCTAAAATCTTCTTGGTTAGTCTGGTCTTCCTTGTTGATCAAGGTTCTCGTGACTAAATGGCATTAGTTTGTGTTCTCACAGATAGGATAGGAAAAGGAATTATACATATTGATTATGTACTATATGTCAGACCACTTATGTACCTTGTTTGGCTCTATGATTCTGAATTTTTTATCACCCTATCATCACTTCTGTTCAGCCCTTTTCTTCCCTTCCCAAGTTGTTTATTCTGTTTGATTTTTGTTCTCTGCTGGTAGTCAGATAATCTCCCAAAAATAATAGTTATCATTGACTGGCCACTTCCTGTGTGTCAAGAACTGTTTTATACTCTTCACATAGATGGTTCTCTTTTGATCCTCAACCCTGTGAGCTTATCACTTAATAAATATTGTTAAGCTGCAAAAAAAAAAAGGATCCAAAAAACAGCAGATTAAACAACAAATTACTGGCTTTATTTTTCTCACCTTAAAAAGTCTAGAGGTGAGCAGTCCAATGCCACTAGTGCAGCTCCATAGTGGCCTCAGGGACCCAGATGTCTCCTGGTTTTCTGCTCTTCCATACTTCGTATTGGTGTTCACCCTCGCATCTGTAAAGCAGTCTATGCCACTCGAGCATCACGCCCATGTTCTGCACAAAAGGAAGAAAAAAAGTACGTGCATTTGTTTTTGTCCCCTAGAAAAAAAAGTTTCCAGAAAGCCCTACCTCATAACTTTCCTGACTTCTCAGAGGTCAGAATTATCCATCTCATGGCTACCTCTAATAACTAGTAGGGATGAAATTAGGACCCATGGTTGCCTAATTCCAGAATCTACTAATTCATCTTCACTATAGTATAGTCCTAAAGGCCAGGGTTTGAGAGACACCTGGATTTGAACAAGGCACCACAGGATGTGTGGTTGGAGTTACATACTTCCAATGGATTTTGCTTTTTAAGAAGCAGCCTAAGCAGAAAGAGAGGTAGGGTTTGTCCACTTGATGGTAGCTTCACAGCTATCCATCCCATTTATAGCAGTTTTCATTTACTCTTCAGTTACCCTGTGAAGTTGAGTGAGCTGAGGTCTCTCTCCCATCTTATCTGCTGTGGACCAACTTCTGCCTTTAAATGGAGTAAGGAAATAGACACATTTTAAAAACATTTCAGTGGCAGGACACGGTGGCTTATGCCTGTAATCCTAGCACTTTGATGAGAGGCCAGGGTGGGTGGATCACTTAAGGTCAAAACCTTGAGACCAGCCTGGCCAACATGACAAAACCCCGTCTCTACTAAAAATGCAAAAATTAGTCAGGCGTAGTGGTGCATGCCTGTAATCCCAGCTACTCAGGAGGCTGAGGCAGGAGAATAGCTTGAATCTGGGAGGTGGAGGCTGCAGTGAGCCAAGATCACGTCACTGCACTCCAGCCTGGGCAACACAGTGAAACTCTCTCAAAACTAAAAAACATTTGGGTTAGATAACATTTAAATGCAAAATGGCTGTTTATGACACTGCACTCAAGCTTTTCTTTAAAAAGATAATGTATATTAAAGGGCTTTATACATTTGTAAAGCATTTGTATAATACACGTTAGATAATATTTTCATAAGAATGTATGTCATTCACTGGTTACATAGTTACATAGAATTTCAGGTTGCCAGCAAGCTTTTTTTTTTTTTTTTTTTTTTTTTTTTTTGAGATGGAGTCTCTCACTCTGTCACCCAGGCTGGAGTGACAGTGACAGTCTCAGCTCAATACAACCTCCACCTCCTGGGTTCAAGCAGTTCTCCTGCTTCAGCCTCCTGAGTAGCTGGGATTACAGGCGTGCGCCACCACGCCCGGCTAATTTTTGTATTTTTAGTAGAGATGGGGTTTCACCATGTTGGCCAGGCTGGTCTCAAACTCTTGACCTCAGGTGATCTGCCTATCTCAGCCTCCCAAAGTAGTAAGATTCCAGGCAGGAGACACCACACTTGGCCACTAGCAAGCTTTTTAAAGTTAGAGACTATTGATTTAAACTTAGGAAACATGTAGAACCTATATGTCGCACTTAACATTTGACTGACAGCTTGCCTACCTTTAGTAAAGAGATATTCTGATTAAGCCGTTTGAAACCTAAGGTTGTCAAATGGGACAGTCTGAATGAGTTAATCATGGATACCCAAATATGTGTAGAAGACATGATAATGTTACCTTGAGAGAAAAGCCAGATGAAACAGAAGAATATTCCCTAAAACATTTCATGCGGTGAAAAGTTTTCTCAAAGTCCAACTGGCAAGGCTGCTGCCAATAGGCTCAATATATTAGTAACTCAGTTTAAACTGCATCTAGGCCGGGCATGGTGGCACAGGAGCTACTTGGGAGACTGAGGTGGGAGGATCCCTTGAGTCCCGGGAGGTTGAGGCAGCAGTGAGCCAAGATCGCGCCAGTGCACTCCAGGCTGGATGACAGAGTGAGACCCTGTCTCAATAAATAACAAAATAGGCCGGGCGCGGTGGCTCACGCCTGTAATCCCAGCACTTTGGGAGGCCAAGGCGGGCGGATCACGAGGTCAGGAAATCGAGACCATCCTGGCTCGATTTAGGAGAGACGGTGAAACCCCGTCTCTACTAAATGTGCAAAAAATTGGCCGGGCGCGGTAGCGGGCGCCTGTAATCCCAGAGACTCGGGAGGCTGAGACAGGAGAATGGCGTGAACCCAGGAGGCGGAGCTTGCAGTGAGCTGAGATAGCGCCACTGCAGTCCAGCCTGGGCGACAGAGCGAGACTCCATCTCAAAAAAATAATAATATAATAATAATAATAAACTGCAACTAGCATGTATTTTTAAATGTATGTAGGGCATTAGACGCTCTGAAAGAAATAACTTTGAAAGAGGGCAAAGATTTCTCCCAAGATTGTCTTTCTTTAAATTTTTTGTGTTTTTTTTTTTTTATAGAGATGAGTTTTCACTATGTTGCCCAGGCTGGTCTTGAACTCCTGAGCTCAAGTGATTCTCCTGCCCCGGCCTCCCAAAGTGCTACGATTACAGATATGAGCCACTGAGCCTAGCTCCAAGATGGTCTTTCATTTGTAATTCAGTTACATAAAAAGACTAATGTTACATAAACCAAATAACACTAGTTCATTTATTTAACAAACATTTATTCAGCACTTTACCAGGCATGATACTAAGTACAGTGTCAGAATTAGACAAAATTTGACAAATATTCTCTAAAAGAGCAAGCTTTTAAAGAAACACCTAAGAATCTTACTTTGTCATCTTTGTCATCTCATAACATCCATGAGTTTAATTTTGAAAAATGCCACTGCAGAAATAAGCATTTGAACTGTATCTCAAATTTTACTATCCAACTGTGTATTTTCAGCATATCTAGCAGTTTAAGTGACACCTCAGTCTTTCTCTTTGCCGAGTTGAACTGTTAGAATAGTCCTTAGAAAGCCGAAGTGTTGACTGGACACAGTGGCTTACGGCTGTAATCCCAGCACTTTGGGAAGCTGAGGCTGGAGGTTCACTTGAGCCCAGGAGTTCAAGACTAGCCTGGGCAACATGGCAAGACCTCGTCTCATAAAAAAATAATAATAGGCCGGGCGCAGTGGCTCACACCTATGATCCCAGCACTTTGGGAGGCCAAGGCGGGCGAATCACCTGAGGTCGGGAGTTCGAGACCAGCCAGACCAACATGGAGAAACCTCATCTCTACTAAAAATACAAAATTAGCCAGGTGTGGTGGCACATGCCTGTCATCCCAGCTACTCGGGAGGCTGAGGCAGGAGAATCACTTGAATCTGGGAGGCGGAGGTTGCAGTGAGCTGAGATCATGCCATTGCACTCCAGCCTGGGTGGGCAACAAGAGCAAAACTCCATCTCAAAATAGTAATAATAATAACTAGGTGTGGTGGTGTGTGCCTGTAGTCCCAGCTACTCAGGAAGCTAAGGCGGGAGGATCACTTGAGCCTGGGAAGTCGAGGCTGCAGTGAGCCGAGGTTGTGTCACTGCACTCCAGTCTGGGTGACAGAGCAAGATCCTGTCTCACAGAAGAGGAAAAGAAAAGAGAAGAGAGACAAAAGAAAACTTAAGTGTCCTTACACTTGAATTCTTTGGCATGCACTTAAGCAAAGAATGAAACAGTTTTCTGCTATCACACCAGCAGAGGCCAGAAGAGAGCTATTTTTATTTTATTTTATTTTATTTTATTTTATTTTATTTTATTTATTTACTTTTTTTTTGAGACAGAGTCTCACTTTTATCGCCCAGGCTGGAATGCACTGGCGCGATCTTGGCTCACTGCAACCTCCTCCTCCCAGGTTCAAGCGATTCTCCTGCCTCAGCCTCCTGAGTAGCTGGGATTACAGGCATACGCCAACATGCCTGGCTAATTTTTTTTGTATTTTTAGTAGAGACGGGGTTTCACCATGTTGGCGAGGCTGGTCTTCAACTCCTGTCCTCAGATGATCCACTGTCTCGGCCTCCCAAAGTGCTGGGATTACAGGCGTGAGCCACTGTGCCCGGCCGAGCGCTATTTTTGGAGAAATAATTAGTTGGAAACTAGGGGCTGAGCAATCAAAAGAGAATTTCTAGGATATACAGGATATGAATTGGATACCTTTGGCACAGTAATGATAGCTCATCAGGCCAAAAAGAGCTTTCAACATAGCTATTGTTGAAATATACAAAGGGCAGAGGCAAGAATTCATGGTCTTGAGAGGAAAAAAAGTCAACATTGTGTACCTATATATTGGGCATTTAGGAATACAAAGAAATGTATGAGATCATATTACCCAGGGGGAGAACAGGCAGCCATAAAAAGATGCCTAAGAGGTCAAAGAGGCTTAGGCTGTGCCGAAGAAATCTTAAGGCCAATTAGAACCCAAACTATGCCTTAGGATGAGTTAACCTAGAGAAGCAAAGAGGAGACAATGCAATCTAAGTTGGGAAACCAACTAATTGGAATGTGGAAATGCTAAAATACTGAGTCAGAAGGGGCTTTAGAGATCATCTGATTCAAGCCTCTCACTTTGTAATGAAGAAACAGGAGCCCAAAGAGTCAGTGATTGCCAAGGTCCCAAAGGGCTAGAACCAGAATGTATGGCATCTGGGACCTCAGTTTGATGTTCTTTCCCCTTTGTAGGTATATGTATTAGAACTAGGGAGTAGAGCTAGTATGTGGTTTAAGTAAGCAAGGCAGTAAACTTGGGTCTTGACTGCAAAATTAAGACTTTAGACTTGAGTCTGTAGTACTGTGGTTTTTCAGACCATTAGTAGCAGATCCCTTTCTTCAAATTAAATCTTATACAGAACTTCAGTAAACAATGATACTTTAATAACATGAATTTATTTCAAGCATTCAATTTTATCACCTTTACTTATAAGTCCACCTAGTCAAATGTTTTCTGCACCTCAGGCCAATTATGTCTGAGGGTAAGTTCCAGGCATCAGTAATTTTGGGGGAGACAGACTGTCACCCAGGCTAGAGAGCAGTGGCACGATCACAGCTCACTGCAGCCTCAGCCTCCTGAGTAGCTGGGACTACCGGCGTGCCACCATGCCTGTTTTGTATTGTTTGACTTTGTAGAGTTGAGGTCTCGCCATGTTGCTCAGGCTGGTCTCAAACTCCTGGGCTCAAGCGATCTGCCTGCCTTTGAGCCACCACACCCGGCCCATCAATATTTCTTTTAAAGCTCCCTGTGTGATTCTGGTGTGCAGCCAAGTTTGAGAACACTGCCCTAAGTCATTGTTACAGGCTAGTACAGTGGCATTCAAACTTTGGTGTACAATAGAATCACCTGGAAGGCTTGTTAAACCACAGATTGCCAAGCTCCACCCCAAAGTTTCTGATTTTGTCTGAGCATTTATATTTTTAACAAGTTCACAAATCAGTATAAGGCAAATTAAGAAATATTGCTATGACAACAAGGAAAAGTAGTAAAATGTTAAACTTCAAGACAGTAGAAAACATTTTGAGCTGTGTAGTAATGCATTAATTTAGATGGCATCATCAGGCCCGCAATATATATAAAATGGATTTGGTGACGGCGTGGTCAGGCATAGAGTCAGGTGTGCAAGAAAAGCATTTAGTAACCTATTATAATATTCCAAATATGAGGAGCACCTGGGGCTAAGACATGGCAGTGCAATGGAAAATAAAAAATTTAGTAACCACTTAATGATTGTTACATGCCAGAACTAGCAGCTGAGAGTAGAAAGATGAATATGACAATTCTCCTCAGTGAGCCTATAACCAACTCAGTTGTCACAACGAACATTGCAAAATTAGAATCATTAAACTAGGTCTCCTACTAGAAATGGGGAGGGACCCTTGTTCTACATGTCATTTATAATTGTAACACTTTTTAAAAGAGAAATTATCAGTAATTCTACAGTGAACTTTCTTTTTACATATTTAAGAATCCAGGGACAATTATGTAGTAGATATTTGCCCAACACATTCTGCACTCAAATTTGAGGCTGCCCACTATCCCCTTGGAGATTTGTCCAGGAAATTTGCTTTTTTTTTTCTATTTATCCTCTAACCATTTATTCAGAAAGATAATTATCCATTATTCATGCTTACTGAGTCTGGGCCCTTTCATTGTTTATTAACATTTCCACCAAAGTTTGGCAGGACAAATAAAGAACGAAACTCAGATTAACCTTAGACCATCAACCTATCAATTTTGATAAGATATTTGGGAGAAAATGTAGAAAGTGGACTCAAAATTTGAAAGACATGTATGTCCAGTGAACCAGGCAATATCTTGAGTGGATTTGATAGGAAGTTAGCATTAAGCTCAAGAAAATCACAGATAACAAGCTGTGCAAAAATGGCCTGAGCATGCATTTCATTGACAGTTTCAAAAAATCAAAGAATAAAAAGTTAATGCTTGAAATAATCTATTCCAACCTCTCATTATAAGTAAATTGGTTGGGGGTACAAGTTTACTTGTCTTTCTTTTTTATAGATGAACAGGTAAATTTGAAACAGAGTTACAAATGACAGCTGCAGTGTTATGCCAACTTTAGAAGTAAAGGTATTTCTGTATTTTGACTGCTCAGCATCAGGATTATCTTTACTCACACAGATAATGTTTTGCCAGTGGTAAAGATCTTTTTTTTTGAGATGGAGTTTCACTCTGTCACCCAGGCTGGAGTGCAGTGGCACGATCTCAGCTTACTGCCACCATGCCCAGCTAATTTTTTTTGTATTTCTAGTAGAGACGGGGTTTCACCGTGTTAGCCAGGATGGTCTCGATCTCCTGACCTCGTGATCCGCCCGTCTCAGCCTCCCAAAGTGTTGGGATTACAGGTGTGAGCCACCACGCCCAGCCAACAATTCGTTAAAAGACTATAAGAGGCCTGATTTTTTTCATATACTTCATATGAACCAACATATCAAAACAGATTAAACGCAGATGCAGACCTGAGAATCCAACTGTCTTCTATTAAGCCAAACTTTAAAGAGATTCAGACATCTTTTCTCACTAATGTTTTTTATTCTGGGATATATATATTTATTTTTGATAAAATTTGTATATTTTATGTTAAAAGCTAGTGGGTTTATTTTTAGATGAATAAATATTCTAAAATTTATCACTTTTAATATCTTTTATTTTTTAAATTTTTTAGAGACAGAGTCTCGCTCTGTTGCCCAGACTGGGATGAAGTAGCACAGCTGTAGCTTACAGCAGCCTCAAACTCCTAGGCTTAAGTGATCCTCCCACCTCAGCCTCCTGAGTAGCTAGGACTACAGGTGCATGCCACCATACCCAACTATTTTTTTTTTCAATTTTTTTTCAAATTTTTTTTTTTTTTAGAGATCGGGGGGTGCAGGGGGGCGGTCTCACTATGTTGCCCAGACTGGTCTCGAACTCCTGGCCTCAGGCAATCCTCCTGCCTCAGCCTCTCAAAGCACTGGGATTATAGGCATGAGCCATTGTGCTCGGCCTTAATTTCTAATATGGAAAATGCCAATTTATATAATTCACATTAACCAAAGCTCTTTAGGATCCTCAATAATCTTTAAATTTCAAGAGGTCACAGCACCAAAAACTTTGAGAGAACTGAAACCGTACTCACAGTGTTACAGGAAAGAGATCCCTACCCAGACCCCAAGAAAGGGTTCGTAGACCTGCAAGAAAGAATTTGGGGTGAGTCCACTGAGTAAATTAAAAGCAAGTTTATTAAGAAAGTAAAGGAGGCCAGATACAGTGGCTCACACCTGTAATCCCAGCACTTTGGGAGGCCAAGGCGGATGGATTACCTGAGGTCAGGAGTTTGAGACCAGCCTGGCCAACATGGTGAAACCCCGTCTCTACTAAAAATACAAAAATTAGATGGGCGTGGTGGCATGCGCCTGTAGTCCCAGCTACTCAGGAGGCTGAGGCACGAGAATCTCTTTAGCCCTGGAGGCCAAGTTTGCAGTGAACCGAGATCGCACCACTGCACTCCAGCCTGGGCGACAGAGCAAGATTCCATCTCAAAAAACAAAAACAAAAAGTAGGCTGGGTGCAGTGGCTCTTGCCTGTAATCCCAGTACTTTGGGAGGCTGAGGCAGGTGGATCACGAGGTCAGGAGTTTGAGACCAGCCTGAGCAACATGGTGAAACCCTGACTCTACTAAAAATACAAAAATTAGCCAGGCGTAGCAGCACGTGCCTGTAGTCCCACCTACTCTGGCGGCTGAGGCAGGAGAATTGCTTGAACCCCGGAGGTGGAGGTTACAGTGAGCCAAGATCATGCCACTGCGCTCCAGCCTGGGCTACAGAGCAAGACGCTGTCTCAAAAAAAAGAAAAAAGTAAAGGATGCCTTGCGCAGTGACTCACACCTGTAATCCCAGCACTTTGGGAGGCCAAGGCAGGCGGATCACCTGAGATCAGGAATTCGAGACCAGCCTGGCCAACGTGGGGAAATCTCGTCTCTGCTAAAAATACAAAAAAAAAAAAAAAAAAAAAAAATTAGCCAGGACTGGTGGCACATGCCTGTAGTCCCAGCCACTCAGGAGGCTGAGGCAGGAGAATTACTTGAACCCGGGAGGTGGAGGTTGCAGTGAGCTGAGATCACACTACTGCACTCCAGCCGGGCGACAGAGTAAGACTCTGTCTCAAAAAAAAAAAAAAAAAAAGGAAAGGAAAGGAATAAAGGAATGGCTACTCCATAGGCAGAACAGCAGCATGGGCTGCTGGACTGACTATACTTATAGTAACTTCTTGTTTATATGCTAAACAAGGGTTGAGTTATTTATGAGTTTTCCAGGAAAGGGGTGGGCAATCCTTGGAACTGAGGGTTCCTCTTCATTTTAGACCCCATAGGATAACTTCCTGACGTTGCCATGGCATTTGTAAACTGTCATGGTTCTGATGGGAGTGTCTTTTAGTATGCTAATGCATTATAATTAGTGTATCATGAGCAGTGAGGACAACCAGAGGTCACTTTCATCACCGTCTTGGTTTTGTGGGATGTGGCTGCCTTCTTTACTGCATATGCTGTTTTATCAACAAGGTCTTTGTGACCTGTATCTTGTTCTGACCTCATATCTCATCCTGTGGCTAAGGACGCCTAACCTCCAGGGAATGCAGCCCAGTAGGTCTCAGCCTTATTCTACCCAGCCCCTATTCAAGAAGCAATTGCTCTGGTTCAAACACCTCTGACAACAAGGTTAACAAGAATTACATGCCAGATTCTGGACAGAAAAATAGGTATAACTAAATGTTAATCAAGCCACACTTTGGTCCACTTCCTGGTAGCTGCTTGCTAACTCAAAATCTCCTAGCACTAGATACTGACCATTTGCATCCCCATTGTTCCTGTAGATAGGATCTCTAATGATAGATTCATAAGGCTTTTAAGAATTGCTTAAGGCCAGGCACAGTAGCTAATGCCTGTAATCCTAGCACTTTGGGAGGCCAAGGTGGTTGGATTGCTTGAGGTCAGAAGTTCAAGACCAGCCTGGCCAACATGGTGAAACTTGGTCTTTACTAAAAATACAAAAATTAATTCCAGCTACTCGGGAAGTTGAGATAGGAGAATCTCTTGAACCTGGGAGGTGGAGGTTTCAGTAAGCTGAGATTGCACCACTGCACTCCTGCACTCCAGCCTGGGCAACAAAGCAAGACTCTGTCTAAAAAAAAAAAAAAAGTTTCAGATGTTTTCCAGATCCTGAATTCAATTGGAATGGCTGATGCCAACCAGTTTGAAGACCCCCTCAGAGGAACTGAATCAGCATAAGAATACAGTTTCTTCATGTCCCTGTCCCATGACCTCACCCAGCCCTCTTCAACCAATCAACAATCCCCACACCTCAGCCCCCTACTCATCCAAACCCCTTAAGATCCCCAGCCCCAAATTCCTTGGGGTTTGAGGCTTCCTCCCATCTCCTCACTTGGCTGCCTGATGATTAACCTCTTTCTCTGCTGCAGCTTGGTGTCTCAGTGTATTGACTTGTCATGCACTGGGGAAGGAACCTGGTACGGTAACAGAACCGCAGGTGTGGTGTTGTGAGAATGCACATTTGACCTGTGCTTTATTCCTGGCTCTACTACTTATCAGCTGTGGCAGACTGCCACAGTCACTACTTGAGACCATCACTACAGCAGTTACTACTGTTACTACTTGAGACCCTCATTACAGCAGTTACTGTTTCTGCCTGAGACCCTCATTACAGCAGTTACTACTGTTACTGCCTGAGACCTTCACTACGAGACTGAACGAAGGGACCCATGTAGAAATGATAACAAAAAACAAAAGTAACTATTTTAAGGAAAGGCTAGCATGGGGAAGAAGAAGAGAGAAGAAGAGAAGAAGAAAAGGGCTCCCTTGGCCGGGCGTGGTGGCTCACGCCTGTAATCCCAGCACTTTGGGAGGCCAAGGCGGGCGGATCATGAGGTCAGGAGATCGAGACCATCCTGGCTAACACGGTGAAACCCCGTCTCTACTAAAAACACAAAAAATTACCCGGGCATGGTGGTGGGCCCCTGTAGTCCCAGCTACTTGGGAGTCTGAGGCAGGAGAATGGTGTGAACCCAGGAGGCGGAGCTTGCAGTGAGCCAAGATGGCACCACCGCACTCCAGCCTGGGAGACAGCGAGACTCCATCTCAAAAAAAAGAAAAAGAAAAAAGAAAGGGCTCCCTGCTTCTAGTGAGCAAAGGCAGCCCCTGAGCTTCTACAGCACTTGGTATTTATTGGGTAACAAGAGCAAGGAGGAAGAGGTAACGATTGGTCAGCTGCTTAATTGATCACAGGTTCATATTGTTACTGACAGGCTTTAATTATGCCTAATAATAAGAAACATTTGTGCCTGGATCGTGACTGCCCTAAGAAGTCCTTCTGGGTGGCATAAGCAGTTTGTCAGTTTGCCAACATTCTGCATTATGAGAAACAGTTTGCTGCTTACTCATATAGCCTCCAGTGGTATACCGAGTTGATCATGACCCTCACTCTTTCCACCTCCAACAATCAGCCATGTGACCATGGGCAAGTGGCTGGGCCTCAGTTTTTTTCTTATATGTGTAAGGTAACAGAAATAATACTTCGTTCATAGGCTTGTTGTAAGCATGAGACAAAGCAAAGGAATATGTCTAGTGTCTGTACGTAGTGAAAATGGAAAAGAAAAAGATGAGAAAGAGAATGAAGAAGAGGAGGAGGAAGAAGGAGGAGGAAAAGGAGAAGATTTAGTCTCTTCCCTATAAAAAGATTTGTGTTTCCAGAATATAAGAATTCGGTGGCTGGGTGCGGTGGCTCATACTGGTAATCCCAGCACTTTGGGAGGCCAAGGCGGGCAGATCATGAGGTCAGGAGATGGAGACCGTCCTGGCTAACACAGTGAAACCCCGTCTCTACTAAAAAACACAAAAAATTAGCCAGGCGTGGTGGTGGGCACCTGTAGTCCCAGCTACTCAGGAGGCTGAGGCAGAAGAATGGCGTGAACCCAGGAGGCGGAGCTTGCAGTGAGCCGAGATTGCACCATTGCACTCCAGCCTGGGTGACAGAGCGAGACTCCATCTCAAAAAAAATAAAAATAAATAAAAATAAATAAAGAATTCAGTATTAGCAGATCTAAAGGCATAATCTTTCCAATGCTATAAGGATCATCTATCAGACATTTTCAAGTTTTCTTAGAAAGGAAATCTCAGCCAGCCACGGTGGCTCACACCTGTAATCCCAGCACTCTGGGAGTCCAAGGTGGGTGGATCACTTGAGCCCAGGAGTTCAAGACCAGCATGGCCAACATGGCGAAACCCCATCTCCACCAAAAAATACCAAAAAATTCGCTGTATGCGGTGGTGGGTGCCTGTAGTCCCAGCTACTCAGGAGGCTGGGGTGGGAAAATCACCAGAGCCTGGGCAGTCGAGGCTACAGTGAGCAGTGATCATGCCACTGCACTCCAGCCTGGGTGACGGAGTACAACCTTGTCTCACAGAAAAAAAAAAAAAAAAACAAGAAAGAGACAGAGAGAGAGAGAGAGAGAGAAAGGGAGGGAGGGAGGGAGAGGGAAGGAAGGAAGGAAGAAAGGGAGGGAGGAAGGAAGGAAGGAAGAAAGGGAGGGAGGAAGGAAGGAAGAAAGGGAGGGAGGAAGGAAGGAAGGAAGGGAGGGAGGAAGGAAGGAAGGAAGGGAGGGAGGGAGGGAAGAAGGAAGGAAGGAAGGAAGGAAAGAAATCTCATATGAGACTTCAGGCACTAGAGAGAAATTAAGGGCTGTGAGTCTCAGGGCCACATTAGCAAGAGATTAATTCATCAACCTACAAAGTACTTAATGTCTATTCAATAGAATGATGGGTGAGGAAAGACTGTAAAGAAACAGATGTGGAAGCTGGGAGCTGTGGCGTGTGCCTGTAATCCCAGCTACTCGAGAGGCTGAGGCAGGAGGATTGCTTGAACCCAGGAGTTCAAGTCCAGCCTGGACAATGTAGTAAGACCCTATCTTTTAAATAATCGTATTAAGGAAAAGATATATATGTGAGTGAGTGTATCTGAACGCATGTATAGTAAGAACAATGATCTGAAGTCACATGAAGTTCTGAGAAAAACCTGTGGCATTACAGAATAGAACTGAAAGTTTGGCCTGGAGTTTTCCTGGCCTTATGCTTTTTAAGGAAAATGTTGTGTTTATAGTTAATGTTTTGTTCTTGTTTTGAGACAGGGTTTCACTCTGTCGCCCAGGCTGGAGTGCAGTGGTGCCATCTCAGCTCACTGCAACCTCTGCCCCCTGAGTTCAAGTGATTCTCCCATCTCAGCCTCCCGAGTAGCTGGGACTACAGGCGTCTGCCACTACACTCAGCTAATTTTTGTATTTTTTTGGTAGAGAAGGGGTTTCACCATGTTGGCCAGGCTGGTCTCAAGCTCCTGGCCTCAAGTGATCCACCTACCTTGGCCTCCCAAAGTGCTGGGATTATAGGCATGAGCCACCACACCTGGCCCTGGTTAATTTTTTTTTTAACTGAAAATTTTAATGAGATAATTTTAATTCACATGCAATTGTAAGAAATAATACAAAGAGATTGTATGAAACATTTACCCATTTCCTCCAGTGGTAACATCTTCCAAAACTATAGCTCAAAATCACAACCAGGATATCAACTTTGATACAATCTTACTCAGAAATCCCCTTTTATTTTTACACATTTGTGTGTATGTATTTAATTCTACACAGTTGTATCATGTGTTAGGTATTCACCACAGTCACCTAGCAACCAATAATCTGTTGTCCATTGCTAAAATGTTGCCGTTTTGGAAGAGTTACATAGATTGAATTATACAATATATAACCTTTTGGGGTTGGCTTTTTCCAGTCAGCATAATTCCTAGAGATTCATCTGAACTGTTGCATGTATTAATAATTTATTTTTTTTTTTTGAGATGGAGTCTTGCTCTGTCGCCCAGGCTGGAGTGCAGTGATGAGATCTTGGCTCATTGCAACCTCTGCCTCCTGGGTTGAAGCGATTCTCCTGCCTCATTGCAAATGTGCTTGACCCCTTTAATGAATATTCATACCTCCCCCTATGACCTGTTAAATATACATGTTTATCCAACTCATTTGACATAAAATTCCTGTCCCTGCCTTCCTCCCTTGAAGTGCCGGCTTCTGGTCTCAACCACAGGCTCCACTTCCCTGCACGTAGCAACTCTTCTCAAGAAATAAAGACCTTTCCAAATTTATAGGTCTCATGGTTTTAAGTTAACAATAGGAAGTAAAGTGTTTCCTTTAATTCCATGAAATTACAGTAAATTTTCAAATCTGAGGAGGCGATTGTGGGAACCCCTGATTTTTAGCCTAGTTAGACAGATGTGTGGGTATTCTGGACATCCAATACTTGCAACTGGCATCCAAGTGGTCCTGGGGAGCAGTGCTGTGGGACTGAGCCTTTATTCTTTGGGATCTGCTCTAACTCCAAGTAGTTAATGTCAGAACTGAATGAAATTTGTAGGACACCCGGTTGGTGTCCACAAAGACCTGGAAAATTGCTTTGTGTGGAAAACCCACATATTTGGTGCCAAAAGTGTTGTGAGTAGAGAAACGTTTTTCCTTTACCCCTCCTTCTGGGGCTGGTGTTCACCCCCAGCTGATTGATGCTCATTTCATTGAGCAATGGTGTCAAGCAGGAGTAGGGGTTGCCTCAGGTGAAGACATGGACTAAGGTGGTTTGTTTCAGTCCAGAGCATCTTTCTCTGTTCCACAGTGCTGGTCTTGGGGACCACTTAGGCACAAACTGAGAGGATTACTCAGAGTTGATTACTGACTCAAGCTCTAGTAACTGTGCCCAGAATGTACTCAGCTTTGGCATCTTCCAGAGAGGTCACTTGACCAGGAGATGTGGGCAAGAGTTAAGGAGCAGAATTGCAAATGCCTATAAACAGAGATCTTGGCTAGTAGGAATTACAAAGGGCAGACAGTGTGGAGGTGACTGCTTTGTAAGTATTATTGAGCTTTAGTTAGCATCCATAATAACATGTCATCCCTCTACCCCAAGTCTATCAAGGTTCTTAATATCAGCAAAGGCCAGCACTCCACAACCTAGGAAGCCTTTCTAAGCCTGACAAAAGATTTAAAAATTACATTTGGAAGTGCTCTTTACCACAAGCTTTGATTCCACTGTCTGCACACCTGTTGATCTCATACAAAAACATTCATCACACTGACCTTGTCCTGTTGAATACATCTCTACCATTTGCTCAGAGGAGCCAAAAATGTGTTTTCTTCTTCAAAAAACAGAAAAATTTTCCCATGTTTCATTTTATTATCAGCTTTTTGGGGTAGAAGATAAGCTGACAATGAAAATATGATGATTGGCTGTTATTTTTAAATGAATTTTTAATAGCAAATAATTTGCTCCATCTGGAAAAGGCTGATCACATTTTCAGCAACTAGGCACAAATCAGGATGGATTATTTCCAGCATTTTTTTAAAAAGCTTATTTAGATCCAATCACACTAGCTGCTCAGTGTCAGTGGCATTTCCTGATCCTGAAGAGGGCTAAGCCCTCAGCCCCGTCCTTCATGCCTTAAGGCCATGGTCTCTCAAAATATCAAAGTCCTTTTGCTCACCAGACACCTGCTGTAGTTTCTGTCATCCAGTTTCTGGGGCTACTGTGGCTCACGTTGTGGCACTAGTTCACACTGTACTTCACTCCAGCCATTGGCAGAAACATCAGGCAGTGTCATGGATCAGTCGCTGAAGTTGGCTTCTCTGGGTGCTGTTCCCATAGCACACAGCCTCTTATTTGAGAAACAGGAGCAGAAAGAGACATCAAGTATTTAGGCAAAGCAAGGTTTGGGATAGTTCTGGGACGACATTTTGATCCAGCTCTCATCTGCCCTATGGGAGCTCCAGAATTAAAGGGCTTCATGAAAGGGAAGGAGAGAAAAACTATTTGCACGCCCATGTTCATAGCAGCATTATTCACAATAGCCAAAAGGAAGAAATAACCCAAATGTCCGTTGACAGATGAATGGGTAAACAAAATGCGGGTGCCTCCACACAATAGAATATTATTCAGCCTTAAAAAGGAAGAAAATTCAGGCTGGGCGCGGTGGCTCACGCCTGTAATCCCAGCACTTTGGGAGGCTGAGGCGGGTGGATCACGAGGTCAGGAGATCGAGAACCATCCTGGCTAACAAGGTGAAACTCCGTCTCTACAAAAAAAAAAAAAAAAAAAATTAACCGGGGATGGTGGTGGGCGCCTGTAGTCCCAGCTACTCAAGAGGCTGAGGCAGGAGAATGGCGTGAACCTGGGAGGCGGAGCTTTCAGTGAGCCGAGATCCCTCCCACCACTGCACTCCAGCCTGGGTGACAGAGCAAGACTCCGTCTCAAAAAAAAAGAAAAGGAAGAAAAATCTAACACATGCTACAACATGGATAAACCTTGAGGAGGACACCATGCTAAGTGAAATAAACCAGACACAAAAGGACAAATGTTGTATGATTCCACTTATATGAGATACCTAGAACAGGCAAATTCATAGAGACAGAAAGTAGAACAGAGTAATTACCAGGGGCTAAGGAAAGGGGGTGATATGGTTTGGCTGTGTCCCCACCCAAATTTCATCTTGAATTGTAGCTCCCATAATCCCCACGTGTCATGGAAGGGACCCAGTAGGAGGTAAGTGAATCATGGGGGTGGTTTTTTCCCGTGCTGTTCTCGCTATAGTGAGTGAGTCTCACGAGATCTGACGGTTTCATAAACGGCAGTTCCCCTGCACACACTCTTACCTGCCACCATGTAAGACATGCCCTTGCTCCTTCTTTGCCTTCCACCATGATTGTGAGGCTTCCCCAGTCATGTAGAACTGTGAGTCCATTAAACCTCTTTGTAAATTACCCAGTCCCAGGAATTTCTTCATAGCAGTATGAAAATGGACTAATATGGGGGGAAGACGGACTTACTGTTTAATGAGTACAGAGCTTCAGTCTGAGATGATCAAAAAGTTGTGGAGGCGGATGGTGGTGATGGTTGCACAAAAATATGAAGGTACTTAATGCCGCTGAAACTGTACACCTAAGAATGGTTAAAATAGGCCGAGTGCAGTGGCTCACGCCTGTAATCCCAGCACTTCGGGAGGCCAAGACAGGTGGGTCGCCTGAGCTTAGAAATTCAAGACAGCCTGGACAACATGGTGAAACCCTATCTCTACCAAAAACACAAAAAAATTAGCCAGGTGTGGTGGCATGCACCTGTGGTCCCAGCTACTCAGGAGGCTGAGTTTGGGGGATCACTTGAGCCTGGGAGGCAGAGGTTGCAGTGAGCCGAGATTGTGCCACTGCACTCCAACCTGGTGAAAGAGTGAGACCCTGTCTCAACAACAGCAAAAACAAGTTAAAATGGTAAATTTTATGTTAAGTATATTTTGCCACAATTTTTTTAAGGGGAGGGAAAATGTGCTTGTGCTTTTCACTGGCCCCAGGTCCTTTTCTAAAGGAAGTCTTCTGGGTGTCACCTTCTGGGTCTCACTTCTGGGTGGCTGAGTGAGGCAATGCTTAGGAACCAAACTACCCACTGGTGTGCTGGTAAATGCTTAACAACTGGCTCTCCAACAAGAACAAAAAACAACTGCATGGAAATATTGGTACACAAGTTTATTATACATTTTATCAATAAAAAGGATGTGAGGCACACAATTTACAGATGGTAAAATATACAACACTCTTTTAAAATTCCACATAGCCAATTGATATTCAGGGAATGATTTAATTGACTTTTGCTAAACTCTTGTACCTGCAGCAACAATGGTTGTGATTGATGAACAAATAAAGTTCTGACATGAATGCTGGTTGATATTTTTGTTTAATAAGTAAGACAAAAGTGGCCGGGCGTGGTGGCTCACGCCTGTAATCCCAGCACTTTGGGAGGCCGAGGAGGGCAGATCATGAGGTCAGGAGATCGAGACCATCCTGGCTAACATGGTGAAACCCCGTCTGTACTAAAAATACAAAAAGTTAGACGGGCATGGTGGTGGGTGCCTGTAGTCCCAGCTACTCAGGAGGCTGAGGCAGGAGAATGGCATGAACCCAGGAGGTGGAGCTTGCAGTGAGCCGAGATCACGCCACTGCACTCCAGACTGGGAGACAGAGTGAGACTCCGCCTCAAAAATAAAAAAAGAAAAAAAAGTAAGACAAAAGTGAAACAAGGACATATGTGAGAAGGTCACTCATTCTACAATGCCATAAGCAATATTTTTGATGAGTTAGATTATAGTTTTTAAATATAGTTGTTGAATACTGGAAGAATACTTCCGCAATTTCTCTTTATTTCTACTCCCCTGTTCTCAATCTCTTGTGTTATTCACAATGTAACAGCTACTGACTCAACACACTTTCAAGTATTATCTGCATTATTAATATTCTCTCTGCCATGTTGTTACATTTGGACAATCAATAAAACAATATTTTAAGCCCTGATTTATAGTGTTTGCTGATTTCTATGGTGTAAATACTCCCACCATGGCTGGTTTCAGCCTGTTAGTGTGAATTCACCTCAAGGTGAAGTCAGGAAGAGACATATGGTAAGGTGCTACCATGTCGCATTTCCATACAGAAGACCTGAGTAACCTTCCAAACATCAATACACAGATAGTAACATATGCTAACATCATTAGGGAATGACGAGGTTTTAGTACTTATTTTGTGTTTTTAATATCCTTTATTCAGTTGTAAGTTTATACAATTTAATTTTAAAAATTATCATGTTTCACATCTGGCTCACAGAATTCTCAAAAATTTAACAATTGACTCTCATAAGCCAGTACACCACGTTTGGCAAACCATGAAACCACTCATCTCTTTGTAAGAACTGTGGAAGGGCTCTCTACCTCCAAAGCTATCCCAGAAAGCACAGAAATTGGGGGGGTGGAGGGGTGTCCCTTACCAAAGGCATGGAATGAGAAGGAAAAAAAAATCCAAAAATAGAAGGAAAAGGAAATTGGGAGGGTCCCATCACACTGGGCTCATGACACTTCTCTAGACTTTTCTTCCTTCTCTATTATCTTCATGCTTCCATGGATCTTGTTCTCTGGTTCTTCTCAGTGTTGCCCCTGTGGCTCTCCTTGGCATTGTTGTCATTCATGTGCTTCTTTGTCCCGTTTCTTCTATTCCCATTGCAGTCTTGGCTCTCCTTCCACTTGTTCTGGTGATGCACAACTTTTCAGTCACCATTTTCCATGATTTTCTTCAATTCTCCCTCTCTTCTTTTTTAAAGTTTTTAAAATTTATTTTTGTAGAGGCAGAGTCTTTGCAGTATTGCCCAGGCTAGTCTCGAACTCCTGAGCTCAATCGATCCGCCCACATCGGCTTCCCCAAGTGCTGGGATTACAGGTGTGAGCCACTGCGCCCAGCCCCTCTTTTCCTTTTCTGGCATAGCAGGGGCTTCAGTTGAAAATGGGGCCACAGGAATCCCTCTATCAGAGGATTAAGGGGAAATCCACAGCAGCCTCAGCCTTCTGGGGCCTTTTCTTTCTAGTTTTCTGAGGCTCAATGTTGCCTTTTCATGAACTGAATGATCAGAAAAAAGGGGGAAACTCTACAAGATGTATCTTCAGTTGGATTTTGGGGTGGCTGCCCAATAAATGACTTTTCATTAATGAGGAAAACAGCATAGAAGTGGTGGAAAAAGTTAATAAACCCTATGATAAAATGAGGCAATAACAATGCAAATTTCTAGGGGGCTTATTAAGAAAATGTTTTTTTAAAAAAAACCTCAATAATTTGGTCATCAAATATTTAACAACTCAAGGACCCTTTAAAAGAGAAAAAATTATTACAGATTCCCTCCCCCGTCCCTTTTTTTTTTTTTTTTTTCTTTTTTGAGACAGAGTTTCCCTCTCGTTGCCCAGGCTGGAGTGCAATGGCACGATCTCAGCTCACCACAACCTCCGCCTCCCCGGTTAAAGCGATTCTCCTGCCTCAGCCTCACGAGTAGCTGGGATTTACAGGCATGCACCCCCACACCCGACTAAGTTTGTATTTTTACAAAATATTTTTACAAAAAAAGACGAGGTTTTCCATGTTGGTCAGGCTGGTCTCCAACTCCTGACCTCAGGTGATCTGCCCACCTCAACCTCCCAAAGTGCTGGGGTTACAGGTGTGAGCCACAGCGCCTAGCCTATAGACCCTTCTTAAAGAAGAAAATGTTTTCCTGTAGGCCCTCAATGTTGCCTTAAATTATTTTTATTATGTTATTTAAAGAGTACAAACATAGGGCCGGGCGTGGTGGCTCATGCCTGTAATTCCAGCACTTTGGGAGGGCGAGGCGGGCAGATCACCTGAGGTCAGGAGTTCAAGACCAGCCTGGCCAACATGGTGAAACCCTGTCTCTACTAAAAACACAAAAAATTAGCTGAGCATGGTGGCGCACGTCTGTAATCCCAGCTACTCGGGAGGCTGAGGCAGGAGAATTGCTTGAACCCAGGACATGGAAGTTGCAGTGAGCCGAGATCGTGCCATTGCACTCTAGCCTGGGCAACAAAAGCGAAACTCTGTCTCAAAAAAAAAAAAGAGTACAAACATAAACTAGGCATGAATCCCGTATGTTTATAACCTTCACATAATTATAAAATATAAATAAAACCACGAAAACCAGTAACATTTTAATGAAGAACATTAATTAAACGTGATGAATAATGTTCTTAAAAGCACATTACTGCTGTTGGGTTAAATAGTTGGTTTGTTGAAAAAAGTAACTGATTAATCAATAAACAAATAAATCTTGTCTTGTTCATTGGTGGAAGTAGATGGCAAATCATGACATCTCTGTTCTCCCCACTCCCCACCAACTCTTCACAACCACAAAAACATTAGGGAGTGAAGCAAGGAAGTATTCCTCTCTCTTATATTCTCCCATATTTGTCACTATTAAAAACCAAACTAAGGCTGGGTGTGGTGGCTCACTCCTATAAACCCAGCACTTTGGGAGGCCGAGGTGGGCAGATCACGAGATCAGGAGTTCGAGACCAGCCTGGCCAAAATGGTGAAACCCCGTCTCTACTAAAAATACAAAAATTAACTGGGCATGGTGGTGCGTGCCTGTAGTCCCAACTACTCAGGAGGCTGAGGCAGAAGAATCACTTGAACCCAAGAGGCAGAGGTTGCAGTGAGCCGAGATCGCACCACTGCACTCCAGCCCGGGCAACAGAGCAAGACTCTGTGTAAAACAACAACAACAACAACAACAACAAAAAGACAAAACAAAACTAGGCTGGGCGAGGTGGCTCACGCCTGTAATCCCAGCACTTTGGGAGGCCGAGGTGGGTGGATCACCTGAGGTCAGAAGTTCAAGACCAGCCTGGTCAACATGGTGAAACCCCATCTCTACTAAAAATACAAAAATTAGCCGGGCATGGTGGCGGGTGCCTATAATCCCAGCTACTTGGGAGTCTGAGGCAGGAGAATCGCTTGAACTCAGGAGGTGGAGGTTGCAATGAGCCAAGATCCTGCCATTACACTCCAGCCTGGGCAACAAGAGTGAAACTCTATCTAAAAAGTAAAATAAAAAACATAGTAAAGAAGAAAAACTTCTTAGAAGTTTTTACTAAAGAAGAAAGACTTTTTGCCGGCCAGGCAAGGTGGCTCATACTTGTAATCCCAGCACTTGGGGAGGATGAGATGGGAGGATCACTTAAGGCCAGGAGTTCAAGACCAGCCTAGGCAACAGAGTAAGACCCTGTCTCTACAAATAAAAAAAAAAAAAAAAAAGCGAAAAAAATTAGCCAGACACAGTGGGTCATGCCTGTAATCCCAGCACTTCGGGAGGCCAAGGCAGGCAGATAGCTTGAGCTCAGGAGTTCGAGACCAGCCTGGGCAACATGGTGAAATCCTGTCTCTACAAAAAATGCAAAAATTACCTGGGTATAGTGGTGCCTGCCTGTAGTCCCAGGTACTCAGGAGGCTAAGGTGGGGGGATTACTTGAGCCAAGGAAGTCAAGTCTTCAGTGAGCCGAGATTGTGCCACTGCACTGCAATCTAGATGACAGAATGAGACCCCGTCTTTAAAAAAAAAAAAAAAAATTAACCAGGTGTGATGGCTCACATCTGTAGTCCCAGCTACTCAGCTACTCGGGAGGCTGAGGCAGGAGGATCACTTGAGCCCTGGAGTTCAAGGCTGCAGTGCACTATGACTGCACTACTGCACTCTAGCCTGGGTGACAAAGTGAGATCCTGTCTCAAAAGAAAAAAGAAGGAGGAGGAGGAGGAGGAAAGGAGAAGAAACCAAAGAAAGCATATTCATCATATAGTTCATAAATGTATTTGGTATTTAATTCTACAGTCTTAAAAGTTGCCCGGGGGAAAAAAATTTAGCTTTCCTTTCCTTTCACTGATTTTATCTCATGAGCCACCATTTCTGCCCAGCAACAGGAAATGACATCTTACCAATTAAAGGTAACCCAATGTCTCCTGCAGTAAACAGTCAACTAGTGACTCTCTCTCTCCCTCACTATTCTGGAAAATGCCTGAGCTGCAGGGACCTGTGTCTCGCAAGAGGGGGATCTTAATCCACACTCACTGGTTTTCTCCCTATTGACTTTTTCTGCTATGGGCTGGCCCCAGGGGTCTTGACAGCCCAGCCTCCCAGATGTGAGGTCAGCAATCCCACTGGCCTGTGCACTCCATGTCTCTGCCCATCTGGCCAATCCTGGAGGCAGACAGGAAGGCTCCCTGTGTTCCCAGGCTTCACACAAGTAGAGGGAGGCATGGCGGGTGGAGTGGGAGAGAGACAGAGTCTCTCGGCCTCTCTATGCTTCCACCTGCCCTGCTGTCATTTCTGCCCATTTGACCACACCCCACTCTAGGCAGCCGCCATCCTCTCACAGAGTTGCAGGTGGGAAGTGGGACAGAATCCTCTTGGCCTCACATCATCAGCCTAGTCTGGGAGTTTTACTAAACCCATTCCCCAGTCCCCTTGGGTTCAGCCCAGGAAGCATCTCCTCCAGCAGTTCAACCTTGCTTTTTTCTCCTCACCCCCACTCCATCCTCTATCTGGGGGATTTTTCTCCAGATAGGGGCAGAAATTGCTCTTACATTATCATTCATTCTTTATTTATTTTTTTGGAGACCGGGTCTCGCTGTGTTGCTTAGGTTGGTCTCAAACTCCTGGACTCAAGTGATCCTCTCACCTCAGCCTCCTGGGTAGCTGGGACTACAGACACATACCACCATGCCCAGTCGGCCTCATTCATTGTTTTGAATCACATGTTTGTGGAATAAAGCAGTGATATGTTGGCAAATGCTTAAAAATGAACTCTTTGGGAAAAAAAGCCCTGTTTCATCGTGTTTGCCATTTTCACGGCATAAACCTTCCACCATGGTTGATTTCCAGCTACCTCTGTGATGTCACTGGACACTGGCTCTCTTGAACTGGTGCAAACCAGCTCTGGCACACCTTGGATGTTAAAGCCACTGATGATTGAGAGCCAGCATCAAATTTTGTACAGTTCAAATTCATTCTTCTCTCCCTCAAAAACCCAGCTTTTGGCTAGGTGCAGTGGCTCACGCCTGTAATCCCATTACTTTGGGAGGCCGAGGCGGGTGGATCACTTGAGGTCAGGAGTTCGAGACCAGCCTGGCCAACATGGCGAAACCCTGTCTCTACTAAAAATACAAAAATTAGCCAGGCATGGTGGCGCACAACTGTAGTACCAGCTACTCGGGAGGTTGAAGCAGGAGAATCTCTTGAACCCGGGAGGCAGAGGTTGCAGTGAACCGAGATGGCGTCATTGCACTCCAGCCTGGGTAACAAGAGCCAAACTCCATCTCGAAAGAAAACAAACAAACCAAAAACCCAGCTCTTACATTGGAAAGTCTTGGCTTTCAAGACTTTTTGCCAGCTGGGCACAGTGGCTCACGCCTGTAATCCCAGCACTTTGAGAGGCTGAGGCTTGTGGATCACCTGAGGTCAGGAGTTCAAGACCAGCCTGGTCAACATGGTGAAACCCCATCTCTACCAAAAATACAAAAAATTAGCTGGGCATGGTGGTGGGCACCTGTAATCCCAGCCACTCAGGAGGCTGAGGCAGGAGAATGGCTTGAACCCGAGAGATGGAGGTTGCAGTGAGCCAAGATCATGCCACTGCACTCTAGCCTGGCGACAGAGCAAGACTCCATCTCAAAAAAAAAAAGACTTTTTGCCTTGCTGTGCATCGAAAGACCCTATTTTAGAACTCAGAGCCAAGAATGTTTTTTTGAGATGGACTCTCACTCTGTCGCCCAGGCTGGGGTTCAGTGGCGCGATCTCAGCTCACTGCAAGCTCTGCCTCCTGGGTTGACGCCATTCTCCCGCCTCAGCTTCCCAAGTAGCTGGGACTACAGGCGCCTGCCACCATGCCTGGCTAATTTTGTTTTTGTATTTTTAGTACAGACGGGGTTTCACCGTGTTAGCCAGGATGGTCTCGATCTCCTGAACTTGTGATCTACCCGCCTGCCTCGGCCTCCCAAAGTGCTGGGATTACAGGCATGAGCCACCGTGCTCAGCCACAGAGCCAAGAATTTGTCTCTTTGTTAGCTGTCTCCTAAGAGCAGCACACTTAGAATTCTATCCCTATGTCTCCAGTGGTGGGAGAAGGTTAATGGGTACAAGAAAGCCTGGAGAAAAGAAACCTCAATTAATATCTCAAAATATTCTCCACCACTTGCTTGTAACTTTTTTGAATGGTTTGAAATAGCAACTGTACTGTCAATGGAGGCTCCACTAAGAAACCGTTATCCAACTGATACAAACTTATTATAAAATTAAAGGAAGGGTCAACTACTAGGGCCAGTGATGGAGACAGAGTGACAGAGAGAGAGAGAGAGAGAGAGAGAGAAAGAGGGAGAGAGAGGAGGCAGCAGCAGGAGGAGACTTCCTAAAGAGAGTTACCAAAAGTATGAGAATATTTTGTTCACATTTAACAAATCGATGGTTTCAGTATATGCACTCACTAAATATAACTGTATGCCTACCCTCATTTGAAGATGTAATAAGACTAAATTCAGGGTCAGGAAGAAGAGGAGGCCCTCCTGGCCCCTCAGTCGGGCTCTGCAGCTATGCCAGGGGGATGTGAGAGGGAGGAGAGGGTGTCCAGTCAGTGTTCACTCCTTGTCCCAAGCCCCTCCCCTCCTTCCTGCCCCCTCTGAGATTATGAGAGCAGAGTTTTGTACCCACCCACCACCCCCAACTCCTAATCCAGTGGGAGACCCGGGCAATGCAAGAGTTGGGTGCAGACGCTCTGGTCCTTTGAGACCTGGACCTGAGATGCATAAGACCACAAACTGAAAAATGAAAAGGACGACAATCTTCACTATCGGGACTATCTTTTGATCACTTGGAAACTGTCTTCTTTCCCCTTCTCCCTTACTTTCACAAGTACCTCAAAGTATCTTTCACTTTAAACAGTGAAGAATAATTCAGAGTGAGAAATTACAAAGACATCAGATTCCAATTAAACTAACTGATTGCTTTTGGAGTCCAGGAAAGTGCAGCATCAAGGTCAAGGACTTCTCTTTTTGCTAGTTGTGTGACTTTGCAAAAGTTACTTGGCATCTCTTAGTTGCAATTCCCTAATCTGTAAGTGGAAATAATATATTGTAATGTTGATGTAAGAATCAAGTGGAACTTTATGTTAAAGAGAGATTTGCAAACTAGAGTTCTATACAGATGTTTGTTACTGTAACTCCACATGGATCTCCTCAGAGGTAGAGACCACATTTTGTTTAGTAACCACAGCATCTAGCACAGAGCCTAACCCAGGTCTGTCTTCCATGAAGGTTAGTGGGTTGAATTTTTAAAAAGCCACCTGTGTCGGGCAGAGTGCTGTCAAGAAAAGAGAAGCGGCCAGGCGTGGTGGCTCACCCCTGTAATCCCAGCACTTTGGGAGGCCAAGGCAGGTGGATCATCTGAGGTCAGGAGTTTGAGACCAGCGTCGCCAACATGGCGAAACCCTGTCTCTACTAAAAATACAAAAATTAGCCGGGCTTGGTGGCGGGTGCCTGTAATCCCAGCTACTCAGGAGGCTGAGGCAGGAGAATCATTTGAACCTGGGAGGCGGAGGTTGCAGTGAGCCAAGATCACGCCACGTTGCATGAGCCTGGGCAACAAGAGTCAAACTGTCTCAAAAAAAAAAAAAAAAAAAAAGAGAAGCCATGCTATTTTGTGTAATTTTAACAGAGATCACATACAATAGCAATCAGGTAAACAGGTTTCGGAGTACTGAAAAGGTGAGGAGAGAACATGCCGTAAGGCAGAAAGGAGAGTAACTGCAGGAGGCGGCTACCACCCCTGGGGCTGGGGGAACAGAGGCCTCTGGATTATTAGGACCTGGAGTTGGAGGAGGCGCCGGGCTGGGGCTGGTGTCTCTGAGGTTGGCCAGTGTAGGAGAAACTGGAAACTGGAACTTCTGGCTACTGGAATCCGTTTCTGGTTGCTGCCAAGGTGAATTAGTGTTGCTGTGGTAACAATGACAGCAACAGCAAGAAACATGGGAAAAGGCAAATCCTTCCCCGCTTCAACTGGTCAGTCTCCCCCTAGGGCTTTCTATAGGCAGAGCAGCCAGGGCTCCTGCTGGTGACAGAGAAACAGAGGGTGCAGACCCCGTCTCAGCATCAAGGTGGAGTATAGAGCGGGGGATTCTGCTGAGAGCCAACAGCTTAAAAACTGCCACATTGCTATCTAATAAATGCAGAGGAGACTTTTGCCTATGGGTGAAGATGCCAAGGGCTGCACTTTGAGGAACTCCCTTTTTACACTACCATAGGGAGGAAATGGGAGTGTGACAATGTGGGTCACAGGGTTCTTGGCGTTCGGAGCCCTGCCGGGCAACCCTACCTCCATCCCAAAGACAGCCTTGCCCTTCCGCGTCGTTGTCGCTGGCAGGGGCGCTCCTGTTGCTGCCGCCAGCAGGGACTCCCATGTACACAATCAGAGAATAATGTTCTCACTCCCCAGAGAATAATGTTCTCACTTGCCAGTGAAGGTGCAAGAAGGAGAGCAGACTGGTTTTAGCTCTAGCGACACAACTCAGATGTTGGAGACAAGATACAGAGAGGGTCCCCTTGGACTAGGAAAAATGAGAGTGGCCACAGATGCCCCCAGAGTCTTATAGCTGCAGGAGGCAGGAGCTCTGGCACATTTGAGACAGAGTCTTCCTCTGTCAGCCAGACTGGAGTGCAGTGACCCGATTTGGCTCACTGAAACCTCTGCCTCCCAGGCTCAAGGGATCCTCCCGCCTCAGCCTCCTGTGTAGCTGGGACTACAGGCAAATGCCATCACGCCCAGCTAATTTTTATGGGTTTTTTTTATTTGTTTTGTTTTGTTTGAGATGAAGACTCACTCTGTTACCCAGGCTGGAGTACAGTGGTGCGATCTCAGCTTGCTGCAACCTCCGCCGCCCAGGTTCAAGCAATTCTTCTGCCTCAGCCTCCTGAGTAGCTGAGCCTATGGGTGCCCACCACCACACCCACTTTTTGTATTTTCAGTAGAGATGGGGTTTCACCACGTTGGCCAGGCTGGTCTCGAACTCCTGACCTCAGGTGGTCTGCCTGCCTGGGCCTCCCAGAGTGCTGGGATTACAGGAGTAAGCCACCGGGCCCAGCCTAATTTGTAGAGACGGGGTTTCACCATGTTGCCCAGGCTGGTCTCAAATTCTTAAGCTCAAGGGATCCACCCGCCTCAGCTTCCCAAAGTGCTGGAATTACAGGCGTGAGACACTGGCCCTGGGCTGCTCTGGCACATTCCGACTGATGATTTGACCTGGCTCCCTGGGACAAGCACCCAGCTGGCCTCCGTGGATCTCATGACAAGGAAGAATAGAGCACCTTTGGAGATTTCCTACATCCCTCCACCCCTTTCCCAGACACATTGATTATACTGAGGCTAAGGGAAGACTTCCCTTAGCTGATTGACTTTCTGGCTCAAACTTGAAAAGGTTTGTATTTTCCCTTTTTTTTGTTTTTGAGACAGAGTCTCGCGCTGTCGCCAGGCTGGAGTGCAGTGGCGCGATCTCGGCTCACTGCAACCTCCACCTTCCAGGTTCAAGTGATTCTCCTGCCTCAGCCTCCCAAGTAGCTGGGACTACAGGTGCCCGCCACCACGCCCAGCTAATTTTTGTATTTTTAGTAGAGACAGGGTTTCACCATGTTAGCTAGGATCTCCATCTCTTGATCTCATGATCCGCCCACCTCGGCCTCCCAAAGTGCTGGGATTACAGGCGTGAGCCACCGCTCCTGGCCTGTGTTTTCCTTTGTAAGTCAGAATCTAAATGAAACTGTTATGTCTTGCATGACTCTTAGGATGATACTGAAGAGTAATGACCCATCCCTCTACCATGTTGCCACAGACCGCTAGATGACAGATTGCCATGCAGCTCAGGAGAGGAGGATAGATTCCCTCTACTCCGTGAAGACTAACCATTTGCAGACACCCAGCTCTTATTCCATTAGGCAGGCAAGGATAGATGGAGTTGAAGTTATAGTAACTTCTTTTCTTCACTGGCATTCTCTTCCGAAGACATTGCATCTCTCTGCTCATTTCAGGACCGGCAGCACCAGTAAGCATCTTCCACAGACAGAATCCACCCTGGGGCCCTACAGTAAAAAAGGGCAGCTTCCTACTCCCCCTCCACTTTCTACCTCTTTTCAACAGGCTCATTCCCCCTCAATCTACCTGGGAGTATGATGTGCTTTTCTGCTGGCCCTTGGCTACCCTAGCAACCTGACCCCCACCCTGGCCCCACCTTGCAGTCTACCTGAGGTTACGATACGTCTCTTCCCGGGTAGAACTTTGTGCTCCAGACCTTTCCCTCTCTCCCTATTCTTGCTGAAATGTAAGATATCTCAGTTTATCAGGGCTCTGTTCTCCGTCTCCCAAGAGTTTGGTTAGTTATCTCAATAGGCAGGGATGGGAGGGGGTGTTGCAATTCAATGCATAACAAAAATTGGGAGTGGAGTGTTCCTTGGGACCACAGGCATAACTTTGTGTTAAGTGTTAGCACTAGAGCAAATTCCACCGAATTCTCTGGACTCACAAGACAAGTCCAGCACCATGACTGTGCAGTCCAGGCGGTGAGTGTTCATTAGTAGGCATTGTGCTTTTGCATTGGCAGCTGGCTGATGTAGCTCATGGGGAAACTGGCATCTATGGTGAATATCAATCACAATTGACGTTAACAAGAAATCAACATAAAATGGCTAGGACCAGCCATCTGCAGAAGCTAAGCACTTTGAACATGGTTGTAAATATGGTCCAGCAGCTTTGCCAAATAAAATCAGGAAGCAAGAGGGCCTCTCAAGCTGATCAAGAGCCCAGAGAGCCGCGAGATTGTGGGCCAGTTGCATCCTTAGGACCGGAATACTTTTTTTGAAGTGACCTATTTTATCACATTGTGACTGACTGCCTGATAGAAGGATGGTGCTGTGTATGGATTCTAGAACCTAGGGGAGGAAGCCACCAAGAGTAAATATTTGTTGGTGTTTATTCTGTGCTGCATCTACTATGTTTGATAGGTCACAACATAAATAAAAGTCAACATTTACAAGACACTTACTATATGTGCCTGGCCAGACGTAAGTAAGTTTTACGTCCACTCACTCATTTAAACCTCACAAGCACATTATAAGATACATTTATCCATCAGCCTCTTGTGAGTTTGGTTACTGGGAATCAGCCCCCCAAAGCCTGATTTGCTCTGGAATATCTGATGATACTGAGTATCTGACCTTGCAAAGCTAAGGGTTTAGAATGTGGTGATGCGGCCAACATAGCTACCCTGAGGGTGCCAAGCTGAAACAGATGGCTGGACTCTCTTAAACCATAGTGATTACAAGAGATCATCTGTTCTAGCCCTTGAGTGACCCCGGCAGCTTATCAAAGTCATGTATTTATTGCAAGATGTGAGACTCCAAATACATGAAACCCAGATCTGAACAGAGACATGATATGTAGTTCAAATGGGCCAGTCTCTGTGCAAACTCCAACAGCTTCCATGATACAAGCTTTACTTTCAAGGACCTGTAAATGGAAACAAGTCGGCCTTCCACTAAAGACAGGTGACATGTCTCAGACAGCTTGTAGGGAGACAAAGCAGGTATGGGGTGGGGAATGCATTGGCAAGGATTCTAGCTGCCCAAGAAAGGACAGGAAACTTCCCTCCCAAAAAAGACATCTTGATGGAAGATTTGAAACTTGAGTCATTGACATAATGATAGCTTTCCCATAAAGTGTAAATATCTGAAAGGAGAGAATCATAATCATTCTGACACTGTGCAGCTTTCAGCCCAATCTCAGTCTGAGACAATAACTCCAAGACAACTGAATGCCCTGTGTCTTGTGAAACATCCCTCCTCTGCCCTCACATAATCCAAAACGGCAGGGGCAGGAAAGGACTGGCATGTTGTTATTGCACCGAGATGAAAGTGCAGGCTAAGTGACTCTGATTTAGTAACAGACCCTTTATTATATAGCTCACAAAAGTAAAGCCAGACCTAACAACTTTCTTTGACAGCAAAATATTTCTACCCTCTGCTAGACACCAATACTGACCTAGGAGGTATATGTTTATAGTAACAAAAGTGTAAATTTTGGGTACTGAAGAGCAGATAAAACTTGCAAAACAGTTCATACTTAGGATCTGAAGGACAGTGAGACAGCCTTTCTATTCATTCATCCAAATGTGTACATATGGATGAAGGAATGGAAACCCCAGGATGCTGCATGAACACAGACTTCAATGAGGCATGGATAAGAAGGGAAAGGAATGTTTAAATATATTTTTGAATACATATATTCATTATATATATATATATATATATATATATATATATATATTTTTTTTTTTTTTTTGAGATGGACTTTTGCTCTTGTTGCCAGGCTGGAGTGTAATGGCATGATCTCAGCTCACCACAACCTATGCCTCCCAGGTTCAAGTGATTCTCCTGCCTTAGCCTCCCAAGTAGCTGGGATTACAGGCATGCGTCACCACGCCCGGCTAATTTTGTATTTTTTGTAGAGACGGGGTTTCTCCATGTTGGTCAAGCTAGTCTCGAGCTCCCAACCTCAGGTGATCCACCCGCCTTGGCCTCCCAAAGTACTGGGATTACAGGCGTAAGCTACCACGCCTGGCCAAAATATATTTCAACTAATCATTTTCTTTCTTGTCCATGTCTCATTGAAGTTTAGGTGGATGTAGTATCCTGGGGTCCCCACCCATTCATCCATTCACCACTAGCATGGTCATAGAGGACAAATCCCCTTTTTCCCTACCCCTCCACAATTAAATGAGGGAGATAAGATTGCACACAATAAGCACAGTATTTGTGGTGTTTTAGCTGAAGGATGTGTGGAGTGGTACAAAAAGGCAACTATTTCCAAGACTGTCTCCACACAGGAACAGCACAGTTCCAAGAACAATTCCAACTGTCTCTTTCAATCTAACCAAGCATGACGATCCCTCGGCACCCCAGTGTGATTGGAACATCTAATCCTTCGAGATCTCTACTATTGTGTGGACAGAGAACATCGATTAGCCTGACCAAAAGCTGCATCCGTAGTCGTTCTTATAATTTTTGTGATTTTCCTATTTCAATTATTTTAAGAAGCAGTTTTAGAAGAGCTGCAATGACAAATAGAATAGAAATTTGGATGCACCAGTGAAAATAGTTTGTAACCAGAAAACATGAGTTTTTAAAAATATTTTACATTCTTTAGATTTTTTTAACTGAGTATTAAAGAAATACAGCTCATTGCAGAAAATACAGCAAAGTATAATAGAAAAAAATGAATCACTAATAACCCTCCTCCCACTTTGGGTATGAACGACTTTTTCACCTAAGAGGTGGAACTAAATGAATCTTCCACAATCATAAAATATTGTAAAGTGTTCTGGTGTCTGCCCTTCATTCCAAGAGTTTCTCTTCCATAGTTACAAAGCCAACAACATTTACACTTCCTAGGTCAACCTTCATCTTGGGGAGAGTTAGTAGCCTGAATAAAGTGAATGTTCAAGATCCTGTAGGAGGCTTCTGCCCAGAAACATTCTTCCAATCTGCTCCCCAGAACCAGAACTCAAGAACAACACGTGTTATTTCACAGTTATATTTGGCTAAATGTAAATTTCCAACGCCTTAAACTCATTCACGCTAAAATGTAAATAATGACTGGTGTTTTCTGAGAGAACCTGCTACTACAAGAAGAAGGGGGGACACCCCAGAACTCTAAGCATCTGAGTTTGGGAAGCAACTCACCATGGAGGAATGGTTCAGGAATGAGCCACTCTGATGCCACGCAACCCTTCTTGTTAGTGACTCTTTGAAAGCCTAAATGGGGCTTACTCTAACTTGAAACATGACGATTCTGTGAGCAAAAGCCACCTAGGGGCTGCTTGCTGTCGCCTGGGAAAGCTGGCCTGGGACACAAAAGTCAAATCACAGACATCATTTCCTTTCTACCTTCTTCTCCTTTGAAAATAGCCTCTTTTTTCCCATTTCCCAACTGTTAAAATTAATTAAAAATAGCAGTGAGACTATCAGGCCAAGTTGTCCATGTTCACACGAGAATTTCTCATCTTTCCGTAAGCATCTAGTCTTCTCACAGTTTGTTTTCATATTTGACTTAGACATGACTTTGGGGTCATTGAACCCCGAATTGATTAAATCCCTTGAATTGTCTTTGAGAAGGAGTTTTCTGTGTGTTTATTAAATAAAATTATCTGGTGTCTTTCAGATTCCTCTGCAATGAACTAATTCCCTTGTTTCTTTGGAATTCTTTGATGTCCCAAGAGCTTCTGGAACACTTTACATGAGACTTTCTTAGGTTCTTCCTTAGAAACAGGAAGTTCACAAAAAGCCCCAAACATTTATTTTAGTTCCCAAAATTGGGATGGGAGATATCTGATGCATTCTAAAAATAGCAAAAGCCCCTCAAACATTGAATTTGATCTTTACCAAAAGAGTAATAGATTTAAATTGAGTCTGAAATTTGTCCAAAACTCACGTAGTTGGATTTGGAGGCATTTTCAAACTCAACAATATTCTTGGCTCTGCTAATATTTTACCTGGGAAATTGCTTTATTTCTTCCCCTCACGGGATAAATGATTATAATAACAAACATGCCAGGTGAGGTGGCTCACGCCTGTAATCCCAGCACTTTGGGAGGCCGAGGCTGGCAGATCACCTGAGGTCAGAAGTTCAAGACCAGCCTGACCAACATGGTAAAACCTCATCTCTACTAAAAGTACCAAAATTAGCCAAGCGTGATGGTGGGAGCCTGTAATCCCAGCTACTCGGGAGGCTGAGGCAGGAGCAGCGCTTGAACCCAGGAGGTGGAAGCTGCAGTGAGCCGAGATTGCGCGATTGCACTCCAGCCTGGGCGACAGAGCGAGACTCCGTCTCTAATAAATAAATAAATATAAAAATGTAATAATAAACATCTCTGGCAATAAAAACTCACCATCCTTTGAACCATCCTATTCTCTCATTTATAAAAGGAATTAGCATATTACAGTCTATGGACCATATCCACCTTGTTGTTTGTTTTTTGTTTTGTTTTATTTTATTTATTTTTTATTTATAATAATTATTATTTTTTTGAGACAGAGTTTCGCTCTCTCACCCAGGCTGGAGTGCAGTGGCGCGATCTCCACTCACTGCCAGCTCCACCTCTCAGGTTCACACCATTCTCCTGCCTCAGCCTCCCAAGTAGCTGGGACTACAGGCGCCCGCCACCACGCCCGGCTAATTTTTTTTGTATTTTTAGTAGAGACGGGGTTTCAGCCAGGATGGTCTCGATCTCCTGACCTCGTGATCCACCCGCCTCAGCCTCCCAAAGTGCTGGCATTACAGGCGTGAGCCACCACACCCAGCCTTATTTTTAATTTTTAGAGACGGAGTCTCACTCTTGTCGCCCAGGCCAGAGTGCAGTGGCGTTATCTCAGCTCACTGCAACTTCCACCTCCCAGGTTCAAGCAATTCACCTGCCTCAGCCTGCCAAGTAGCTGGCATTACAGGCACACACCACCATGACTGGCTAATTTTTTGTATTTTTAGTAGAGACGGAGTTTCACCATGCTAGCTAGGCTGGTCTCGAACTCTTGACCTCGTGATCCACCTGCCTTAGCCTCCCAAAGTGCTAGGATTATAGTCGTGAACCACCGTGCCTGGACTCTTGTTTTTTTAAAATAATTTATTGAAGTAAAATTCACATAACATAAAATTAACTTTTTTAAAGAACAATTCAGCATTTAGTACATTCACAATCTTGTGCAATCACATCTATCTAGTTCTAAAACATTTCCATCACTACAAAGCAAAATCCAGTACTCACTAAGCAGTTTCTCATCATTCCCTTTTTCCCTTAGTCCCTGACAATAACAAATCTATTTTTTATCTCTATAATCTATTATGGATATTTCGTGTAAATAAAATCATATAACATGTGGCCTTTTGCGTGTGGCTTCTTTCACTTAGCACAATGGTTTGAAAGTTTACCCACATTGTAGTATATGTCAATACTTCATTACCTCTTATGGATAAATAATTGTATTAGTTTGTTTTCACACTGCTGATAAAGACATACCCGAAACTGGGAACAAAAAAAAGGTTTAATTACAGTTCCTTGTGGCTGGGGAGGCCTCAGAAGCATGGCAGGAGGTAAAGGCTCTTCTTACATGGTGGTGGCAAGAGAAAATGAGGAAGAAGCAAAGGCAGAAACCCCTGATAAACCCATTAGATCTTGTGAGTCTTCTTCACCATCATGAGATAGCAGGGGAAAGACCAGCCCCCATGATTCAGTTACCTCCCCCTTGGTCCCTCCCACAACATGTGGAATTCTGGGAGATAAAATTAAAGTTGAGGTTTCCATGGGGACACAGCCAAACCATATCAATAATATTATACTGTATGTGTATACAGGTTAAGCATCTCTAATCCCAAAATCCCAAATCTGAAATGCTCCAAAATCCTGAACATTTTGAGCACCATCATGACAACAAAAGTGGAAAATTCCTCACCTGACCCCTGTGATGGGCTGCAGTCAAAATACAGTAAAACTTTTGTGTCACACACAATATTTTTAAAAATACTGTATAGGGCTGGGCACGGTGGCTCACACCTGTAATCCCAGCAATTTAGGAGGCCAAGGTAGACAGATCACCTGAGGTCAGGAGTTTGAGACCAGTCTGGCCAACATGGTGAAGCCCCGTCTCTATTAAAAATACAAAAGTTAGCCGGGTGTGATGGCACATGCCTGTAATCCCAGCTACTCAGGAGACTGAGGCAGGAGAATCACTTGAACCCAGGAGGTGGAGGTTGCAGTGAGCCAAGATCGCACCACTGCACTCCAACCTGGGTGAAAAGAGCGAAACTCCACCTCAAAAAAAAATTGTATAAAATTACTTTTTGGCTATAAGGTATATATGAAACATAAATGAATTTTGTGTTTAGACTTGGGTCCTATGCCCAAGATATCTCATACTCTATATGTATATCTAAAATCTGAAAAAAAAATTGGAAATCTGAAACATGTCTGGTCTCAAGCATTTTGGATAAGGGACACTGAAGCTGCACAACAATTTGCTGATCCATTCATCCACTGACGGGCATCTGCCCTAATTCCACTTTTTAGCTATTGTAAATAGCGCTACTACTACCTGCATGTACATGGACTTGCTTGAGTCTCCATTTTCAATTCTTTGTGATATATTCACAGGAGTAGAATTGATAGGTCATACTGTAACCAAGGACTCCCATTTTTCTACAGGTGGTTTAATTATTCTTTTTTCCTTCTCTCTCTCTCTTCTTTTCTCCTTTCCCCAGCTCCCTATGTCCTACTGAGCCCTTCAAAAATGCAAACATAACCTTTCACCTCTCCCCTCACCAGACATTCCACACAGGGCAAATTATTCTGTGTTCTCCAAGACAGATCTCCCCTCCAGAGCTGACAGTCGACTTTCAGACCAAAGTGAAACTGACCCAATAGTCCCATAAACAGTTTTTTTGGATAAACATAGAAATTGACCCTTCTGGTCTTAAAGCTTGAAACTTAGGTTTGTTTTATCTGAGTTCCTTCCTCAGAAAAGGACTGGCAGAACTCTCAAAATGTATCAAAGAGCTGAAACTCACCAGATCATCTTATCTAGACAATGGGGCTCCAGTCCCCTCATTAATCATAATTGCTTCCTTACCCCTCCAGAATTCCTGTTTTCTCGCACATTGTTACATTTCTTCCCTGCTGTATAAACCCCTAATTTTAGTGGGTCAGGGAGATGGATTTGAGACTGAGCTACCATCGGCCACAGCACCCGATTAAAGCCTTCTCTCTTAGCAATACTTGTTGTCTCAGTCATTGGCTTCCCGTGTAGGAGGCCAGCAGGACCGAGACCAAATCGTTGGTGTTTTGGAAACAAAAGTATACCATGGCTAGGTGCGGTGGCTTATGTCTGTAATCCCAGTACTTTGGGAGGCCAAGGCAGGCAGATCACGAGGTCATGAGTTGGAGACCATCCTGGCCAATATGGTGAAACCCTGTCTCTACTAAAAATATAAAAATTAGCCGGGTGTGGTGGTGGACACCTGTAATTCCAGCTACTCAGGAGGCCGAGACAGGAGAATCACTTGAACTTGGGAGGTAGAGGTTGCAGTGAGCTGAGATTGTGCCACTGTACTCCAGCCTGGGCAACAGAGTGAGACTTTGTCTCAGAAAGAAAGAAAACAAAAGCATACCTGCCATGAAACTTTCACTGTCAGGGGGTTGCCTTGGAACTTTAATCCACCAAGAGGGCATATGGAAAGCATGCCCACTTGGCCACTTTCACAACTTACTTCTACCCAGGAAGGCACCAGCTCAACTGCCCCCATAAATAAGATGCCAAGTTAGGGGAACCCCTGCCCTTGCTCGTGTCTTCCCTTGCCTTATCAAAAATACCTGCTTTCTGCTCTAAAAGCAAAGTGGCACATTTAACGGCAGGACACTCTGTGCCCCTTCTCCAAGCTAGCTTCGGAATAAATTCACTTTTTTTGTGTCAGATCTCACTCGTGTTAACGAGACTGCACATTCAGAGAGCCACTAACTAGCATTTCGTTTACAATTTGGTAATTCTATGTTTAAATTTTGAGGACATGCCGAACTGTTTTCTACAGAGGTTGCACCATTTTATATCCCCTCCAGCAACATAATGAGGGTTCCAATTTCTCCACATGCTTGCCAACACCTATTTTCCTGTTTTTAAAAAAATTGTTGGGCTGGGCGCAGTGGCTCATGCCTGTAATCCCAGCACTTTGGAATCCAGCTGAGGCGGGCGGATCACGAGGTCAGGAGATGGAGACCATCCTGGCTAATATGGTGAAACCCCGTCTCTACTAAAAATACAAAAAATTAGCCGGACATGGTGGCGGGTGCCTGTAGTCCCAGCTACTCGGCAGGCTGAGGCGGGAGAATAGCGTGAACCCGGGAGGCGGAGCTTGCAGTAAGCCGAGATTCAGCCACTGCACTCCAGCCTGGGTGACAGAGTGAGACTCCATCTCAAAAAAAAAAAAAAAAAAAAAAAAAAAAGGCCAGGCGCGGTGGCTCATGCCTGTAATCCCAGCACTTTGGGAGGCTGAGGCGGGTGGATCACGAGGTCAAGAGTTCGATACCAGCCTGACCAACATGGTGAAACCCCATCTCTACTAAAAATATATATATATAAATTAGCCTGTCATGGTGGCGTGCACCTGTAATCCCAGCTACTTAAGAGGCTGAGGTAAGAGAATCGCTTGAACCCGGGAGGTGGAGGTTGCAGTAAGCTGAGATCGTGACACTGCACTTCAGCTTGGGCAACAGAGTGAGACTCCATCTCAAAAAACAAACAAAAAAATTGTTGTAGCCATCCTAGTGTCATTGCCTATTTTTATGAAGTTTTATTGGAACATAGCCATGCTGATTTGTTTGCATGTCTATGGCTGCTTTTGCTACAATGGCCAAGAGGGTATTGCCCTTAAGCCAAAAATATTTACCATCTAGCCTTTTAAGACAAAGTTTGCTGACTTCTGTTTTAAATTTGCTTTTCTTTTTAATTTGTCATTTTATGTCACAGCTCCCCAACATAAGACCAAATAATATTGCTGCAAACTAGGGTGAGTCAGCTTATTTTTAGTCTTAAATTTCCTTATCTATAAAAAAGATAGGGTCATTGATTTTCAAGTTGTCTTTTGGCTGTTTTTTTGGTTTTGTTTTTTTGTTTGTTTGTTTGTTTGAGACGGAGTCTCACTCTTGCTCGGGCTAGAGTACAGTGGTGTGATCTTGGCTCACTGCAACCTCTGCCTCCCAGGTTCAAGTGATTGTCCTGCCTCAGCCTCCCAAGTAGCTGGGATTACAGGAGCATGCCACCACGCCCAGCTAATTTTTGTATGTTTAGTAGAGACAGGGTTTTGCCATGTTAGCCAGGCTGGTCTCAAACTTCTGACCTCAGATGATCTGCCCACCTCAGCCTCTCAAAGCGCTGGGATTACAGGTATGAGCCACCATGCCCGGCCTTCTTCTGGCTGTAATAGTCTACAATGGTATTTCCAAAAATGAGTATTTTGCAGTTTATACTTTTTTATGCAGTCTATAACTTGCCCAGCTTTCTTCTGGCTTAAATTAATGGTTTCTTTCACAACTCTTTTTGATTTATTCATCATATAATCAGGGAACGGTAGCCCATTCCTAGCTCGTGTTGTTCTTTCTCTGTACTGAGCTGCAGTGATTTAGTGGGATTTTCCTAAGAAGGTATGAACAAACTATCAAGTGGAAATTCCTGGCTCTTGTAGAGAGGAAAAAGGAATCCTGTTAAAGCCGAATGGCGTCATTGATGATTTCTTAAACAGACAGCTGCGTCCAACTTAAGACCAAGTCCTCCTCCTCGTTCCTCAACCTGGAAAGGCAGGGCCAGGAAGAAAACAGACAGGAAAGGAGCGAGAGAGATCAGATTATCTAATAGTACCTCACAAAAGGAATTCCTGAAACAGAAAGCTTTTACTAATAACTTGTTCACTCCATTAGAAGGTTGTGAGGACAAACAAGATAATTATAAAAGACTTTCATCTGATATCTCTGCCAAATGTTGGGTATGGATGGATCCCCAGGGATCAGTGTAGCCCAGCGTCTCATTTTCAAAATGAAGACACAGAAGTTGTGCCTTGCCCATATTCACAGAGAGAATTGGTTGCAGAACACAGATGGGGCCCAGGTGTCCCAACTCTAATCCAGGGGAAAGAAGTCCCAGGGCAGCATCTGCTCTGGAGAGCCAAGGCAAGGGTTCTGACCAGCTTGACTAGGAACTCCTCAGGGTGAAATGCATAAGCCAGCAAGGAAGCATGGGGGAATGTTCTGCTGTTTTGCCCATCTGATACCAGAGTAAATATTGATTGCTATGGTCAGGAAAGACCGGCCTGGTCCTTATGTAACTGTTGTTAAAAGAAAAACTTCAGGACCAGGCATGGTAGCTCACGCCTATAATGCCAGCACTTTGGGAGGCCGAGGCAGGCAGATCACCTGAGGTTTGAGACCAGCTTGGTCAATATGGTGAAAACTCATCTCGACTAAAAATACAAAAATTAGCCAGGCATGGTGGTGGGCACCTGTAATCCCAGCTACTCTGGAAGCTGAGGCAGGAGAATCGCTTGAACCGTGGGAGGCAGAGGCTGCAGTGAGACGAGATTGTGCTACTGCACTCCAGCCTGGGTGACAGAGCAAGACTCCGTCTTTAAAAAAGAAAAAGAAAAACTTCAGACAAATGCAATATAACAGAGTTTATTTGAGCAATGAACAATTGGTGAATTGGGTAATCTCCCAGATCAGAATAGGTTCAGAGAGACTCTGATGTTGCTGCGTGGTTGGACAGGATTTAAGAACAAGAAAAGGAAAGTGATGTACAGGAAACGGAGGTGAGGTGTAGAAAGAGCCAGATTGGTTACAGCTTGGAGTTTGCCTTATTTGAACGGTTGGCTGCCTGTGATTGGCTGAAACTCGGTGGTTGGTATAAGAGTACATTACAGTCTGTTTACTCATCCAATTAGGTTACAGTTCACTATGCATGAAGAAACTTTTAGGCTAGACTTACAAGGAAACAGCTTCAAACTAAATTTAACACTGTTAAAAAAAAACCTGCCCATTTCTTCTTTTCTGTTTTCTTTTTCTTTTTTCTTTTTCTTTTTTTTTTTTTTGAGACTGGATCTCACTCTGTCACCTAGGCTGGAGTATAGCGGTGCGATCTTGGCTCACTGCAAACTCTGCCTTCCTGGCTCAAGGTATCCTCCCACCTCAGCCTCCTGAGTAGCTGGAACTACAGTTGCATACTACCGTTCCTGGCTAATTTTGTATTTTTTGTAGAGACAGGGTTTTGCCATGTTGCCCAGGCTGGTCTCAAACTCCTGAGCTCAAGCGATCTGCCTCCCTCACCTCTGAACGTGCTGGGACTACAGGCATGCACCACCACACCTGGCTAAAAATTTTTCTGGTTTTTTTTTTTTTTTTTTTTGGTCAAGATGGAGTCTCACCACGTTGCCCAGGCTGGTCTGGCACTCCTGGACTCAAGCAATCCACCTACCTCAGCCTCCCAAAGTGCTGGGATTGTGGGCATGAGCCACTGCACCCAGCCCTCCACACACTTTTAAACAGGCTATTTCCTCTGCTGGAAACCTCAGGTCCTATTCTTTGGCCAACTTCTATAAATCTCTCCAGTCCCAAGTCAGGTACCACTTCCCCAGGAAGCCTTCCCTTGAAACCGCCTTTGCAAAAATTGTAACAGTGAGAAAATCATGACAGTGAAAGAGATCGGATCTAACCAACCCCATCTTGCCTTTAACCTCCAAATTGCCCTAAATCATTCCTGAGCTCACGCCAAACTAACTGTGGGAGACATTTAGTTTATAGCTTAAATGATAACAGCCCTTTCCCCATACCGAACCACCTTCGTAAAGCTAATGAAAGGCCGCCAGGTTAGTAGGAGGAGAGGACCCTGAATCCTGCTAAGGTGTAGACATAAACGACTGCCAGCCACTATTCTGCAGGTCACAAGATTTGCAACTTCCCCAATTACTCCTGCAGGTAACATCACTATTTTAAAACTTAAAATTGGCCTTTTGAAATGTCTTTTCAGGACCAGTGGCTCCACCCAGACCCACCAAGGGGTCCTGTGGCCCCACCTAGAATAAGATTCCCTGGCCTGTCAAACTATCCTTGAAAAACCTTGGCCTCCAAATCTTCAGGGAGATTGATTTGAATAATAACTTCATCTCCCACGTGGTGTGGCCGGCCTCATGTCAATTAAACTCTGTCTTTATTGCAACGCCATGGTCTCCGTGAATTGGTTTTGTCTGCAGTGGGCAGGAAGAACCCATGGGGTGGTTGCGCCCTGACCCATGCCCTGCCTTCCTTTAACCATAGCGTTTATCATATCTAACATGCTTTTCCATGTGCTTGTCTTCCTTCACAACATAAATCAAAAAGTGACAGGCAAATCTCAATTGATTTTGAAGTTTATTTTGCCAAGGTTGAGGATACGCCCAGGAAAAAGAAATACAAGTCACAGGAGAATCTGTGTCCCATGCTTTTTCCAGAGGGTTTTGAGGACTTCAGTATCTAAAGGGGAAAGAGGAAGCAGGAGGGAAAGGAGGGGGTGGGGGGGAAGAGGGTAAAAAAGGAGAAGGGGGGGAAAAAGAGGTTGGGCAATGAGGCAAGTGGTCACATTCTTGTGAGGCTCTGCCTAGCTCTCAGTGAATCTACACTTTACATGTGAAGAGAGTTGGGGGTAAATGGCAATTATGCATTCCTCTCTTGCTCAGTAGCTCTACATTTTACATAAGGTAAAGGAAACGTGAAATTATAGCGAGTGGCCCGGCACGGTGGCTCACGCCTGTAATCCCAGCACCTTGGGAGGCCAAGGCGGGCAGATCACCTGAGGTCAGGAGTTCGAGACCAGCCTGTCCTACATGTTGAAACCCTGTCTCTACTAAAAATACAAAAGTTAGCCGGGTGTGGTGGCAGGCACCTGTAGTCCCAGCTACTCGACAGGCTAAGACAGGAGAATTGCTTGAACCCGGGAGGCAGAGGTTGCAGTGAGCTAGGATTGTGCCACTGTACTCCAGCCTGGGTGATGGAGCAAGACTCTGTCTCAGAAAAAAAAAAAAAAAAAAAAGCCAAGCTGTGCTCTGACCACCTTAAGCACGTGTCTTCAGAACTTCCTGAGGCTGCGTCATGGGCCCGCGTCTTCAACCTTGGATCCTCAACCCTGCAAAATAAACTTTCTAAATTAACTGAGACCTGTCTCAGATGTTCGGGGTTCACACGATGATAGCTTACTTTAGTTCTCACTCTATCTGACCTCTCCAGGGTAGTCGGCTCTCTGGGTCTCACCCTGCTTCCGGTAACTTGCCAGTCCACAGGGACACTTCATTCTCTGGTTTTTCTTTCCTCTTCTTAGACTGTCTTTTCTCTAACCCTTTCATTGACTCCTCCTCTACCTGCTCCTTAAATGACTGTATTTGCCAAGGTACAGTATTTTCTCCACTGTAAGCTCATCAGTTCCTATTTCTTGAACTATCATAAGCCAGTGGGTCGACTTCTCTCCCAGCCCCCAGCCCTGTGTTTTCTGTGGCCCACTGACTGGATGTTTTTGTATTGCTGTCACCTAGCACCTCAAACTTAACCTATCAAAGCCTCATTTTGTTATGCCCCTGGCCAAAGTTGTCCTCCTGAGTAGGGAGGAACTTGGCCTCTGTCCCCACTAAGGAGACAGAGTAGGGACAGGACTCAGCCCCCACCTCTAACACACTTTTTTCTATACCCTCCTATTACCAGATCTTATATCACCTCCTATCATTGGTGCCATCCCCACTGACTGCAAAACCTTGAAGGAACGAAGATAAACAGCATCCCACAGTCAATCTTACTCACGGGAGTTAACCCTATCGACCGCATGTGCACAAGACCAGACGAATGACCAACCTTTACCCCTTGCCTCATCATAATACTAAAATCCCCACCCGGGAAGGGACTTTGCTGCCATTTTGTGATCCTGCGGTGCGGGTACTAACCTGCTTGCTCACTGCACCTGTGCGCCCTGCGCTCCACTCTGCACATGTCACGACACTCACATAGCTCATGTAGATGCCTGTCAACCTTCCTAGAAACACCAGACATACCCTGGGGAGCCAGCCAGAGAACTCTCCCTCCAGTGCTGTATCCCTTGTGTTCAAATATAAACCTGGAATAAAGTCTTGTCTGGGGAACTTGCTTGGCCTTGTGTCAACTTCTGTTGCATGGGGGCCCAAGAACCTGCGGTCGGTGACACTCCTCCTGTGTTCTTGCCTCCGTTAAATGGTTCCCACAGCTCAGTCTCCCAAGGAGAATCATGCGTATGACCCTTGATGCCTCCCCTCCCTGAGTTTTCACATCCCACCAGTCACGAAATCCTGGTGATGCCACCTCAACCATTGCACTTCAGTTGTCCCTTCCACCACCTACCATAGAGGAGACCCTGGAGTCCACAGATGAATTAGGAAGACAGCCTCCTGACTGCTTTTCCTCCACAAATCTATCCCCACACCACAGCATTCTCAAAACATATGTACTGCCAAAGTGAGCTTCCTTTTTTTTTTTTTTTTTTTTGAGACAGAGTCTTGCTCTTTTGCCCAGGCTGGAGTGCAGTGGCACAATGTTGGCTCACTGCAACCTCTACCTCCCAGGTTCAAGCAGTTCTCCTGCCTCAGCCCCCAACAGCTGGGATTACAGGTGCCCCCCACCGCACCCGGCTAATTTTTGTATTTTTAGTAGAGACAGGGTTTCATCATGTTGGTCAGGCTGGTCTGGAACTCCTGACCTCAGGTGATCCACCGGCCTCGCCCACCCAAAATGCTGGGATTACAGGCATAAGCCACCTCTCCTGGCCCAGAGTGAGCTTCTTACATATCAATTCCACCTCCATCCAGTCTCTCTGGCTCCCTGCCTCTGGGCACATTGCAGGCTCTGAAGCTGCACACAAGACCCCTCCCAGTCAGCCCACATCCTCCCCAGGCACCGTTTGCTACACACACACGTGGTTTCTCACCACTTCCTGGATGTCTTGTAGTCTTTCATGACTCTGGGCCTTTACATATGTGGTTGTCTTTATTTTGCCCTTCCTCTCACCCCTTGAACTCTTCTCTAGGTGGGAAATCACATTGTCTAGTGGGATTTCGCCAGTCCTCTGGCAGACAGAGTCATTACCTCCCCTACCACCATTCCTGGCTTTCTGCATGCACCTGCAAAAATGAGCCTTAACCATTTTTAGACATTTCTCCCCAGTTATGTGTGAATTCCCCAAGAGCAGGGGCCATGCTTTATTTACCTGTGTATTCTTAATAATTGATACAGTGACTAGCAAAAGAAGTGCCTTGAACGTGAATGTCCAAGTCACCTGGGTTTTTTGGCCTAAAGCAGGCATCACTGCTGTAGAGGTTAAAGGAGCAAAAGAGACGGGACAGGAGCACAGAGGGAGGGGCAATGGTGTGTCTTCTTGGCTAGGAAGGAAAAGCAAACATATTGAATACCTACTTTATATACCAGCTGAGGATCAGCTATCTGTCCACTACTTTACATATGAAACATAACCTCATATGAAACCCATCCTGGCCTGACACTGATCATATTCGCGGAAGGGAGAGGGGGTGGTTGGATGGTGGTAGCAGCTGGAAGAGAGGAGACGACAGCGGCTGGGATGAAGGCAGCGTGTGGTGAAATTACCAGCACCCTGGTCGTGCTCTGCTGAAGCAACCGTCACCAAGCCAAAGCCCCGTCTCAGTCTGGGCAGGACACACGAATATGCCCTTCCTGGCCAAAATCTCCTGGAAAGTATGTCATAAGGGAAGCAGCATGGGCTTCAGAGCCATGGAGACTGGGGTTCAAATCCCCCCTCAGCCATTGCTAGCTATGTGACCTCAAGCAAGTTACTTAGCCTTTCTGATCTTCAGACTCCTCTCTTGAAAAGGAAAGAAAAATACTTATTTCACAGGATTCATTCCCGGAGAAGATATTTTTTCAGTCCTCATTTGTGCCACCTTCATCTAGTCAATGGGAATATAGTAGCTTCAAATATAATAGGTACTTTGGGGAGGCCAAGGCAGGCGGATCTCTTGAGGCCAGGAGTTTGAGACCAACTTGGGCAACATGGCAAGACTCTGTCTCTATGGAAATTTTTAAAAATTAAAAATTAGACAGGCATAATGGCACATGCCTGTAGTCCTAGCTACTCAGGAGGCCAAGGCAGGAGGATCATTTGAGTTCAGGAGTTCAATCCTGCAGTGAGCTATGATCAGACCACTGCACTCCATCCTGGGAAACAGGGCGAGATCCTGACTCAAAATATACTATACACAGACACAACACACGCACACACACACACACACATACACACACGTAAAGTAGGTACCTAATAAATATTAGTTTCCTTCCTTTCTGCTATTTATACTCTGGGCAAAACACAGAATCCTTAGAGAAGTCCTCTACACTTTTTTTTTCCTCCAATGTACATTATTTTATCCTCCAAGTAAGATTATCTAATAATAATACTAAGACCTAGCCAGATGCAGTGGTTCACGCCTGTAATTCCAGCACTTTCGGGGGCTGAGGTGGGAGGATGGCTTGAGCTCAGGTGTTTGAGACCAGCCTGGGCAACATGCTGAAACCTTGCCTCTACAAAAATAGAAAACTGAGCCGGGTGAGGTGGTGCACACCTGTAGACCCAGCTACTGAGGGAGACGGGTTGGGGGCTGAGGTGGGAGGATCACTTGAACCCAGGAAGCGGAGGTTGCAGTGAGCTGAGATCGTACCACTGCACTCCAGCCTGGGCAACAGAGCAAAATTCTGTCTCAGAAAAAAAAAAAAACCCTAAGACCTAACATTTCCCAGGTACTTACCATGTGCTAGGAACTATTCAGTACGTATATATTTGTATATTTAATAATTTAATGCTCACAACTCAGTGAGGCTGGGTTTCCCAAATAAGGAAATGAAGGTGCAGAGAAGTGAAGAAATATGTCAAGGTCACACAGCCAGTAGATGAGGGAGCTAGGATTTGAACCTGGGCACCCTGGCTTGAGTCCACACTCTGAACCAATAGAAACCAGTACATCAGAGATCACATAGTTCAGCCCCTGTGGATGATACATTTGCTGAGCTACCTCTCTTTCCCAACCTTTCTTTTTGTTTTCTTATCTCCTCTCATCTCTTCTTTTCTTCTCAGTTGAGGAAACTGAAAGCCACGTTGGACAATGTTAGGTGACATGCTCAGAATGACATAGCTACTTCTGGCATTTATTCTGACTCCTATCCCAGGCCTTTTCCATGGCAGCATGGACCAATATGAAGGCAAATGGCTAAAATTAATTTTTTTAAGTAAATATTTTATATTATCTTATCCTCCTAGTTGTAATAATCATTTGAAGGTATCAGATCTGATAACAAAATATTTACATTAGATACCATAGTGTTTCTTTTTGTTTAATTAATACCAATTTGAAATGTGTTCTTTGTTTTTGCTAGTGTTGTTTGAATTTCTGCCCCCATAAATATTTGTGCCGTTGTCTTAGTTTCAATTAGCATTTGGTGTTTTCCTTGGACTGGTTTTTGTGATGGGATGGGGGTGGAGTATTCACAGCCTGATATGCCTTCTGTGAAACTCTGCATCCCGAAACCACATAGCGCAGTGCAGGAGACGACATCGATGTACAGTCAAAACAAGACTGGGAGTGCCCTGTGAGCCAGGCAGTGCTGCGTCTCAGCTGCAGAGTGACCCTGAAGCTCAGGACACCCGGAGGCAGTCATCACACGGAGGAACACTGAAAAAACAAGCCCTCCCCTGAACCTTCCAGAACTTTGCTCTGAACTGACACAAGGTGACCACCATCCAGAACCTAATTCCAGGGAAGAACACTTTTATGAGAGTCAACAGGTGTCATTGAGAAATCTGGATATAAGTTCATAGAGGGTGGTGGAGGAGAGAAATAAGACATTGTAAACCAAAGGCCCTTGCAGATAGAAGGATTTCCAAGTGCTCCTATATGTCAATGAACTCCTTTGAGTTTTTATTTCCCCATCTGTAAAATGGGACTACTAATACTCATCCTGATGATCACCAGGGACCAAATGAGGAAGTTATGTAAATGAGATCAGTTTAAAAACTATAAAGTGCTCTGGGAATACGACTGCTATTCTGTAATACATGTATGTATGTACTGTATGTATGAAGTGGAGTTTCAGCAGCATGACATGGACAACAGTGATTTCCACTAAAACACATGAGAAAGAATATACAATTCATGATAAATTTCAAGTGACTGTTGCATTTATTTTTATTATTTTTGGTTTTTAAAGACAGGGTCTCTCTGTTGCCCAGGCTGGAGTGTGGTGGCTATTCACAGGTGGGTCATGGTTGTAGCACACTACAGCATCAAACTTCTAGGCTCAAGTGATGCCCCACCTCAGCCTCCATAGCTGGGACTACAGGCAAACTCTATCACACCGAGCTAGTTATTGCATTTTTTTTTTTTTTTTGAGACAGAGTCTCACTCTGTTGCCAGGCTGGAGTGCAGTGGCGCAATCTCAGCTCACTGCAACCTCTGCCTCCTGGGTTCAAGCGATTCTCGTGCCTCAGCCTCCCAAGTAGCTGGGATTACAGGCGTGCGCCACCACATCCAGCTAGTTTTTGTATTTTTAGTACAGATGGGGTTTCACCATGTTGCCCAGGCTGGTCTCAATCTCCTGATCTCGTGATCTGCCCGCCTTTGCCTCCCAAAGTGCTGGGATTATAGGCATGAGCTACCGCTCCTGGCCGCTACTGCATTTTTAAACCTGGGTCAAGCAAGACAGCTTTGCAAACATAACAAAATAACAACAATACAGTCCCGTAGTGTTAGATAGGGATTTTGCACGGGCACTGAGCCTTCCAGACAAACTCAAGGCTGGTGAGGCAGGTGATACCTACAGCCTGGAGGAGCCAACTCCTCTACGCATGCTACACACACAGGGGTGCCGTTTCTGGGCTGCAGCTCCAGGCTGGGGAGAGTTCCTCGCATGGATAAATGTTAGAGACAGTGTCTTACAAAAATGAAAAACGAAGTCAAGTTTTCTTCGCAGCTTCTATACATGTACCCAATGAAAATCAGAAAACCACAATTCTAATTCTTAGGCCGGGCGCGCTGGCTCATGCCTGTAATCTCAGCACTTTGGGAGGCCAAGGCAGGTGGATCACCTGAGGTCAGGAGTTCGAGACCAGCCTGACCAACATGGAGAAACCCCTGTCTCTACTAAAAATACAAAATGGGCCAGGCGCAGTGGCTCACGCCTGTAATCCCAGCACTTTGGGAGGCCAAGACAGGTGGATCACGAGGTCAGGAGATTGAGACCATCCTGGCTAACATGGTGAAACCCCATCTCTACAAAAACTACAAAAATTAGATGGGCGTGGTGGTGGGTGCCTGTAGTCCCAGCTACTCGGGAGGCTGAGGCAGGAGAATGGCGTGAACCCAGGAGGCAGAGCTTGCAGTGAGCCAAGATCACACCACTGCACTCCAGGCTGGGTGACAGGGTGAGACTCCGTCTCAAAAAAAAAAAAAAGAAAAACACAGTTCTAATTCTTATTGATACTCTTTTGTCTCAGAATGATAGAACGGAGAAAAAGTAGAGGTTTTTTTTTTTGAGACACAGTCTCACTCTGCAGCCCAGCCTGAAGTGCAGTGGCAGGATCACTGCAGACTCAACCTCCTGAGCTCAAGCAATGCTCCTACCTCAGTCCCCCAAGTAACTGGGACTATAGACACACACCACCACACCTGGCTACTTTTTTTCATTTTTTGTAGAGACAGGGTTTCACTTTGCTGCCCAGACTGTGTCTCAAGCTCCCGGTTTCAAGCAATCGTCCCACCTCAGTCTCCCAAATTGCTGAGATTACAGGTGTGAGCCACGGTGCCTGGCCAAAAGTAGGATTTTATAGTGATATTCCACAATCCTTCATCAAGTCTCATCCAAATCAATCTGTTTCTTCAAGATTTCACAAAATCATCAAATGCTGGGGCTGCAAAGGATTTTAAGTGTTATGTTCTAGTCGTTCACCAGAGATTCAGTTTCATCCCTACAGCGTCAAGGCTAAAAACTCTTGTGTTGGGATTTGACCACCTGAAATCATATCCTGGCTCTACCATTTCCTGGATGTAGGACTCTGAGAAATTTAAACTATCTCCAAGTCCCAGTTTCCTCATCTATAAAATGGAAACAATAATAATATCTACCTCAGGCTTGCTGTAATGAAGAAATGAAATAACGTACCCTAACGTCATGTCCAGCACCCAGCAACTGGCCAGTTAGTGTTCACTATTACTGTCAATTTTAGAAACGTTAGATACAAAGCACAAAATACTCTGCAGCACCATTAAGCCAAGGCGTCCCATTGGAGACTCTGGCAGTCTGTGCCTGCCAATAGCTAACTCCATTTTTTTTTTTTTTTTTTTTGAGACGGAGTCTCGCTCTGTCACCCAGGCTGGAGTGCAGAGGCGCGATCTCGGCTCACTGCAAGCCCCGCCTCCTGGGTTCACACCATTCTCCTGCCTCAGCCTCCCGAGTAGCTGGGACCACAGGCCCCCGCCACCACGTCTGGCTAATTTTTTGTATTTTTCGTAGAGACGAGGTTTCACCATGTTAGCCAGGATGGTCTCGATCTCCTGACCTCATGATCTGCCCACCTCAGCCTCCCAAAGTGCTGGGATTACAGGCTTGAGCCACCGTGCCCGGCCGCCACTAGCTAACTCTTGATCTGTAAAGCTAATTAACTGAGTATTTATCAGAGTGGGGAAAGAAAAAGGAATTTGAAGGGAGTGACAATAAAATTAATTTAAATATCGTAAATCCAATTCAGTAAATCCTTTCACTCAAGAGAAGTGAAGGCAGTGTTTCCAGGACACAGACAGGTATGCTTTGTGCACATGTGCTTCCCACTCCAGAAAGCAAGCCTGGCGTCCATGATCTTATGGTGTGTGGAGGGGATATCAACAAACTGGCTGCTCAGGAGCAGGGACCATTCCCAGCCTGGCATGTGTGTAAGTGAGAAAAGCAGGGGGCACCAGAGTCACAGGTTAAAAAAGTGGTTCAGCTTCCTGGAGCACTACTCTTCTGAAACAGAACGTAAATATTTGCATGCATTTTTTCAGACAAAATACACTACTTCAAAGAACTTTCTGGCATGCCATATTCCATCTCTAGCTGGGCCTCCAGTTCCGCAGGGACTGTATACTCTGTTCTGCCAAGGAGGGCTCTGGGGGAAGAGCTGGTGGTGCCCTGGAGTAGGAGAAAGATCACTGGACCAGGAGGCAGCGCGGGGAATGGCTGAGGTCTAGGTTCCATCCCCTCTGCTCCTCTAACCCCTTCTACTGTCACTAAAGGCACTATCTCAGCTCCTGCACTTAGCATGGCTTCCCTAAGTTACCCCAGCAGCCACCCAAGAAGGTGGCTAAGAAAGAAGCACTTCCTTCTTTCACGTAGAGTGATCTTTTGAAACCAAATTGACTCAGGCTAGAAACCTTCCATGAGTCCCTCTGGCTTCTGGAGTAAAGTCCCTGGCACAAGGCCCCTCACAGCCCAACTCCCAATGAAGGCTTTGCTATTCCACCACTCCCCATGCACCCCACATCCCTCAGCTCCCTCCCTGTTCTCCTCGCTTTTCCTGGTGCAGCTCCATCTGCCTTGTTCCCCAGTCCACTCCACCCAGGGAACCTTGGCTCACCCCTTGAGACCTCATTCATAGCCCTCCCGAGTAGGATGTGTTCCATCTCAACAAAGCAAGGTCCCCACGTTAACTGGCAGCCCTGGTTATCAGTGCGTGCTGACTGCAATTGTGTTTATTCCCTTTTCTTTTTCTTTTCCTTTTTTTTTTTTTGAGATGGAGTTTTACTCTTGTTGCCCAGGCTGGAGTGCAATGGCGTGATCTCGGCTCACCGCAATCTCCGCCTCCCGGGTTCAAGCGATTCTCCTGCCTCAGCCTCCCAAATAGTTGGGATTGCAGGCATGCACCACCATGCACGGCTAGTTTTGTATTTTTAGTAGAGATGGGGTTTCTCCATGTTGGTCAGGCTGGTCTCGAACTCCTGACCTCAGGTGATCCACCTGCCTTGGCCTCCCAAAGTGTTGGGATTACAGGCGTGAGCCACCACGCCTGGCCGTTATTCCCTTTTCTAGTTGGCAGAGAAAACCTCAAGAAGCTCTTTTGAAACTAAATCTCAGCAGATTTTTATTTCCAAACAGAATTAAAACAGGAAGTGAGAGTCAAAGTGTGCTCCACTGTGACAAAAGTCACATTAGGAAATCAAAGTGTCCTCATCTCTTAGGAAGCTCAGGTCTCCTTAGGGGCACAGTGAAATTCCCAGGCTTCCATCTGAGAGTCTATGGAAACTCACTTCAAGAGGTTCTCACTGGTGTTTGATTTTACTCCGAGGCAGGGCAAAATGTTTCATGGTTTTGAACGTGAAGAAAGTTCCTGCAGAGGCAAAGTCAGACAGGGTCAACTGCAGGGGCTGCAGAGAGCCAGGCTGGGGGCCAGCTAGAGTTAGAAGAGACTTCAGTGTTTCCTTCAATTAAAAAAAAAAAAAAAAGCCCTTTTGTAGAGGAAGTCCTGTGTCTCCAAGCAAGTTCTAACTTCACTAAAAAAAGCTTAGCTAAGCTCCGCCAACTGATTCGGTCTTTTTCCACAGAGAGGGAGAAGAGGGATGGCTGTTTTCTCTCAACTCCAGAGGAGAGTGAGTGAGGAATGAATTGTTTGTCTTCCACATAGCAAACCAAACTGGAGTCATTTTTACCCGAATGTATCAGTGGAAACCAAACTGGCGTCACTACAAAATTCCCAAGTCTCTTGCTGCTTCTGGGTTTATTCCTTGTTGTCAATGTTGTTTATTTTGTTCTTCCCACAAGTTGCAATGAATAATGTTGAATAAATGAATGAATAATGAATAATAAGAATGAATAATAAGTGAATGAATGAACACAAAACAGAAACTAACAAACTATCCAGGAAGCACAGAGATGTGTCATAGCCAGCAGAGAAAGGCTAAAAGACCTCAAGTTGTTTTCTGCCATTCTTACAAAGATGCTAATTATTATTATTATTATTTTTGAGATGGAGTCTTGACCCGTCACTCAGGCTAGAGTGCAGTGGGGCGATCTCGGCTCACTGCAAGCTCTGCCTCCCGGGTTCACGCCATTCTCCTACCTCGGCCTCCTGAGTAGCTGGGACTACAGGCACCCGCCACCACTCCTGGCTAATTTTTTGTATTTTTAGTAGAGACGGGGTTTCACCGTGTTAGCCAGGATGGTCTCGATCTCCTGACCTCGTGATCCACCTACCTCGGCCTCCCAGAGTGCTAGGATTACAGGCGTGAGCCACCACAACCGGCCGATGCTAATATTTTATCCGAACTCTACTTACAGCTCAAATTTTCGTTTTGTCATTCATCATTTATCTATTCATCTGGTACTTACTGAGTTGTTATATGTGAGGCATTGCATTAAAAGTCACCCAGGCTGGGTGCAGTGGCTCACGCCTGTAATCCCAGTATTTTGTGAGGCCAAGGCAGGAGGATCACGAGATCAGGAGATCGAGACCATCCTGGCTAACACAGTGAAACTCCATCTCTACTGAAAATACAAAAAATTAGCTGGGCGTGGTGGCGGGTGCCTGTAGTCCCAGCTACTCGGGAGGCTGAAGCAGGAGAATGGCGTGAACCCGGGAAGTGGAGCTTGCAGTGAGCCGAGATGGTGCCACTGCACTCCAGCCTGGGTGACAGAGTAATACTCCATCTCAAAAATAAAAAGAAAAAAGTAATCAGATATATAAAAAAACTTGGAATAAACAAAAAAAAATTACTGGTGTCTCCAGTGGAAAACAATGTGTTGCTTAGAGCACACTGTTCTAGATTATTTAATTTCAGCTATTTATTGTCTTTGAGCTATTTTATAACTTTTTTTTTGAGACAGGATCTCGCTCTATCACTCAGGCTACAGCGCTGTGGTGCAAACACAGCTCACAGCAGCCTCCACCTTCCAGGCTCTGGTAGATCGTCTCGCCTCTGCCTCCTGAGTAGCTGGGACTACAGGCGTGTGCCACAATGCCTGGCTAATTTTTACATTTTTCATAGAGATGGGGTCTTGCTGTGTTGCCCAGGCTTGTCTCAAACTCCTGGGCTCAAGCAGTCCCCCACCTTGAGCCCACCAAAGTACTGGGATTACAGGCATAAGCCACCTTGTCCAGCCTATTTTAACTTTTAAGTTGTCAAATACTGATAGCAATGCAAAATAATTCTTGTCTCTAGACGTAAATTCTGTTTGGTGGTGGTTGAATTGACTCCCTCTGCTCATACCCATTAATCTCCCCCACCTCAACCTGCCTTTGGAAAGAGCGAAGTTCACATCTATTTATAAATTTATTTCAACATTTATTTTATTTTATTTTGTTTTTGAGATGGAGTCTCACTCTGTCACCCAGACTGGAGTATAGTGGTGCAATCTCGGCTCACTGCAACCTCTACCTCCTGGGTTCAAGCAATTCTCCTGCCTCAGCCTCCCAAATAGCTGGGATTACAGGCACCCACTACCGTGCCTGGCTAATTTTTATATTTTTAGTAGAGATGGGGTTCCACCATGTTGGCCAGGCTGGTCTCAAACTCCTGACCTCAAGTGATCTGCCCACCTCGGCCTCCCAGTGTTCTGGGATTACAGGCATGAGCCCCACACCCGGCCTCAACATTTCTTTATTCCACATCAGTATGTGGTTCTTTGCTTTCTCCTTTAAATGATCATAACATCTGCCTGGTTCCTGTCTCATAATGAGGTAAATAAAATCTTTAACATGTGTTCATTGTATATCTATGTGAGAGTCATGATTTTACCTTTTCAGAAAACTTCCTTTAACAAAGGTAGCAATCTTTTCAAGTACTGTTCATGTTTCTGAGTCTTAAGAAATGATTGCCGGGTGCGGTGGCTCATGCCTGTAATCCCGGCACTTTGAGAGGTGGAGGCGGGCAGATCACAAGGTCAGGAGTTCGAGACCAGCCTGGCCAACATGGTGAAACTCCCGTCTCTAATAAAAATACAAAAATTAGCTGGGTGTGGTGGCACGTGCCTGTAACCCCAGCTACTGGGGAGGCTGAGGCAGGAGAATCGCTTGAACCTAGGAGGTGGAGGTTGCAGTGAGCCGAGATTGTGCCGCTGCATTCCAGCCTAGGGGACAGAGTGAGACTCCGTCTCAAAAAAAAAAAAAGGGAAATGATTATCTCCTGCCCAAGGTTATGAAGATATTTTAATGCACGTGCTTCTAGGCCTTTTAAAGTTTTGCTTTTAGCCAGGTGAAGTGGCTCATGCCTGTAAGCCCAGCACTCTAAGGGGCTGAGGCAGGAGGATTACTTGAGTCCAGGAGTTCAAGACAAGCCTAAACTTGGCAAAACCCCATCTCTACAAAAAAATACAAAAATTATCTGAGTGTGGTGGTGTGCATCTGTCATCCCAGCTATTATACTTGGGAGGCTCAGGTGGGAGGATCATCTGAGCCTGGGGAGACTGAAGCTGCAGTGAGTTGTGTTTGCACCACTGCACCGTAGCCTGGCCAACAGAAGAGACCCCGTCTCAAAAAATATATAAATAATAAAGTTTTGCTTTTATTATTCAAGTAATGTGGAATAGATGTTTGTTTATGGTATGAAACAGGGATGAAATTTAATTTTTTTCCCCGTAGAGGGCCAGTTTTCCCAGGCACCATTTATTAACCCCTTTCCCCACTTCATTGGTAATTCTGCCTCTGTCATGTGTCAAGATTCCTTTATGCATAAGTCTGTTTCAATGGGCCCCATTCTGTTCCAGAGGTCTACTTTTCCATTTCTATACCAATATCATATTGCTATAATTCCTGTAGCTTTATAAGAAATTCTAATATCTGGGTAAGCCTCCTGCCATGTACTTTATAATTAAAATTACCATGACTGGCTGGGCATGGTGACTCACACCTGTAATCCTAGCACTTTGGGAGGCCAAGGTGGGAGGATCACTTGAGGCCAGGAGTTCCAGACCAGCCTCGGACAACATGGTGAGACCCCTGTCTCTACAGAAAAAAAAAAAAATTAGCTGGGTGTGGTGGTGCATGCCTGTAGTCCTAGCCACTCAGGAGGCTGAGACAGAAGGATTGCTTGAACCAAGGAGTTTGAGGCTGCAGTGAGTTATGATTACACCAGTGCACCCCAGCCAGGGGAACAGAGCGAGACCCTGTTTCTAAATTAATTAATTAATTATGTAAAATAAAATTACCATGGCTATCATTGGCCCTTTACTTATCTGCATAACTTTTAGAATTAGCGTATGAAGATTGTCATAATACTCATTAGAATTTTCACGTAAATGTTATTGGATTCGCAGATGACTTTGGGAAGGATTGACTTCTTTAGGATTTCTTGGCTTTTTATCCACAAACATGATAAATATTTCCATTTGTTTAGATTTCTGAAAATATATTTTTTCATAGAGCTTTATAATTTTCTCCAGACAACTCTTGCACATCATTTGTTAGTTTAATTCCTAGGTACTTTGTGGTTTGGCTGTTATAAATGGAATGTTTCAGATGTTTATTGCTGGTATATCGTAATGCAGTTGATTCTTCATATACTGACATTATGTCTACCAACCTATATGTGTTCTTAAAGTTCGAACTTTAACATGTGATTCCTCTGCCAATTCTTAGTTCTTCCTGGACACCAGGGACTCCTTTCTGTGTGTATTTTTTGTTTGTTGGTTTGGTTTGGTTTGTTTTGTTTTTGGGGTTTTTTTTTTTTTTTTTTTTTTTTGAGACGGGAGTTTCACTCTTGTTGCCCAGGCTGGACTGCAGTGCTATGGGCTCACTGCAACCTCTGCCTCCCAGGTTCAAGCGATTCTCCTGCCTCAGCCTCCCGAGCAGCTGGGACTACAGGCATGCACCACTACGCCCGGCTAATTTTGTATTTTTAGTAGAAGTGTGGTTTCACCATGCTGGCCAGGCTAGTCTCGAACTCCTGACCTCGGGTGATCTACCTGCATCAGTCTCTCAAAGTGTTGGGATTACAAGCGTGAACCACTGCTCCCGGCCTTCTTTCTGTTTTTAAATCTACCTGTGGAAGATTTTCTAACTCAGTCCTTTGCAGAGTGTCAGGCACACTGCAGACATTCAATAAATATCTGTTAAATAAGTAATAGCCAAATAAAGGGATTTTCATTTGAAGAATTGTGCATTCACTCCTCTATGATCTGCAAATTCCATATTCAGCTATGTTAGCATAAGATTATGATACATGCATTTTTGCCTCCCTATTTAATATAGGTAAAATTTAGTTAAATGAAGAGAATAGCCCTTAAAGAAGGGAGGGAGAAGAGGAATATCAAAAATTGATAGCTGGGAGGAGGTGAGAAGGCATTGTTGCTAGGCAACAAATTTTATTTCTAGCAGTTGCTGACCCCAGTTCTAGAAGGTCTCCTTTCCCTCTCTCCTCTTCTTCATTCCCCTCCTCTTCTCATCTGATAGAGTCAAGAAAAAGATCACCCAGGATAGTGGGAGGTGGGAGTGGAGGGGAATTTGTTTACTGAACAAATCTCATATCTGGGGCAAAACGATGATTCGGTTTTCTTTTTTTCTGTTTTTTGAGACGGAATATTGCTCTGTTGTCCAGGCTAGAGTGTAGTGGTGCGTCCTTGGCTCACTGCAACCTCTGCCTCCTGGGTTCCTGCCATTCTCCCACCTCAGCCTCCCAAGTAGCTAGGACTACAGGCATGTGCCACCACGCCCAGCTAATTTTTTTGTATTTTTAGTAGAGACGGGGTTTCACCATGCTGCCGAGGCTGGTGGTGTACTCCTGGGCTCAAGCCATCCGCCTGACTTGGCCTCCAAAGTGTTGGGATTACAGGGGTGAGCCACTACACCCGGCCGTGTCTCTTTAAGGTTGTCTTCAGTTTGAAATCATCCTTATGCCAAAGGGGCACATTTTGGGGTGGCATATTCTGCTACCCTATATAATAATGACTAAAAAAGATGCTCAGTATCTTGATGATGTTTCTTGATGAGACTTAGCTTCTTTTTTTTTTTTGAGACGGAGTCTCGCTCTGTCGCCCAGGCTGGAGTGCAGTGGCGCGATCTCGGCTCACTGCAAGCTCCGCCTCCCGGGTTCACACCCTTCTCCTGCCTCAGCCTCCCGAGTAGCTGGGACTACAGGTGCCCGCCACCACGCCCAGATAATTTTTTTTTTTTTTAAGTTTTAGTAGAGACAGGGTTTCACCGTGTTAGCCAGGATGGTCTCGATCTCCTGGCCTCGTGATCCACCCGCCTCGGCCTCCCAAAGTGCTGGGATTACAGGCATGAGCCACCGGGCCCCGGCCGAGACTTAGCTTCTTTCATCTTTGTCCTTCCTCACCCAAGTCTCACCCTCAGCGCTCATCTGACAATCTCTCGCCTCATATATCCATCTGAGCCTCTCTCTGTGTCTGTGTCCTTTGTGTTTAAGTTTTCTGTGAAGACCTCATTGTGACAGGAATGTGCATGATAGGAGAGCAAGTGCTTCACCGAGGCTCCCTTCCTGTGCCCCAGCCTTCTCTGCAGAGGCACCTACCCCCACCCAAACCTCAATAATCCCTTCTGAATGTGACTTGCAGTCTCTGGAAGTTGAGGGAACAAATCAAATAAATGCCCTCCTACTCTCCTTAGCATGATTCCCAAGTGGAGACGTTCAAGTGACCCTTCAGATTTCTCCACGGAAAGGATGCATGGTTGCTAGGAAACCAACAATAGGTCTTAACCACACCTAGCATGAAAATACTCCCAACCTAAAGCTCTGTAATTACATTCGGGATTTTTAGCTGCTGCTCCATTATCATCTTTTAAAAATTCAATCTGACAAATATTTATGGAACTTGTACGTGCAAGGAACTTGCAAAGCACAGAACTGATCATGTCACTCTTCAGCTTAAAAGCCTTCTATGTCCTCCCTCCTGCATGTTGACAAAAAGAGTTAAATTCTGTAAAATATTTGAAGAGATTTATTCTGAGCCAAATATAAGTGACCATGGCCCATGACACAGTCCTCAGGAGGTCCTGAGAACATGTGCCCAAGGTGGTCAGGACGCAGCTTGGTTTCATGCATTTTAGGGAGACATGAGACATCAATCAAATACATTTAAGAAATATATTGGTTTGGTTCAGAAAGGTGGGACAACTCAAAGCGGGGGCTTCCAGGCTGCAGGTAAATTTAAACATTTTCTGGTTGACAATTGGTTGAGTTTATCTGAAGACCTGGGATTAATGGAAAGGAATGTTCAGGTTAAGATACAGGATTGTGGGGACCAAGTTTTATTGTGCGGAGGAATCTATCAGCAGACTTTAGAGAGAGAACAGGTTGTAAATTGTTTCTTATTGGACCTAAAAGGGTGCCTGGCTCTTAGTTGACTATCTCCTGAATCTAGAAAGAAAGGAAGGAAAACAAAGGGGGAAGGGGATTCTCTATAGAAGGTGGATTTTTCCCACAAGAGACTTTGCAGGGCAATTTCAAGGCATGGCAAGGAAATATATTTTGGGGTTAAATATTTTCTTTCTTGTCTCATAATGTTATGCCAGAGTCAGATCGAAAAGCAAGTCACAATATACAGGGTCAAATAAAACCATGAGATGAGAATCCATGCTTTGTAGGGCATAACTCCCCAGACCCCTTAGGTAGGCATTTGGGAAGATAAAAAGTCAGAGCTGAGCCGGGCGTGGTGGCTCACACCTTTAATCCCAGCACTTTGGGAGGCCGAGGCAGGTGGATCACCTGAGGTCGGGAGTTCGAGACCAGCCTGGACAACATGGTGAAACCCCATCTCTATTAAAAATACAAAAATTAGCTGGGTATAGTGGCGCACACCTGTAATCTGAGCTACTCCAGAGGCTGAGACAGGAGAATCGCTTAAACCTGGGAGGCGGAGGTTGCAGTGAGCTGAGATCGCACCACTGCACTCCAGCCTGGGCAACAGAGCAAGACTCTGTCTCCTGGAAAAAAAAAAAAAAAAAGCTTAGTCCTCATGTCCTACCCTCCCAAAAATGGAAAATGAAGTCAAAACTGCCTAATCTGGCCTGCAAAGCCAGCCTCCTTTCCTGCCTGCTGTAGCCTCACCTGGCGGCTGCTCACTGCCTCCACTGTATGCTCTTGGGTCTTTCTGAAATCCCATCCTGCTCTTGCCTACACAATGCCTTGTCATCTTTCCAAGCCCAGCTTAAAAGGGATGATTTATTCCAGGCTGAATGAATTGCTCATTCCTGTTCATTAATAATTTGAGGTGTGCATGATTTATGCAACAAAAATGTTTTATCTATGCAGTACTAAACACATCTTGTTTTCCTTCTAGCTTGCTCTTTTTTTTTTCAGAGATGGGGTCTCGCTATGTTGCCCAGGCTGGAGTGCAGGGACTATTCACAGGTGCAGTCAGAGCCCACTATAACCTTGAACTCTTGGCTTCAAGCAAGGCTCCCCGCCTCAGCTTCCCGAGTAGCTGGGAGAAATCACCAGTGAGCTCGGTTGCCTTCGTTCTTTATAGGAAACAGCTGCTAACTATTCTCTGTCTGCTTCTATCATATGGGTTCCCTATTGGTAACAAAACTAACACAGCTGATAATTCTTTTATTTCACAAATTATGGTCCTGACTTAATAAATACAGAGTTAAGAATTTTAAAATTTAAGAGGCAGCTAGTAATTATCCCAGAGGGGTTTTTAAAAAATTATATGCGCTCTGCTACCCAATCATGATTAGCACGGCAATGGGAGATGTCCCCGTATATCCAGGCTTTGTTCAGGTTTCATTAAATTTGGATGCTTCCAGAATGCTTCTACTCAAGAGAACAAGCATTATTTGAAGCTTCATGGTATCAAAAAGTTCATTCCTAAAGAAATAAATGGCTTTCTGTGATAACATAAACAACTTGCCAGCTATCAGCCATGAAATCTGGATTATCAAGATAGCTAACTTCTGGTTTTGTTTAGACACATGCTTACAATTCTCTCCAAACCTTGGTGCACACACAGGCCCTGTTTCTTGCAGCCTCTGCCTTTCATCGCCGCCATTGTGACAAATGGATTTGACGGGACCATGGATCTTTGAAATTGTTTCCCTTCACCACTCTCCTATATGTTTCCCTATATGATCATACTGGGAAAGCATTTCCCAGTATGATCTTAAATCATGGATAGTTTTAGTATCAGAGTCCTCCCAGAAAGCAGACACTGCCAGGCCCAGCAGCGATCCTGGCAATTTGGGAGACCAAGACAGGAGGATGGCTTGAGGACAGGAGTTTGAGACCAGCCTGAGTAACAGAACCAGACTCCATCTCTACAAATTTTTTTTTTCAATACTTAACTGAATATGGTGGTACCAGCTACTAGAGTCCTAGCTACTTGGGAGGCTGGCTGAGGCAGGAGGATTGCTTGATACCAGGAGTGTGAGTTTACAGTAAGCTATGATTGCACCACTGCACTCCAGCCTGGGTAACAGATCAAGACCCTGTCTCAAATTAAAAAAAAAAAAAAAAAGGCCAGGTGCAATGGCTCACATCTGTAATCCCAGCACTTCAGGAGGCTGAGGCAGGCAGATCACATGAGGCCAGGAGTTTGAGACCAGCCTGGCTAACATGGTGAAACCCTGTCTCTACTAAAAATACAAAAATTAGCCAGGCGTGATGGCACATGCCTGTAATCCCAACTACTCGGGAGTCTGAGGCATTAGAATCGCTTGAACCCGGGAGGTGGAGGTTGCAGTGAGCCCAGATCATGCCACTACACTCCAGCCTGGGCGTCAGAGTGAGACTCTGTCTCAAAGAAAAAAAAAAAAGAAAGAAAAGAAAAGCAGAAACCAATTTGGATATTTTAAGAGGAACTCAAAGGGGATTTATTATATAAGAGCTGAATGAGTGGAGAAGCCAAACAGAGAATAGCAACAGCAGGAAGTACTAAGGCTGGAAGACACAGAGTGAACGGAGCCCAGGATTCGGCATCACTGGGCAGATGCCGGAGCTGTTCACAGAGACACCACTCTTCCGGTAGCTTCCATGCTATATCAAGCCAGAGAGGACAAGGAACTTGAGAAGTGTAGTTCCCTGAGAGAGCTGATGGGAGCCCCGGAAGGCACGGAATGGGTGTGGTGGCAAACAGAGCACCAAGGGAGCAGGCTCCATGACTTTCAGCCCTGGAGGTGCGGCTCTGTGGCCCCGGGTGTTCTCCCAGGCCTCCTCTTAATCCATCTCATCCCAGTAAACCTCGCTGATGGGGACTGTGAAAGATGCCCCGCTCTTCTCCATGAGGGCTGGCCAGCTTTGGGGGAAATACGAATCTAAGTTTTCTGTTGTTTTTCTAATTAAGTTTTAAAAATAATTTTCAAGGAAGAAATTAACACCTCTACATTAGAACCAGGTGCCATATTTAAATTTCAAGTGGTTTTTAGTTTATCTCAAATGAATAAGTCTTTCTTTTCAACATTTAATATTCAAATACCTGTTCATAAAAATGCGTCTTCACCCTATTTTTGCCATATTTATTCCCTAGGGGATTTTCTTGGTTTGAGTCTTATGTTTAGCAGACACTTCAAGTCGACAAATTGAAATTGGCCGGCCATGGTGGCTCACGCCTATAATCCCAATACTTTGGAAGGCTGAGGCGGGCATATCACCTGAGGTCAGAAGTTTGATACCAGCCTGGCCAACATGGTGAAAACCGGTCTCTACTAAAAATACAAAATTAGCTATGCGTGGTGCATGCTGGTAATCCCAGCTACTTGGGAGGCTGAGACAGGAGAATTGATTGAACCTGGGAGGCAGAGGTTGCAGTGAGCCGAGATCACGGCACTGCACTCCAGCATGGAACACGAGAGCAAAACTCCATCTCAAAAAAAAAAAAAAGAGTTGGTGGGGGGCCGGGCACAGTAGCTCACGCCTGTAATCCCAGCACTCTGGGAGGCCAAGCCAGGTGGATCACGAGATCAAGAGATCAAGACCATCCTGGCCAACATGGTGAAACCCCATCTCTACTAAAAATACAAAAATTAACTGGGCGTGGTGGCGGGCGCCTGTAGTCCCAGCTACTTGGGAGGCTGAGGGAGCACAATCACTTGAACCTGGGAGACGGAGCGTGCAGTGAGCCGAGATTGCGCCGCTGCACTCCAGCCTGGCGACAGAGCGAGACTCTGTCTGAAAGAAAGAAAGAAAGAAAGGAAGAAAGAAGGAAGGAAAGAAGGAAGGAAGGAAGGAAGGAAGGAAGGAAGGAAGGAAAGAAAGAAAGAAAGAAAGAGAAAGAAAGAAAGAAAGAGAAAGAAAGAAAGGAAGAAAGAAGGAAGGAAAGAAGGAAGGAAGGAAGGAAGGAAGGAAGGAAGGAAGGAAAGAAAGAAAGAAAGAAAGAAAGAAAGAAAGAAAGAAAGAGAAAGAAAGAAAGAAAGAGAAAGAAAGAAAGGAAGAAAGAAGGAAGGAAAGAAGGAAGGAAGGAAGGAAAGAAAGAAAGAAAGAAAGAAAGAAAGAAAGAAAGAAAGAGAAAGAAAGAAAGGAAAGAAAGAAAGAGAAAGAAAGAAAGAAAGAAAGAAAGAAAGAAAGAAAGAAAGAAAGAAAGAAAGAAGAATCTCCTTTAAATTAGAAGGAAACTCTTAGTGTACTGCAGGATTCCTTTGCTAGGCTGAGCCCCAGTTGTCTGAAAGTCATTTGCCCAAAACATTTAACACTAACTCCTGAAAAATTCTGTACATGCTAAGAAGATCTGAACCACTTAGTGCAATAGGAATCTGCTAAAAAGCACCTAGGATAAGGGAAAACAACATAGAAAATCTGTATTTCTTCTTCTTCTTTTTTTTCCAAGACGGAGTCTTGCTCTGTCACCCAAGCTGGAGTGCAGTGGCATGATCTCAGCTCACTGCAACCTCCCCCTCCCGGGTTCAAGAAATTCTCCTGTCTCAGCTTCCCAAGTAGCTGGGATTATAGGCACGCACCACAACGACCGGCTAATTTTTGTATTTTTAGTAGAGACGGGTTTTCACCATGTTGGCCGGACTGGTCTTGAACTCCTGACCTCGTGATCCACCCACCTCAGCCTCCCAGTGTGTTGGGATTCCAGGCGTGAGCCACCGCGCCCGGCCGAAAAATTGTATTTCTATTCACAATGAGACAGGACTATTAAAACCACATGTTTATTTTTGGAAACTCTAATCTTCAGTAACTCTCATTTACAGTTCAACCACAATATGAAAACCCTTTATTATTTTATATCCAACTTTTATTATAAAAATAATAAATGCCCATATAAATATTTGGAAAATAAAAAGTATAATAATTCATGTTTTTAAAGCCATAACTTCAACATCTGATGATAACCTCTGTTAATACTGCAATGCCTATCTTGTGTGTGTGTATAAAACAACCTTGTAATCATATCACACATAGTTTTATATTCTGATTTTTATCATTTATCACTTTATCTTATGGATTTCTCCACACTAAAATGTTGCCCATTAAAAACTTATTATTATTATTACTATTATTATTATTTTGAGACAGAGTCTCTGTTGCCCAGGCTGGAGAGCCCTGGTGCCATCTCAGCTCACTGCAACCTCCGCCTCCCAGGTTAAAGAGTCTCCTGCCTCAGCCTCTTGAGTAGCTGGGATTACAAGCACGCACCACCACACCCAGCTAACTTTTGTATTTTTAGTAGAGACGGAGTTTCACCATGTTGGCCAGGCTGGACTCAAACTCCTGACCTCAAGCAATCCACCTGCCTCAGCCTGTCAAAGTGCTGGGATTACAGGCGTGAGCCACTGCACCCAACCTAAAAAATTCATTTTAATTGGCTCATGATACTTCATTGTTTGACAGTACTATAATTTATTAAATGATTTCCCTATTGTCAGACATTTAGGAACCACACTACAATTTATGCCTTGACAATCCAACATGAAAAGACTGTTTTTTTTTTTTTTGTCTTGAAAAAGGAAGTAACATCATCCCGAAAGAAGCTGGTATTTCCTCTTCTCAACCTCTGGTTCTCTCTCTTCACTGTCTCTGGTTTCATATTAACTTCATTTGAAGGCTTCTTCTTTTGCTATATTAAAGAATAGGAGTGAGAAAAGCAGCTACCACCTAGAGAAACTCTGACCAAAGGAGTGGCAATGGACGATTAATAAAATGATTATTTTAAAGATAAGCTTTGTTCTTGTTCTTTATAAATTGCAAGTCATGGCTGAATAATCATTTTTAAGAATATGTGTATATTTTTAGCCAGTTTTGGTGGCACGTGCCTGTAGTCCCAGCTACTCAGGAGGCCAAGGCAGGGGTATTGCTTGAGCCCAGGAGGTCAAGGCTGCAGTGAGCCATAATGGCGCCACTGCACTCCAGCCTGGGTGGCAGAGCAAGATCCTGTCTCAAAAAAAAAAAAAAATATATATATATGTGTGTGTGTGTGTGTGTGTGTGTGTGTGTGTGTGTACACATATATATTCCTTTTTAAAATATATATATATATATATATATTCTTATTTTTAAGATGCTTTAGATGAGTCAGTGTTCTCCAGATAGATGGATCCAATAGGATATATAGAGACATGAGAGGGGATTTATGAGGGGAATTGGCTCATGTGATTATGGAAGCTGAGAAGTCCCATGACAGGCCATCTGGAAGCTGGAGACCCGGGGATGATGGTAGTGTGGCTTTGCCCAAGTTCGAAGCCTCAGAACTGGGGAAGCCAATGGTATAACTCTCAGTCCGTGGCCAAAGCCCTGCGAACTCGGGGCTGGTGGAGGAGGATGCTGGTGTAAGTCCCGGAGTCCAAAGGCCAGGGAGCCTGGAGTCCTGCTGTCCAAGGGCAAGAGGAGAAGGCCGTCCCAGCTCCAGGAGAGAGCATGAGACTCTGCCTTCCCTCTGTCTTTCTATTCTCTGTGGTCCACCAGTCGATTGAACGTTGCCTGCCCACACTGAGAGCAGATCTTCCCTGCTCAGTTCACCAAATCACAATCCAGTCTCCTCTGGAAACACCTCACCAACACATCCAAAATGATGGTTTACCACCTCTCTAGATATTTCTCAATTCATTCAAGTTGACACCTAAAATTAACCATCACACTTAGAAATCCCTGTTATGTTGGCTGGGCACGGTGGCTCACACTTGTGATCCCAGCACTTTGGGAGGCCGAGGTGGGTGGGTCGCCTGAGGTTAGGAGTTTGAGACCAGCCTGGCCAACATGGTGAAACCTCATCTCTACTAAAAATACAAAAATTAGCTGGGCATAGTGGCGGGTGCCTGTAATCCCAGTTACTCAGGAGGCTGAGGCAGGAGAATCACTTGAACCTGGGAAGTGGAGGTTGCAGTGAGCTGAGATTGCGTCACTGCACTCCAGCCTGGGTGACAGAGTGAGACTCCATCTCAAAAAAGAAAGAAAGAAAGAAAAGGAAATCCCTGTTATGTGAGTGATGAGTTATGAATTCCACAGAAGGCTGTGATTAGGTATCTGTTTTGATTTATTTGGGATACCCATTGGTTTTCTTTTTCTTTTTCTTTTGAGACAGAGTTTTTCTCTTGTTACCCAGGCTGGAGTGCAATGGCGCAATCTCGGCTCACTGCAACCTCTGCCTCCTGGGTTCAAGCGATTCTCCTGCCACAGCCTCCCGAGTAGCTGGGATTACAGGCGCCTACCATCACATCTGGCTAATTTTTTGTATTTTTAGTAGAGACAGGGTTTCACCATGTTGGCCAGACTGATCTCGAACTCCTGACCTCAGGTGATCTGACCCCGTCGGCCTCTCAAAGTGCTGGGATTACAGGCATGAGTCACCGCACCCGGCCTACCCATTGGTTTTCTTGTGACCTTTTGTATTTTTGTAGTAGGCATCAATGATTTGGAGTGGGATTGGTCCTCTCGTGTGTGTGTGTGTGTGTGTGTGTGTGTGTGTTTATTTTGAGACAGAGTCTCACTCTGTCACCTAGGCTGGAGTGCAGTGGCACGATCATAGCTCACTGCATTCTCAAACTCCTGGGCTCAAGCAATCCTCCCTCCTTACTCCCAAATAGCTGGGACGACAGGCGTGTACCACCATGCCCAGCTAATTTATTTTTTTTTTCAGACGGAGTCTCACTCTGTTGCCCAGGCTGGAGTGCCGTGGCGTGATCTCGGCTCACTGCAAGCTCCACCTCCCGGGTTCACGCCATTCTCCTGCCTCAGCCTCCCGAGTAGCTGGGACTACAGGTGCCTGCCACCATGCCTGGCTAATTTTTTTGTATTTTTAGTAGAGACAGGGTTTCACCATGTTAGCCCGAATGGCCTCGATCTCCTGACCTTGTGATCAACCTGCCTCAGCCTCCCAGAGTGTTGGGATTACAGGCGTGAGCCACGGTGCCCAGCACCCCCCCTTTTTTTTTGAGACAGAGTTTTGCTCTCATGTTCCAGGCTAGAGTGCAGTGCCGTGATCCCGACCTCAGGTGATCTGCCCGCCTCGGCCTCCCAGAGTGTTGGGATTACAGGCGTGAGACACTGTGCCCAGCCTACCACTGCACCTTCTAATCTGGGGTTCATGTTACAAGTACAAAGGAAGATAAAGCAGTGAAAATTATGTCCCTTTTTAGGAGTGGAATTTGGATAGAAGACTCTTCTGCTGAGATGTTTGTAAACAACAGGTCACCTGCTAATTGAATAGAAGGATCTAAGCATTCCTTTGGGGTGCTACCTATGAGCATTGAACATCTCCTTCTTTCCACAGGAGCCATGTGCAGCTTGAGTATCCAGGGGTCATCCAGTCTGTTTCTTCTTCACTCAAGTCTACACTCTTTTTAAACACCCATCTAGAGGTAGAGCCAGAGGGGAGTTACATTTGGGAGGAAAAAAGAGAGAAGGGCTATGATTCATGGAGAGAACTGGCTCAAAAACTGCAATCCAGGTCAAGGTCACGGCTCCCAGCGTAAACTGAAGAGCCAGGGACCCTCGGCATCAATGGCTTGGCTCTTGGCACCGCTTCGGGTCAGGCTTAGTGTTGATACGGTTCATCAATTTGTTTTCAGAGAGCTGCCCCAAAGTCAGCAGGGTCAGTCAGTTCTAACCAGCAGGCAATCGAATAGCCAGCAAAGGCACCCCAGGGAGGGGGAGGAAGGAAGAAAGTAGGACGCCCGACTTGATCATGCTAATCCTTTAAGAACCCATCCGGCAGAGCCCAGTGTTTCAATCTTCTGCGCATATTAGCACTCAGCCATCAACCGACCCAACACATTTTCTCCTCATTTGCAAAATAGTTCTACAGACAAAATTGAAAAGCCATCTCTTTGGTTTCCTTAAGTACTGGGATGGGAACTGTAACTCCCATCAGTTCATCAGCAGAAGGACATATCTTTTTTTCCAATCTGCAAGACAGGCAAGGAAACGGGAGGATTGGTGAAATCATGGACTCAGAGCTCCCAGCCTGGGAGACAGCTTTCCAGGGAACCCGAGGAGGGGTGGAAACAGACGTGCTATTCGGGTGGTGTTAAACTATATTTCGCTCCACCCGAGAGAGATGTGAATGCCAATTGCCTCATATAGATCACCAAACTAGCACAGATGAAACACAGAATAGTAACAAAACTTGCATGATCCAAACAGCTGCTGAAAGTCTCCTTCTGCCAAAAACACAGAGCATCTGGTAAATCCTGAACTTGTCCTAGCATTTTTGTCAGAAGGTAAAGGAAAAAAGGAAGGTGGCTCCAACCCTGGAGTCAAGTCTGGCAACCCAGGAGGCAGGTGTGGGTGATATGGAAGGGAGGGGTCTAGACTGTTAAGCAAGTAAAGAAAGTAAGGAAGGGTTAAGTGCTTCACCTTAACCTTTGTTGATTTAAAAAAGATATCAGAAAGTTCGGCTGGGCGCAGTGGCTCCTGCCTGTAATCCCAGCACTTTGGGAGGCTGAGGCGGGAGGAGGGCTTGAGGCCAGCAGTTCAAGACCAGCCTGGGCAACATGGCGAAACCCCGTCTCTACGAAAAATACCAAAATTAGTCAGGTGTAGTGGTGCACACCTATAGTCCCAGCTATTTTGGAGGCTGAGATGGGAGGATTGCTTGAGTCTGAGAGGCAGAGGTTGTGAGTGAGCAGCACTGGAAGGTGGAGATTGCGCCACTGCACTCCAGAGGGGGCGAGAGAGCAACATTCTGTCTAAAAAAACAAACAAACCAAAAAGATATCAGAAAGTTTATCCAAAAGGTACATGCATTTGATGATACAATGTCTATCATTTGCTTCAAAATTAGTGGCAGCAGAAAAGGAGCTGAGGATAGCTAGGTGGGAGTATAGAGAAAACAGGATTGTCAGCCGGTCTGGTGGTGCACACCTGTGGTCCCAGCTACTTGGGAGGCTGAGGCAAGAGCATCCCTTGAGCCCAGGAGTTCGAGGCTGCAGTGCGCTGTGATTGTGCCAGTCAGAAGCCACTGCACTCTAACTCAGGCAACATAGTGAGATCTGTCTCTAATAAAAAAATAAGAAAGAAAGAAGGGAAAAGACAAACAGGATTGTCTATGAGTTGATCATTGTTGAAACCAGTTGATAGATTCACAGGAGTCCATTATATTACTGTCTTTATTTGTGTGTATGTTTGACATTTCCCATAATGGCAAGTAAAATGCGGCAGGGTGCAGTGGCTCACGCCTGTAATTCCAGCACTTTGGGAAGCTGAGGTGGGAAGATCGCTTTAGCTCGGGAGTTTGAAACCAGCCTGGGCAACATGGTGAAACCCCATCTCCATAAAAAATAAAAAATAAAAAAACATAAAAATTAGCCAGGCTTGTTGGCACTCACCTGTAGTCCCAGCTACTCAGGAAGCTGAGGCAGGAAGATTGCTTGAGGCCAGGAGGCTGAGGTTGCAGTGAGCATTGCTTGCACCACTGTACTCCAGCCTGGGTGACAGAGCAGGACCCAGTCTCAAAAAACAAAAACAAAAACTAAGTAAAATGAAACAAAACAAAATATTTTTTAGTGTAATACTCATTCTAAGGCAAAACAAAAATGCTAAAAGGAAGAATGACTTAAAGACATGACAAGCTTTCAAAAAAGAAACTGTCTATTGATAAGAGCACAAGCAATCCCCTTTAGGGAGAAAGTGTGTGTGTATTTTGGGGAGCAGGGCGGGGAGGCAGCATTAAGAGCAGGTGACTCGGCTGGGTGTGGTTCACCTTCCCTAGGGCCCATATGGACATTTATGGGGACATTTTTGCTTGTCGTACTCATGGGTGGCGATGTTGGTTCTCAGTGAGTGGAGGGAACCAGGGATGTTAAAAGTCCTTTAATCCAAGGACATAGAACTGCCCCCCCTTTGGCCCCGATGCCAGCAATGCCCCAGCTGAACAGTACAGATGTAAGAAAACCAAAGTGCCAAGGTAGCCGCGGGGGGAGCCCATCTGTTCACCTGATCTTAAAAGCAGATGCTCCATGCACAGGGAGGATGCACAGTAAAGGATGAATAATAGGCCAGGCGCGGTGGCTCACACCTGTAATCCCAGCACTTTGGGAGGCCGAGGCAGGCAGGTCGCTTGAGGTCAGGAGTTCGAGACGAGCCTGGCCAACATGGAGAAACCCTGTCTCTACTAAAATACAAAAATGAGCTGGGCGTGGTGGCAGGTGCCTGTAATCCCAGCTACTCAGGAGGCTGAGGCAGGAGAATCACTTGAACCCAGAAGGCAGAGGTTGCAGTGAGCTGGGATTGCATCACCACACTTCAGCCTGGGTGACAGAGCAAGACTCCCTCTCAAAAACAAAAGATGAATAAGTGGATCGAGAGGCTGGGCACTGGGGTCCCTCATGCCTATAATCCCAGTGCTTTGGGAGGTCAAGGCAAGAGGATCATTTGAGCCCAGAAGGTCGAGGCTGCAGTGAACTATGAGCACGCCACTGCATTCTAGCCTGGCCAACTGAGTGAGACCCTGTCTCAAAAAAAAAAAAAAAAAAGAAAAAAGAAAAAAGAAAAAAAAAGAAAAAGAAAAAAAGGAAAAAGAAAAAAAAGTAGGTCAAGAAAGCCAAAAATGGGCTGAGTAGAGGCTTGTCAAGATTCAAGAGTCAAGGCATTGGCCGGGTGCGGTGGCCTACGCCTGTAATCCCAGCACTTTGGGAGGCCGAGGCAGGCAAATCACCTGAGGTCAGGAGTTCAAGACCAGCCTGGCCAACATGGTGAAACCCTGTTTCTACTAAAATATAAAAATTAGCTGGGCATGATGGTGGGCGCCTGTAATCCCAGCTACTCAGGAGGCTAAGACAGGCAAAGCACTTGAACCTGGGAGACGGTGGTCACAGTGAGCCGAGATCGCATCCCTGCACTCCAGCCTGGGTGACTGAGCGAGACTCCGTCTAAAAATAAAATAAAATAAAATAAAAGCCGGGCACGGTAGCTCACGCCTGTAATCCCAACACTTTGGGAGGCCGAGACGGGTGGATCACGAGGTCAGGAGATCGAGAACATCCTGGCTAACACGGTGAAACCCCATCTTTACTAAAAATACAAAAAGCAGCTGGGCATGGTGGTGCACACCTGTAGTCCCAGCTACTTGGGAGGCTGAGGCAGGAGAATTGCTTGAACCCGGGAGGCAGAGGTTCCAGTGAGCTGAGATTGTGCCACTGTACTCCAGCCTGGGCAACAAGAGCAAAACTCCGTCTCAAACAAACAAACAAAAAAAAAATAGAGAGAATTGGAGGCCAGTCACAGTGGCTCACACCTGTAATCCCGGCAATTTGGGAGGCCGAGGCAGGTGGATCACCTGAGTTCAGGAGTTCAATACCAGCCTGGCCAACATGGTGGAACCCCATCTCCTCAAAAATACAAAAATTAGCTGGGCATGATGACGGGTGCCTGTAATCTCAGCTACTCGGGAGTCTGAGGTGGGAGAATCGCTTGAACCTGGGAGGTGGAGGTTGCAGTGAGCTGACGTCGTACCATTGCACTCCAGCCTGGGTGACAGAGCAAGACTCCGTCTCAAAAAAAAGTAAATAAATAAAAATTAAAAGAGAATTGGAGAACAAAATGGTAAGAGGGTATATAGTCAGAAAGCACCACCGGGAACTTATGCCCATACTCCCCAACTAGGCTATACTGGGACCACTTAACCCTGAAGATTCAACCCCCACCTCAGACTCTGGGAACAATCCTGTCTCTATTCAGGAAAACGTAACAAACCGCAGGCCAGAGGGTCCATCCTGGGTGAGCAAGCCTGACCCCTGGAAATGTGGCCTCTCTTCCTGTTGGTCAGGCTCTACCCTCAAGGAGCTTATAGTCTGGCTTGGAGAAGCAAGACACATGGAACAGCAGTTCCAACAACGTAAAAAGGTATCATGAGGTTAAGTCCTAAATGAGTTTTACAGATGATACATAGTGTAAATAAAAAAAAAAAGGGAGAACAGTTGTGGCCGAGGGTCAGTTTTGTGAAACACAGAGTGTGGCCATCACTTTATAACAGCAGCAGGTCTTGAATAAGCATGGAAAAAAGAGAATGTGCATTAGTGGAAGGTGCAGAACTGAGGGAAGTCAAATGAGCAAAGGCCACATTCTTTTTTTTTTTTTTTTTGAGATGGAGCCTCGCACTGTCACCCAGGCTGGAGTGCAATGGCACGATCTCGGCTCACTGCAGCCTCCGCCTCCTGGTTCAACCAATTCTCTGCCTCAGCCTTCTGAGTAGCTGGGATTACAGGCGCTTGCCACCACGCCCGGCTAATTTTTGTATTTTGAGACCAGGTTTCACCATCTTGGCCAGGCTGGTCTTGAACTCCTAACCTCATGATCCACCTGCCTTGGCCTCCCAAAGTACTGAGATTACAGGCATGAGCCACCATGCCCAGCCGTTTTTGTTTGTTTGTTTGTTTGTTTTTGAAACAGGGTCTCACTCTGTTGCCTAGGCTGGAGTGCAATGGTGTGAACATGGCTCACTACAATCTCAACCTTCTGGACTTAAGCAATCCTCCCACCTTAGCATCCTGGGTAGCTAGGACTACAGGCACGTGCCACCCTACCCAGCTATTAATAATTTTTTAAATTTATTTTTTGTAGAGAAAGGATCTTCCTATATTGCCCCCGGCTTAAGAGATCCTCCTGCCTCAGCTTCCCAAATTGCCATCCTCTTGCCTTGGCCTCTCAAAGTGCTGGGATTACAGGCATGAGCCACCATGCCTGGCTGTTTGACCGTGTCTTGATTTAGTGCTTCAACTCTAACCAAGTGCCTTAGCTGACAGGTGCCTGGACTCTGCCTTCCTGTCTTTGCTTAGCACTCTGGTATTTCTGGGCCCTCAACTTCTGTAGTTTACCCACTTCTGACTCACTGCTGTTCAAGCACTGGGTTTCCGTGTACTCTGGCCTCAGTTCCCCGCCCAGCTCTTTTGACCAAAGGCTACCAATGTCTTGGCCTAATACAAGGAACGGTCACCAGCCACCCTTGGGCAAACAACCCAGACTTGTTCCTAAGAAGGGGAATGAGAGCGGCTATTTTATGTGGAGAAGGAACCAAATTCATAGGCTTGGGTGCTTTCAAGTAACCAAATCCAAGGGAAAAGTTTGTCTAAAATTTTCTCTTTTTCTCCCTGTACTTTGATAAATTCCTTTTTATTTATTCATTTTTTTCTTTTCTAAAAATTGTTACCAAACATAATAGAGATTCACTTAAATACATCATGAATGATAGACTGGAATATTTTTGAATCATATTCACCAAAACATTAGAAGTGAATCAGTAGTAGTGTGGTCTCTGAAGTCAACTTTAAAAGAATTGATCCATCAGCTCCGCCAAGAGTCAATAAATCTGCAGGAGTCATGATAAGACCCATGATCAAGATAAACCTGCCGTGTAATTCATGTAAACATTGGGGTCAAAATATTCATGGCGCCTAAAGTAAATCAGTATGTTCATTCCAAATGTGATTTTTAAAAACTACATATGATAGATATTTTTCTCTTTTTATTTTTTTATTTTTATTATTTTTTTTTTGAGACGGAGTCTCCCTCTGTCACCCAGGCTGGAGTGCAGTAGTGCAATCTCGGCTCACTGCAAGCTCCCCATCCCGGGTTCACACCATTCTCCTGCCTCAGCCTCCCGAGTAGCTGGGACTACAGGCGCCCGCCACCACGCCTGGCTAATTTTTTGTATTTTAGTAGAGACGGGGTTTCACTGTGGTCTTGATTTCCTGACCTCGTGATCTGCCCACCTCAGCCTCCCAAAGTGCTGGGATTACAGGCGTGAGCCACCGTGCCCAGCCTTTTTTTTTTTTTTTTTTTTTTTTGGAGACAGTCTTGCTCTGTTGCCCATACCGGAGTGCAGTGGTGAGATCTTGGTTGGCTCACTGCAACCTCCACCTCCCAGGTTCAAGCAATTCTCCTGCCTCAGCCTCCCAATTCTCCTGCCTCAGCCTCCCAAATAGCTGGGATTACAGGCACATGCCACCACACCCAGCTAATTTTTGTATTTTTAGTAGAGACGGGGTTTCACCATGTTGGCCAGGCTGGTCTTGAACTCCTGACCTCAAGTGATCTGCCCACCTTGGCCTCCCAAAGTGCTGGGATTATAGGTGTGAGCCACTGTGCCCGGCTATCATAGATCTTTTATACCTTAATTAAGTTATTGCAATTCACAGTCCAGTAATACACGAAAAATGTTTTTATTCTACAAATTAGAAACTGTATTTCCTAGGGCAATGCCAAAGTAGATACAAATCGGGATGATGATTGGCTACCTAATAAAAATGCATGAAGGCCAGGCGCGGTGGCTCATACCTATAACCCCAGCACTTTGGGAGGCCAAGGCAAGAGGATCACCTGAGGTAAGGAGTTCGAGACCAGCCTGACCAACATGGAGAAACGCCGTCTCTACTAAAAATACAAAATTAGCCAGGCACAATGGTACATGCCTGTGATCCCAGAGACTCAGAAGTCTGAGACAAAAGAATCGCTTGAACACAGGAGGTGAAGGTTGCAGAGAGCCGAGATTGTGCCATTGCAATCCAGCCTGGGCAACGAGAGTGAAACTCTGTCTCAATATAATAATAATAATAATAATTAAAATGCAGCCATGGTGCAGTGGCTCATGCCTGTAATCCCAGCACTTTGAGAGGCCGAGGCGGGTGGATCACGAGGTCAGGAGATCAAGACCATCCTGGCTAACATGGTGAAACCCCATCTCTACTAAAAATACAAAAAATTAACCAGGCGTGGTGGTGGGCGCCTGCAATCCCAGCTACTCGGGAGGCTGAGGCAGGAGAATGGCATGAACCCGGGAGGCGGAGCTTGCAGTGAGCCGAGATCGCGCCTCTGCACTCCAGCCTGGGTGACAGAGCGAGACTCCGTCTCAAAAAAAAAAAAAAGAAAATTAAAATGCATGAAAATACAGTGCAGGCAGAGGCAGGTGAGGTGAGGGCGAGTAGAATATGATGTTTGGATTCTTAGGTTTGTCCTTATCTGAAATCTTGTTGACACAGGCATGAATGTTTGAATTTCTGAAGGGTGTGTGTCTGTCTATCTGAGGCTTTTTATTGCTATGCCTGCTGGCACGCATTTCTCTTAATGAAGAGCTTTTGATAAGCTGTAAGAACCTCACAACATACAGACACTTCCTAACAACAGCGTGCTTTCCTCTGGAAAAGGAACCAGAGACACAAAGCAGTTGATGCTGTTCATGTTCTGGGGTTCACTCGCAAGCACTTGAAGGGAAACGACTGGACAGTTCCTGTGAAGACAGGGTTTTCTTGAGAGTTTCTAGGAAGATCACAGGTTTTTTTGTTTTGTTTTGTTTTGTTTTGAGACGGAGTTTCGCTCTTGTCTCCCAGGCTGAAGTGCAATGGCGCAATCTTGGCTCACTGCAACTTCTGCCTCCCTGGTTCAAGCGATTCTCCTGCCTTAGCCTCCTGAGTAGCTGGGATTACAGGCGCCCGCTTTGGTTTACGCCTGTAATCCCAGCACTTTGGGAGGCTGAGGTGGGTGGATCACGTGAGGTCAAGAGTTTGAGACCAGCCTGGCCAACATGGTGAAACCCCATCTCTACTAAAAATACAAAAAGACCACAGTTTTGACACATCGTTTTAGCATACTAATTCTTGAGTTTCTAGAAAGGCTGTTCTCAGCTCTTTATTCTTTTTTAAAAAAATTTGTTGTTGTTGTTGTTGAGACACATTCTCACTCTGTCACCCAGGCTGGAATGCAGTGGCGCAATCTCAGCTCGCTGTGGCCTCGACCTCCCAGGCTCAGGTGATCCTCCCACCTCAGCCTGCCGAATAGGTGGGATTACAGGCGTGCCACTGCACCTAGCTAATTTAAAAAAAAAATTTTTTTTTTTTGTAGAGATGGAGTTTCACCATGTTGCCCAGGCTGGTCTCGAACTCCTGGGCTCAAGCTATCTGCCCACCTTGGCCTTCTAAAGTCCCGGGATTACAGGGATGAGACACCCTGCCTGGCCAGCTCCTTATTCTGAGGTTTCAGTCTTTTGCTGCTCCACATTTTAATAGAGTCTAAATTGCTAAAACTGACATAAATTGATAAAGGGATTTCTTCTGAACGCTAAGCTAGAAAGAATGTTGTTTTTCCCCCTGCAATTCTGGTAGGGAGATAATGAATCTAGCGCGGTTTCTCCCACCATGGTTCTTTAAGTAGTCAGTCCAAAGTTTGTTGATTGATTGTTATGCTAAAGGCAGATCAAAGACAAGTATGAAAAATGAAGTATGAAGCTCAGGCTTATTCAAACCCCAAGCACATAGAGTTTCATAACTCTATGTGCTTGGGGTCACTCATTTAAAGCAAATGTGCTTCTTTCTAAAATCTTATTTTGATTTTTTCAAAATTTTCACCTATGTTTAGGGAATATGTTGTCAAATCATGTTTTCACGTTATATACACTTTGTTGATTTATATTTTTTTAAGAGCCTAGGAGGAGGCTTCCAGAAAGCACCTGTTCATTCTGGTTTTGGTGAACCAGTTGACTATTGTTTGGTCACTAAGCTAAAAGCAGATCAAAGATGAGTATTAAAAATGAATTAGGAGGTCCAGGCTTATTCAAACCCCAAGCACATGGAATTTCACTCATCGAAAACCTCCTTTGGTCCAGAGATGTAGGACTACTTTTCTTACTGTAGGTGGCCTTCACGTTGGCCACCAGCTACCTGGGGCAGGGGGCAGGGTAGGAAGTGGCTGCGGACGTTTGGCCATGGGAAAGTGGAGTTCTGACTCTGGAGGCCCCAGAAAAACCAGGGAGGCCTATCTAGACAGGGGGAGAGGAGAAGCCACTGTGCCCTCTAGCCCAGAATTGTTTCTTCAGACATTTTGAAGTCTCTTCTCTTCCTGTTCTTTTGTCCCATACTCACCAAAATGCCTCATAGGTTCTATAGCTGAGGGAAGATTTCTTTCCTTTTTTTTGAGACGGAGTTTCGCTCTTGTTGCCTAGGCTGGGGGGCAATAGCGTGATCTCGGCTCCCCGCAACCTCCACCTCCCGGGTTCAAGTGATTCTCCTGCCTCAGCCTCATGAGTAGCTGGGATTACAGGCATGCACCACCACGTCCAGCTAATTTTGTATTTTTAGCAGAGACAGTGTTTCTCCATGTTGGTCAGGCTGGTCTGGAACCCCGATCTCAGGTGATCTGCCCGCCTCGGCCTCCCAAAGTGCTGGGATTACAGGCATGAGCCACAGTGCCTGGCCAGATTTCTTTTCTTTACCCATTGCAAGGTTCATACATGAGACCCCCTATATACAAAAGACAGATTAGCAAGAGAAAAGGAACCAGGCATGGTGACTCATGCCTGTGATCCCAGCACTTTGGGAGGCCAAAGAAGGAGGATCAGGAGGGAGGGTCACTTGAGGCCAGGAGTTTGAGACTAGCCTGGACAATATAATAAGACCACTATCTCTACAAAAAAATTTAAAAAATCATCTGGGCATGGTGGCACACACTTATAATCCCAGCTATTTGAGGGACTGCGGTGGGAGGACTGCTTGAGCCTAGGAGGTCAAGACTGCAGTGAGCTATGATTGCACCACTGCACTCCAGCCTGAGTGACAGAGTGACACCCTGTCCCAAAAAAGAAAAAAAATATATTTATTTGCTTACCCAGGCGTGGTGGCGCACACCTGTCATCCTAGCTACTTGGGAGGCTGCAGCAGGAGAATTGCTTGAGCCCAGGAGGCGGAGGTTGCAGTGAGCCAAGATCGCACCACTGCACTCCAGCCTGGGCGACAGAGTGAGACTTCGTCCCAAAAAGATTTGGCAGGCTAGGGCGGGCGGATCACTTGAGGTCAGGAGTTCGAGACCAGCCTGGCTAACATGGTGAAACCCCGTCTACCAAAAATACAAAAATTAGCTGGGCGCGGTGACACGTACCTGTAGTCCCAGCTACTCGGGAGGTAGAGGCACAAGAATTGCTTGAACCCGGGAGGCAGAGATTGCAGTGGGCCAAGATCACGCCACTGCACTCCAGCCTGGGTGACACAGCAAGATTCTGTGTCAAAAAAAAAAAAAAAAAGAAAAGAAAAAGAAAGAAAAAAGAAAAAGAGGGAGAGAAAAGGCATACAAATTTAATTCATTGTAAGTTTTACATGACACGGGAGCCTTCAGCATTTAAGACCCAAAGAAATGGTTAAACTTGTGCATTGTTACTTTTAGTTTAACGAAAAGTGGACAGTTGTAAAGAAATAGGACTGGAAGGGAAAAGGATGTGATCCAATGGGAATAAACTGAAGGGAACCCAGCAGGACCTGTTTGTTTAGATTCTTCTGTGTGCCTGTCTTCAGGGCTGTTTTCTCAAATACCAAGGTGCCATAGTTTAGGGTAGCATGTTCTGAACCCCATCAATTTCCCCTTAAAGTGGTTGTTTTTTGAACTTTACATAACAGTAACTTCTTGAGAAGATGGTCATGTATTTACGTATATATTTGGGACACTCTTTTCTCAGAGCCTTTGAAACACCTGCAACTACCAGAGGAGTTTTTTTTTTTTTGAAACGGAGTCTCCCTCTGTCGCCTAGGCTGGAGTGCAGTGGCGTGACCTCGGCTCACTGCAACCCAGAGGTGTCAGTTCTTACAGGTTCCTTACACAGCATGAGTTTGAAGCTTAGGGTATTGATTGGCCCTGCCTGAAGCGTTAGTGAGAAACCGTGGGCTTTGAACCTCGGCAGGGCTGTGAACCAAGAGCAGATGCTGCAGTTCTTCTCCTCAAGGCCTCCAAAAAAGCGTCATGAGAAATAAAGGAACTGTGCAGCCAGGGGCAAAATGCCTCCCGCAACTCCAGGGGCGCCATTCACAGGAAGCCAGCGTGGACGCCCCTGTGCAGGCCTCTGGGAGCAAGAAAGCTTTTTTCCAAGATATGGGGATGGACAATTTTCCTGAGGCGCAGACCTTAGGGAGCTTCCCGGGAGAAAGGCTGTTTCCTGTCTTGGGCGTGGAAGCGGATCCGCCCCCTGAGTCTGAGAGGACATGGCGGTCGGTAAACAGGACTTAATTCTGTTCCTCATCCACCCAGAACCCTCCCTGAGGGCCTCCCCTGCACTTTGGAAACAGCCCAAGCTTTGAAATCAGGAAGTTTGAAGACTGGTTCTGCTACTTCCAGGCTGTGTGGCCTTGGGTAAGTTCCTTGCCCTCTCTGCTTCAGGTTGCGCATTTGTGGAACCAGTTAACTGTATATAACCGGCTGAGTTCCCGCACTGAATAAGGAGAAGTCGGTCTTTCTTGGTAGATGCCGTGCCTGCGTTTGTGCGGTTGAAGGAAAGGAGGAAAATGAGAAGGGCCAAGATTGACCTGACTTGATTTACGGGAAAGAAGAGACAGTTGCTGGAGGAAGAAGGACCCATCCACTGGAAAAGGATGAGAAAAAGGAGAGAGAGAGAAGTCAGAGGCTGGGTTGGGAGTGAATTTGGGAGATTGTGGAGGAAAAGAGGAGAGAGATTTGTGGGGTAGCTGTAGGACATGCAACTGTATTTAGAAAGGGAGAGAGTTGGGAGACTTTGTGGGATTATTAAATTTCCCTTTAGCATTTGTAGAGGGCATTCCATTAAATACGCCAATGGTTTTATCAAACAGGTTGTTTAAAATCATTTTCCTCTGTCATCTTATCCAAGAATAAAATAAGAACAGAAATATCCAGAAGCCTGTTAGCAGTCCCCACCTTAGCTCCATTCTCACTCCCAGCTGTCAACTCTATGAGGTCAAGGTCTCTAACACAACTGGGTCCCTGGCGGCTCACAGCCGTGGCTGCTGGCACGGGAAAGATGCCGATCATATGTGTCATTGAATTTATTGCTTTCTGTGGTTTCAAGCCTGAAAAAGTTAAGAGAGAGTTACAGCCTCCTTTGACGTTATTGTCATCGGTCATGGGCCCCATGAGGTGGGATGTGGAGGTAGCCACTCTCTGGGAATCTCTGAGATGAGCACACATAAACTTTCTAGAAGCATCTGCACAGAGCCCATTTATGCCATTCAAAGCTTCCTGAATCCAAAGGAAACCTTGTAAAAAGTCAGCTAAAACACTTGAGCATTTAGAAGCATTTCCTGATCTTTTGGTTCTAGCAAATAGCACAGTGGAAAAAACAAATACCTTGAAGTTGAAGGAAATGTCTTTATTTATACCCACAGATCCCCCGTGGGTATAACCATGGTGAACTGACAAGGTTTAATATTTGGTGCAAGCATCTGAACACATATTGTTAATCTTCCTTTTTTCTGTCTTGTAATATTCAGTTGCTTAGTGGTCCCTAAAGTGCAGGGGGGTAGTTTTATATAGGAATTATATTTGGAAATAGAGTCAGAGGAATTCCTGAAGATTGAGTCATTGCTTTTTTTTTTTTTTTTTTTTTTGAGACAGAGTCTTGCTCTGTTGCCAGGCTGGAGTGAAGTGGCGTGATCTCAGCTTACTGCAACCTCCGCCTCCGAGGTTCAAGCAATTCCCCTGCCTCATCCTCCCAAGTAGCTGGGACTACAGGCACGTGCCACCATGCCCAGCTAATTTTTTGTATTTTAGTAGAGATGGGGTTTCACCTTGCTGGCCAAGAGGTCTCGATCTCCTGACCTCAAGATCCACCCATCTCAGCCTCTCAAAGTGCTGGGATTACAGGCGTGAGCCACAGTACCCGGCCCCATTGCTTTATTTTTTAGTGTTAGAGACTATTCCCATCAGGTTTCTTCGCATGATTTTTCTGTATCCTCATAAAACTGAGAGCTAAATCAAGAAGATAAGTAAACTTTGTTTCCCTCTTACCATCCAGCTTCTCACACCCATCTGGTTCTATCCTGCAGAATGCTGTCATTCACTTCTCCACCACCCCCACGTGCAGTGTATAGAACTGATGATATCATCCCTTTATTTCTGATGGGAGAAAATAAAGCACATCTGTCGGATCACTTAGGAAACAGAAATGCCCCTGATGGGGCTGGTGTGGCATTTAGATTAAGGCAGGCCTCCACGCCCAGACCTTTCCACGTGATATAGACAAAAGGACGGCAAACCAGACCTATGTGCTTCAGTTCTAGGGAACGCAAAGCACCTATTCCCACAGTCTTAAAGATTAACTGCAGGATGAATTGCAAGTACAGACATTCACCAAAATTCCTCCCACCCTCCCTCTACTCTCAGGAGAGAACGGGCTGTTGTAAATGTGCACCCCTGGGGCCTTGAGATGTTTTCAAAGGAAACAGCCGAACTGGCATTCCCATCTATATTTAAGGGCCAACTTCCACACCACTAAAGAGAAATAATGGTATTTTTTTCCTTGAATAGAAAAAGTAATATAAGTGAGTGTGGAATGTTTAAAAACACATAAAAGAGACAAGAAAAATAAAATCACTCAGAATTCTAAAATTTTGGTATAAATCATTCTAGGCTGCTTATCTGCAAGTTAATGTTTATGGAATATGTATATGTGTGTGTATATATCTATATGATGAAAAAATGACATTGTACATTTGCTTGAGAATCTGATTTTTTAAAATTAGCTATATAACGTAAATATACTTCCATTTCATTAAATGTTATTTCGTATCAGCATTTGAAATGGCTATATAGTTGTTGGCTATGTAGTGTTGCTTTATAGTGATCTATTTAAGCAGTCCCAATGGCTAGACATTAATTCCAATTTTCTGCTATTAAAAACAATACTTCAAGGAGCATCTTTGTGTACAAATCTTGGCAGACCTGTGAAATAAATTCTTTGGCATGAATCTGAAAATGTCGAAATGCCAGGTCACAGAGCATGCCAATTTTAAAGGTTTCTGACATGCAACTTTTTTTTTTTTTTTTTTTGAGACGGAGTTTCATTCTTGTTGCCCAGGCTGGAGTACAATGGCGATCTCGGCTCACTGCAACCTCTGTCTCCTGGGTTCAGGTGATTCTCCTGCCTCAGCCTCCTGAGTAGCTGGGATTACAAGCATGCCCCACCACGCCTGGCTAATTTTATATTTTTAGTAGAGATGGGGTTGCTCCATGTTGGTCAGGCTGGTCTCGAACTCCCTACCTCAGGCGATCCAACTGCCTCGGCCTGCAAAGTGCTGGGATTACAGGTGTCAGCCACCGTTTCCAGCCAAAGTGTTTCACTTTTATGCAATAGAAACCATCAATCTTCTCCTTTATGTTTTCTGACTTTGCCTGTCCATGCTTAGGAAAGCTGTCTCTCTAAATCCTGCTGACTGTCATCAGTAACTTATAATCATTGACTGCCTGTAACAGCTCTTCTGTTGTTGGACAAGATGTCAATAGTAACTGAAGGCAAGGATCAGCTCTTAGGCTTACTTCTCCCATAAGTGTCTCGTATTTGGTGGATTGCAGTCCATTCATTAAAAACTTGTTTTAGGGCCAGGCGTGATGGCTCATGCCTATAATCCCAGCACTGTGGGAGGCCGAGGTGGGTGGATAGCGTGAGGTCAGGAGTTCGAGACCAGCCTGGCCAACACGGTGAAACCCCATCTCTACTAAAAATATGAAAATTAGCCAGCTGTGGTAGCAGGCACCTATAATCCCAGCTACTTAGGAGGCTGAGGCACGAGACTAGCTTGAACCCAGGAGGCAGAGGTTGCAGTGAACCGAGACCACACCATCGCACTCCAGCCTAAGGAACAAGAGCAAAACTCTTTCTCAAAACAAACAAACCAAACAAAAACCATGTTTTAGGCAGCATGCAGTGTCTCAGGCCTGTAATCCCAGCATTTTGGGAGGCCAAAGCGGGTGGATTGCTTGAGGTCAGGAGTTCGAGACCAGCCTGGGCATCGCGGTTAAACCCCATCTCTCCTGAAATACAAAAATTAGTCAGGCATGGTGGTAGGCACTTGTAATCCCAGCTACTCAGGAGGCTGAGATAGGAGAATTGCTTGAACCCGGGAGGTGGAGACTGCAATGAGCCAAGATCGTGCCACTGCACTCCAGCCTGGGCGACAGAGCAAGACTCCATCTCAAAAAAAAAAAAAAGTTTTAATTGAGCACCTACTATATTCCAGGATTAACTATTGATGAGCTGGATCCTGGTTCACAATCACTTCTTTGTGAATTCCACCACCATATATTAAATAATTAATACATGTGAACAGTAATGGGACCAGGGCAGGAAGGGGGTCAGTAATTAATTTAAAAAATCCCTGCCCTTTGAAAAATCTATAGTTCAATATACTCTCTCTCTCTGTCTTTTTTTTTTAGCGAAGATGTTTTTGCTGTGTTGCCTGGGCTGGTCTCAAACTCTTGGCCTCAAGTCATCCTCCCACCTCAGCCTCCTGAGTACGAGGGATTACAAGCATGAGCCACCACACCCAGCTTCTTTAAAAAGAAAAAAAAATTTTTTATTGACATATAAGCATTGTATATATTTAAGGTCTACAACTTGACACTTGAGGGATTAAAGAGAGGTAAGATTTTAAAAGGTGAATAATTAAGGGAGAAGGGGTGAGTAGCTGGTAACAGGGGGTGAGGAGGGGCTGTGGAAAGGAGCATCTGAAGTGAACCTTACAGGTAGAGCTGAGGGAGAGAGCATTCTTGGCTTCCTGTCCCTGTAGGATTATAAAAGATGTTACCAGCCAAATACCCTTGAAGCTTGAAATCAACCCACAATGTCCAAAGGAGGAGTTCAGTGAGGAGCTAAAGAAGAGGAATTAGCGCTTCTTTAACCTGTCTTTTGCATTTATATTGTCCTTGTGATATTTTTTGGTGTATAGATGATTTTCTTTCTTATGGAGTTAAATCTTCTTTTGTTTGTTTGAGATGGAGTCTTACTCTGTTGCCCAGGCTGGAGTGCAGTGGTGCAATCTCAGCTCACTGCAACCTCCAAACTCTCGGGTTCAAGCGATTCTCCTGCCTCAGCTCCTGAGTAGCTGGGACTACAGGTGCACACCACCATGCCCGGCAAATTTTTGTAGTTGTAGTAGAGATGAGGTTTCACCATGTTGGCCAGGCTGGTCTCGAACTCCTGACCTCAGGCTATCCACCAGCCTCGGCCTCCCAAAGTGCTGGGATTACAGGCATGAGCCACTGCGCCTGGTCACTTATGGAATTAAATCTTTTTGGATGGTGTGGTATATTGTATTTTCCAAGGGTGGCTGCACGAATATATATTCCACTCTAGATTCTTTTCTTAGAATGTGACCTTAGCAGGCCTCATTAAGAGGTAGAGTTTGTGTTCCCTCCCCTTGAACTTGGGTGGAACTTTGTAACTGCCTCAACCAATAGAATGTGGCAGAAGTGACATCCGAGGCTCAGTCCTAGAAAGCAACGTGGTTCTGGGGGACTCTCTTGCTTTCTCTTGGGATGCTTCTTCTCTGAACCCAGCCACCATATTGTGAGGAAGTCCAGGCCACACGGAGAAGCTAGATGTGGATGTTCTGACCAAGAGCCCCAGCTAGATTCCCAGACAATCACCAGACAGGTAAGCAAGGAGGGCTTGGGGCTTGTGATGTAACTGACATCTTGAAACGATCATTGTGGCTTCTGGAGACTTGATTGTGGGGAAGGGAACTGCAGACCAGGAGTGGAAGCAGGGAGACCAGAGAGGACTCTGTAGAGTGTCCAGGAGAGAGATGATGTGGTTTGGATTAAGGTTAAACCCGTGGCATAGGTGAAAAGTGCTCCTATATGGGAAATGTTTTGAAGATGGAGGGCACAGGACTTGCTGATGGACTGAATGGAGGGTGAGGGAAAGAGAGAACTTACTGACAATGTCTAGATTTCTGGCCTGGGCAATTGGGTATCAGATAAGTGATGAAATCACTTACTGAGATGAGGATGCCTGAGAGATGAGCAGCTTAAGATCAGCTTCACCTGAGCAAGTTCTGTGAGAAGCTTCTTAAATCTCCGTCTCTACTAAAAATACAAAACTTGGGCCGGGCACGGTGGCTTACGCCTATAATCCCAGCACTTTGGGAGGCCAAGGCGGGTGGATCACGAGGTCAGGAGATCGAGACCATCCTAGCTAACACGGTGAAACCCTGTCTCTACTGAAAGTACAGAAAATTAGCCGGGCGCGGTCATGGGCACCTGTAGTCCCAGCTACTCGGGAGGCTGAGGCAGGAGAATGGTGTGAACCCAAGAGGCGGAGCTTGCAGTGAGCCAAGATCGTGCCACTGCACTCCAGCCTGGGTGACAGAGCGAGACTCTGTCTCAAAAAAAAAAAAAAATACAAAACTTAGCTGGACATGGTGGCGCATGCCTGTAGTCCCAGCCAGTTGGGAGGGTAAGGCAGGAGAATTGCTTGAACTGGGGAGGCAGTGGTTGCAGTGAGCCGAGATCGCGCCACTGCACTCCAGCTTGGTGACAGAGTGAGACTCCGTCTCAAAAAAAAAAAAAAAACAACCCCAAACTTAGCTTAAACCAGCTATTTCATTTGCCCACCAGTTTGGTGGGCTGGGAATCCAGGGCAGGGCACAGAAGAAATGGTTAGTCTCTACTCCACAGTTTCTGGGACTTTAGCTTGGAAGACTCAAGGATTGGAGGCAACATGAGAGCTGGGACTGGAATCATCTGGAAGCATCTTTACCCACAGATATGGCTGGTTATTCACTGGAACCTCAGCACAGGCTGTCAACTGGGATACTTACAGTGCCCTCCCCATGAGGGTTGGGCTTCCTTCCAGTATGGCAGCCTTTGGGAGTTGGACGACTTACATGGCAGCTTTCCTAACCTAGCCTTGGAAGTCACATAGCATCATCTCTACCCCCTTCTGTTGGTGACAAGAGAGTCACAAGTCTGCCTAGATTGAAGACCCCTTCTCTCTGTGGAAGGAGTGTGGAGGTCATATTGGAGAAGAGCTTATAGAATGGGAGATACTGTTGGGACCAACTCTGGAAGACAGAATCTGTCACAGCTCATAGAGCCTTGTCATTGGATGAGATACTTAGGAAGCGAGTGTAGACAGGAGAAGTCCTGGACTGGCCTGGGGACACTCAACATTTGGAGACTGAGAGGAGGAGGGTCAGTGGGCAGAGGGAAACCTGGAGCAAAAGACACTTCTTGCAGTGACTGCTACTTCCTGCTGAAGTTCCTTAGGGAATGGGGTCAGGATAGGTTCCTCTCTCCTTTCCCCATTGTGTGTATATGTGTCTGTGTGGTAAAATATACATAGCATGACATTTACCATCTTAGCAATTTTTTATTTTATTTTGTGAGACAGAGTCTCACTCTGTCGCCCAGGCTGGAGTGCAGTGGTGCAATCTCAGCTCACTGCAACCTCCGCCTCCTGGGTTCAAACGATTCTCCTGCCTCAGCCTCCTGAGTAGCTGGGACTAGCTAATTAGCCACCACACCTAGCTAATTTTTATATTTTTAGTAGAGACAGGGTTTCACCATGTTCGCCAGGCTGGTCTCAAATTCCTGACCTCAGGTGATCTGCACACCTCAGCCTCCCAAAGTGCTGGGATTATAGGAGTGAGTCCCTGAGCCCGCCACCATCTTAGCAATTTTTAAGGTACAGTTAGTTGAGTGGCATTAAGTACATTCACATTGTTGTGCAACCATCACTACCACCCATCTCCATAGCTCTTTTCATCTTGTAAAACTGAAATTGTACGTTAAACACTAACTCCCCTTCCCTCCTCCCCCCAGCCCCTGGCTACCACCACTCTGTCTCTATGATTCTGATGACTCTAAGTACCTCATACAAGTGGAATCACAGTGTATTTGTCTTTCCATGACTGGCTTACTTCACTTAGCATAATGTCCTCAAGACAGGACAGGTCTTGCCTCAGCTGCAAGCTGGTGCCAGAACCAGCCATCCCTGGTTCTGGGACGTCCATGGGCATGGCCTGGGGGCTCACTTGAGCAAAATTCCATGGCCCCACGAAGACAACCAGAGTCCCCCGTACCTCTCCATCCCGCACAGGCTCAGTCTTCCAAAACACTGCGGTGTGGGAGGGGGTTGCCTCAGTCCAGTCAAAACCCATTTTTTTAGAAAACCATTTATGCCGCTTCTTTAAGAGCTAAAGAATCCTCCAATTTACTCAACTCTAAAAAAAACCTTAACACCCAAACAGTAGCATCTGGACATAAATTTAACTAGATTTCAGAGTTTTCTCTAAGAATAGTTGGTGAATGTTGCTTTACGTCTTGGAGAATTTCCTAAACTAAGAGAGTCCAAAGATAAGGATTATTTCACTTCCAGGAAACAAAACTGCCATTTAGGTCCCTAAATGGCAGATCCCAGGTAACAGTACAAAACAAGTCTCTCTTTACAAAGCCCCTGCTATTGTAGTTAAAATAAACAGTCCATGTGTTAGAGTTGGAAATTCTATTGTTATATAGATATCTTGCTGAAATGGGTTCTGACCCCTACAAAGAGTTCTCAAGAATGAAACACGTGATGTTCCTTTAATGTTGTTTTTGCTCATGCAAATGACATCCTATTACACCCACGGATGCTTAACTACTAAGTTAAAACAACTACATGGCAATTTTGATCACTCCAGAGTCCCCTCACTGTTTTGTGGTTTTATGTAATTCGCATATTGTGTACAAAAAGACTTGACCTGGAGCCGGCAGCAAGAAATGTGTAATTAGAAACACTTCCCGAGGAAATTAGGTGACAAGTGAAGGCTTGAGGATTTCCGAGGGAGCCTGGAGCTGCAGATATTCATTATGGGTACTTAAGAGGCACAGCTGCCTCTGCTGAAAACCATGTCAAATGCCGTCCGCTGGATGCCAGCGTGGAGGCCAGCCCAGAGCCAGAGATGGTGGCTATGGCAACACGCTACTCCATTTTTAAACTTTTCATTACCTAAAAGGAAATTGCTTAGGCTGTTTTTCTTTTTTTCCTTTTTCTCCCTACCAATTTCAGAGTTTGTACCAGCAGTGAATAGCCTCCAGGTCTAACATTTCCTGGGTAATGAGTGACTAGCTGGGTGAAGTGCTTTTGGCCTTACCTCCAGCCTTGGCAACTCCAGCCAGTTATTAATTGCTGCACCGGGAAACACTTTCCAATCAAGCTATTATTTAATCAAAATAAAAGAAAACGAACTATTATTGCTGTCAACAGCAATGAGCAACTCTCCGCAGGAGTCTAAATGGGAACTGTGGAGGTTTTCACTGGAAGAAGTGTTCCTCTGGGGGTCAGATAAGCAGGGCAACGTGAAGTTGCGTGGAGTACCCTTGGGAACTGGTTCTTGTGGGAGGAGAGAATGTTGAACCAGCAGGAAGACGCAGAGAGATTACACACACCCTGTCCTAGATCTCAGTCATTCATGGTCAGTTAACCTGTAACCTTGCTGTTAAGCCAGTGCCCCAAATGCTTCTGTGGGAGTGTCTGCAGGGGAAAAGACAGTCCATAGAAGCATTTGGGCTGCTTCTATAAGCAATAAATAGTAAAACCTGTAACCACCATAATAACCACACTTCCTGAGTACCCCCAATGTGCCAGGCAGGCACTGTGCCCCCAGGTTTATACTCAGATCTCAAGAGTTCCCCACATTGCCACTGTGGGGAGAGTATAGTCACGATCCCTCTTTCACAGGGACACTGAGTCCGAGAGAGATGAACTTGGCCAAGACCCACCACACCCTGGTGTGAATAGCAGAGCCGGGGCTTGACTTCTAGTCTCTGCATCGAGCAGTTGCTTTTTTTTTTTCTTTAAGTGACAATATAAACATAACATAAAAGTGACCATCTTAACCATTTTTAAGTGGATAGTTCTGTGGCAGTAAGTACATTGACATTGTATGCAACTATCACCACCAACCATCTCTAGAACTTTTTCATATCCCCAGCTGAAACTCTGTACCCATTAAACACTAACTCCTCATTCCCTCCTTCCCCAAGCCCCTGGCAACCACTATTCTGTCTCTAACAGCGTGATGATTCCATGGACCTCACATGAGTGAATCATACACTATTTGTCCTTTGGTGACTGGCTTGTTTCACTGAGCGTAACGTCCTCAGGGTTCATCCACGTTGTAGTATGAGTCAGAATTGCCTTCCTACTTAAGGCTGAATTACATTCCATCGTTTGTATACACCACATTTTGTTTATCCATTCATCTATGGATGGACATTTGGGTTGTGCCCATGTTTTGGCTGTTGTGAATCATGCTGCTATGTTTACTTCTTCTTTTTTTTTTTTTTTTTTGAGATGGAGTTTTGCCCTTGTTATCCAGGCTGGAGTGCAGTGGCATGATCTTGGCTCATTGCAAGCTCTGCCTTCTGGGCTCCAGCGATTCTCCTGACTCAGCCTCCCGAGTAGCTGGGATTACAGATGCCCACCATCACACCCAGCTAATTGTTTGTATTTTTAGTAAAGGCGGGATTTCATCATGTTGGCCAGGCTGATCTTGAACTCCTGACTTCAGGTAATCCACCTGCCTCGGCCTCCCAAAGTGCTGGGATTACGGGTGTGAGCCACCGTGCCCGGCCGCTACGTTTAACTCTTAACCTCTAAGATTCATTGCCCCTGGGAGTAGTTGCTCTTCAAGGATAACACATGGCTCAGGGACTGCCTGTCACACCCCAACCTGAGAATCAGCAGAGACTACCACGGGGCCCATCAGGCCACTAGGCAGGTGCCACTCCCCTGGCAGGGAGAGAGGTGCCGGTGGCCACCGACCTCATAGGGTTCCACAGCTCCACACTGGCATGTTGCGGGAGGAATTTCAGTGTTCAATCCCAGGCTGTTTCTCTGAGTCTTAGGTTCTGGGATAAACAAGCTCCTTCAAGTCCAAACTGCTCAGATTAGACTTTACTGATAGATTCCACACCTGGAATCCTGCTCCGGGACTGCAGTCTCATCCTCCAGCTCCTGCAGGCTTCTTCTAAGCTGGTGGGTCTCAGCAGGGATGGGGGTGAGTGGTACTCCACACCCAGGGGACACCACCCACAGGAAGCTTTGTGGACATGTGAAGGGCATATGTGGTTGTCATAATGGTTGGGGGACACTGTTAATATTTATGTGAGGCCAGGGACTCAGGTGACCTGCAGTGTGTGAGGCAGTCACCCACAACAAAGAATTGTCCTGCATCCTGAACCAATTTCAAACAACCCATTAACATTTGTCTCCTAAGCTGTGTGACCTAAGTGCCACCTGCCTCCCCGGTTCCTCTCCCTCCCCTCTCATGCTTAAAGATAAGCCATTTTTGGGCCGGGCACGGTGGCTCACGCCGGTAATCTCAACACTTTGGGTGGCCGAGGCAGGCGGATCACAAGGTCAGGAGTTTGAGACCAGCCTGATCAATATTGTGAAACCCCATCTCTACTAAAAATACAAAAATTAGCCAGGCATGATGGCAGGTGCCTGTAATTCTAGCTATTCAGGAGGCTGAGGCAGGAGAATCGCTTTAACCCAGGAGGTGGAGGTTGCAGTGAGCCGAGATCATGCCATTGCACTCCAGCCTGGGCAACAGAGTGAGATCCCGTCTCAAAAAAAAAAATGCCTACTGTTTTCTCTGCCTAAAATGCCTACTTTTCCCTTTTGTCCAGTATGTGAGGGTTTGTCTTTCTTTCTTTCTTTCCTTCCTTCCTTCCTTTCTTTCTTTCCTTTTTTTTTTTTTTTTCAGACAGAGTCTCATTCTGTCACCCAGGCTAGTGCAGTGGCGTGATTTCGGCTCACTCTAACCTCTGCCTCCCAGGTGCAAGCGATTCCCGTCTCAGCCTCCTGACTAGCTGGGATTACAGGCACGCACCACCATGCCCAGCTAATTTTTGTATTTTTAGTAGAGACGGGGTTTCACCATGTTGGCCTGGCTGGTCTTGAACTTCTGACCTCAGGTGATCCACCCACCTCGGCCTCCCAAAATGCTGGGATTACAGGCATGAGTCACTGTGCCCCGTGGGATTTGTTCTTTAAGGCTCAGATTAAATGTACCTATGTACGAGACTTCCCCAGAACTTCCCAGTAGCATGTGTCAGTCCCTAAATGGGACCTCGTAGCTCTTGGTATGTTCATGCATTTCAGAAATACTTTCTTCTTTCTGAGTACCTACTATGTGCCAGGCACTAGGGTAGGCTAAGAATTTAAAGATGAATAAGACAGAGTCCTTGTCCTCAAGGAATTCCCAGGAAAGTCAGAGACAGACAGCGATCACCATGCAAGGCAACAAATGCCAAAGAGAGGAGGACTGCAGTGTGGGAGCCGTGGAGCCACGAAGAAGCCCTGGGACTCTTGGAAGACTCCACTGGGAAGAGGTGGTTTAAACTGGGTTTTGAAGAATCGAGAAGGAGAATCAGCCAAAGAAATGTGCCAAGATGCCAAGCTGAGATAATTCCATAGGGCTACAGTGTAAGAGACAGATCCAGGAAGGTGGGTCCAGGAAGGTGGCAGGGCCACATCCTGACAAGCCACTGCTGTTAATGATGAAGAGCAGGGAGCCTGTGCAGCCTTGGATTTCATGGGATAATGCCTCCTAAGGCCCTGCTTGGGACATTAGGCACTCACCCAGCCTCCTGCCCATGCCAATGGAGCAGGGGTTCCCTCCAAGTCCTGTCCCGGAATGGTTCTGTTCCCAGGGAGGATAGGAACTCGAATTTGTGGAGCAGCTACTTGATGTGCCAAACATTTGTGTTCTCTTCAGCAAGAGGATACTTGCTGGTGTGCCTGGGAGACTGTCCCAGGATAAATGGGGAGTGTCTTTCTAGAATGTTAATTGCACTCAAAGATTGGGGAGGGAAAATCAATTAGTGTAAATGGTAAATAACTTAAAACATTATTTTTACATCACATCAATAGTGGATATATTATGGAGCAGAATGCTAAAGTAACACACATTTTTCTTAATTTCATTTATCATTTGGAAAGGTAACACGAGCTCATGATACAAAATTCAAAACATGTAAGAGTTTAGAATAGGCCGGGTGTGGTGGCTCATGCCTGTAATCCCAGCACTTTGGGAGGCCGAGGCGGGCGGATCATGAGGTCAGGAGTTCAAGACCAGCCTGGGCAACATAGTGAAATCCCATCTCTACTAAAAATACAAAAATTAGCTGGGCGTGGTGGCACGTGCCTGTAGTCCCAGCTACTTGGGAGGCTGAAGCAGGAGAATTGCTTGAACCCGGGAGGCGGAGGTTGCAGTGAGCCAAGACCGGGCCATTGCGCTCCAGCCTGGGGACAGAGTGAGACTCCACTTCAGAAAAAAAAAAAAAAAAAAAAAAGTTTAGAATGAAAATTTACATTTCGGCTGGCTGGGCACAGAGGCTCACCCTTGTAATCCCAGCATTTTGGGAGGCCAAGGCAGGAGGATCACTTGAGGTCAGGAGTTCAAGACCAGCCTGGCCAACATGGCGAAACCCCGTCTCTACTAAAAATACAAAAATTAGCTGTGTGTGGTGGCACACGCCTGTAATCCTAGCTATTCTGGAGGCTGAGGCAGGAGAATCGCTTGAACCCGGGAGGCAGAGGTTGCAGGGAGTCGAGATTGAGCCACTGCACTCCAGCCTGGGAGAAAGAGCGAGACTCCGTCACACACACACACACACACACACACACACACACACACACACACACACAATTTACATTTCTGTTCTCCAGCCACCCAGCTTCACTCCCCAGAGGCAACCACTATTTCTACTTTCTTGGGTACCCTCCAAGAGATACTCTATATATAGTCTAAGTAAATACCTATGTATGTGGGGTTTTTTTAAATGCAAATGATAACATGAAATACGCACTACTCCACAGATTGCTGTTTTCAGATGACACTACATCTTGGAGATCTTTCCATAACACATTCATAGATTATTCCAGCCAGGCACAGTGGCAGGTGCCTGCAATCCCAGCTACTTGGAAGGCCGAGATGGGAGGATCAGTTGAGCTTAGGAAATTGAGGCTGCAGTGAACTCAGGAGTTCAAGTCCAACACGGGCAACATAGTGAGACTGCACAATATTTCATTGTATGAATCTGTCAGAATTTGTTAACCAGCCCTATGATGACCATTTCCAATGTCTTCCTATTACTAATGACACTACAACAAATATGATCCCGAATGTTCTTCATTTTTATGTGCTAGTATATGTGCAGGGTAAATTCCTAGAAGTGGGTCACAAGATATACCATATCGTCCGTTTGCCATCTGAAGAGATCTTCCATACTATACCATCTCAGCTGGTCTTTCCTTGCCTCTTGTTTGTTTTCTTTTGAGATGAAGTCTCGCTCTGTCGCCCAGGCTGGAGTGCAATGGCATGCTCTCGGCTCAATGCAACCTCTACCTGCCAGGTTCAAGGGATTCTCCTACCTCAGCCTCCCGAGTAGCTGGGATTACAGGTGCCCGCCGTCACACCCGGCTAATTTTTTTGTATTTTTAGTAGAGATGGGGGGTTTCACCATGTAGGTCAGAATGGTCTCGAACTCCTGACCTCAGGTAATCCGCCCGCCTTGACCTCCCAAAGTGCTGGGATTACAGGTGTGAGCTACTGTGCCCAGCCTTCCTTGCCTCTTAAGTCTATACACAGTAAACAATAGTTTTTTTCCCAATCTTTCTGACCTTTGCCAATCTGATGGGTGAAAGCTGTATCTCATTAGAGTTTATTTGCTCTTCCTGTATTACGAAAGAGGTGGAGTCTCTCTTTTATATTCAAGGGGTCTTTGTATTTCACATTCCGGGAACTGACCCTTCATATCATTCACCCATTTTTCTATTGTATTATTGGCTTTTTCTTATCAATATTTAGGATTTCTTTAAATATTAAGGGAAGACATTTTTGTGATATGAATTGCAAATTCTTCCCACCCATAATATTTGTCTTTTGATTTTGTTTTTCTGCCCCATATAATTATTTGTAATTTTTTCTTTTTGTAGCTGAATTTACTTTTGTTTTTCTGGCTTCTGAGTTCTATGTTATACTTAGAAAGGCTGCTTCTTTATCTGAAGTGATTAAAAAATATTCTAATTAATTCATTCCATCGAAAGTTTACTAAGCCCTGACTCTATGCCAAGCACTGTCTGGGTGCTGGGATTGCCAGGCTGAACAAAACAAACCATGAGTACATGTTTTGAGGGTTTTTTGTTTGTTTGTTTGTTTGTTTGTTTTTTGAGACGGAGTCTCACTCTGTCACCAGGCTGGAGTGCAGAGGCACAATTTCGGCTCACTGCAACCTCTGCCTCCCGGGTTCAAGCAATTCTCCTGCCTCAGCCTCCCGAGTAGCTGGGACTACAGGCACACGCCGCCACGCCTGGCTATTTTTTTTTTTTTTTTTTGTATTTTAGTAGAGATGAGGTTTCACCATGTTGCCCAAACTGGTCTCGAACTCCTGAGCTCAGGCAATCTGCCCGCCTTGGTCTCCCAAAGTGCTAGGATTACAGGCATGAACCACCGCACCCGGCCGACCCCTGTTGTTTTATCTGCCCCCACAGCTCCCTTCTGAGAATTCCCCACCACACACCATCCATCTGCTTCCCAGCGGGAATACCTGTTAGCTGAGACCCCGCCCACTTACGGGTCCAGGGCCTGCTCAACACAGACTTTACCAATCACAGCCTTTCTTTGTAAATCTGAAAAAGAAACCAAGAGGGTCCAATGTCTGTCAATTACAAAGGTGGGAATCCATCAGGGGCCACACTTCCTGCCCCATGGGCCAGAGAAGCAGAGGAACCTAACCTGCAGAGGGAGCCTGATTTAGGCATAGGGAGAAAGTCGGGGGACAAGAAAAAGAGAGTTCCCAGGTGTCCACGTCCGTGTTTGTCAGGTGTGCCGGGGCTCAGGCTGTGTACTCCCATCTCTGTGTTCCTTGAGACCCTCCTACATCCTTGAGTTCTCCTGAAGCTTTCACTTCGGTTTCTGTCACCTGCAATCAGAGTCCTAGAAAGTAGCTGAGATGCCCCTCATCCTGGAATGATATGTCTCTGATGCCTTCTCTCTCTCTCTTTTAAATTTTTTGAGACTGAGTCTCACTCTGACACCCAGGCTGGAGTGCAGTGATGTGATCTCGGCTCGCTGCAACCTCCACCTCCCAGGTTCAAGTGATTTTCCTGCCTCAGCCTCTCGAGTAGCTGGGACTACAGGCACATGCCACCACCACTCCCGGTTGATTTTTGTATTTTTAGTAGAGACGGAGTTTCACCATGTTGCCCAGGCTGGTCTCAAACTCCTGACCTCAAGTGATCTGCCTGCCTCGGCCTCCCAAAGTGCTGGGATTACAGGTGTGAGCCACCATGTTCAGCCTCCAAAGTCTTCTCTTAGGTGTATCACAAAAGTGGGCCAGGATGCTGGTTCAGCAGCTGAATGGTGTCCCAGAGGGCAAAGGGAGTGTGATTATGGACAAGGTCTGGGGCTCCAGGGGCTGGCATTCTCAGCCACTCACTGTTGGAAGTTATGTGTCACCAAACTGGAAGACTGTGTCAGTACAAACTCAAAGCCTGCTTCTCTTTCAATCTGATAAATACAAGTGAAATTGTGATTTTTACAAAATGAGGACTTCTTACCCTCTTCACTGGGCGCCCACGTGTAAGGGTGTAGAACAGGAATTCGGGCCCAAATTTAGCCAGCGTTTTACCCTCAAATCTGTTCTTTCCTCCCTAGGGTGCTTTTGGTTTTTTCAGGAATTACAGCTGCCCCCTAGACTGGAGATCTGGAAATCAGTTTTTCCTCATAATGTCTCTGGTACTTGACCCTTCTTTTCCATTTTCTCTGCCAAGTCCAAGTTTTATTGTCTCGGGCCTGAATTGTTGTAATAGAGTCCTAAGTTAATGCCTCTGCACGGCCTGAAATGCCGTTTCACATGTAAACTAGAATCTAAATTCAAATATTGCCCTCTCCGTGGGGCTTCTTTGTCCCCAGGAGTCACCGTCCATAGTCACTAACATCTCAGATGTTAACTATCCAGGGATCAGCCATGTGACCTGAGGCTTAACTCCACGGAGTTCAGTTTCTTTATCTGTCAGATGGAATAAACAGCAGGGTTGTGGTGAGAGTTCAATGAAACTGTGTAGACAGAAATGACCACTTGCTGGGCATGATGGCTCATGCCTGTAATCCCAGCATTTTGGGAGGCCCAGGTGGGAGGATAGCTTGAAGCCAGGAGTTCAAGGTCAGCCTGGGTCACCAGCTTGGGTCAAGATTAGCAAGACCCTTGTCTCTACAAAAAAGTTTAAAACTAGCCAGGCACGGGGCACAGTGGCTCACACCTGTAATCCCAGCACTTTGGAGGCAGAGGCAGGCAGATCACTTGAGGTCAGGAGTTCAAGGCCAGCCTGGCTAACGTGGTAAAACCTCATCTCTACTAAAAATACAAAAATTAGCTGGGCGTGGTGGCGGGCACCTGTGATCCCAGCTACTCAGGAGGCTGAGGCAGGAGAATCGCTTGAACCCAGGAGGCAGAGGTTGCTGGGAGCCGAGATTGCACCACTGCACTCCAGCCTGCGTGACAGAGTGAGACCCTGTCTCAAAAAAAAAAAAAAAAAAGTTAGCTGGGCATGGTGGCGGGTGCCTGTAATCCCACCTACTCAGGAGACTGAGGCAAGAGAATTGCTTGAACTTGGGAGGCAGAGGTTGTAGTGAGCCAATATTGCACAACGCCACTGCACTCCAGCCTGGGTGACAGAGCGAGACTCCATCTCAAAAAAATAAAAAAATAAAACTAGCCAGGCATGGTGATGAACACCTGTAGTCTCAGTTATTTGGGAGGCTAAGGCAGAAGGATCACTTGAGCCCAGGAGTTGGAGGCTGCACTGAGCCATGATCACACCACTGTACTCCAACCTGGGCAACAGAACAAGATCCTGTCTCTAAAAGAAAAAAAAGAAATGATCATTTCAGGGCTTGCACATAAATGGTAACCCACCGTTGTCCCCTTTGTTCACTTTGTCTTATTTTCTCAGCAGGCTGTTAACTCTTTGAAACCCGGAACCTTGCCTTGCCCTTAGTGCCTAGCAGAGAGCATGGCACAGAGTAGGCACTCAATGAATGTCAGATGAATAAATACATAAATGGAGGAATGAATCAGAAAAACCTTTTCCACTCCTTTAGACTTTCTCCTCAATCCTTTATGCACATTTGCCAAACTAATGCCTCTTCATTTTGACTTTCGACAAACATGTTAACTTCTTGTTTAAAAATCATCTATGCTTCTCTAGTACCTATAGGTTCAACTTTTAAATTTTAGATTCAAGGCCCTGGTAATCTGGCCCGAGATACAGTTTTTCGACTAATCTCCTGTTATTCATCACTACAATCCTTTTAATCTAATTGTCCTGGCAGGTCCATTCATTATTGTCAGCTACCTCCAAAAAGCCCTTTCCCTTTTTTTTTTTTTTTTTTTTTTGAGATGTAGTCTCACTTTATCACCCAGGCTAGAGTGCAATGGCGCATTCCTGGCTCACTGCAACCTCTGCCTCCCGGGTTCAAGCAATTTTCCTGCCTCATCCTCCTGAGTAGCTGGGATTACAGGCATGCACCACCACACCCAGCTAATTTTTGTATTTTTAGTAGAGACAGGGTTTCACCATGTTGGCCAAGCTGGTCTCGAACTCCTGACCTCGTGATCTGCCCGCCTTGGCCTCCCAAAGTGCTGGGATTACAGACATGAGCCACCATGCCCCACCCTTTTTTTTTTTTTTAAAGACAGGATCTCACTCTGTCACCCAGACTGTAATGCAGTGGTAAAATCATGGCTCACTGCAGCCTCAAACTCCTGGGCTTCATTGATTCTCCTGCATCAGCCTCCAGTGTAGCTGGGACTATAGGTAAGTGCCACAATTACACCCAGCTAATTTTTTCAATTTTTCTTTTTTAGAGACAGGGGTCTCACTCTGTTGCCCAGGCTGGTCTCGAACTCCTGGCCTCAAGTGATCCTCCCACCTCATCCTCCCAAAGTGCTAGGATTACAGGTGTAAGCCACTGTGCCCAGCCCCTTTTCCTTTCTCATCCCTATCTTCGCACCAGCATTCATCCTCAGGCCCCCTGCCAAGGGCATTTTCCTTCTCCTCTCTTCCCAGCCACGTCCTACCGTCCGTGGCAGAGAAAGCTAGTTATCTCCCAATATTCCTAAAGAAATGGAAAAAAAGTCCCCAATAATTCTACCACGTAACATCTGGACATATTTTCTTCCAAGATTTATTTCTATACATTTAAAATAAAATTTCAAAAAGTGTTAACTGGGAAGCAGTTCCTATCATGACCATGCACGTATTTCTATTTAGATAAACAAAAAGAAGCAAATAAAAATCACCATAACCCTACTAGCCAGTGTTTTTTTTGTTTGTTTGTTTTGTTTTTGAGAGGGAGTCTCACTCTGTCGCCCAGGCTGGAGTGCGGTGGCGCGATCTCAGCTCACTGCCAGCTCCATCTCCCGGGTTCACGCCATTCTCCCACCTCAGCCTCCCGAGTAGCTGGGACTACAGGCGCCCGCCACCACACCCGGCTAATTTTTTGCATTTTAGTAGAGACCGGGTTTCATGGTGTTAGCCAGGATGGTCTTGATCTCCTGACCTTGTGATCTGCCCGCCTCGGCTTCCCAAAGTGTTGGGATTACACACTCATGAGCCACCGCGCTCGGCCTAGCCAGTGTTTTAACCTTTTGGTTATATATAGCCTTTCAACACATAGGAGTATTTAGAACAATTTCATTCTTCTTCTTTTTTATTTTTTTTACAAAGTTGAGATACTGTGATCAACCTAGTTTCTATTCTATTTGGTTAGCATTGTTTCAAAAACATTTTTCACATCATTAAGAAAGCTTGGTAAAAATGATTTTTTTTTTTTTTTGAGATGGAGTCTCACTTCTTTGCCCAGGCTGGAGTGCAATGGTGCAATCTTGGCTCACTGCAACCTCCGCCTCCCGGGTTCAAGCAATTCTCCTGCTTCAGCCTCCCCAGTAGCTGGGATTACAGGCATGCGCCACCATGCCCAGCTATTTTTGTACTTTTAGTGGAGACGGGGTTTCACCCTGTTGGCCAGGCTGGTCTCAAACAAGTGATCCACCTGCCTCGGCCTCCCAAAGTGCTGGGATTACAAGCATGAGCCACTGCGCCCGGCCAAAAATGATTATATTTAATGGAAACACAATATCCCATTGTTTGAGTAAACCATAATTATCTTTTCACTGTTCCACATTTAGGGTCTCTTTTTTCAAGTTTTCTTTATTTTAAACAATGCTGCAATGAATGCTTGTGCATAAATCTTTGATCTTGTTTCTCAATAGCTCCTTAGAATTTTTAATCACATTTCTTGAGTACTCACCATGTTCTAAGCATTTTTTTTTTTTTTTGGAGACAGGGTCTTGCTCTGTTGGCCAGGCTGGAGTACAGTGGTGCGACCATAGCTCACTGCCATCTTGAACCCCTGGCCCCAAGCAATCCTCCCACCTCAGCCTCCCAAAGTTCCGAGATTACAAATATGAGGCACTGTGCCCGGCCTCCAAGCATTTTTTTTTTAATGTTACTGCAATAAATTTTTATAACACTGCTATCAGGGAGGTATTATCATTCCCATTGCACAGATGACAAAACTGAAGCACAAATAAGTAGAGGAACATGCTGAAAGTGCTCAAAGCCATGAGAGTGGGGCCAAAATGTAACCTGGTTCAGTCTGCCTCCAAAGCTGATGCTGTCAATCATGAACTTTTCGAGGCTCCTGACACATATTGCCAAATGACTTCCTGGAATGGTTGTTCCGATTTACGCTACACCAACAGTATAAGAACGCCCATCACTCTCACTTCTCCTAGTGATTGCCAGGCATTTGCTCTCACCTTCTATGAGTTGTCTCTTCCTGTAGTTTGCTCATCTACGTGGGCAGCGAAGGTCACCATGGCCCACTAACTAGTCCAGCTGAACTGCCCAGTGGCAGGCAAAGTGGTGATGTTTCCCCCAGAACCTGGCCACATCCATCCCACTCTGATGTGAGAATATCTAAACAAATGCAATCACTATAAAACAGTGCTGTTATACTGGGAGACAGAGAGCCCTGTAGGCGGGACTGCCTCCTGCCCTGCCTGTCTGTGCAGAGTCTAGAGGAGCCAGCATCCGGAGGTTCATGCACACAGGCCATCTGTAAGTTGCGTGTTTATGAGCTGTAATTACACTAGGGGTGGTTTCTTCATTGTCCCTGAGCTGGTTATTCATGCATCTCAGCGTAATTTCAAAGAATATAAAACCAGGTTAATTTCAAAGAAAATAAAATCACGAGTTTGCTATGATTTAAGAATAAAGGTAATATAACAAAGAAGATTTATTCATTTCCTTTGAAATGCCAATATCATATAAATTCTGCAGTTGGATCAGAAGTGGTATTCTGGGCATGAACGATCCCTTTTTGGAAGATTGAGGACAGCTCATGGAAGCATCTGAAATGTATTTTCCTAACACAGTTTTGATGCCAGGTTTCTTCCACGGTAGTTAATGCCTTTAGCAGCGTGACATAAGAAATATATATTTGGTCTCTGCCCCCGGTTCCTGGCACAGAGCTCCTAAAACACTCGTAATTTCCTGGCTGATATGGGTGCTAGGAACATCCTTTGTTCTAATATTTGGTCTTTAATCCCGGTTCCTGACACAGAGCTCCTAAACTCCCTGTAATTTCCTGGGTTATAGGAGTGTCTTTTGTTCTAACAAGACAACTCCTGATGGGCTCCTGAGTAGCTTCAGGATGGGGATGGTCACCAGAAAGACCAAGCCATGACTAGAAGCTTGGAACTTTCTCCCCTGGCTCCCATCCCCCGGGAAGGAGATTGAGTTAATAATCAATCATGGCTATGTGAAGAAGCCTCCATAAAATTCCCTAAAAGACAGCATTCAGGCAGGGCGCGGTGGCTCACACCTGTAATCCCAGCACTTTGGGAGGCTGAGGAGGGCAGATCACTTGAGGTCAGGAGTTCCAGACCAGCCCGGGCAACATGGTGAAACTCCATCTCTACTAAAAATACAAAAATTAGCCAGGGGTGATGGTGCGTGCCTGTAGTCCCAGCACTTTGGGAGGCTGAGGTGGGCGGATCACTTGAGGCCAGGAGTTTGAGGCCAGCCTGGGCAACATGGTGAAACCCCATCTCTAACAAAAATATAAAAATTAGCCAGGCATGGTGGTGCGTGCCTGTAGTCCCAGCTACTCGGGAGGCTGAGGAAGGAGAATCACTTGAACCTGGGAGACGGAGGTTGCAGGGAGACAGAGGTGCAGAGAACCGAGATCACGCCATTGCACCCCAGCCTGGGTGACAGAGTGAGACTCCGTCTCAAAAACAAAACAAAATAAAACAAAAACAAAAAAAACCCCAGCATTCGGAGGACAGAGGGCTTCCCTGTGGGTAAACACGTGCACATGCTGGGATGGTGGCACCCCCAGCTCCTCGAGGACAGGCACTCTTGAGCTTGGGACCCTTCCAGAGCTTGCCCTCTGTGCCTCTTCGCCTGGCTGTTCTCTGTGTCCTTTGTCATCTCCTTTCTAATAAACCTGTCAACAGAAGTGTTTCCTTGAGTTCTGTGAGCCATTGCAGCAAATGATCGAATCTTGGGAGAGGCTCGTGGGCCCCGATTTGCAGCCAAGTTGGACAGAAGTGTGTGTAACTTGGGCACCCACTACCTGCAACTGGCATCTGAATTGGGGGGCAGTCTTGTGGGACAAGGCCCTTCGCTTGTGAGATTTGACCCTCACTCCAGGGAGATGGTGTCAGAATTGAGCTGACTTGTAGGACACTCAGCTGGTGTCTGAGAGTCCGAGCATTGGCTGGTGTAGGAAAATCCCCACACATATTTGGTGTCAGAAGCATTCTGTGTGAGTAGAAAAAAACAGTTTTTCACATTTAACAGGATATCTTGGCCAGGGACAGTGGCTCACACCTGTAACCCCTGCACTTTGGAAGACCAAGGTAGGAGGATGGCTTGAGGCCAGGAATTCGAGACCAGCCTGGGCAACAGAGCGAGATCCCTGTCCCTACAAAAAATACAAAAATTAGCCAGGCATGGTGGTGCACACCTGTATTCCCAGCTACTTGGGGGGCCGAGGTGGGAGGATCGCTTGAGCTCAGGAGTTCAAGGCTGCAGTGAGCCATGATCCTGCCATTGCACTCCAGCCTGGGTGACAGAGTGACACCCCGTCTCAAAACTAAGAATTAAAATTAAAAATGTCACAGGACGTCTACCACTCACTTGCTGAGCAGCTTGGTCCTCTGGGGTTCAGTGTCAATAGCAGGCCTCTGAATCATGGTAATATCCACCACTCACGAGTACCCACTGTGTACTCAACACTTGCTAGGAGTTTTATGCAGGCCTTGTTTCTAATCTGCATCATAACCATGTGAGGTAGATAGGATTTGCTCTAGTCTGAAGATGTAGAAGCTGAAACCTAGAGGTCCCAGAGCTAGTGATAAGTTGGATCGACAAACCCAAGCCGCACCCTTGTGCCGCACAGGACGTTCTTTTGGAGAGCTTATTGAATGGACCATTCCATTCCCAATGCCTCCCCTTCTCCTCCATGATTGGCTGAGCTGCATGGAAGGGAGACTTTTGATGACTCAGAGGAAACTTGAAGAATAAATGCATTTGCACTATTGTTTTTGGATATATACTCTAAAAAGACAGTGGAGATGAGGAAGGGTTATCTGGAACATTGACACTTCTTCCCAGATTGACGAGGTACTTACATCCATTCTTGGCTTGAACTATTGTCCTTGATAATGAGTGACACATGTTTATATGACCATCCCTACAGTCCCAAGGACATGCCCCATCGCCTATTTCTCTCGGCTTCTCACACAAGTTATAAAAGCTGGAAGGAACTGCAGTAAAATATCACTCTTCCTCTTTCTTCCACATAGTGTCAGAGGTCCAGAGACAAAAAGAATCCTGTCTGGGCCTATGATACGACAGTATCAGGGGCTGCTGGTGCCAATCATTGAGAGAAGGGCAGGTTCTCGGGCAGGAAGAGGAGACTTGAAGGACAGAACTTTGGCAGGAAGTAGCAGGGACACCATGTCCCCTTGGCATTTTCTCCTGTGTAGGGAGAAGAGGGTGTCCTAGATGGCTGGCCCTGGGGACAAAAGTTGAAAAAGCCTCTATTCTAGGGGGTAGGCTGGGGACCAGTTGAACTCTGTGCATACAGCTCTTTTTTTTTTTTTTTTTTTTTGAGACGGAGTCTTACTCTGTCGCCCAGGCTGGAGTGCAGTGGCGTGATCTCAGCCCACTGCAACCTCCACCTCCCAGGTTTAAGCGATTCTCCTGCCTCAGCCTCCTGAGCAGCTGGGATTACAGGCACGCGTCACCACGCCCAGCTAATTTTTGTATTTTTAGTAGAGACGGGGGTTTCACCATGTTGGTCAGGCTGGTCTCGAACTCCCAAACTCATGATCCGCCCACCTCCGCCTCCCAGAATGCTGGGATTACAGGCACGAGCCACCGCGCCTAGCCAGGATTTAACTTTCATTGGATTAAGGAAAGCAGCAGGTTTCTCAGGGAGACTATGCCTGTTAGATCGACAGTCCAGTGCCAGCCTGTACTTTCATGGAAAATACCGTAAAATAATCTGATTTAAGCAGGAGCTAACAGCTGAAGCTTCTCATGTTCCTGCCTGGAAAGGCATGCTAATATTTCACTGGTCTCAGGATCAGTGAAAACTATAAAAACCTAGAACCTAAAATATTCTGGCCTTTTTAATGTTCACCTTCTGTATTTTGCATTTTTCTAATAATAGCTACCCACTGAACTACAGGTACTCTGCTAGTTACATAATTTATATTGTTGGTAACCCTCACAACCCTGCAAGGTAAAATATTGCAAAACCTACCTTCATCCATAGATAAGGTAGGTGAGGCCACCAAGGAACAAAGCTTGTAATATCCACAAACTGGAGACCTTACAAGGTCGCATGTTTCTAGGAGCCTAAGCTAATTTTCAGACTTCTCAGTCTGCTGAATTATTTTTTTGAAGGGCCAGTGATTACATGTAGGTTGTTTTTTCCTTTCTTTTTAAAAACTAACCTCCAATATGTCTCCATCAAAACAGTACATGCATTTTGAATTCATGTGTGCTACAAAGTTTCAGAATGGGCACTTGAAAGGGGCAATATAAAAGGGAAGGGGGAGAAGGGGGAACGTGGCTGACCAAGTAGAATCACGTTTCAAGTTCTAGTCCTCCAGGCCTGCTATGCATGAGGAATTTGTATGCCAAACTTCCTCTTCTGCAAGGATCCTCCTCCTGGCCTCCTGAATCTCCTAGATCAGCTCAAATCCTGGCTCTTGCCTAAGGCCTTCCCCCACACTGCAAATAAAAAACTTCTTTTCCGGTCGGCCTGTAATCCCAGCACTTTGGGAGGCCGAGGCAGGCGGATCACGAGGTCAGGAGATCGGGACCATCCTGGCTAACACGGTGAAACCCCATCTCTACTAAAAATACAAAAAATTAGCTGGGCGTGATGGCGGGCGCCTGTAGTCCCAGCTACTCGGGAGGCTGAGGCAGGAGAATGGCGTGAACCTGGGAGGTGGAGCTTGCAGTGAGCCGAGATTGTGCCACTGCACTCCATCCTGGGCGACAGAGCGAGACTCCGTCTCAAAAAAAAAAACAAAAAACTTCTTTTCCATATTCTGATAATGCTTATAGTCCAGTTGCGCATTTGAAACTTAATCAGGGTTGGCTTTGCATTTTCATTTAAATGTGTTTTCCATGGTTGTAACTATCAAGGTCACAAGGGCTAAGGGCCACATTTCTTTTTATCCCTTTGTCACAGATGGTACTGTGGATGTAGAAGTTGCTTGGTAAAACTTGATCAATGACTAAGTAGTTGAAAAATAAATGAATTTGGAATAATTCAGGGACTAAGTAGATTAGGATGGTATAAATAACAACGGACATTTTAAAAAGTACTTTAAAGTTTGTAAAATGTTCCTCAGGTAGTCTCATTTGTACCTAACAATAACCCACAGAGAAAACTAACTCAGAGAGGGTAAGTAGCTTGCTCTTGAAACCCAGATCCTCTTACTCCAAAGCTTGTATTATTCCGTAATAGTTGACCTCAAGTATGGATGTAAGAGTAAATCTGGACACTATTCTCTACCATTAAACATCTTCACCAGCAGAGGGCGCAAGAAGATGCATGGGTCTTCGAGTCAGGTTTGTATACTGGCCCACCCCAGCTAAGAGGTAGATGAGTCGGGGCAAATTATTTAATTCTTCTGAGCCTCGTCTGTAAAATATCGATGATAATGCTCTCACCAACACCACAGGGTGGTTATAAAGATTAGAAATACTCTGTGGCTGGCATACAGTAGGTGAACAATAAACCATATCTCAAGATCCCCAAAAGGGGGTCACAGAGGCAGTTTGGAGATTAGACATTGATTCTTGTTTGATGCTTTAATAAATATTTGAAATTCGTTTCATACTTCACACTTACAGTAGACAAAAGGTTATAGAAAATGAAGGTTATAAAAAATGCATACTGATGGAAACTTTTTGGTATTTTTTAATCGATGTATCATGGTTGTAAATATTTTGGGGGGATGATAGAAACATTTCAATACCCAGCAAAATTGTAAGAAAGCAGACTGAACAACCTTTAAGGATGAAAACCTTAAAAACACGAAATGCCATTTGCCCCAGCATCTATTTAACCTAAGAAAATAATATTGGGTGGTAGCAAGATTTAGAAAAACAAAGGAAGTCATCATTGCTTTATAAGAGCAAAAGTGGAAACCACAAATTTATTAAATGCACAGGTTTAAAAGTGTACAGTCTCTCCATCAAATTGAACACTATGTAGTCATTAAAATAAAAATTCTTCCATGCAGAAAAATATTCTACATGGAAAGATAATCACAACACAGCAGGCAAAAATCACAAGAGACAAAACAGCCTGGCTGGGCGTAGTGGCTCATGCCTGTAATCCCAGCACTTTGGGGGGCCGAGACGGGCGGATCACGAGGTCAGGAGATTGAGACCATCCTGGCTAACACGGTGAAACCCCGTCTCTACTAAAAATACAAAAAAATTGGCGGGGCGTGGTGGCGGGCGCCTGTAGTCCCAGCTACTCGGGGGGGGCTGAGGCAGGAGACTGGCATGAACCCGGGAGGCGGAGCTTGCAGCCTGGGTCAGACAGCAGGACTCCGTCTCAAAAAAACAAAACAAAACAAAACAAAACAAAACAGCCGATTTCACTTTTGTTTAAAAACACACCCAAGGCCAGGTATGACAGCTCATACGTGTAATCCCAGTGCTTTGGGAGGCCACCATGGGAGGACTGCTTGAGGCTGGAAGTTCCAGACCGGCCCGGGCAACATAGTGAGACTTCATCTCTACAAAAAAATTTTTTCTTTTTCTTTTCTTTTTTTTTTTTTTTTTTGAGATGGTGTCTTGCTCTGTCACCCAGGCTGGAGTGCAGTGGCACGATCTCGGCTCACTGCAACCTCCGCCTCCTGGGTTCAAGCCGTTCTCCTGCCCTCCTGCCTCAGCCTCCCCAGTAGCTGGGATTACAGGCACGTACCACCATGCCCAGCTAATTTTTGTATTTTTAGTAGAGACAGGGTTTCACCATGTTGGCCAGGCTGGTCTCGAACTCCTGACCTCGTGATCTGCCTGCCTCGGCCTCCTAAAGTGCTGGGATTACAGGCTTTAGCCACCGTGCCAGGCCAAATTTTTTTAAAAAAATTAGCCAGGTGTGGTGGGTGCCGGTAGTCCCAGCTATTCGCGAGGCTGAGGCAGAGAGAATCGCTTGAGCTCAGGAGTCTGCAGTGAGCTATGATCACACCAGTGCACTCCAGCCTGGGTGACAGGCTAAAAGAATATATATACATATCTCTCTATAAAATATATGAAAATACAAAACAGAAATCAAAATTTAAGTTTTACGTTATTTCCACAGAAGATATTGTTAGTGATACCCCCTTTTTTTTTGCTCCTCTTTGCTTATCTTATGTTCTGAAATTAACATTTATCATTTTTGAATGATGGAAAATATATTTTACAGGAGCACCGTTGGAGTCTTTCACTTAACACTGCCTCCCAACCAGGCCAGTGGTCATGTAAATTAAGTCAATTGTCATAAAAGGGCTTGGAAGTTTCAAGGTAGTTAGCCAAAATAATTAAAATCCTGGTGAAATTTCACAGAGCTGGCCATTGAGCTTTGACTCCACTGACATGAGGCTGCTGTAAACAGACACCAGGCTCCATGTTTTCAAAAGGCCTAAAAACAGCACAAAATAAAATATAACAACGATTGTTCATGTAAAGGGCCACGTGCCATCTCTGTCCTGAGCAAATGTAACCTGAAACCCTCTCTGTCTGGCACTCCGGGTTGGCGGCACCTCTCTGGACGGTGTATTTGCTCTCCATTACTCAATTTACTTTCCTGAACTTGAAATGGAGTGGAATTTCAATGTAGAGTTACCCATTAGCTCCAGGGCTAAATTTAAACCTTTAATTAAATTAATCCGTTGATCTGAAACACATTGCTTCTCCCTCAAAAGTGCAGCAGGTTTCTTAGGTGTCACAGAGCTTAATTCAGTGTGGCAATTGTTCCTTACTGCATTTGTTAAGTTGCCCATACCGCCTGGGGAAACCCGCACACGTTTTCAGATCCCTCCAGGTGAACTCCTCCACCCTGTCCCCGCCCCCGCCCCCACCCCCAACCAAAACAAGCATTCGTTGTGGGTGGGGACTGCGACTCCTCCCAGATTCAGAGCTACTGCTCTGGGAGGGCCGTCAGGAACCCGTATTTATAGAAGACATGGTAGGTGCCAAACGTGCTTATGAGATAAACGACAGGGTAACTGTCCACATTGGTCCCAGTTTATGAGGGAGAAGAGATCATAATCTACAAAAATTTGCAAGGTGACCAGGGGAAAAGAGTGTAAGGTCATTTTAGCCCACCTGGGTCTTCACAGAAAATGGAGCACATTTCAGAGCCAAAGTAAAAAATTTGCGTTGTCCTTTGCTAAGAGAGAGATGAAAAGTGACAATACCATGGATTGGGGATGCGTGAGTTCGTTGGCCACATGTAAGATGTTCGTGCTTCTGGGCTCTTATGCATCCCAAGGCGTGCATTTATCCCGGGGGCTGCATCCTTGGCCTGGGAATGAATAGACCCAACTGCAATGGTTGTTAGCGATAGCTTTACGGTGGGACAGTCTCCATAGGGGCTGTGGACTTACCCGTGTTATTATGAAAAGGATCTATTTACTTCTCGGGGACCAACGGCCTTGCGGGGTCCAAGTAACTCGCTCGCAGTCCAAAACTCTGCAACGCTCCACATAACCGTCCTGTAGACCCACAACTCTCCCAGGAGCACAGCCCCAGGACCTAACCCACCGGGTTCTGCTCGCTCACCCAATTCCCAGTGCGAGCGCGCGGGGGAAACGTGCTCGCCTCCCGCACCTGGCTTCCGCGGCCCCGGGAGTCGCCAACTCTCCCAGCAGGCAGCTCCGACAACCCGGACAGCCGGGCCGATCCCCCGCCCCACCACCCGCTCGGCTCTCGCGTCCTCCTCTTCCTCCTCCCGTGGCCCCTTGCCTCCCGCCGTCTGCCTCTGCGGCCGCCGCCTGCGGCTTTGTTTTCCTCCCAGGTCGCATTCCCCACACGTGATTCCGTGTTATTGCAAAGAGGGCTTTGGAGCGCGAGCGCGGGGCGCGCGCACCTATAAATACGGACACCCGGCCCCGGAGCCCGCGAGCCAGCGGCCAGGCGACCGGCGGGCGGCCAGCCAGCGAGCCGAACTAGCCGAGCTAGGTAGCGAGGCGTGCGCGTGGGCCGGGGCGGCGGCGCCCCCATCCCCAGCACCGAGGGGCGAGCATGGCCCGCCCGCGGGGGGGCTGGACCGCCGCGCACGCCGCCCGATCCCCGCGCCCTACCCAGCCCGGGTCGCCGCCGCTCGCGCCCGCCGCTTAGCGCTCGGGCGCCGCTCGCTTCTCCGGGCATCGCGGAAATCCCGCCGCAGACGGACACAATGGCGGCGGCGGCGGCGGCCGCCACCACGGCCGCCTGCAGCAGCGGCAGCGCCGGCACCGACGCCGCGGGCGCCAGCGGATTGCAGCAGCCGCCGCCGCAGCCCCAGCCTCAGCCCGCGGCCGCCGCGCCGGCCCAGCCGCCGCCCGAACCCCCCCGGAAGCCGCGCATGGACCCGCGGCGCCGCCAGGCTGCCCTCTCCTTCCTCACCAACATCTCGCTGGACGGCCGGCTGCCGCCGCAGGACGCGGAGTGGGGCGGTGGCGAGGAGGGCGGCGCGGCCAAGCCGGGCGCCGGCGGCGCCTGCGGCGCGAGGACTCGGTTCAGCTTGCTCGCCGCTGCCGAGCGGGGCGGCTGCATCGCGCTCGCCGCGCCGGGCACGCCGGCTGCGGGGTTAGCCGCTGGGTCCGGCCCCTGCCTCCCACAGCCCTCGTCGCTGCCGCCCTTGATTCCTGGCGGCCATGCGACCGTGTCCGGCCCCGGGGTGGCGCGGGGGTTCGCGAGTCCCCTGGGCGCCGGCCGGGCGTCGGGGGAGCAGTGGCAGCCGCCCCGGCCGGCGCCTCTCGCCGCCTGTGCCCAACTGCAGCTGCTCGACGGGTCCGGGGCCGCCGGGCAGGAGGAGTTGGAGGAGGACGATGCCTTTATCAGCGTGCAGGTGCCGGCGGCCGCCTTTTTGGGCTCCGGGACCCCCGGGAGTGGGAGCGGCAGTCGGGGACGCCTCAACTCGTTCACTCAGGGAATCCTGCCCATCGCCTTCTCCAGGCCGACTTCGCAGAACTACTGCTCCCTGGAGCAGCCAGGCCAGGGCGGCAGCACCAGCGCCTTCGAGCAGCTGCAGAGGTCCCGGTGAGTATCCGGGATGCGACGCGCACCCAACCCTGCGTCCCGCCCGGCGCTCCCAGCCTCCCCGCGGTCTCTGGGCTACGGGACACGGGTTGCTCCCATTTTCCCGCGCCCTGCCGGATCCTGTGCTCCGGGCCCGAATCCCAAACCACGAGGGCACCCAAAAGAGGGGGCGTCCCCAGGGAGTGCGGGGTTACACGTGTTTGCACGAGCCCAGCATTCGCAGAGGAGCACCGCGCTTGTGCAGTGGGTCGGGAATTGGGAGTTGCAGGAGCCCAGTAGAAAGCGGCGTCCGAGCCTCCCCACACGAGATCACAAACTTCCTGAAACCCGGTCCAGACCCGGAGGCGCACTCTTCCCCGCGTGGGGCGAGACTCGGCCGGGCGCAGAGTGGAGCAGTGCAGGCCGGCAGCTGAGCGGCGCGTGTGAGCCTGAACTTGTAGCAGACACGCGTGACCCTCCGGAGAAGTTCTTGCCTGCGCTCCAAGTCTTCTTGCGGCCCGGGGAAACTTGGCTTTTTCCATTTGCTTTCCTGAGCAATGGAAAGTCCTTCTTACATTGCCTCCAACTAGGCCTAGGGGGGTGGGGAACAAAGAGGAAATAGGGCTTGAGGGATTTTTTTCCTATTCCAAGATGAATTTGCTTGAGTTCGTTAAACGCTTGTTTTACTTGTTTGTTAGCTGAAGTTATCTGGCGGCATTAGGCGTCTTAGCAAAAACATGAAACGCTGGACGTTTGCTTATTGTTCAGGAAATAGAGTTTGTCACCATGTATTATTCTAAGGGGCAGTCGGAGGTTGGGACTGTGTGAACTGAAGCTTGCAAAAGAAGTAGGCGAGTAGGCGGGAACAGGTGGGGAAATGCAGATCCGTTCCTAGGGAGTGCCCTCCCTTGTTGGTTAATAAGGCCTCTTGTGAAGTTAGCAATAGCATAGACCCTACCTTGACAAAGTTGTTTTAACTTCTTGGGGCCTCAGTTATCCCTTCTGGGAAAGAATGACTTTCTCTGCTAGAATTTCTCTCTCCTATCATGCTTACCTGAAAGCTTGATCTGGCCCAAGTAAGAAGGTGCCTATGGGAAAACTTAACTTCCTCCCGCAATGGACAAATGGGGGAAGAACAGGCCCGCCTCATCCACAAGTTTGCCCCTAGTGTACTTCTTCCGAAGTGGGTGAAATCATGAGGGTGCTAGTTATGTAGCCTCGCTGTTTGAGTGCGCATGGCCCGCAAGCCAGGGGTGTGGAACCGGGGAAGCAGCCTCATAAGTGCATGGATGAATTAGCGACACTGGGCACAGGTGACAGCCCTACTCCAGTATTTCTTGTCAGAGCATGCATCTCCCCCGCAGCAGGTGAGGGCAGGGAGGTGGTATCCCTTGTTTCTGGGTGAGTCCTGCAAACTCAGCGTTTCTGGGCAGCTCAGTATTACCGCTTGACATCACACACTGGCTCATGGTGACTCCAGACTTGCAGCCTAAGCCCAGCAGTCAAGAGGGTTATGACAGGAATTGTAATAAACATACGTGTTATTCTAAGCCAGTGTGCAAAGCTGGCTTGTGTCTCCTGATGGACAGATGTGTCCTCCATGCTAAAGGCAGCTGGAGATCAGATTACCTCGCACGCTTTCTCCAAGAAACTCATTTCAGGGGATATGGAAGATCTTGTGTGTTCGCATTTCTGAACCAAAGAATATCCAGAACGCCACCTCCAATCCTATAAATATGAATCTTTTAGGCGTTTTATTGATCCTTTTCACCTCGGCACACACATTAAGATGAATTAATCACTGGAAGATGCTTCTTTACCTGACAGTCACTTTCATCCTATTTCTGAATAATCCGTATCTGGCAACCTGATAGGCTTTTATAAAATTACAGCTGTGAACAGAAACAGCTTAAATTTTGGGTACAAAGGGGAAAAATAGGTTACACTGATTTAAGAAAGGCGGAAAGGCTAGCTTAGCTGTGGAGAGGCTGCAGACTTGAAATATCCCAGGATGCTTTGTTGCCAACACCACGCCGCTTGTCTTATCACTAGAGTACTTGCACCTGCCTAGTTGAAGTGTGCTGAGAGCACAGACTCACTTGAATAAGGCCCGAGGCCAGCTTTTCTGGTTTCCATTTGTGGAAACCTTTCCTGGTGTGCCTCCCTGCTAGCCTGTGTGTTTCCATGTACATGTTACCTCACGGATGGTCTCCTGGGATGTTTTCATATCAAATTGTATTTTCCTTGGATTCATTTCTTGCCATTAGTGGAATTCCATAGCACCTTGCTGCTCCAGAATGTGGGCTTTGCACCTTCAGCTTCACTGGGAGCAGTTAGAAATGCAGACTCTTCCCTACTCCAGACTACGTGAGTCCAGATCTGCAGTTTAACGAGATCCTCAGGTGATTTGTATACAAATTAAATTTCGACAAGTGTTGCCACAGTGTATCTGAAATCTGCCCTTTAAAAAAAATGAATTTGAGGTTTTATATATTGGGTTTGTTTTGGGTATATAAAAATTAGAATGTCGGGCCGGGTGTGGTGGTGGCTCACGGCTATAATCCCAGCACTTTGGGAGGCCGAGGCAGGTGGATCACCTGAGGTCAGGAGTTCAAGACCAGCCTGGCCAACATGGTGAAACCCCATCTCTACTAAAAATACAAAAAATTAGCTGGGTGTATTGTTGTGCCCCTGTAATCCCAGCTACTCGGGAGGCTGAGGCAGGAGAATTGCTTGAACCCAGGAGGCGGAGGTTGCAGTGAGCCAAGATTGTGCTATTGCACTCCAGCCTGGGCAACAAGAGTGAAACTCCATCTCAAAAAAAAAAAAAAAAAAAAATTAGAATGTCTCCCAATCTGCAATCTTGAAACCCTTTCTTCTTGGTTACTTTCATTGGAACACTTGTAAAACCAATCACAAATAATTGCTTGGACTTCCAAACTTCACAACACACAGGGAGGAAAATTCTGTGCACAAGCCTTGGCACAAGGTGCACAGTAAATGCCTGTGGAGGCAATGATTACACCACCTCTGTTCACTGGACTGGATTCTTGACATCTATTGTATTTAGCCCTCACAGCCACCCTGAGTATAGATTCTTTCACAGGTGAGGAGAACATAGGCTCAGAGAGGTTGAGTAATTTCTCCCAGCTACTGAGAGGCACATATGATAATCTAACTTAGTTGGGCCAGGATAGGAACCTGGATCATTGATGTCCAAGCTCTGCCACTCTACCATGTCACTATGCCTTGCACACAATAGGCCCATAGATAATTTTTGAGCTGTTGGCTGTAAATGTTTGTGTATTATACAACTGTCCCGTCGTACTGGTATAATTCAACACCCCATTTGTTATCCTCCCAAATTTAGCCTCTTCGTTTGCATCCCCTAGCTTTGCTATTTCACCATCTCTATTCTGTTGGGGTGTCCAGGGAACCCAGGATGGTGGGCCTGGGTTCCTCCCCGCCTCACAGACGGGACTCCAGCACTGGGAAGCCAACAGGCTGGGTTTGCTGTCAGGTGCAGTGTCAGAGGTGGGAAACCAAGAAGATGCCTCTTAGCTTCATGCCTATCGTGTTTCTCTGCTCTGGCGGTGAATGGTGCATCTGGAAGGTGTTAATAGGTGAAAGGGAGTGTGAATTTATAAGGCCTACATTAAGGCTTCCATTCACTTCAAAAACTTCCTTGCAACCAGCAGTTGGCCCCAGCCCTGTGTTACTCTACTTCCCGGAGATTCTGGCTAGCGGACAGCTCCCCAGGAGGACATGAAGTTGAGCCCAGGTGAACCACTGTGCTGATGGGAGGGGTGCATGGTGACCAGTGTACTATTTTTCTTTCTTTCGTTTTCTTTCTTTTTTTTTTTTTTTTGAGATGGAGTCTTGCTCTGTCACCTAGGCTGGAGTGCAGTGGCGCCATCGCGGCTCACGGCAACCTCTGCCTCCTGGGTTCAAGCAATTCTGATGTCTCAGCCTCCCGAGTAACTGGGACTACAGGCGTGCGCCACCACGCCTGGCTGATTTTGGTATTTTTTAGTAGAGATGAGGGTTCGCCATGTTGGCCAGGCTGGTCTCGAACTCCTGACCTCAGGTGATCCACCTACCTCGGCCTCCCAAAGTGCTGGGATTGTAGGTGTGAGCCACCGCGCCCCACCCAGGGTACTATTAAAAAATAGCATGAGGGTTTTGCCTCTGAGAACACTTGGGTTAGCATCATGCCTTGTGGGTTTGTGGTACGGAAGAGCCTTAAGTCCTGTGTTCAGATGCTGGTGCCACTGTGACAGCCGTTTGACCCCGGTGGGTTAATCAGCCTTCTGGGTCTGTTTCCTCCTGAGAACCTTGGCTTGTGTCTCAGGCCCTTTCTAGTGTAAAATGCACTTACATTTATAATCGAGGTCTGAATGTGGGCTTGTGCTAAATGCTTCAGATTTGGGCTTCTCAAATGTAAATGCATTTAGAGTCACTTAATCTCTTAAAAGCAGATTCTGTATTTCTAACCAGTTCCCTGGAATGCAGAGTGGCCACCCTTTGAGGAGGGAGGCTTTACCCACTATGATGATTTGTTCCTGTTGTCAGGCCAAGGAACCCAGGGCTCAGGAGATGTTAAGTGGCCTGCCCAAGGCCAGTTGGCAATTAATAGCAGAGCTCAGGCTCACTATTGCTCAGCTGACTTAGAGCTTCTGCCTGCCCCTCCCGCTGCATTGCCCCTCTTTGGAGGAAATCCAGGCTTGTGCTGTAATTGTAATCTATGTCTTGACTGAAAAGAAAAATGTGAGCCCACCACAGATCAAGAATCAGGGTAAGAAAGGGGAGATGGATGCTGTTTCCTAGCTTTTTCACCACCCGCTTTGTGACATCAGGCAAGTCGCCAGTCTGTGTGTGTGTGCCCCAGCTGTGAGCCACCTGACCCCTCAGGATTTCAGAAGTCTGTAAAGAACTTTGATCTCAGCAGTAAGCAAACACAAGTTATTGCTGAGCCATTTTTCCAGCAACCATGGGTTTTGGAGGTCGGAGTTGTAGCCCCAGGCCAGGCGGGGGCCTGTGGATGGTGGGCGCAGTCTGAGGCTTCCCTGCTGCCCTTGTTGCAGTCACAAAGCCTGCAATGTGGGCGAGCTCAGGAGAAATACATAGGAAGCCTGCTCACTGCTGGCAAGTGCCTGGGGAGGCCAGTGAGCTCAAGGGTGAGCTTTTGCTCTCTGAATGGGTGGGGAAGCCATCACATGGCTCTGCGCCACGTGCTCAGTAGCTTTCCCAGGAAGCGCCGATGCCTGGACTTTTTTTCTCTCTTCAGAAAGATAGCGGTGAGGTGGCAGAGAGCCAAGGGCAGGTTTTCTGGAGGGTAGAATAGGAGGCAGTGCAGTTGAGCCTGTGCTGTGACCTGATGTGGCATAAGAGAGGTCAAAGCAGGACTTTGAGACTCCTGGGTTCTGGGTCTTAGTTTCCTTATGGAACTCAGCGGTTGGGACAGATGAGCCTGCCACCCCTTCTGGGTCCACCATTCCACGTGTCTCGGTCCTGTGGCCTGCTGCAGGGTCTGGGGGCATGTTTAGCCTGGGGACGTGTGGATAATCCAACCTCAGAATCAGGTACAAAGTAGCATTAAGTTTGTTCCATGTGGCTCTGATGGGCAGAACATGTAACTAATGAAGGAATAAATGGATGAATGAATAGGGCTGCCCCAGAGTAAGGGAGAACTTTAAAAACTACCTTCAGCTGTGTTCCTTCAGGCACGGGCAATATCGCAGCTGGACTGACAATGTTAGGAGGCCATCCAAGCAGGAAGCCACTGCCTGGGGAGGCAGTCAGTCCCCCAGATGAAACTACCCTCACACCAAGGACATGATCTGTAGTAACCTCTATTGCTAAAGGGCCTTCAGGTTTACAAAGTACTGTTGTACATGTTGATATCAGACCCCAGACACCACAGAGGGGCAGGAGTCCAAGGTCACAGAGTGACCAGGGGGTGACTTAGGTTGCAGTGTTATCTGTCAGTTATGTAGAAAAGGAAATCTTGGTATTGAGACTTAATGCCTTGTATCACTTATTCATTCAACAAACATTGAACACAATGAGTATCAATCATGAGTCACCGCTGTCCTACTCATGGGAGATGGAGGCATAAAACATGGTCCCTGTCTGTGCTGGGTGACATAAGTAAACGGGCAAGTTGGTAGAGTGGTGAGTGAGTGGTTAGAGGTGAGCTTGTTGTTTGAACTCCCCCCACCTGGGGAGGGGTGCAGGGACGTTTCACACCCTTCCCTGTGGCAGCTGGCACAGGGCCTTGGACACGGTATTTTTATTTAACAAATATGTGGCAGGCATTATTCTAAGCACTTTGATGGGACTGAGTTCATACCTAGAAACACCCTGAGACAGTACTACCTTCACCTCCATTTGGAAGCACAGAGAAGTTAAGTAACTTGTCTGGGGTCCTGTGCTCTGACCCACCTCCCTCTGCTGTGCTACAATTTACAGGTCAGGCTCATGCATGCTTGTTAAATAGGCTTCAGCTGAACTGAGCAGAAGTTGACCTAAATGGCCTCAAGGGTTCCCGATCACTTGTGATTTCCTTGTTTCAGTTTCCACTTTTCTGTCATCTAGGGAAGACCTCTGTGCATTTGGGCCCAGAGGACAGGCCAGGTTTTAAATAGGGATTCCTGTGACTCTGGCAATTAACTCCCGCCCTCTGCCTGCCTGTGCTTCCTCTCTTCTTGGCCACAGCTGAATCCCTGACACCTTTATTGCCTCTCTGACTCACCTGGTACATTACACATCTTGTGTTATATAGAGCATGGTACAATTAGCAACAGGAACCTGGCCTCCTAAAGTTTAAAGCTCTGCTGGGTCCTCGTCTGTGAAATGGGAATGATACTACCACCTCCGCCCTGGGCGGGTTTCCCGCTGTATCTTCTCAGCATCACCCTTTCCCCAACTGCCCCTCTGGCTGTTTATAAATAATACTTTCTTGGAAAAACCACACCCACTCGTGCAAGTCTTGCCTTTGGCTGCCTTTGTGCTACAAGGACAGAATCGAGTAGTTGCGACAGAGACCACATGGCCTATTCCCTGGCTTGTCACAGAGTGGTTGTGCTTCCCCCACCCTAGCCCAGTGCTCTGTGCCCAGGAAGTGTGCAGGTCCCCTTGGCCCCTTCCTGCCTGCCTGCACCCTCCTTGCCTTGTTTCACAGCCTGGATAATGTGGTGGCCCGAGGGGCTCCTGGCTTCTGTTTGGACCCCTGTCAATCCCTCCCCCCCTGGGCTGTCAGAGGGACCCTTCTGAAACCCACATCTGATCCTGCCAGTCTTAAATTCCTGGTATTTCAGGCGAGGCAGCTGTTGGCTTGGGTCCTGGTTGCCACTGCAACCTCCCCCGCTCCCACACACCCTCTGAGGCCTGTTGCTGCCATACTGTGTTGTCTTTACAGAGGGCACCCACGCTGCTCCGTGCCCCAGGCTCTGGCACTCTCAGGCTTCTCCTGGGGCAAGGCCTCCCACAAGAGGCCCCTTCCTTCCAGCTCCGTCAGCCACAGAGCCAGCCGCTGCTCTCCCCATGCTCGTACACGCTCCTGGCTGGGCCTCTTCCTTCCCTGTGGATCTGTGCTTCAGCCCTGGTCTGACTGGAGGGCCCCTCCTCCGTGGTCTGGTCAGAGCTTGATGGATTGCCCTGGGGCCAGCTTTTGGTGGAACAGACCACATCTCTCCTCCATAGGGAACACAAATGAAACTCCAATTCCCTAACAGTAAGAGGAGGAAAATTTGATTCTGTTCCCCCACCCCACAACGTTCTAGGTCTTTGTTTTCATCCAGCAGTTGCTCCTGACTCTTAATTTGCTAAAACAATCTGTCATGGGGCTAAGGTGAGACAGATTGTGGAGGCTGCACCACCCAGCCCACCCTACCTGAGCCTGTCTCTCCCACCCTCAGGAGGGAGGTGACTTGTATGGAGTTCTGAGTACCTCTTGTGTGCCACATCCTTCACGTATGTTGTTTTATTTGCGTGGCAGTCTGTGAAACAGGTTGCCTACTTTAGAGCTGAGAAGACTGAGGCTGGATGGTTAAGGAAATTTGTCTAAGGCCACATAGCTGGAATCTAGAGCTAGAATTGAACTTTAGTTTTCCTGGCTTCTAAGCTGGGTTTCTTGCAGACCCTGTAGTGTCTTGGAGCTGACTCCTACCCACTTATTGGAGACGACTGAGGAATCTGAGGTGGTTGCTGAAATCGGTTGTGGTGGGAATATTTACACCACAGGAATCGGCCAATGCTGTAAGTCAAGGTTTTTCTTTTTCCCCTTCCAGAGAGTTGGTTATCAGCATGTGCACCTAAGGCTTTACCACACATCCTTTTTTTTTTTCTTTCTTTTTTTTTTTCTTTGAGACGGAGCCTCACTCTGTTGCCCAGGCTGGAGTACAGTGGCGCAATCTCGGCTCACTGCAACCTCCGCCTCCTGGGTTCAAGCAATTCTCCTGCCTCAGCCTCCCAAGTAGCTGGGATTACAGGTGCCTGCCACCATGCCCAGCTAATTTTTTGTATTTTTAGTAGAGACGGGGTTTCGCCATGTTGGGCAGGCTGGTCTCAAACTCCTGAACTCAGATGATCTGCCTGCTTTGGCCTTCCAAAGTGCTGGGATTACAGGCATGAGCCACCGTGCCTGGCCTAATTTTTGTATTTTTAGTAGAGATGAGGTTTCATCATGTTAGCCAGGCTGGGCTCGATCTCTTGACCTCGTGATCTGCCTGTCTTGACCTTGTGATCCACCCGTCTCGGCCTCCCAAAGTGCTGGGATTACAGGTGTGAGCCACTGTGCCTGGCTCACACATCCTTTTTGTCCTGTTCTCCTCTTTGGGGGCTGTGCAAAATGTCGCTATCAAAGGAAGCATGTTGAAAACCAGAAGTTTTTATAAGAATCTGCTGCTTAACATAATGATGTAAATTTTCCCCAGGGTCACCATTATCCATTTTTTCCACTTTAGAAAAATATCTGTCCCCCTCAAGTTTCAGCCTGTGTACCATTTAAACACCAAACTTTTCACAGATTCTGGGGCTCAGACCACTTAGTATTACATACGGGAATCATGAAATCATTAGCTATTACCCTGTTTTACCAACTGTGTAATGTTGTATTTTTATGTTTGTTTGATTTTGAAAAGCCTCTAAGAACGTATAATTAATTGGAGTTTGCTAGTTTGTCTTTTCCTCTTTGTTTTAGTAGTTTGGATGGCTACGCACTAGATCATATTTAATGAGGTTATCATTCATTGTGGTTTGGGGCTTATTACTGCACATTTGGTCACAGACAAGAGCTTGTAAAGCAGAACGTGCAAATACCAGGGGCTTATGACTTTAGAATATTGTAATGATATGTGTGTGCAAGAGGGACCCAATCTTGTCCCTGGTTTAAAGCACAGGGTATATGTAAATCTAAGTTAGGTTTTACGATAAACAGAAGAAAAACCATTCAACCAGATACTAGTAAAATATTCAAAAATGCCAAAAATGTTTATGTGCCTAGCACGTTGATTTTTATTTTAAAGCACTTTACTCATTGACCAAATTATTTATAAAGCAAAATGTCTACTTCGATAGTTTTAAGAAGGGCTGGGTGGCGGGGTAGAGGAACAAATGTAAGGAGCTGGAAGATATTCAAAGTCTAAAGTTTTTTGCTTAAGGACAAAAACTGGCATGTTAGGGGGACAAACGGTTGATGTGATGTTGAATGGTAGTTCTTTTTTTTTTCTTTTGGAGATGGAGTCTTGCTCTGTCGCCCAGGCTGGAGTGCAATGCCATGATCTTGGCTCACTGCAACCTCTGCCTCCCGGGTTCAAGCGATTGGCCAGGCTTGTCTCGAACTCCTGACTTCAAGTGATCAGCCTGCCTCAGCCTCCCAAAGTGCTAGGATTACAGGCGTGAGCTACCCTGCCCAGCCTGAATGGTAGTTCTTGATGAATTATTTTATTTATTGAGTTGAATAAAGTTTGTTTTTGGAGGGTGAGTAGTGAAGAAGGAAGATGAGATTACAAATGTCTCAATTGTAGGATTCCATTTATCCATCACAAAACGATTGATAGTATTATAAGTTCTGTTTATTTGTTTGATGCTTAACAGCTTAAGAAGTACTTTTTTAAAAATCAAGTAATTTCAGAAAGGCAATGTGGTAGCTGTTTTATGGATTTGAAAGTCACTATGTGGTAGAGCTAGAGTTTTAACATTTACATTTTCTAAGTTGAGAGTTTTCAAAACAAAAACTCTATCGTAGCTGTACCATTTTAAGAAAAACGTAAGAAAGAATCAACTAAGTACTGTAGAATTTTATTCTCCTTCCAGTCTCAAATCTTCTACTTGTGAGTTCGTTAACCAAAATGCTAGGGCCTCATCTGTTTAAGACCTATGGGCTGGAGTCAGTCAAGGTCAGTATGTTAAAGTACAAAGAAATATTGTGCTATAGTTTTGGCAAGCCAGCGCCTTCTCATCAAGCGAGCATGCTGATTTTCACGTGATAACCTCGGGCAGGCCAATAGAACCCTGATTTGGGTCCAGAGTCATGGAAAATTTTCCCAATAACAACAGCTCTCTCCAGATAATATTAATAGCTTGGTATCAGTTCCTCCCGCAGGGAGTAAGCTCCTTCTTCTTCCTGCACCCCTGCCGCTAGGCCTCTGTCTCAGCAAAATGGGTGAGCAGAAGAGTGGAAAGACCAGCTTTGGAGCTCCATAGCTCTGCCGCTTAACGGCACCTTTTGGACAACACGCTTAACCACTCTGAACCTCACGTTCTCACCTGTAGTATGGGGATAAGGACTCCAGTACTTTTGGGGTGTTGCAAATATTAAAATAAGAATGCAGAATGCAACACTAAACACCTAGCAAAGGTTTGGCCCTTAGTGATTGAGCAGGAAAATTGTAGCTGTTATTTCCATTCACAATTGCACTGCACCTTACACTGTCCAAGAAGCCGTTGAGAAATTTGACAAGGTCTGCTCTGATCGTGAGGAGCTGATCCTGAACAGCTACCTTGCTGCATTGTTTTAGTTTCATCAGTAGTAGTGAAATCAGAGCAGCAGAGAGAAACAGTACCCCTCTGTTTGGTGCTGCATTTTGCCCCTGCTTACGCTGGAATCGTGACAATTTCTATTGCCAAAATAAAGCAAGGTAGGGGGAATTCACATGTTCATCCTTGTACCTTTAGAGCAATGAGGCTGTGAGGTGAAGAGCAACAACCGGTTTTGCCCACACCCAGGCCCAGGAAGACGCTGCCCTACTTGGAGGGTCCCGCAGCCCACGTGGGGCACATGCTGGGGGAGGGCTACCTCCAGAGACAATTTGAGAAGACCCAACTTTTGTCACTCGTTATCAGAGCTATAGCCCTCATTCCATGGTCTGCGTGCTGCCTGCTTGGCCTCCTTTTTTTTTTTTTTTTTTTTTTTTTTTTGAGACGGAGTCTCGCTTTGTTGCCCAGGCTGGAGTGCAGCGGCGTGATCTCGGCTTACTGCAGGCTCCGCCTCCTGGATTCACGCCATTCTGCTGCCTCAGCCTCCCGAGTAGCTGGGACTACAGGCGCCCGCCACCATGCCCGGCTAATTTTTTGTATGTTTAGTAGAGACAGGTTTTCACCATGATAGCCAGGGTGGTCTCGATCTCCTGATCTCATGATCCACCCGCCTCAGCCTCCCAAAGTGCTGGGATTACAGGTGTGAGCCACCACGTCTGGCCCGCTTGGCCCCCATTTCTAAGCAGGATACCCTCTCCCGTGTGAGGGCTCCTCAGGGTCTGTGTGGCCATGATGTGGAGTTGAGTTGGGTGCTACGTGGGTGCCTTGGCCTCACCTTTCAGCCCCGTTTCCCCTCTGCACATGGCTTCTACCTCCTCTCCTTGACCCCATGGTTAAACAGAGTTGGGTCTTTGTCCAGGGATCCCATTTGGCATTGGGTCAGCAGGGACTTCTATGTCGATTCTGCACACACATCTGCATGCCAGGCAAGTGTGGCCTTGTTCAGAGATAAATGGGGCCCAGTGCCCATTCCAGAAGAGGACAGCCCAGCACAAGGCAGCTGGACTCTGGGGCAGCCGGACAGGTTAGGGGCCACCATTCCTGCAGTAGGAGCAGTGATTGTCCTGGAGATGCCCTTGAAACTGGGCCTTCAGGTCAGCTGTGACCTCACGGTGGGTGCACTGTGGCAAAGCACATTGGATGCTTGGTTTAAGACGGTGAGTTTAATCCAGAGGAAAACGGGAAGACTTTGAATAGGCACAGGTGTGAGCAGAGCTGGATTTTTCAAAAGTGGTGACAGGTTGAATGGAGGAAGGAAACTATAGCAGTGCTCTTTTTTTGAGATGGAGTCTTGCTCTCTCTGCCCAGGCTGGAGTGCAGTGGCGTGATCTCAGTTTACTGCAACCTCTGCCTCCCAGGTTCAAGCAATCCTCCTGCCTTAGCTTCCTGAGTAGCTGGGACTTCAGGTGTGTGCCACCATGCCCAGATAAATTTTTTTTGTATTTTTAGTAGAGATTGGGTTTTGCCATGTTGTCCAGGCTGGTCCCCAACTCCTGATCTCAGGTGATCCACCTGCCTCAGCCTCCCAAAGTGCTGGGATTGCAGAGGTGAGCCACTGCGCCTGGCCTCATGCTTTTTGTTTTTAACCCCTTTGGCATCCTAATTGTCTCTTCAGATAAATCAACCTGTACTCATCCAAAATTTTTACTTTTAGGAAGTTTGTCTACTTTTTTTTGAGATGGAGTCTCGCTGTTGCCCAGGCTGCAGTGCAGTACTACAATCTTGGCTCACTGCAGCCTCTGCCTCCAGGGCTTGAGCCACCTTCCCACCTCAGCCTCCTCAGTACTTGGGACCCACAGGTATGTGCCACCTTGCCAGTAAATTTTTGTATTTTTAGTGGAGACAGGGTTTCACCATGTTGCCTAGGCTGGTCTCGAACTACTGAGCTCAAGCAGTGTACCCACCTCAGTCTCCCAAGGTGCTGGGATTATAGGAGTGAGTCACTGTGCCCAGCCATGGAATTTTTGGAAAAAAAAGCTAAACTCTATCCTGGATACGTCTGTTTTTGTTTGATTCTTTGGCGTGTTAGCCCAGTAGTTTTCAGAATGTGCTCTCTGGACCAGCGGCGGCCAGGAACTTGTTAGAAACACGATCCCCAGGCCCAGCCTCAGACCCACTGGGTCAGAAGCTCTGGGGCGGGGCCCAGCAATCTATTTCAACAAGGCCCCAACTTGCGCCTGTCGCCCGTTCAGGCTTGGGAGCAGCCACTGTGGACAAAGCCTTGTGTACCTCCAGCTTTACTGGACCTTCTGGAAGATGTGAACAGTGTCTAGTGCTCCAGAAAAGATTTTATTTATTCTAGCACAAATGGACAGAAGTTATCGCTGATGTGGGGGCTCTGCTATCCAGGTAATGCAGGGTTGAGGTTGAGGCTTGGCATCACCACCGTTAGGCTCGCCACTCCTTTTCTGTCCCGACACGGCCATGCTCTGTCTCTGGTGAACTTCTAGGCTTGGCTCTGATGATTCCCTTTTGCATTGGCTTTCCCTGCCTCCTTGTGTCTGGGGTATATGTTCCCTCATCTGTGTCCTAAAGCATTTCCTCTCCACCTCTATTTTAAGGTCATAGTAGTTGGTGTTTGTTTTTTTTTTTTTTTTTTTGAGACGGAGTCTTGCTCTGTCACCCTGGCTGGAGTGCAGTGGCGCGATCTTGGCTCACTGCCAGCTCCACCTCCCGCGTTCATGCCATTCTCCTGCCTCAGCCTCCCGAGTAGCTGGGACTACAGGTGCCCGCCACCACGCCTGGCTAATTTTGTGTGTGTATGTGTATTTAGTAGAGATGGGGTTTCACTGTGTTAGCCAGGATGGTCTCAATCTCCTGACCTCGTGATCCGCCCACCTCGGCCTCCCAAAGTGCTGGGATTACAGCCGTGAGCCACCACGCCCAGCCAGGTCGTAGTAGTTTTTCAAGTATCCAAGCAGATTTGTGGACAGCCTCTGCCCTGTGCCAAGCACTGGGATATGGGGGAGCCCCGGAGGGGTGGGACCCCTGCCACCACAGACCTTAGTGGCTCGTGCTGGCAATGGGGAAAAGAGGCAACCAAACCAACTATAAGTAGACTAAACTCTGGAGGGTTCGGTGAAGGGTCGTGGGAGTCTGTGAACTTCTATTAGGTGTTGTGACTGGGAAAGGCTTTCTCGGGAAGATGAGAAAGCAGTTCACCACCGAGAGATGGGACGCAGGTTTCAGGCATGGGGAGCCGTGTGTTCTAGGGTCCTGAGATGCCGATGCACTTGATCTGTTGCAGGAAGAAGGCCAGGGTGGTTGGAGCATAGTGAACTCGGGGAGCCAAGGGGGCTGACCTGAGAATCGGGCGGATGCCTCATAACGCTAAGAGCTCTCATTGTCTTTATTAGAAGCCGCTGGGGAGCACAGTGCCCTGGCCTACGTTTTTTTTTTTTTTTTTTTGAGAGGCAGAGTCTCGCTCTGTTGCCCAGGCTGGAGTGCAGTGGCGCGATCTCGGCTCACTGCAAGCTCTGCCTCCTGGGTTCACGCCCTTCTCCTGCCTCAGCCTCCCGAGTAGCTGGGACTACAGGCACCCGCCACCACGCCCGGCTAATTTTTGTATTTTTTAGTAGAGACGGGGTTTCACTGTGTTAGGCAGGATGGTCTCGATCTCTTGACCTCATGATCCGCCTGCCTCGGCCTCCCAAAGTGCTGGGATTACATGCGTGAGCCACTGTGCCGGGCCTCCCTGGCCTACGTTTTAAGGTCCCGCTAACTGCCATGGATTGAAGGAGGACAGACATGGATGTGAGACCTCTGGCAGCCTCTTGCCTTTAGGCGAGAGCTTCCTGCTGAGACACACAGTAGCCTGGACAGAGGTAGAGATGGTGAAGGGTGGGTGGATGGCAGGTGCGTCTTGGAGGTAGAGCTGATAGAACTTGTAGGGAACTTGAATGTTCCCTGCCATTGGTGGAGCTTTTGTCTAATTGGAGAGAAGCTCTTGAGTAATCCACCGACAGATGGAAGACTGCAGGCCTGGGGTGAGTCACAGAGCGGGGACAGCCTTGATCCTGTTGGCCTGTGATAAGTGATGGTGGATTGGACTGCACTGTGGCAGGTTGAGGAAGGCTTGCTTCGGGAGGTGACTGCTGAACTAAGGTCTAAGAGTGGACAGGTATCAAGGACTTGACAAGGGCTAGAAGGATTGGGGCAGACAGGAAGAGCAGCTGGTGCAGACCAGGGCCAGAAGGGCTCATGCAGGCAGGAGGAGCAGCGGGTTTGAAGAAACGAGAGTGCTGATGCTGTGGGCCAGGCAGGACATGGGGGCCACTTGCACCACAGTGGTAGCGAAGCGGGTGGAGAGAAGTGAACGGACTCAACAGAGATGAAAGGCACAATGGAGATGGATTAGATACGGAGCAGGGGGAGTGGAAGGCATTGAGGAGACTCCGGGGTTTCAGGCCTATGGACTGATTGGGTAGCAGTGCCATCTCTGAGACAGGAGTATTAGCTTGATCCAGTGTTATGAGTTTAAAAATGCTACCAAGCTAGGCATGGTGGCCTGTGTCTATAATCTTAGCTATCTGGAGGCTGAGGTGGGAGAATTGCCTGAGCCCAGGAGTCCAGCCTGGGCAACATAGTGAAACCCTGTCTTTAAAAAAAATTAATGAATGAGCTAAAATGCTACTTGGCAGAAAAATTGTGTAACTAAAGATGACCCTATTTCTTCTCATTGCCTATTTCTCCCCCTAATCCTTGCCGTTACTGTCCTAATGGCTTGAGGTAATATATCTGTAGGGTCTTAAGTAACTTGTTGATTGAATATTTACGTATGGAGATTTTCCTTTTTCTCCCAAGGTGGAGAATGATATTTATGGTTAGATACCATCTCAAGTTTATAATCGTTTGGTCTAATTTTTTTTTTTTTTTTTTGAGACGGTCTCACTCTATTTCCCAGGCTAGAGTGCAGTGGCAAGATCTCGGCTCACTGCAACCTCTGCCTCCTGGGTTCAGGCGATTCTTATGCCTCAGCCTCCCGAGTAGCTGGGATTACAGGCACCTGCCATCATGCCCGGCTAATTTTTGTATTTTTGGTAGAGATGGGGTTTCACCATGTTGGCCAGGATGGTCTCAAACCCCTGACCTCAAGTGATCCGCCTGGCTCGGCCTCCCAAAGTGCTGGGATTATAGGCTCGAGCCACCATGCCAGGCCTTGGTCTAAAATTTTTTTATTTTTTATCTTTTTTGAGACAGAGTTTCGCTCTTGTTGCCCAGGCTGGAGTGCAATGGCGTGATCTTGGCTCACTACAACCTCCACCTCCCGGGTTCAAATGACTCTCCTGCCTCAGCCTCCCGAGTAGCTGGGATTACAGGCGCCCACCACCACGCCCTGCTGTTTTTTGTATTTTTAGTAGAGACAGGGTTTCACCATGTTGGCCAGGCTGGTTTTGAACTCCTGACCTTGTGATCCGCCTACCTTGGCCTCCTGAAGTGCTGGGATTACAGGCGTGAGCCACTACGCCTGGCTGGTCTAAAATTTTTAATGTTACTTTTTTTTTTCCCTCCCAGGCTGGAGTGTAGCGGCATAACCTTGGCTCACTGCAGCCTCGACCTCCTGGACTCAAGCAATCCTCCCACCTCAGCCACCCAAATAGCTGGGCCTACGGGCATGCACTACCACACCTGGCTAATTTTTATATTTTTTTTGTAGAGATGAGATTTCACCATCTTTCCCAGGCTGATCTCAAACTCCTGGGCTCAAGCCATCTGCCTGCCTCAGCCTCCCAATGTGCTAGGATTACAGGCATGTGCCACTATGACCAGCAATATTACCTTTTAAGATTAATTTTGAACACAACAATTTAAAAAAAATAGGCTGGGGCTGGGTGCAGTGGCTCATGCCTGTAATCCCGGCACTTTGGGAGGCTGAGGCAGACAGATCACTTGAGGTCAGAAGTGCTAGACCAGGCTGACCAACATGGTGAAACCCTGTCTCTACTAGAAATATAAATAGTAACCAGGCGTGGTGACACATACCTGTAATCCCAGCTACTCGGGAGGCTGAGGCAGGAGAATCGCTTGAACCCGGGAGGTGGAGGTTGCAGTGAGCAGAGATCGCACCACTGCACTCCAGCCTGGGCAACAGAGCAAGACTCCATCTCAAAAAACAAAAAATAGGCCAGGCACCATGGCTGATGCCTGTAGTCCCAACACTTTGAGAGGCTGAGGCGGGCAGATCACTTGAGACTAGGAGTTTGAGACCAGCCTGGCCAACATGGCAAAACCCCATCTCTACTAAAAATATAAAAATTAGCTGAGTGTGATAGCACACACCTGTAATCTCAGCCACCTAGGACGCGGAAGCACAAGAATTGCTTGTAACCAGGAGGCAGAGGTTCCAGTGACCCGAAGTCACACCACCCACTCCAGCCTGGGTGACAGAACAAGACTGTCTCAAAAAAAAATTGTAGAAATGTCCCAAATCAGATTTCATTTATTCAATTTCAGTTGAACACATATAGTCTTCTAATTAAAAAAAAAATCTAGAGCAAGATCATTAGCTTTTTCAAACAATTTCTAGTTCAACTTGCACATGTTTGTATCTGATTGCCAAGTGCTGAAGTCTGAGTGATCTCACATGTGAAGAAGATGCCTTCTGGAAACCTCATAATCATGTGCCGCGGTAACTAAACAAGCACCCGGTGTGCTGTCCATTTGTTCTTGCTCGGCAAGTCAAATTAAGGCTGAGGTGCAGTCTCCACATACAGCAGCAGTTATGTCTTTCTCCCATTTTATTGGTGGTTTTTCATAATAGCGTGCCTGTTTAACTTGATCATCTACCGAGCCATAGGGAAATTGCACATCCCACATCTGCCGATTCCTTAATCTTCTTGAGCCTTTGTTATCATCTGTAAAGAGGGGGAGACGATATTTAACAATCGGGTGCCTCGTAGTGTGACTGCGAAGAGCAAATCTGAGATCTCTGTAAGGCACTTACAGTACCTAGAACATAGTTCTCAGTAAATATCTAATGGGACTCTTGTATCCCATATACTCTGTTGGTGCCGTACAGATTTTGTAGGGGCTGATGTCACCATGTCAGCAAGGGATTTGAACTTTAGAGAATTGAGTTTTCTCACCAAGTCATGTAGAGCAGGGATCCCTTCTAACGGAAGCCCATCCTCTCCCACTCTGCTCTCTTGCCTTTTGACACGTGTGACATTTTATCTAAACAAATTTTGTGACCTTCCTGAACAAAACAGGTTGTTTTAGGATGGGCCAGTGTTTCTGGACACCTGTACTGTTCAACACTTGCACTGTCTAAGAACATACGCTGATATTCATGTCATTTACCCATCCAGCCCCTGTTGGTGGGAAGCTGCTATGTGTGTACAGAATGACTAAACCAGACTTTTTTATTTGACCCTGTTTGCTACAAACGTAATTGAATAATTGGGGCCTGGCAGATCGGAAGCAATAGGAACAATATATTTCAATCCAGTACTCTGTGAGCAGCAGCATTTCACAGAGCCAGAAATAATTTAGCCTGTAGAGCTTATTAAGAAGTGCAATGTTCGTTATGCGTAACTTCAGTTCTGTTAGAGCCAAGAAAATAAAAGTCAAGGCTGAAATATAAGGAAATGAATAAGATACATGGAGGCTGGTGAGATCTGGAATAAAAAAAATATTTACATAGGAGTTCAGCTTTGATTTTATATTGTCACAAATTGGTACCAGATGCCTGCATTTCAGACAGACTCCTGAGCTGATCCCAGAGTGTGAGTTGGGAAACAAATCACTTTGCCATTTGGAAGGCTGATTGATATTTTAGGAGTTTCTTTTTGTTTTCAAAGGGAAAATAATGCATATTATAGACCTAGCAAACAGAACTTTTGTAAATGGCAATTAACAGAAGATGCCCAAGTGAGGAAGTCTCCAGTTTCTTTTTATAACCCTGGCAAAAGTAATGGAGGTGACATTTTATTAGCATTGGCATCTCCCGCTTACAATGGGAGCTAGTTCAGCCTTGTTGAGCCGTGTCCAGAGCTGGTAGCTTCATTTCCATTTTCCTTCAACCTCAGGGAGAAACACAAGGGTATTTCTGTCTGGGGCGGCAGGACCTCATGTGGTCTCCACGTGGCAGGATCCTAGAATCACGGGGTGGCAGTACATATTTTCCCCTATGGCTTTAAGAAAATGGCTTTTCATTTTGAGTCTTAGGTTTGGTCTCAACAGTGCTTGCTTAGCCTCCAGGCCATTTTTCTTCCTGGTGTTTGAATGACTCATAAAATGAGTTTGGAGTGGTCTGAAGCCTCTGCCTCCTTCCTTGAATGCTTTCTAAGAGGGGCTGCCATGCAAGAATATATGCTGATTTTCCCATGTAAGTTGTCAGAGGATCGCCTGGGTGACCCAGAGAGCTGAGTCTGTTTTTTTGGCTCCCCCCTTTGGATGCTGACGGTCTTTGTTGGAAATTGATCTCTGAGGCTCAGCCTGGAAAAGCGGGATGTCAGTCCTGATGTGGGCCAGCAGCGGGGGCTGGAGGGTGGTGTGAATGGCATGAGGTCATCTGGAACAGAGGGGGGGCTCCATGGAGGGTCCTCCAGCCCCCAAGACCAGCCTTGGTATTTCCTACAGGGGCTGGGCCATAGGCTCTCACATGGATAAGAAGGAACCTCGGAGGCCCTGGGAGGTGAGCCTGCCGTGTGCTTCTGAGCTCCATAGACCTTGGATGGAGGGACGAGAGCCCTTGTCTCTGTTCTCTGGGTTGATGCTGGCCAAAGGCTGCTTGGCTGTGAAAGGGAGGGAGACCTGGAGGCCCAGCGGGCACCAAGATTGTGTGTTTCCTGTTTCGCTTCAGGACCCTGGACGTCAGTGCCTGTGCTTTGTCCTCCTATAGTAGCTGCCTCTACTCGGAGGGAGTGAATTTTCATTATACAACTTTTAGCTAATATAGTCAAATCTCATTACCCCCAGTAGTTTGTTTTATAAAGTTGCTGCAAGCACTGAATTAGGAAATACTGATCCATTGCTCCGGAGGCAAATACATGGGTAGCTATGTTCCTGTGAGCCTCTGGTCACACGTTTCCGTCATCTGATCAATGTATACCTTGTCCTAGGTGCATTTCCATTTAAAGACACCTAATTTAATATATATTATTGACTCTTCATTGACAGCGGCATTGTAACACATTCCTGAATAAGGCTTCTTGAACATGTTTTTTCTCTGTAAGGCACACTGCAGCCTGCTTCTGCTTAGGAATGCTAGACAGCACTTCAGCACTGTGCTTGGGACCCTTTTAAACAGTGAAATCACCAGCAAAAAGCACAAAAATGCAAAAAATATGGCACTAAAAATGCTAAGAAAAAGACAAGAATGAGCTGAGAGAAGGCATGTAGCCTTGGTCACCTCAACTAGGAATCTGTGTGTTGGGTGACTCAAATTTTTTGCCACTTTGTACACACTCATGTCAGCGAAATAACCATGAAAGTGCCATGAGTGTCCATTTTGGGGTTACAAATAAATTTTAGCAAGTAGGACTGGACTCGGTGGCTCACACCTGTAATCCCAGCACTCTGGGAGGCCAAGGCAGGAGGATCACTTGAGCGTGGGAGTTGGAGACCAGCCTGGGCAGTATGGCTTAACCCCATCTCTGTTTTATTTAGAAATACATATATATGTTAAAAATAATTTAGCAGGTCGGCAAGTCTGCAAATATAGAACCTGGGGATAATGAGGATCAGCTGTACTTTATCCAGGTAGTAAAGGCGGGGGGGCGGTGGCTTCTCTAGATTGAGGGGTCCTGGAAAGAATCTGCTTTCTCTTTTACAAAGGCCTGCCTCAGCCCATCTCACTTATTCCTCATACCCTTGAGGTGGGAAGGGCTGGCTTTCTGTCCTCTTCCCTGTTGATCAGGAAGCCAAGAATCAGAGAGCCAGTGTGACCCAGGCATATGGCAGAAGGAAAGTGGAATATTTCAGGCTCTGAAGGCCTCTTCCTTCTCACCAGGCTGTGCTGGCAAGATAGGAAGAGTGCCTTAAATGATGGAATTTAAATGCTGACATCATATTTTAATACCATTTAAAAAGAAATATTATTATCTCTTCTTAATAATTTCTATATGATTTAATTAGATGAAAATCAGCATAGTAGCCAGGCATAGTGACACGTGCTTATAGTCCCAGCTACTCTGAAAGCTGAGGTGGGAGGATCACTGTACTCCAACCTGGGCAACAGAGCGAGACCCTGTCTAAAAAAATAAAATAAAATAGACTGCAGCATAGGATGGTGATTTGGAGTGTAAATCCTGGAGCCAGACTGCCCAGGTTTGAATCCTGGCTTTGCTATTCTCCACGTTGGGCAATTTATAAATAAAGTAAAACATTTCCGATCCTTGGTTTCCTTAATTGTAAATAAAAATAGTAATAACAGCCAGGTTCAGTGGCTTATGCCTGTAATCCCGGCACTTTGGGAGGCTGAGGCAGGTGGATCACTTGAGCCCAGGAGTTTGAGACCAGCCTGGGCAACATGGGAAGACCCCATCTCTATTAAAAAAAAAAAAAAAAAAACAAACCCACAAAATTTAGCTGGGTGTAGTGGTGTGCTGCTGTAGTCCCAGCTACTCTGGAGGCTGAAGCAGGAGGATTGCTTGAGCCTGGCAGGTCAAGGCTACAGTGAGCTGTGTTTGCATCACTGCATTCCACCCTGGGCATCAGAGCAAGACCCTGTCTCAAAAAATGATAATAACACCAAACATCTGAGGTTAATATGAGACTTAATGAATTTATATTTAGTGCTTGAATCCATGCCCGGCACCCTGTAGCGTGTAGACCTTCTGTGTGTTTCAACCATGGTTTTCATTTAGTGTGATCAGTACTTGGGAAATGCATGTTGAGGCCATCAGTGATGACCCCAAATAAATTAGGAAAATATATAGTACGGTTGTCATTGCATCGTACACAGCCAGTAAGGGATTTTGTAATTTTCCAGTTCTTTTCATCTGTTTAGGTTACATAGTTTGGGCCTGGAAAGTGTTTTGGAGCTTTATTTATCCAGTTTAACTGTCAGCAGTGAGCAGATTAAACAGACCTTTGTCAGAGTCTGTGTCATTTTTGATGAGTAGACCGCTAAGCCAATGAACAGATATTTGTGGGCACCTATTGGGTTGAATAGTCCCTGCCTCGAACGTGTGAGGATTTAAGGAACAGAAAATGAGATGTAAAGAGATGCCGCAAAGCAGCGTAATTGGGTGAAGAGCAAATGATCATGCCACCCCTGTAGCACTATCTCAACAGCCACTAAAGTGTATTTAAAACTGCCCATTTCCCTTCCTTTCCTTCTGCTACCTAGCATCTGGTAGAGATGCTAGCAAACGTCATGTGCCCCACTGGGTTGGTGTTTGTTTGCTTGTTTTTGAGACAGGGTATCGTTCAGTTGCCCAGGCTTGAGTGCAGGGCGCGATCTCGGCTCACTGTAACCGCCACCTCTTGAGTTCAAGCGATTCTCCTGCCTCAGGCTCCTGAGTAGCTGGGATTACAGGGGCACACCACCACGCCCGGTTAATTTTGTATTTCTAGTAGAGAAAGGGTTTCGCCATGTTGGCCAGGCTGCTCTCGAACTCCTGGCCTCAAGTAATCCACCCGCCTTGGCCTCCCAAAGTTTTGGGATTACAGGCGTGAGCCACTGCACCCGGCCTGGTCAGGGTCTTAGAATCTTCTAGGCTGGGAGTGGGAGGTGGAGCGGTTGTTCTGTTACTTTCTTACAAAAAAATTGCAGCCCAGAGTTCCTATGAGTATTTGCCCTGTTGTCTTCATATTAAGCTTTGCTTCGCCTAAGCTGCTTGCACTGATAATGTAAGCTTGCTGAAGTGCTGTTGTTAGAAAACTCCTGTTTTCTTGAGAGAGAAAGGCACCTTTCCTATAAACAAGTGTTTTGTGACATGTTTTAAGTGGACCTTTTACCCTAGATGGTGTTTTCTACCATATAAACTTTTTGTCAGTGAACAAGTGATTCTTTCTTCTGTGTCTGTGTTGATTCTGCCCGAGGCGACGGGACGAGATACACTGCTAAATAGATTCCAGTCAGATGATCCCAACCGTGTGAGCTTATAAAAGACAGCTGTTAAAGTTTAAAATTAATAATTAACACACACGCACAGACAAAAGTTGTTGCTCCTAGCAAGATTAAAATTAGTCTGCTGTTGCAGAAGCTCTTTATATCTTCCTCAAAAGAATTTTATTGTTGTGTATTTTTTCCCATTTCATCTAAAGATAAAAATTTAGGTAGAGAAAATGATAAATTGATTTTCTTTCTTTTTTTTTTTTTAAACTTGTTGGCAAGTTACACCGTTAAGGTGGTAGGGCTCTTGTCTCTCCGAAGAATCATAAGTAACACTTGTCTATGGCTACTTTGAAATTACCTAAATAAGATAAAATTATCCAAATAAGATAAAATTATCCCAAGCAAGAACTTTTTTTTTTTTTTTTGAGATGGAGTTTCACTCTGTCACCCAGGTTGGAGTGCAGTGGCGCGATCTCCACTCACTGCAACCTCCGCCTCCCAGGTTCAAGCGATTCTCCTGCCTCAGCCTCCCGAGTAGCTGGGATTACAGGCGCCCGCCACCACACCCGGCTGATTTTTTGTATTTTTAGTAGAGATGGGGTTTCACTATGTTGGCCAGGCTGGTCTCAAACTCCTGATCTGCCCACCTCAGCCTCCCAAAGTGCTGGGATTACAGGCGTGAGCCACCGCGCCTAGCCGTGTTGGTTTTCAAATAGCTATTTTGGTAGGTGATGGATTAGTAGAGTCTTGAATTTAGCAATGGAAAACACATAGGCAGTTTGTCTTCTGCAAGGCTCTGCCCTGCAGGTGCAGTGCCGGGCACATGGTATACAGAGGGTAGACCCTGTGTGCAGCGCCTGCCTCACGGCCCGCCTATTAGTCCAGGGTCCCTTCCTGAAGGGACCTTGAGCATGTCTGTTGTTTGAGGTTATTACAGCAGAAAGCCTGGCCTGGTGGGAGGTGATCGTGGTCATTCTCCCCTAAACTGTTCCCTGATGTACTTTGCAGGAGTCCACATGTTCTGGTCTTTATTGTGAGACTCCCCTGTGTGGGAGGGGTTTTTAAATAAAAACTGGCCTACAGACTGTGATCAAAGTCTCACTCTGAAAATGTCAAAAACAGGCTGGGTATGGTGGCTCATGCCTGTAATCCCAGCACTTTGGGAGGCCAAGGCGGGCAGATCACTTGAGGTCAGGAGTTTGAGACCACCCTGGACGACATAGTGAAAGCCCGTCTCTACTAAAATACAAAAATTAGCCAGGCGTGGTTTCACATGCCTGTAGTCCCAGCTACTCGAGAGGCTAGGGTACAAGAATCGCTTGAACCTAGGAGGCAAAGGTTGCAGTGAGCCAAGATCACACCATTGCACTCCAGCCTGGGTGACACTGACACAGTGAGACTCAAAAAAAAGAGAGAAGAAAATGTGAAAACAACTGGGTATGGTGGCTTACACCTGTAATCCCAGTGCTTTGGGAGGCCCAGGAGGAAGGATCACTTGAGCCAGGAGTTTGAGGATGCAGTGAGCTATGATCATCAGCACTGCACTCCAGCCTGGGTGACAGAGGGGAGACTCTGTCTCTCAAAATAAATGAATAAAGTGAGAGAGGAAGAGAAAGAAAGAAAATATTAAAAAACAACTCTCTTTATCATGTCTTGCCTTTCTATCTTCTTCTAAAACACTTTACTGGTGTTTTGTGGGTGCTGTGTTCCAGAAAGAGTGTATCTAAATTACAGTTGTGTTAAAAGTGAGTGACAATTAAAAAGTAGTGAATCAAGTCATCTGTAATCACATCACTGATGAATTTTGGTGCACTGACTCCCAGGGTGGGCTCCCTCTTTCTTGCATCCATCCCTCCCATAGTTCTTGAACACATACTGTGTGACCAACACTGGACCAAGGCACACGAGATGAACATCAGCTGTGTTCCCATGGAGTTTGAGGCCTAACATACGTATGTATCTGCATTTATGTATACTTCTTTTAAAAATGATAATCGGGGCCGGGTGCAGTGGCTCATGCCCGTAATCCCAGCACTTTGGGAGGCCGAGGAGGGTGGATCACAAGGTCAGGAGATCGAGACCATCCTGGCTAACATGGTGAAACCCCGTCTCTACTAAAAATCCAAAAAAAAAAAAAAAAAAAAAGCCAGGTGTGGTGGTGGGCACCTGTAGTCCCAGCTACTCAGGAGGCTGCGGCAAGAGAATGGGGTGAACCCGGGAGGCGGAGCTTGCAGTGAGCCAGGATTGTGCCACTGCACTCCAGCCTGGGTGGACAGAGCAAGACTCCGTCTCAAAAAAAAAAAAGCGGGTGGATCACCTGAGGTCAAGAGTTTGAGACCAGCCTGACCAACATGGCGAAGCCCTGTCTCTACTAAATGCAAAAAATTAGCTGGGCATGGTGTCGTGCACCTGCAATCCCAGCTACTTGGGAGGCTGAGGCAGGGGAATCGCTTGAACTCGGGAGGCAGATGTTGCAGTGAGCCGAGACTGCACCATTGCACTCCAGCCTGGGCGACAAGCACAAAACCCTGTCTCAAAAAAAAAACAACAAAGAGAATCATGCTTTACAGGTGTTTATGAATTGTTTCTTTTTCACATAAGGCATAAAGGCCTACAATTTTAAAGTACCAAGAAAACTTCAAGAAATTGTTCGTAAGAAAGTTTTTCTAGTATAGAATAAAATGCTGTGTTCTCTTTAACCAAGACATTCATTATTAGCTTAGACAGCCAGTTGCTTGATGTCCTGATATCCTTTTATAAACCTAGGCAGCTGAAGGGAGGCATAAATCTGACAGTACCTGACCGTGTTTTTCATTCAGTTCATTCTTTCGGGAGATGTTTATCAAGCATACACCATGTGCAAGGGGGTGAGTATAGAGGGTTGAACCAAATATCCTTGGTTTTCACCTTAAGGGAACTTACAGTCCTTGTAGGTGACAAACAAAAATATGGGTAAAGTTGGGTTAAGTGCCGTGGAAGAAAAGAACGTGTATTTCAAAAGAACAACAGAGGAGGAGAGAACAAGCAGGTGAAGTCAAGGAAGGCTTCTTGGAGGTGGTGTCTTAGGCTGCCAGAGGAGAAGCCACCAGCACCTGAGAAGTGGGTAGGAAGGAGTTCCAGGTAGAGGTAACTGCGACGTGTTCCAAGGCCATGTGGTGTAAGAGTCCCTTTGGGGAGGAAGCCAGTGTGGCCGAGGAGTATAAGCAGCGGGAAGAGGGAAGCAAAGCTGTTCATGTCCTGTGGACTTCATCCAAGGGTTTGTATTTCGTAGTTCAATGAGAAGATAGTGGGTTTGAGGGACAGAGCAACAAGTTAGAGTTAGCTCACTCTGGCTGCTCAGGAGACCAGGCAGGAGAGACGATGGCAGCTTGGGCTGGTGGGCAGGTATGTGAAGGATTAAGGTGTATTTCAGAAATAGACAACAGTCCTTGGTGATGGACTGAAGGTGGCTGTGTTGTGGGGTGCAGGGTGGTGCTAAAAGGACTCCTGGGTTTGTGACTTGGCTTCTTGGAGATCACTGGTACCATGGAGATGGGGCAGTTTGAAGGGGGCTGGCTTAATATGGAGGAGGAGGAGGAAGAAGAAGAGGTTGAGTTTGGCAGTGAAGTTTGAGCTGCCTGTGAGGATGCCACGTGGAGATTTAAGGAAGGCACTTGGCTATGTGGGATCCTGGAGCTTCAGAGCAAGGCGGATTGGAAAAACAGGTTTAGGCATCATCAGTATGTAGATGATGTTCAAAGCCAAAGGTGAGGAGGAAATCACCCAGGGAGCGGGGACAGAGAGATGAGAAAAGTCCAACCTGGAGGGTCTTCCGTATCGAGAGGTTGAGTAGAAGAGCACCTAGCAACAAAACCAGGACAGGGTAGCCTGGATGTGGGAGGAGAAGCAGGCACAGGGTGCTGTCAGGGAAGCCTGGGGGGCTGAGAGAAAGGATGGAAGAGGGGCTGGGGAGAGGATTGGAGGAGAGAGAAGAAAGGATGAGTAGCATTTTGGGAGCATGGACAGAGAGTGGATACAGAAATATAGCAGGCTGGCAGGCACTGAGGAGTGGCCATCTTTAACTGGTGAGCATGGATTTATAGTGACATGAAACTACTTGACTCTGTGGTCATTTAACACCAGGAAGAGGTTTATGGTTATTTAGTGGAGGGAGTTCCTTGAGGCTGGAACCTTCCTTCCCCGCATGGAGGAGCGTGGCTCTCCCAAATAGCTTTTGCTGTGTAAATGTTTTTGTTCATTAGTATTTTAAAAGTAAGAGTTTAAAAAATATTAACATATATAATCTGTATAATAGCCTATAAGGTAGGCCCTGTTATCCCCATTCTACTGATGGGCAAACTGAGGCACAGACAGGTTATCGAGCTTATCAAAAATCCCAGCACTGAGAACTTATGTGGGTTCCAGGATCAGGTTCCTAACTACTGTGCCATGCTGTGCTTAGGACTCTGTGGCCACAGTGGTGATCTTTCATCACACCCCTTTGTAAAGAAGTATAATTGTTTCAGAAACTTAATGCAGTTCAAAATATCACTTTCCCCTGAAGTATCTAAAGGCTCTTTTATTATGTAGCATCCAGAGACAGCATCAGTGATTAATTTCACTTTGCAAGTTAGGATTCACCTAGCTCTCCGTAGCCTACAGAGTGTTGTCATCCGGAGCCAGTGTGTTAATCTTGGTTGGTCCCTCCTCGGGTCGACGTGGGCCAGTGCCCATCATCACAAGGCCCGCAGCCTGACCCTGATGGTGTCCTCCCAGGGCCCCGCCATCAGCCCCCAGTGTAGGGCCACGTATAGGCACACCAGCCAGTGTGTTCCTTGGTATTTTTTTTTTAAGTGTCTGGGCCCATGTTATCAGTTACACAGGTGGAAATGCAATTCTTTTCCTATGTTAAGTGTAACCAAAGACCACACTCCCACTGAAAGACAGGCATGATGTGATGTCAGGAAAAGGGATTTCTGTGTGCCAGATATTGCTCCATGCATCTGCAAATCAAATTGAGCAGAGAGTACAGACCACCACACTAAAGCTTTTTTTTTTTTTGCAGGATAATTTTTTTTAATTTTTAAAATTTTTGATGAAACATATCAAAGCTTATCTTTGATATGTTGTGATAAAACATATAAAAATTTATCTCTTAACTATTCTTTTTTTGTTTGCTTGAGACAAAGTCTCGCTTTGTCTCCCAGGCTGAAGTGCAGTGGCATGATCTTGGCTCACTGCAACCTCTGCCTCCTGGGTTCCAGTGATTCTCCTGCCTCAGCCTCCTGAGTAGCTGGGATTACAGGCTCATACCACCATGCCCAGCTAACTTTTTGTAGTTTTAGTAGAGACAGGGTTTTACCATGCTGGCCAGGCTGGTCTCGAACTCCTGAACTCAGGTGATCTGCCCACCTCAGCCTCCCAAAGTGCTGAGATTACAGGCATGAGCCACCATGTCCGGCCTTAACTATTCTTTTAACCATTTTTTTCTCTTCTTTTTTAGAGACAGGGTCTTACTGTGCCTCCTGGGCTAGAGTGCAGTGGTGCGTGATCATAGCTCATTGCAGCTTCAAACTCCTGGACTCCAGCAATCCTCCCAAGTAGCTAGGACTGCAAGTGCATGCCACCACACCCAGCTAATTTTTTAATTTTAATTTTTTATTTTTTTATAGAGACAGGGGTCTCACTATGTTGCTTAGGCTGGTCTCAAGCTCCTGGCCTCAAGCAGTTCTCCCATCTTGGCCTCTGAAAGCACTGAGATTACAAGGTGTAAGCCACTGTGACTGGCCCTTTTAACCATTTTAAGTGTACAGTTCATAGTGTTGAATACATTCACATTGTTCTGCATCCACTCTCCGGAACCCTTTTCATCTTGCAAAACTGAAACTCTGTGCGGGTTAAATAGCCCCCTGTTCCTCCTGCCCCCCCAGTCCCTGGCAACCACCATTCTGCTTTCTATTGCTATGAATTTGACTACTGGAGGTACCTCATCTAAGTGGAATCACAGAGTTTGTCCTTTTGTAACTGGCTTATTTCACTTAGCATAATGTCCTTCATATGGTAGCACACATCTGAATGTCCTTTCTAAGGCTGAATATTATCCCATTATCTGTATATGCAAAACTTTGCTTATTCGTTCATTCTTCGATGGACACTTGGTTGCTTCCACTTTTCAGCTCTTGTGAATGATGCCGCTATGAGCATAGATGCACAGTGTGCTAAAACTCGTCCTCTCCTCCCCCATCTATCAGAAAGCGATCTCTCATGTAGGGGTGAGTTACAAAGGGAAAGGGATGGCTGACTTGAATGCAGTGATTCCTTCATCAAACATGATGCCTGGACACTCCCATTTCAAGGGAAATGAGTGATCTTCTGTGCGCAGAAAAGCAGCAGTTCTAGCAGGGTGTGGGTGTGCAGGCAAGGACCAAGAAGTTACTAAATCGCAAGTAGTCATCTTATTAATCTTTTATTGTTTCATGGCCTTCTACCTATTATGTTCAATGATGTTGTCAACTGTTTCTTTAATACTAACCAGAATACCATAACAGTATACATATATATGTATTTATATCTCTATGTATAATATGAATGCAATTTTTTTTTTTTTTTGAGACAGAGTTTCACTCTCGTTGCCCAGGCTGGAGTGCAATGGGGCAATCTTGGCTTACTGCAACCTCCGCCTCTTGGGTTCAAGTGATTCTCCTGCCTCAGCCCTCCCAAGTAGCTGGGACTACAGGCACCCACCACCATGCCTGGCTATTTTTGTATTTTTAGTGTGAGACTGGGTTTCACTATGTTGGCCAGGCTGGTCTTGAGCTCCTGACCTTAGGTGATCTGCCCACCTTGGCCTCCCAAAGTGTTGGGATTACAGGCGTGAGCCACCGCTCCTGGCCAACATTTTTTTAAACTATGTATTTTTTTCTTTCTCTGGTAACAAAAAGGAATACTTGCATGAAACATTTAGGAAAAATAACAGAGAAATTCAAATTACGCATAAACCTATCACCCAGAGATGACCAGTTAATGTTTTAGTGTAGGACACGCACACACAGGTGGGTTAGGTTCTGTCAGTTATAATTTTTTGTGCCGTATATATACATATTTAGTGTTCTTAAAATTAGAGATCAAACAGCATGTACTATGTTATCAGTGTCGTTTCTTCACTAACTCATACATTGTGAGCATCCTCCCTTGTCGTCAGACCCCATTCAGCAGGTGGCCATGAGTGCAGAGTGCTCCATTCATAAGAGCAGACGGAATTCCCAGGGTGGCTCCTCATCAGAAGTTGGGGTGTCTTGCAGTTTCTGTGATGCGCGTGATTTCTCTGCTGAAGGTTGTAACAGAGGAGGAAGGGTGGCATTTCCCCCGTTTTATAGCAAAACAAGCAAGGAGTGGAAGCCAGCTCTGAACAACTTAACCAGGATGAGGGGAAGCTGGAAATAGCAACCGGATCACTCACTCACTGCCTTGTGCTTCATTCACTTGATAAAACTAATCTCAAGATCATCATCAGCGGAAATTATTTCCCCTAATCTCCTGGGAGTGTGCTTTAATATTTTTATGTTTGCTTAATGGTTATTTCAATTCTGCATCTTTTTTTATTAAATTTAAAAAAAAAATGAAAACTTTCCAGGCTGCTTTGGGAGACTTCCTGGATTTTTCCTCATGTGGCTGGAGGAACTCGGCCCCTCACGCTCTTCACCTCCCCCAGTGGAGAATGATCAGGCTCCCTAGGGTCCAGCTACAGGCCAGTTTTTTCAAAAGCTGTTTGGAAATTCAAGGTCTGTTTCACCACATGCCTCTTTTTGCAGTTTCATTAGCTCATTCAAAATATACTGTAAAAGGCTAACAAGATGTCATCCATATGGAAATCATATTAGTTAGATTCTGTTGCTTCTAATTTCTGTGGTGTTGATTAGGTGCTAATTATTTTGGGGGATTGGGGGGAGTACCTTGTGCTTTGGTTTGTTCAGACATTCAGCAGCATTTACTGTGCACCTAATATGAGTTACAGCCCTGGACCTAGGGAGCTCTAAATCAAGAGGGAGAGCCAGACAAGAAAATCCACCTGACAGTACCAGGCTGCAACAGAGTGAAGCCCGGGAGGCCATGGGAGCAAGGAGGGGTCTGTGAGCAGGGAGGGGTGGGTGGGAAGCGGTGGTTCCAAGCCAGGCTTGCTGCAGGTCGTTGGGGGCCTCGGCAGGTAGCTCTGCCTCATTGGAGGGAAGGGGCAGATGTTTGGGGGAGGGGCCCTAGATTGGCATGGAAGGAGACAGGGCATGCAGGCGCTCGCGCCCTTCGGTTCATGCACACGCTTAAATGCAGCAGTCAGGTTGCTGTAACTCCATGGAGCTGAGCTGACGGCTCTCAAGGTGATGCCAGCAGCTGTGTGGGCAGGACTGGTGGGAACTCCCGGGACTGACCCTACTCCTTTCATGCTGGAGGCCCCTCAGGGCGATCTGAGGGCAACTCCAACCCCAGGGCAGCTGATGGGGTGGACACTAGTTTGCCCTTTCAGAGTAGGGAAAAAGCAGGTGTGGAATTTGCACACCCATGTTCATGGCAACCTTAGTCACAATAGCCAAAAGGTGGGAGCAGTCTAAAGTATTCACTGAGGAATGAATGGATACACGAAAATGACGTATACACCCTTAACGGAGTATGATTTAGCCTTAAAAAGGAAAGAAATTCTGACACATGCAGCAACGCAGATGAACCTTGGAAACCTGCTGAGTGAAACAAGCCAGTAACAGGACAAACAGTGTGTGCCTCCACTTCTGTGAGTGGAATCTGCTCGAATAGTCAAATTCATAGAGACAGAAAGTAGAATAATGGCTGCTGGGGGTGAGGGCAGGGGAAAATGGGGAGTATTCTTCACTAGGTGCAGAGTTTCAGCCTGGGATGATGAAGTCGTCTGGAGGTGGATAATGGTGATGGCTGTCCAACAATGTAAATGCAGTCAATGCCACTAAGTTGTATACTCTTAAAATGGTAGATTTATGCTATGTATCTTTTACCATTTTAATAAAAAACAAAAACAGGGCATGGAGCAAAGCTGCGTCCCAGGCTAGGGTGGACGTGGAGCCTGGCAGAAGGGTCCTGCGGCCATTCCACTTCCTTCCCTCCGGAGCTACTCAGGCCTGTTAAGCTCCTCGCTCCATGTCCCTGCTGATGAGGCCCTGGGTGCTGGAGAAGAGCAATCAGACCTGTGTGAGTGCCCATTTGTACTAATAGGGAACCTTGCAGAATTCTTCTAAGTGTCAGAGGCATTTGAGCCAGAGCAGCTCCTTCTTAAATAGGAGCTGGGTAAAATGAGGCTGAGACCTACTGGGCTGCATTCCCAGATGGTTAAGGCATTCTAAATCACAGGACGAGGTAGGAGGTCAGCACAAGACACAGGTCAGAAAGACCTTGCTGATAAAACAGGTTACAGTAAAAAAGTCGGCTAAATCCCACCAAAACCAAAATGGCCACTAGAGTGACCTCTGGTCATCCTCACTGCTACACTCCCACCAGCGCCATGACAGTTTACAGATGCCGTGGCAACGTCAGGAAGTTACCCTATATGGTCTAAAAGGGGAGGCATGAATAATCCACCCCTTGTTTAGCATATCATCAAGAAATAACCATAAAAATGGGCAACCAGCAGCCCTCAGGGCTGCTCTGTGTAGGGAGTAGTCATTCTTTTGTTTCTTTACTTTCTTAATAAACTTGTTTTCACTTTCTGGAATCACCCCGAATTCTTTCTTGCACGAGATCCAAGAACCCTCTGTTGGGGTCTGGATCAGGACTCTTTTCCAGTAATGTAAGTATGCATGATATGTTATGTCCACTAGGTCCCAGCCACCTGAAGACCCGCTATTATGGTTAAACATATGACATGAAACACCAGACATTTCACAGAGAAGTGCCTGGTCTGTCAGCAAAGCAGTTATTTCTTATGTTAATGGTGCCAAGAGGGAAGCCCCTTCCCCCAGCTCAACCAAGGCATTAAACCCAAGTCATTCCTCCCCAGTGGGTAAAACTTTATTTCTTTGGCAAGATAACTTTCATTTGAAAATAAACTTTGAAGCTGTTTGAAGCTAAAAGAGCTTGCTTTCTAACACAGCAGCAGAAACGGTGAAAGAGCCTCACTTCCTTTGAAACAAGCTTCTGGAGACCTCATCAGAATTTGAAAGGCTGTGGGATAGGTGCCCTGTTGCTTGGGATGAGGGGTCTGAAGTGGTGTGTGTGAGCTGCTGAGGCTCTCCTGAGGTTCCTTTGAAAACCTCGTGTTTCCCGTAATTGGAGTCCGCCACTGTGTGGGGTCATGGGCAGCCGGAGGGCAGGTGGCTCATGCTTGCCTGGACTTGGTGGGAGCTGTAGCCGCGTGGGAGGGGGTAGGATTGCCCAGCAATGCCCTATCCCTCTCAGCTCCCCCTGCTCTGGAAGGGCAGAGATGCCAGACTGCTGTCCTTCTAAGAGCGGGACCTCAGAATGTCTAGCAGAGACGTTGTTATCCATATCTTCCATCCCCCGGCCATGTGGATGTACATATTGTGTTGGAACCTCAGTTTCTCCATCTGCAAAAGGAGTCAGCATAGTACTCATGTACAAGGGTGTTGTGAGAATGCCAAGATGTTTGTAAAGCCCTTAGCAGAGTGCATGGCGCAAATTGTTCCCAAAAGGAAATATAAACATGTAACAAGGGCCTGCCTGTTTTTGACGTGGCCTGTTGTCCTTCCTAAGAGCCTTCGTGCTGTGCGAAGGAATGTCTGACCACACACAGAACAGAGTCCCCTTCCATCCACACCTGCCCTCTGGCTTCTGGAGGGTTTGGTAGCAGGGTTGCTTCTGAGCTTGACGTGTTTCTGGGTTCCAAGACCACACACCCTAGCCATCTCCAGCAGCGTGTGCATGGGCGTTGGGTCCATTTATGCCCCTTATGCTTTTTATTGGTCTCATAGCAGAAGCCAGACTGCTGGGGTTTTATGAACCCAGGAAAATGGGCTCTTGATGACTATGAGGCATTACATCTCAGAGCCAATTTCATAGTCGCAGTTCAGCCTCAGAATGAGCTTTTCACCTCCTGATTCTTGACAGCTTCAGCTTCAAAGGGCGTTGTGAAAGTCTGCTTTGGAAAGAATAGGTTAAGACTGACTTCCCACAGTGTTGGCTGCAAAGAAGGTTGAGGGTTGTTTTTTTGTTGTTTTTGTTTTTGTTTTTGAGACAGAGGCTTGCTCTATCTCCCAGGCTGGAGTGCAGTAGTGCAATCTTGGCTCACTGCAACCTCCGCCTCCCAGGCTCCAGCGATTCTGGTGCCTCAGCCTCCCGAGTAGCTGGGACTACAGGCGTCCGCCACCACACTTGGCTAATTTTTTGTATTGTTAGTAGAGATAGCATTTCACTGTGTTGGCCAGGCTGGTCTCGAACTCCTGACCTCATGATCCGCCTGCCTCGGCCTTCCAAAGTGTTGGGATTGTAGGCGTGAGCCACTGCGCCCGGCCTGTTCTTTCCTTTAGAGATTAAGTTATTGGGGAGGGAGTGCTAATGGGTTTCATTAACGTGATCTGTAGATCCAGGCCACATCTCCTTCATGGCCCTATCCTGGGTGGGAGTCCTCCATTCTTGTTCCCGTAACACCAGTCAGTGCGCCTTTGTTTTATAATGAACTCTTAGTGTGTCTCCTCACCGGATTGTTCTTAAAGGCAAGGCTTTTGCTCTAGTCATCCTGGATTCCACGGTGCCTTGTAGTGGGTGCTTAGCAAATGAAGGGTGGATGACTGAATGCATCAATGAGTGAGTTTATAATGTGACGAGCTCTGTCCCAGAGTGATGGAGGATAAGGAGGGGCCATGTGCCTTGAGCCTTGCCATGGTCTGCACCATTCTCATCAGCCCTGCTTATCCTTAGCCATGCCTCATGTCTTGGTAAAGCTTTACAAAGTCTGTTTTGTAACACTTTTTTTCTTTTTGATAAAGTGGTGGTATTTCTCCTTGAGATCTTTAGGAATCTGCCTGTTTTTCAGAGCAGGACCTCTTCTCTTCTTTCATGTTGCTTTGACTGTTGTCTCTCTTTTTCCAAGACCCCTGCCACCCTCTGATAACCCTCGCATCTAACGGAGCCACAGAGTCCACAGCTGCTCATAGGTCACTCACCCACGACTTGCGTCCTTAGAGGAACTCTGCTTCCCCGTGACCCCATCAGCCTCACATCCCTGCCAAACCAGGCAGCTCAGAGCTTGCCTGCATTCCGAGCTCTGGCCTGTGAGTGTTGACCAAAGGGTTAACCTTTCTGAGCTACCATGAGCCACCTAGAACAGGGACCAAGCCTTATGTTTCTTTTTTCGGTTTTATTTGAGACAGAGTCTCACCCAGGCTGAGGTGTAATGGCATGATCACAGCTCACCACAGCCTCGACCTCACGGGCTCAAGTGATTCTCCCACATCAGCCTCCTGAGTTGCTGGGACTACAGGCATGTGCCACCACACCTGGCTAACTTTTTGTGTATTTTTTGTAGAGGTGGGATTTTGCCATGTTGCCCAGGCTGGAACATTTTCTTTTACTTCTTTGTATCTGTGACACCTAGGACTGAATACTCATATGTAGGTAATGATAGTGACAGTGATGACAATGACATCTTAACACGGTAGAGACAGAGTTGGATCTGAACCCTGCCCTCCCTGTTCCTGTCGTTACCTCTGCTAACCCATCCTCCATCCTTTGCATTCTCACAGTGGATTCTAATCTTTTCTTGGGATCATACACTCTGTTTTAGATAAGAGGGGAAATGGACACTTACACACACCTTGCATCTGATTTTAGAAGGTCCACAGATCCCCAAGAGGTCGAGAGATCCCAGTTGAAGGATCTTGCTCTAAAGAAGGACACCATTAAACACCCTTAGGAAAATCAGTGGTAGTCAATTGCATTTATTTTACCCAGTCACTTTCTGAAAACTTTGGTTGAAAACCATGTCTCCCCTACCCTCCCTAGTTGTTAAGAATATATTATTTTCCACAGTAACCAAAGCTTTGGTATAAAGGGTCCATTCAGACCTCTGACATAGACTTTTTTGAAGAGTCCAATAGCAGTGGAATCCACATTGCATCCAAGTGAATATTCACGTGGCTTTAAGCACAGCTCTCATGCTGCAAATTCACTTTGGAAAGCCTTCCTGAACAGCCTGGTAATTAGAACTGTGGTGGCTAATTAAGAATACGGTGAGGCAGATGCACTAATAATATATTTCCAAGCGAGCTGTTAAAAAATTAAACTTCCTCTGCTAAGGCCGATGGAAGCACCTCGGATTGGGGTATTGTCTTCCCGTTTGGATAACTGAAGTGCTTGTGAGTTCTCCTGAAAACTGGATCAGGCTTTTTAAAAGGGAGCAATTTGCAAGGATGTCTTACGCCAAAGGTTAGGGAGATGGGAGGTTATGGAAATGGAAGTCTCAGAGCTCCAAACGGCACCTTGATGTGTGCAGTAAGGAGGTTTCCTTTTTGGAGAGATGGAGAGAGAGGGTGGATGAAATGTGGCTGTCAGCAGGTGCTGAGTGACACGCGGCTCTGATGGGTGGCTGGGGATGGAGCACCAGGTAGCCTGTGCTGGAGCATCTGTCGATGTGCTGAGCGGGCCCTGCTCTGGGAGGGTTTGCCCAGGTCTCTGCCTTCAAGCCTAACCTGCTGCCTGCTGCGCACAGACACCTGCGGGACCTCTGTAACCCACATTTGAAAGGAAAGGGAATGGCTCTGAAATGACAGTGTCTGGTCCCCAGTTCTTGCCCTCCCAACCATCCAGCTCTTCCCTGGACATGTCTGAACCTCTCCAAAGCTTCAGTAAAAGGAAATTGAACCAGATCCATAGTTTTCAAATTGTATTATCTGGAGCTCTAAGGATCTTAGCAAGGGCTTAGCAGGTCTAAAAACAGTTCTAATCTGTTGTATATTTTGGGATTTGGTGCTTCATTATTACTGTATATTTTTTCCCAACATATGTTTTTCTACATATGTAAACTTTATATATCATATAAATATTTTAACAGCTTTACTAAGATATAATTTGCATACCAACCATTTAAAGTTACTATTTTGGCTGGGCGCAGTGGCTCATGCCTGTAATTCCAGCATTCTGGGAGGTCGAGGTGGGTGGATCGCTTGCGCTCAAGAGTTCAAGACTGTCCTGGGCAACATGTCAAAACCTGTCTTTACAGAAAATACAAAAATTAGCCGGGTGTGATATGGCATGTGCCTGTAGTCCCAGCTATTGGGAGGCCAAGGTGGGAGGATCGCCTGAACCCAGGAGTCAGAGGTTGCAGTGAGCTGAGATCGCACCACTGCACTCCAGCCTGGGTAATAGAGTGAGATTCTGTCTCGAAAAATAAAAATAAAAAATAAAGTTATTGTTCAGTGGTTTTTAGTACATTCACAAGCTTGTGCAGTTGTCACCACTATCTAATTTTAGAACATTTTCCTCACCCTCAAAAAGAAATCCCATGGTTATTAGCAGTCTCTTCCCATTCCTCCCCCTCTCGGATCCCAGCTTCTGGCAACCACGAATCTATTTTCTCTCTCTATAGACTTGCCTACTCTGGACATTTCATATAAGTAGAATCATACACGACGTGGTCTCTGGTAACTGGCTCCTTTGGCTTAACATAATGTTTTCAAGGTTCATGTTGTAGCATGTATCAGTACTTCGTTCCTTCTCATGGCAGAATAATACTGCATTTCATTCATTCATCACATTTGGGTTTTCACATTTTTGACTATTGTGAACAGTGCTGCTGTGAACATTGTATATGTCTTTGTGTGGATGTATCTTGGCATCTTTCTTTGATTATATTTAGGAGTGGGATTGTTGGTCATATGGGGTGACTCTGTGTTTAAAACTTTTTTTTTTGAGACAGAGTCTCGCTGTGTCGCCCAGGCTGGAGTGCAGTGGCACGATCTCAGTTCACTGCAAGCTCCACCTCCCGGGTTCACGCCATTCTCCTGCCTCAGCCTCCCGAGTAGCTGGGACTACAGGCACCCACCACCACACCCGGCTAATTTTTTTGCATTTTTAGTAGAGACAGGATTTCACCATGTTAGCCAGGATGGTGTCGATCTCCTGACCTCGTAATCCGCCCACCTTGGCCTCCCAAAGTGCTGGGATTACAGGTGTGAGCCCACCGCGCCCGGCCTGTGTTTAACATTTTGGAATATAATTTGTATGTATATACATGTTACACCATATATATATATATATATATATATATATATATATATATATGTTTTTTAAACTGCAGTAAAATAAACTCGATAGCTTTCTATAGCAAAGCCTGACATACTGGTGACTTATGCATTAATTAACTAATTATGCATTAGTTAACTCACGCTGCCGCCTAAGTTGATTTTTTGCAGTTACGCTTCACCTGCCACATCCGTTAAATTGAATTGGGCCTTGACATGTTTAAAAATGGTTACCACAGGCACCCACTTATCTCTTTCAATGGTGATTATATCCTTACTGTACAACCAAGACCAAAAGAAACAAATTAGATTCTGAGATTGACCTTAGACTAGAAATGTCACTAAGAGCTTCTGGTTTTAGATTTGTTTGTACCTCAAAACAGCTACACTGCTCTAACAGTGATTGAGATATAAGTCAATATTATACTCTCAAGTTTATAAAATGTATAATTGTTCTAATCTGATTTATATTTTGGGATTTGGTGTAAGGTTTAATTTGGGAGAAAAAAGCACTCTGCTGCTCAGAAGTTTGAACATCAGTGTTCTAGATTATTTCTAAGGTCCTGGCTTTCATTTTTGACCTCATTCCTGGGCTTCTGCTGGCTTGCCGAAGGTCTTGGAGTAAAAATGGTAAAATGACTACCTGGAGCTTTTTCTTTTCTTTCTTTCTTTTTTTGCATTGCGTCTTACTTTGTCACCCAGGCTGGAGTGCAGTGGTGCAAATACAGCTCACTGCAGCCTCTACCTCCTGGGATCAAGTGATCCTCCTGCATGCGCCACCACACCAAGCTAATTTTCATAGTTTTTGTAGAAATGGGGGTTTTGCCATGTTGCCCAGGCTGGTCTCAAACTCCTGAGCTCAAGCCATCTGCCCACCTTGGCTTCCCAAAGTCTCAGAATATAGGCATGAGCCACTGCTACTGGTCCCCTGGAGCTTTTAAGGTACACCCTTGTTCCTCCTGAGCCAACCCTGTGGAGTTGTTCCTGCTATACTTAAGGATTTATTGAGCACCTCCTATGTACCAGGTAATGTGCTAATCATTGAAGGGGTTTCAAAGAAAGAAAGACATAGTTATTTGTCCTCAAGATACCTGCTGTCAGGTTGGAGATGAATAAATGTAAAAAAAAAGAATAAAGTCAACCAATCTACAAGTATTTAGATATGAATATTTCCAAATGTAATAAAGATACCAAATGTTGTAGGAATTCAGAAAATGTCAGGGACAGCTTCATAGAGCAGGTGGAGGAAGGTAGGATTTGGGTGGATGACGAGAGGGTGAGGCAGATTCTGAATTTTCTTTTGAACTGAGATTTGGCCACATTTGGGCATTCCTTATGCCAGTGGTCCCCAACCTTTTTTGGCATCAGGGACCTGTTTCCTGGAAGACAATTTTTCCATGCACTGGGGGTGGGGGGATGGCTTCGGGATGAAACTGTTCCACCTGAGATCATTGGGCATTAAATTCTTAAAAGGAGTGTGCAACCTAGATCCCTCGAGTGCACAGTTCACAATAGGCTTGGCGCTCCTGTGAGAATCTGATGCCCCGCTGATCTCACAGTAGGCAGAGCCCAGGCAGTAATGCTTGCTTGCCCGCCACTTGCCTGCTACTGTGTGGCCCCCATTCCTAATAGGCCGTAAGACCCCAGTACTGTCCATGGCCTGGGGCTTGGGGACCCCTGCCTTATGCCATAAACCCTTTATTTGGAGGCCGTCAATTTAGCTGTACCCAATCCCCATTCAGCTTCCAGTGAAGAGAATAAACATGGGTAGCCAAGGAGAAGCAGGCATTTTTTTCAGCAGGCTTCCAGAAAGGAATCTGAGGTAATTCGGATAGACAAGGAAGAGGCATCAGTCTTTGTTTCCATAAACCACTATTGAGTGTGGGCCACAGTTAACCTGAAAAACTCCTAGAAAATAAGGATTCACAAAGCCCCATCAATCCGATTTTGCTATAGATAATTGCATGCAGTTTCTGAGCTGTCAAAATCCACTCCTGCTGAAGGCCCTTCAGAACAGAGGAAGGTCATGCTGGACACCAAGGGGGAGACTCCAGGGAGCGTTTTACTGGCGTCCTCCCTAGGAGGGCAGCCCTCTGAAGGGTCCGGTAAACACCAGCTTGGATGTGAGGACCCCCGCCTGAGCCCCTGCTGGTTCTAATGAAGTTAGCTCCGTTCTCTCCTGACTGTGGAGGAAGGGACAGGAGTGTGTCCCTCCAGCAAGGTTCGGTTCTCCCTCGCCTTCTTCAAATCCCACAGAGCTAGGCACAGAGGGTCCTTGTCTTGTGTTCGAAGGAAAAATAAATGCGTATCTGGCTTAGAAAGTCTTCAGCAGGTAAAGGCATTCTTCCAAAGCACCAGTGAGCCCTCACAGTGACTGGGGAGGAAGCGAGACGGCTCCAGCACAGGCCATTGTCAGGCTCGGGGCCCCGTCAGACCAAGTCTCAGGAACGAGTTCTGCTCAGCCTCTGTCTAAGGAGGTAACTCTGGCCCCCTGCACCACACACTTGCTCACCCATGTAAGCCCTGAAGTGTTCGTAGCCCTGTACCTCCTGTGTTCGGGTGTGAGACTGAAAGGTGCTATGTGTGAGCACATGTGTACACACACACACACACACACACACACACACACACACGTTCATTGTGCTGTGATACCAGCCCCAGCCCCGCCGGTCTATGTGTGGTCAGCTTGTCCACTTGGCTGTTGGGGTCTCTGTCCGGGTCCTCCTGGAGCCAAGCCTGGCCCTCTGATTGCGAGCCTGTCTGTCTCCTGGTTCCCGCTGGGCTCTTTTCCTGGGGCCGGACTTTGCTGGGAGGAATTCTTCCTATGCCTCACCGAGTCCCAGTTCTGTCCTGTCCTGTTGGGCTCTGGGAAGGTGCATGTAGGAAGCCCCTCAGGCCCCCTGCCATGGCCTGCCTGCTCCCTCTGTTAGAGGTACTCTCTTCTCCTCTCCCAATTAAAACCTTGGCTCTCCCTGGCTCCCCCATGTACTCCACACCTGGTTTGGCCTCCAGGTGTGGACACACTCCACAGTATCCTTAAACCATGGGACCAGGTGCTGCATTCCCAGCCACCCTCCTTGCCCGGCTCAGGGAAGCCCTTTGCAGAGAACGCCTGGATTTGATTCCTTGGAGCCTGACGCCCATTCAGAACATAGGTAAGTTGGCCGCAAACTCCTTGGACTTAGATGCATAGGGCGCATTTCTGTCTAGGGTGAAGCTGGCCCTTTTATTTCTAGTGGTTTTCCCTTTCCAATATTCCCTTCCCACCCATATCCTGTCCTGGCTGGGCCCCCACTTTTCTTCCCCACCCCCTCCATGAGTATCCAATGTGTTCTGTAGCAAGATCAAAGCGGTTTATCTCATCAGCCACACAAAACCTTTTCGGATCCTGATTTTTTTTTTTCAACCAGTACCCAGTACCTGCTTCTCCTGGTTCTACCCTTCTGCGTATTCCATTGTGTGCCCCTACAGCAGCAGGGCAGGGCCCCTCCCTCTGGGACGAGGCCAAGTATGAATTAGAATGCAGCACTGCCACTGAGCCAGCGACCCTGGGCTGGCCGCCTGATGTCCTGATACCCTAAGGCTGTCCAGGGACCCTGGGCTGGCCGCCTGATGTCCTGATACCCTAAGGCTGTCCAGGGACCCTGGGCATGTACCTTCATGGCGGCCAGGTGTGCTGTGTCTGCTGCTGTGTTCTGACCTTCCCTCTAGACCCTTTGTCAAAAGAGTTTGAACTTGTTCCCAGGGGGTATCACTGGATCTTCAAGTAGGGACTGACATGAGGGAAAGAGTGTTTTTCAAGATTAGCAGGACAGCAGTGGGCAGGGTAGACTGGGAGATCTTTGGGGATGAATTTCTGGCCAGCTATTAAATCCTAGCAGCAGTTCCTGTCAGCTCTAAATAGCCCCATATACCAAGATAACCTCACACCTTGATTTTTCAGGATTTGGCAAGTCTGATGAGAGCCCTTGAAACAAAAGTAAACTCAGGCAAGCCAAGAGCCTTTTGTATTCTCTGTAAACATTTAGAGAGTCGCTTTCTTGACCCGCCTATGAAAATGTAGAAACAGACCTTATTTGAACAAGCTGATTGGCAACTCTAGTGTATTGATTTTAATTTGGTTTTTGCCTGATTCATCAGCTGGAGACTTTAAAACATAGCCAGATTCAAAACCAGTTTCTTGGCCGGGCGTGGTGGCTCACACCAGTAATCCCAACACTTTGGGAGGCCGAGGCGGGCCAATTGCCTGAAGCCAGGAGTTCGAGACCAGCCTGGCCAACACGGTGAAACCCTGTCTCTACTAAAAATACAAAAATTAGTCGGGTATTGTGGCGGGTCCCTGTAATCCCAGCTACTCAGGGGGCTGAGGCAGGAGAATCGCTTGAACCCAGGAAGCAGAGGTTGCAGTGAGCCGAGATCGCGCCACTGCACTCCACCCTGGGAGACAGAGACTCCGTCTAAAAAAATAAAGAAAAAACGGTTTCTTCCCATTGTGTCTAATTTAAAAAAATCTAACCATCCCTCCTTTTCTTAAAGATAATCCTGTCTTCCTTCCTTTACAAGAAAAATCCCAGTGACTCCCCCACCCCAGGGATTTTGAATTCCTTTGGTCTGTATTCTGGATATGGATCTGGCTTTCAGCGTGTTAGTTGAGGCTCGGGGAGGAGGTTTTCCTTCCAAGCCAGCTGTGTGCCCAGTGCTCAGAGGTATGGATGGCATCAGGCTGACTGGTCAAGACCAAATGCTCCTCCAGTCACCCCAGCCTGGTGACCTGGCCCGGCCAGTATGCCACTGTAGTGTCAGACTCTGTGGCTCTCCTCTTGGAGTTCCTCCAGGGTCTAACAAGCAGCTGCTGCCAGGTGAGCAGTAAGGGCCATGCTTACTTTCATCGGCACTTTTGCTGCTGGACAAAGCTTTAGATCCGTGGACAACAAAACAAAGCATGTGTCTAATGGATGTGTCCTCAGGCTGAAGGGAAGGCCGTTTTGCTTTAAGGGTCTGTGTATCTTCTGTTAAGAGGTAGCAGCTGACTTTTTTTTCTTCATCTGTGAACACGTGTACTAGGGTGAAACAGTTTTGTTTTGTTTTTGTTTTTATTTTTGTTTTTTGTTTTTTGAGACGGAGTCTCGCTCTGTTGCCCAGGCTGGAGTGCAGTGGCGCAATCTTGGCTCACTGCAAGCTCCGCCTCCCGGGTTCAGGCCATTCTCCTGCCTCAGCCTTCTGAGTAGCTGGGACTACAGGCGCCCGCCACCACGCCCGGCTAATTTTTTTTTTAATTTTTAGTAGAGACTGGGTTTCGCCGTGTTAGCCAGGATGGTCTCGATCTCCTGACCTCGTGATCCACCCGCCTCAGCCTCCCAAAGTGCTAGGATTACAGGCATGAGCCACCGCGCCTGGCCAACAGTTTGTTTTTTTTAAGTGAGCGCAGTCTGATTGGACTTCTGCTGGAGGAGCATCTGGAATCTTGGCATTGAAGTTTGCCAACTCACGAACAATGTTATCATCACTTATCTGATGAATGTGAGGAGCAGGCTGATGGTGCTGTGGCAGTCAACAGCTTAAGATGCTGCTAGGGAAATGAAGGAAATAACAATAGGGTGATGGAGGGGCATTTTCCTTTAAGAGAGCCTAGTATTTGAAAACCAGCATTTCACAAATGACATACACATGATAGTACAATTCTTGGGCTTATGTGTTTACTTATTTATTTGTAGAGACAGGGTCTCACTCTGTCACCCAGGCTAGAGTGCAGTAATGCGATCATAACTCATTGCAACCTCGACTTCCTGTGTTCAAGCGTGCCTCAGCCTCCTGAGTAGCTGAGACTGCCGGTGCATGCCACTAAGCGCAGCTGATTTTAATTCTTGGGTTTATATATAGTTTTTCATTTTAGGGCTCCTTTAAGTAGTAGGCTTCCATAGTCAAACAGTTACAAACTACAGATTTGTACCCTACTTTTTAGGACACCTTTTCTGCATGAGCTGAACACCATTTCAAGAGCAAAAGATTATGTCTGTGGTGGGGGGATGGAGGGATGCAAGAAGCAGGGGATGGAGGCTTCCGCCCAGAAAGTCAGAGATTCTGTAACAAAAAAGGGATTTTCTAGTTGCCTCAAGGGCCAACCCTGCTTTCTAGGCTAATATGCCCCAAGCCTTTTCTTGCTGGGTCCTGATTGGGCTCCTTGAGGCTTGGTGACTAAGTCGGTAAAGGAGGCTAGAACATGTAGGTTCCCAGAGTCTATAAGGTTGAAGTGGGACTTCTTGCTGTCCAGCCCTGACTCCTTACCCATAACCTCCTTGTCCTGGGGCATTGGGAAGCTGAGGAGGATTTCTGGACTCTGTTGACCAGACTGGGAATGCATGTATTAAAGAAAGCGGCCCTAGGCCAGCCGCGGTGTAATCCCAGCTCACGCCTGTAATCCCAGCACTTTGGGAGGCCTCGGCGGGTGGATCACCTGAGGTCAGGTGTTCAGGACCAGACTGGCCAACATGGTGAAACCCCATCTCTACTAAAAGTACAAAAAAATTAGCCGGATGTGGTGGTATGCGCCTGTAGTCCCAGCTACTTGGGAGGCTGAGGCAGGAGAATTGCTTGAACCCGGGAGGTAGAGGTTGTGGTAAGCCAAGATCACACCATTGCACTCCAGCCTGGGCAACAAGAGCAAAGCTTCGTCTCAAAAAAAAAAAAAAAAAAAAAAAAAAAAAAAGATGCCCACTAATAATTGTGTATAGAAAAGCATTGAATGGAAGGTCAGAAGGTCAGGTGCTCTCTGGGAAAAGTCCAGGAATACCCACCTACCTGGTGAGGGGAATTTGTTCCTGTATTCAGCCAGCCATGATTGAGTACCTGCTGTTGGCCAAGCATGGTCCCTTCCTAGGAACACACAGGCTGTGACAGCATGGCCCCTCCCAAGCAGCTCACTTCTAGGGTGTTTCCATTTTGTTTGGGAGAGGGAGGTTGGTGAGTGAGAGAAAGACATAAGTACCAAAGCAAATAATGACAAGCTTTTGGGTGTCTTGTGACTGTGTTAATAAGTTGTTTCTATGCTTGGGGTTTATTTGGTCATAATAACTGTCTGGACAGATGTGAAGTAATCATGACCTCAGCTCCTTCCTCACCTGTGTACTTGAGGTATCCAAGACACTCTCACCTCTTCCACACCTGTGAAGAAGCAACTGTGCCATCCAGTGGCCCAGCGTGCAGCCAGGAAGGGGGGTACACCCATGGGGAACACTAGAGCCATTAAGGAAATTGCCTTTTTTGTGAGTAGAGAGGTGGTTGGCCCAGGTATTTACCCAAGTCGTTTTCTGCTCTCAGAGCTCATGTTTTGCTCTCAGAGAACACAGAACTGGTTCTTCACACCCATGTAATGTGCATATATTATACATATCATCCACCTGTTTATACTTGAAAGCCTTTTGGTCTTTTGCGGGCCTCAGTGCTCCAGGCTAACTAGCTCTCTTTCTTCTTGCTTGTTGAACCTTAAAAGTTCCTCATTCAAGGATAAAGGAGACCACCTATTATCTGGAGGTTGGTTATGATCATTTCCATCCCAAGTTTGCTGATGCAGGAAAGTAAGGTAAATAAGTGGAATGTTAGGAGAAGGTTCTCACCCGCCTTTGGCCTGCACAGAACACTGGAGCTATTCAATGGGACTCAACTGTACTTCTCACTAGAATCCCCCGGGAGTGTCTAAAACCCCGTTTATCCAGCCACACCCGGACCAGTAAATCAGAATCTCAAGGTGGGCTCAGGCTTTGGTGATTTTGTTGCTCCCTGGGGATTCTGATGTGCAGACAGCGTTGAGAGCATCAATCTACGCTACTTTCTCATTTCATACTGGAAGCAGACTGAGGCCAAGGGTCACCTTCCACGAAGTGGGCTGGTCCTAACTCTCGGGCCAGAGCTTTCCCCTGGGTGCCCACTGCCTCACGTTGTCCTTCGGACTGAGCTGCTGCCCCAGGTGACTGCATAGGGGATTGGCCTTGATCAGCTTGCCCCACCAGGCCCCACGATGACACTGCTGCACCCTCACTGGTTGGCAGGGACAGCAGTGAGGCGCTCACCTGTCTCTCAGCGCTTTCTTCAGGGCACTCTGCTTACCAGGCTCAGGAGAGAGGACACCTCCAACAGAGCTGAGGAAGGTACCTGGACCACACACAGCTCCATTTTGCCTCTCACTTTCCGGGGTCCTCAGAGTCGCTGCAAATCAGGATGACGACAGAGCATTAGTGAGGAGGGCCTTCGGGATGGTCAGGCCTCTGGGCCTGCGTCCCCTCATCAGTGTGGATGGTTGGCCTCTCTTCCTGGCCTGGAAATAGGTCCAATGACCCTTTTCTGCATAAAAGTCACTTTAGAAATACTGGCCCTCGGGCCTGCCTCTCCCAGTGCTTTGTCACTCCAGCCACAGGTTCTTCTGTGTACTTTCTTTCCCCTCTCTTCTTCCCCAAGTGACCTTTCCTTAAGCTTTCAGGGTAAGTGAACTTATTCTAACAGTACCCTTGTGACCAGCCCTGCGTCCCGGGAGTATACAGTGATTTGCACCCACGGAGGAACCGTTTTCCCTTCATGATGAGTGGATTAATTTGGTCCACGTAGGAATATCCAGATGTGCAGTCGTGTTGTCATGGATTATGACTTCCTTGCTTAGCATTCCAAGGATATTGTAAAACAGGCGTGGGTGCTTTCAGGAGGCTGCCTTACGCATGAGCATTAAGCATGAACTCCAAAGTGTGGCCAGTGTGGAAGGATCTAACTTGTAACTGTCAGACAAGTCTGGGAGCCCTGAGTGTACATTCAGTCTGAAGACTAGACATACACACTTCCATCTGATGATGTCAGTGCATATTACTCTTGCTTTGAACCCTGCCAGTCTCTTACCATATGTCTACTTGGTCAGCCTGCTATTTTGGTCCAAGGCTAAGTGTTCTTTGTCAGTCATTAAAATATGCAAAGACCTCTGCTTGTTAAGTCTATAATGATAAGGAGTTTGCATAGTAATGGACTTAATTTATGAGGGAAATTACAGAGTGAAAAGTGGCTGTTTAAGATTGGCCGCCCGCCCTGAGGCTTTTTGTTTATTACAGGCTTTCTGGGGTTAGAAGGTGAGGGAGAAGACACTACGACATACCTTGGGAGGATCCAGCAAGGTGTGGGGGTGGGGCAGAGATGAGCGCTGCTGAGTGACACTACCAGTTCACAGGGCAACCCTTGAGGCAGGGAACAGGTCCTCATCTTTGGCTGGAAGGGCAGGCATCCTTTGCTGTTTGCTGGTACCACAGGATGGTTTCTTTACAGTGACTGGTGGTAGTTCCAAGTTCTCTTCTTTGTCTCAGAATATACTGGTTGGTTCCATTCACAAAGAAGGGAAGTACATCTGCTGAAGTTAAAGGAACAGGTGGGCATTTGGGCGTGGATTTTTTCCCCTTTAAGGAGTCCTGATCAGAAGTGCCCATGCGTGCTAATGTGTGCCCTTGCATACTGGCACGTGTGTGTGTGTGTGTGTGTGTGTGTGTGTGTGTAGGTCCGTCTGAGTTCAGACTTCTATAATGAAGTACCAAAGACTGGATGGCTTATAAACAATAGAAATGTATTTTCTCGGCCGGGCATGGTAGCTCATGGCTATAATCCCAGCACTTTGGGAGGCCGAGGCAGGCGGATCACTTGAGACCAGTAGTTCGAGACCTGCCTGGCCAATGTGGCGAAACCCTGTCTCTACTAAAAATACAAAAATTAGCTGGGTGTGGTCGCGCGCACCTGTAATCCCAGCTACTCGAGAGGCTGAGGCACAAGAATTGATTGAGCCTGGGAGGCAGAGGTTGCAGTGAGCCAAGATTGTGCCACTGCACTCCATCCTGGGTGACAGAGCGAGACTCTGTCTCAGAAAAAAATAAATAAATAAAAAGTAAAGAAATGTATTTTCTCACAGGTCTGAAGGCTAGGTCACTATCTGGGTGCGAGCATGGTTGGGGTCAGATGAGGGCTCTTCCAGTTACAGATGACCAACTTGTAGTGTCCTCACATGGCAGAAAGGGAGCTAGAGAGCTCTCTGGGGTCCCCTTTACAAGGGCACTAATCCCATTCATGAGGGCTCCACTCTTATGACAGATCACTTCCCACAGACCCCACCACCTCATACTATCACAGTGGGGGTTATGATTTCAACACGTGAATTTTGAGGGGACACAGATGTTTAATCTGTAATAATGTGTGTGTGTGAATTCACACCTGTTCAGCTCCTGAGGGGAATTACCGAATATGCTGGGTTTTAGAAAAACCCTTATAACTGTAAAGAAAGGTATATTCTCATCTGGTTCTTTTCCAAATGAGCCTTTCTCGTTTCTGGTGCAGGAAGAGGTGGCTACGGCTTTGTGAGAGGGGAGTTATTGGGTCGTGTGCTTTTGTGGATGGGCCTGATTTTCTAGGGTGAAACACACTGGTGGATGTTGGAGGAGTCTGTGCTTCCTAGCAGGGCCTTCTGTGCTCACTGTGGGACTCAGCTGGAGTGTTCTCCACACCACAGCCCTGAAGGACGCAGGGGCTTCAGAGACTGTTAATGGGACTTCCTGGTGGCCGTCCCATGGATCCCCACGTGACTCTCAGCCCCTGAGGACAGGAGGCAAGCCTGGTTCAGCTGTGTGTTCCTGACAGGGCTCACGGTCACATTGTTGAGTGGGTGGGGGTGGATGCATGGAGAGGTGAACCTGCCTGTCTGGGCTCTGGGCTCTGCCAGAGCCTGGGCAGCATCTGTGCTGCCCGAAGAGCCCACCCAGGGCCTCCCCAGGGCTCCTTAGGGTACCTGAAGGAGGGCAGCCTTCAGCCCTTCTTCTGCATGATCACCTCACTTGCCTGGGTGCAGATTGAACAAAACATCAATTGCCTATTTACTGGTCACCTGAAAATGCTCTTCTACAAAGGAAGGCCAAAGTGTGACAGAACGTGTCGAGATTCTCAGGATCCGAAGCCTATACATTTATTTCTGCCTGTGGAAGTTATCCCTAATGACAATTTGGATGTGCATACTTAATTTAAGTAAATACTTAAATGAGTGTTTTACTTTGGATTTAAAAGCTCAGAGCATCATACAGAGATAAACAGTAAATCTTTTCATCACTGCCTTCTGGCTGTAGGGAGACCTGAGAGCAGTGCAAGGAGACATGGGGGCCACTAATTTTATAGGTGGCCAGCACATCAGTGAGTATGACTTGTGCTTCTCAGTGCACCCCACTGTGTACATGCACAGAGTTAGTTGTGCTTTGAAGTGGGTATAGGTGTGGAAGGAACATGTACGCATCTTGGGTGGGCTCAGGCACAAGGCATTTTGGGGTGACCCTGCCACTGGCAAGGCCTTGAGTGGGGGCCAGAGCCTAGAGTTGGGACACTCAGCCTGCTCCTGGTCAGCTGAGCTGGGGTGCAGGTCAGGGTGCAGCCTCAGTGAAGGAAACTGGAGTGTCAATCAAAAGCCCAGTAGCTCCCATTCATTAAGAACTGCCTTGGGCCTGGGACTTCACATGTGTCCCTTTCTCAGTTAATTGTTGTTTCCCATTTCATAGATGAACAAACTGAGGGTCAAGGATTAAGGAGCTTGCTTTCTTTTCTCTTCTTTTTTTTTTTTTTTCCCCAAGACGGAGTTTTGCTCTTGTTGCCCAGGCTGGAGTGCAGTGGCTTGATCTCGGCTCACTGCAACCTCTGCCTCCTGGGTTCAAGCGATTCTCCTGCCTCAGCCTCCCGAGTAGCTGGGATTACAAGCATGCACCACCACACCTGGCTAATTTTGTATTTTCAGTAGAGATGGGTCACCATGTTGGCCATGCTGGTCTCAAACTCCTGATCTCAGGTGATCCACCCACCTCGGCCTCCCAAAGTGCTGGGATTACAGGTGTGAGCCACCATGCCCAGCCGGATTAAGGAGCTTTCTCAGACCCCACAGCCTTTGGACCCCAGGATTGCAATTTCAGTGTCTGATTCTAGGCCCTAGGCATTCTCCTGTGTAGAATTACACCACCCTGGATGGGTAACATGGGGTTTCTGCTGCTGAGATCTGCAATGGGCAGATGTGAGTCTCCCCCAGTCCAGCCTGGGACTCAGCACCTGGAGAGAGGCTAGGCTCGCTGCCTGCTTTCCTAGGATTAACTGGGATTTCAGAGGGCTGTGTCTCAACCCATAGCACAGGCACTTCAGAGCTGCAGCTGCAAGTGCTGTCACAGGGGTCTAGGCAAGCTCTGTCCCCTGAGTTACGGGGCTGTGCGGGGAAGTCCTGTCTACTCATGAACTGGCTACCTGTAAAATCAGTTCCCCACCTCCTCAGCTCGCCTCTGCACTGCTCTCAGGTAAGACTGGTGCCTCCTCCATAGCTCTGGCTGACTCTTAGAAATCTGGCAATATTACTGAAATGGAAATTCACTGTTAGTTAATTGCAGAGTGAAACTACAGTTTCTGTAGAAAGTCCGGTATGTCATGAACACAGAGGGCGATGTGTGTGCTTGGTTCACACACATTGATGAGTGAGGAGCTGAGAGTGTTCTATGTTCTGCTGTTTTACAGTTGGAGAAGAGACAAGGAGGCTGTATGATGAGTATTTTTTTGAGACGGAGTCTCGCTCTGTCTCCAGGCTGGAGTCCAGTGGCACGATCTCAGCTCACTGCAACCTCTGCCTCCCGGGTTCACGCCATTCTCCTGCCTCAGCCTCCCAAGTAGCTGGGACTACAGGCGCCCGCCACCACACCCGGCTAATTTTTGTATTTTTAGTAAAGACAGGGTTTCACCATGTTGGCCAGGATGGTCTCAAATTCCAGACCTCAGGTGATCAGCCTGCCTCGGCCTCCCAAAGTGCTGGGATTACAGGCGTGAGCCACCGTGCCTGGCCACAAGTATTTTTTTTTTAAAGGATTTGAGCATCAAAAAATTATGAAAGGTGGAAAATTGATGAAGCTGTTGAATAGTTTGCTACAAAAATGACCTTTCTGATTGTCTTAGAAAAGCCAAACAAGCCAAAGGTATCAGAGTAGTTGGTCAGAAAAAGTACACACAAAATTAGAAACAAAAACAAAAAAACACCAAAAAGTCATTTCATTCTTTGTTCATTAGGGCAAATTAGAACATGGTTATGACTGCATGTTCCTAGGCTATGTTTTGCCAAATGTAGTAAAAAATAGACTTATCTTAATATTTTTAGTTCCGTTTTAAGGAACAACCCAAACTTTTTCAATCCATCCCTGCTCCGCCAAATCATTTACTATCAAATGATGGTCTTTGTTCAAGTAGATTTATGTAAACTTACCACCACCCTACCCTGCTCCCTGTACCTGATATTCTTAGTTAACTAGGACCTGTTCTTATTTCAGCCTAGCAAAAGAAACTGGTAGACTAGAGAGGTTTTAGCAGGCAGTTTGCAATTCCTTAGCAGCCCAGAAGAGTTAATGTTTTGCGTAATCATGCCATATATTTATTCTTTCTACCCGGTCTATGAGAAACTCTCCCAAAGGAATAATTTTTTTCTTGTTCCTAGTTGCTTTTGAAATCATGGCCATCCAGGGAGCATAACCTTTTTATTGCATCCTAATGATTTTGAAGTTGTTTTTAATAGGGTTTCAGATTTAATATTTATCAGTTACCGGGTTCAAATCAGTGATAGTGGAATACTTAACAGTATTAGCTAATGCCTTAGAAAAGCTGCACACAGCGCTCAAGTTATCCTGTATATTACAAGAGGCACCTTGTCTTTGTGTGTGTGTGTGTGTGTGTGTCCTTGGGGGAAGTGTCAGCATCAAAAGGATCAGTCACTTCCTTAATCATCACAAAGAGGCCCTCTAACCAGGGAGAATGTTCAGGATTCAGCCAGCAAGATGGGCCTGGCGTGCAGGGTGGGAACATGGCAGCCTCTTAGAGACAGCTTTTGTCTGATCTTTTCTTAACGGACTTCATGTTTTTGTTTTAGGGTAGTTTTAGATTTGCACAAATGTCTGATCAGTTCTGCAATGCAGTTTTAACTCCCAGATTTTTTCCTTCTTTCTGCAGACGGCGCCTCATCTCCCAGAGATCTTCCTTGGAGACCCTGGAAGATATTGAGGAGAACGCCCCTCTCCGGAGGTAATTTTCTGTTTCATTTATGTATATGTAAACAGTACACCATGACAGCCAGAGATTGATTTTGGTTTTTTAACTTCTTGATCTATAGAATTAAATTTAAAAATAACCATCTGAACTCCAGGGACTATGGGACATCTCCTAGTGTCTAACCCACCTCTGAAGACCACTAGAACTAAACAACGTTAAATCCAATTAGGTGTTGGAGTAGCCCAATTTGCATGGAGATTTGGGTGCTTTTCTTTCCGTGGCGCCTCTTCATTTTGTAAACTGCTGCTTAATGGAACAAGAGCCCAGCATTGTCCCGGCCTATCCCCCAGGTGCAGTCACACAGTAGGTACAGTCCTGGACTTCATTCTCAGCAGGAGGGGCAACAAGAACTCCTCAGGAGGTAACCACGATGTCGCTCCCTGGCTAGGTGCTGGGAAGCCCAATTAGGATAGTTGTGAGTGCTCTCTGGGGTCTGAAAGTGTTCTGTTTCTCCCTTGGGATTAGAAGAGTGCTTGCAAGGCGTCTTTTTGGGTGATGGCCATTGCTGAGCTGTGCTGTGCTGTGCCGGTGACTGACAGGTTCCTCTCCTCTAACCCAGCCAGGCCCTCATGGACGAGAGTGCACTCAGGTGTACTGCACCCCCTTCCATCCTCACTGCAGCCCTGAGCTGGGTGGGGCAGCATGTGGGAGTGAGCCAGGAAGATGGGGCACAGGGGCTTCCCGGGGACTGCAGGGCAGGCGGCAGCAGGGAGGGCATCGGGAGGAGGTGAGCTCCTGTGGACTTCCATCAGCTCCTCCTCGAACCCGCATCTGCACCGTGCGTGCCTTGGCCAGGCCAGGACTTGGGAGCGCCTGGCTCTTCCTTCTGAGCCTGGCAGGGTGCTGCTGTAGGAGATGGCCTCCCCCTGGATCTGGCTCCTTCCCCACCTGAAGCTTCACTCCCAGGGCAGAGCCCATGTCTGTAGGCTCCGCCTGCATGAAGAACAGAGGGCAGAGTGAGCACAGACAGCCTGGGGTCAGAGGGGAAGTGTCCGGCAACTGTGAACTTTGTCACTGACATCATCCCAAAGAGAAAGGGCTGAATAGTCCCATCTCCACTTTTGGAGTCTTTTTCAAAGCGTGGGTAACCTCCAGGTGCCTCCTAGGATGTGTGGTATGTGGCTGTGTGGCAAACGCGGCCTGGGAACAAGTGTTACTCTGTGAGGAGCAGTTCAGTGGGAGAAGGCCATTTCCCTGCAGGAGTCATACAGAAAGCTACGCTGAAAGTCAAATGAGGGAGCTGGCCTTGGTCCACATACTCAGCGAGCATGCAGGAGAGGTGTTCGCAGGCGCACTGAGTGGCTGGCTTTGGTGTTAGAGTGAGTGACATCGCGATCTGACTGAGGTGCTCCCTCACTCCTGCCACAGGAAAATCCATGAATAACGTTGAGAAGCCCCTGGAGTTTCGAGAGGCTACTAGAAGCCATGGTCCTTGGAACAACGTGGCCACTGTGAGCCGAAGGAAACCGGGTGACTCGGGGTACCGGCTACAGAGGGCTCTCCCCTCTTCAGGAATTCCCAGGCAGGGCTGTTGAGCCTCGGGATGCAGTGTCCTTGAGTCTCGAGGTGTCGAGGAGAGGCTGGAGGAGGACGTGGGTTCTGCGTTCCTGGTTGGTGCGCTGTCACCCCTCTTCACGGAATCCACCCAGACTGGTCCTCAGCCTTGTGGTAGCACAAATGAATGCAGTAAAAATGCTTGTTGGCCTCAACTGTGACTTGTACCAGCGTTCACAGAATACTGCACTGAACCTCAAATCTTGTTATTATAAAATTCTAAGAATGTCAGAAATCAGAAGAGTTTTAGAAATCAAGTGTTTATTCCACTAAAGGACCTTTTTTTGATTTAAAAAAGTTCTCAGCCGGGTGCAGTGGCTCACACCTATCATCCTAGCACTTGGGGAGGTGGAGGCAGGAAGATTGCTTAGTCTAGGAGTTCAAGACCAGCCTGGGCAATGTAGTGAGACCCCCATGTCTACAATCAATCAGTCAACACAAAAATACATAAATAAATAAGGTTCTCATATTGGCTGGGCACGGTGGCTCACACCTGTAACCCCAGCACTTTGAGAGGTTGAGGCAGAGGGGTTGCTTGAGGTTAGGAGTTTGAGATCATCCTGGGCAATGTAGTGAGACCCCATCTCTACAAAAAAAAAAAAAAAAAAAAATTAACCAGGCACATGGATGTGCACCTGTAGTTCCAGCTACTCAGGAGGCTGAGGCGACAGGATCGCTTGAACCCAGGAGTTCAAGACTTAAATGAGCTATGCTCAACACTGCACTCTAGCCTGGAGTTTCTTAAAAAAGAAAACTTAAAAAAAAGAGAACTTAAAAAGCATAACTGTTCTCATATTTACTTAGACATTCACTTATTCCTAGGAGTTATATTAGCATGATGTAGAAGAAGAGACATTAGTTTGAGAGCCTGGGAACCTGAGTTCTTAGCCTGACTCCAACTGGGTATGTAGCATTGTAAATTGACTTAGTGTCTCTGGGGCCTCAGTTTTCCCATCTATAAAATGGGAAGACCAATTGGCTGATCGCTGAAGCCTTCTCTGGTCTGTGAAATGGTAACACCAATAATGATGCTGAAGTATTTTGGGAACTGTGGGGGTGGAAGGCTATTAGCCCAACTTGCTTTTAAGCTTAGCAGAAGAACAAATGGCTCCAAGGAATCTATTAAACCTTTTGCATAATTAAGTATATCCTGTAATCAGTGCTAACAAGAAAGAGCTAATCTTTCATTAAATTAGTTTTTAATTTAATTCTATGCTAATTTAATTTTGCATCACTTAAAATGTATGTTTTTAAATGGATGTTTACACGCTGTTGCAGGCGGCTGTGAAATTAATTCATTCTTCGCTTAACCTGCCAACCTGAGCGCCCGGTATTCCAGTTCCTTGGCAATTGTTGCCAACGCCACAATTCTCTTAAAGCATTTCTTAGATTCCCTGGTGATTTGGTTGAATGCTTAAAAAAAAAAAAAAAAAAAAAAAAAAAAAAAAAAAGGCAACACAACAAACAGCTTGCTTAATGAAGGGCTAGATTAGTAAGGTGTATGTGCAGTTAGAATTGGGTGCTGATATGGAAATAAAACATCTTGTTAAGTTACCCTGTTAAAAGTCCTACTTTCCTCTAGCACATCGTGGTTTGTTAGTGGATTTCCTGTATCTACCTGTAACTCCAAGAACTGAGCATGCGTCATGAGAGGACTTGGACTGAGAAGTTTTGCACCTGCCTAGTGGTTACCTGGTGTCCAAAAATAAGGAGTTAAGCCGTCTCTACTAGTTGTCAAGAAAAACCTCTATTTGTTTGCAGCAAACGTGGCTGCCATCGGCACCTGCCCTGGTTTTCCAGACTGGGTGGATGGATGCTGGTGGCCGCAGCTGTTAAAGTGATCACAGCCTCAGCTCCTTCCTTTGCTGGTACAGACAGCCACCTGTGGCCCTTTTGTGGCTTTCCACTTCCAGAAGAAGGCTGAGGAATCTGGGGCCCCTCTTTCTGCAGAGAGCAACTCAGGCCATCCTTCGTCTGTGCTGGCGTCAGTCCCAGCTTCCTGCAGCTGGGAGGTGGGAGGAAGGAGCCAGAGTCTGCTGAGGTGGCAGGATCTGCGAGCCGCCTGAACCCGCACACTGTCTAGCTCTTGGCCTGCTGCCCTCAGATTGACTGGCCCAGGAAGCTCTGCTCCTGGGAAAGGAAGCCAGGGAAGTGGTATAAGGATGCTTCTGAACCCTTGGCCCTATCTAGAAACCACTTTATGCTTTCAGGGATTCTCCTCTTTCCAGTGACTCCATGTTTCAAGAACCTTCTTTGCGTGTGTGTGACAGGTGGGAACTTTGAGTGGCCTGCAGATTCGAGCAGTCATTCTGGAGGAAGAAATGAGGCTGTTTGGAGTTCTGGGTCTGCTCTCAGAGAGCAAAAGGCAGAGTGAGGCCCTATCTCCTTGAACCTTAGCCAATTAAATCTGGGTTTAGTGGCCCAGGCGCAGTGGCTCACACCTATAATCCCAGCACTTTGGGAGGCTGAGGTGGGAGGATTTTGGGGCTGCAGTGAGCTATGATGGCACCACTGCATTCCAGCCTGGGCGACAGAGCAAGGCCTTGTCTTTCTTTTTAAAAAATTAAAAAATCTGGGTTTGGAGGCCTAGAGTTGGGTGGGGGAGTGTCAATCCCAACCCCACTCTAACCCCTCCTGAAAGCCACAGGAAGCATCTACTAAATGTCCTCAAACAGGGTTCTGCAAGCCTTTAAAAGAATCTTTCTTTTTTTTTTTTTTCCAGACTGTGTCTCACTCTGTCACCCAGGCTGGAGCACAGTGGCACGATCTTGGCTCATTGCAACCTCGGCCTCCCGGGTTGAAGCGATTCTCCTGCCTCAGCCTCCTGAGTAGCTGGGATTACAGGCACCTGCCACCGCGCCAGGCTGATTTTTGTATTTTTAGTAGAGACGGGGTTTCACCATATTGGCCAGGCTGGTCTGGAACTCCTGACCTCAGTTGATCCACCCTCCTCGGCCTCCCAAAGTGCTGTGATTACAGGCGTGAGCCACCACGCCCCAGCCCAGAATCTTTCTTTAGAGTCAAGAATCAGGTCACAGGCACCCATGTCCCATGGCAGGAGCTGGCTCCTGTGGCCTAGGTCAGAAAGGTTTTTCGGTAGCAAAACCCAAAATCGAAAAGTCACAGCCCCTTTTATCTAGAATAAACTGAGACTCTTGTTTGTTGAGCATTTTGCTTTTCTGTCGTTGTGATTGTGGTTTTGTAACTTAAAATTTGCCAGGTGAAAACACTACACACAAATAAGGTCTCCTTGGCCTATGGTCTATTTTGCCAGTCCTATAGTACAGGCAAATGCTATATACTCCAGCAAAATAAAAATTTTAAAAAAACTTGAATCCAAGCCATTTTAGCTCAACAAATGTTTATTTAAAATTTATCTTAAAAACAAAACAAAACAAAAACAGCAACTAGTTGGGTCTCTGATTTCTCATTCAGTGTAAAGCTGTGACCTCCCAGGCATAGCAGGTCAAGTTGAAACTTAAGACAGCTGTCCAGGTAATTCAGGCCAAAATCTTGTTGCAGAAGAAAAATGATTCAGGCTTGTTTTTGAACTGAATTTTCCGATGTTTCCCTACCCCCTTTAAATGTACAGTTTTTGGTTCCCTTCCCCTTCGTTGATACAGCAGGATTCTTTTTAAGACAACAATAAAGAATAATGTCTTTGGAATCTGCATAGGTTTTTGTTTTTTTTAATGCAGGGGACAATATTCTTGATTAGTTGGCTTTTTAGAGACCCATGTAAAATAATAACAGTATTATCAAGAAGTTGTCTATTATTGGGCCTTTTTTAAGCTTCCTTGCTTCCAGCCGTGTTGTCTTCATTATCCTCGCGGACTCCTGCCTGCTTTGGGGTGACTCAAGCCATTTGTCTGGTCCTTCCTTCCTGTCTTTATGTGGAGACGTCTCAGCTGTCCAGCAGGCAACTGACTGTGTTTTTGAAATGACTTTATTTTTCAGATGTCGAACTCTCTCAGGTTCACCCAGACCAAAGAATTTTAAGAAGATTCATTTTATCAAGAACATGCGGCAACACGATACCAGGAATGGCAGGTACTACATTCACACAGAAGCGGCTGCCAGCACCAGTGGGTGGAGACAGGGACTGGAGGAGGGGACAGTTTTAGTGGCCAAAACTCAGCAAACGCAAGCCCACACTTTTAAGATGAGCAGGATCTCATGGAACCTTCCCCGACAATTTCCACCCCACTCATGCCAGAATCACCAAAAGCAATCTGTAGAGAATAATGAATGCTCTCTAAGGCGAAGTGAGATGTTTAGAACAGAAACAAACTGAGTTTTTGAGAACACATGAACGGATTTTTATAGAAACCTTTGAACAGAAAAACAGTTGAGTTTTGGGGAGTTTTATTTGTTTATCTGCTTTGTTGGTTTTGTTTTCGTTTTTCACTACCACTGTGTGCTCTGGTCAATAAATGCCCTCCCAGATATGCGCCTGAACTTAGTTTGGGTCCTGGCTTTAACTCTCTTTTTAGGAGAGTAGAATCATTACTTTGCTGGCAGATTCTTCCTCAGTGCTGATCCTGCTTCCTGGGCCAGCCAACATCTGGAGTATGTGTTTCTCCAGCTCTTCAGCTGCTCGTTTGGAAAGCACCATTAAATAAAACTGGTTGAAATTTATATGACCGTGATATTAAAACCTTCCAGACAACAGATAGATCAGAATCATTGTTGCCAGCATGCTCATGATTGGATGGCTAAGTCCATTCATCTCAGCTCCAATGGTGCATGGGGACAGAGTCCAAGACCTCTGGGGTCCCTGGTGCTGTGTAACCCTTGGGGGCAGTTGCTCCCCACTGACTTGAATGGGTGAGTTAGAGACGCCATCCAGAGCTGAGGTCCTGCTGCAGAAGACTCTCTTGTTTGATCTCCTAATTTATAGAAGACCATATGGGCCCCACTAATACTCTCTAATCCATACAAAATGAAAATTGCTAAAAAGTCTTTTAGTTAGACTCATTAAGGCCCAGCATGACTGTAAGTCGCGAGTAAAGTACCCTGTACAGCCTGTATAATAACCCACAACAATTACAGTTTTTACAGGCTCATTATCTTGAAGTTTATGCCTAGTTTTAAAGCCTTATAAGGACAGGGAACATGATTTTATAACAGTTGCAGTGGTTTCAGAATAGCAAAATTGAGCTTTCCAAATGATTTTTACATCGTCAGTATATGTTCATATTTTAAGTACAATGCTTTTAGTTTAAATTTACCAAGTTATTTGTTAAATCGAATACTCTGAATTTCTCTCTCTCACCCTTTTTTTCGCTGACACTTAAGAATTATTGTGCTTTATTTAACCATTGCTATTGTTTTCTTTTGAGGCTTTTACTTACAGAATACAGAGCTTACTCATGCCATTTTAGTGTAATTATCTACCATTGGTTTACATTTATGTTTTTGTTCATGATCTCTTTAACCGTAACATAAATGTAGAAAGCCTTTAATTTCTCAATGAAATCAATGACAAAGCCAAAGGAATGGGTCAAGGAGTAGTGTTCCCACCTCTGATGCTAGCTGGCACGGCACAAAGTCAGACAATTACCCCAGCATGGTTAGGTAGTGAGAGGATACAGTTAATAAAAGACTTGGATTAATGAGATTTCCAAAGAACATTACGGAGCCACCTTCCCCAGCACACTCTTGACCTAAGAGAACGTAAACAGCAAAGCCCGCAATTGCTGGCAGTTTTGCTGGGGAGTTTTCAGGGGGAGCCAAGAGGATTCTTAGCTTATCTGAATATCTGAGAATTGGAATTTAGGGCAGGAAAGAAAGCTCTAGGGCCTGTGTGGGAACCGCAGGCTGTAGGCTGAGGCCACGGCGGGTCGTATGCCCAGGTGAGAGCTGGTTTTCTTGTGCAAAGGGCAGATGAAAGGGCCGGCAGGAGGGGCTGGCCCTCCCACTTGAGGTTTATTAGCAAGGAGGGATTGTCCTTAGACAGATGAAAGTGAGAGCCTGGGAGGAAGCCAGGAAGAAAATACGATTTCTGAGGTGACAGAAGGAAATTGTAGTCGAGAGCTGATGAATGAGAGGACATGACCCAGCCTTTCGAGAGAGGAATGCAGAAGCTCTGCCCCACAGCATTTGGGCAGCAGGAGCAGAATCTCCTGCTGGAGGCAGCCGGGGCGTTGGGTGAGCCCAGTCCCTGAAATGACAGGTAGGAGGGGTTCTGGTCATGGTCTCAGAGGGAGGGACCCCTGTGCTGGCTTAGGGGTCTCCGATCCCCCCACCTCAGAAATGGGAGGTGAGTGTGTGGCACCTGCACGTTCCCCAAGGCCCCTGCAGGCTCCCTCCCTGCTTGCGCAGCCTCAGTCACATCTGTGCATTGGGCTGTGCCCAGCTCCTGAGTCTCCTTGGGACCCCTGATGAGCACAGCCCAGGCTCTCAGTCTGCGGGCCAGATCCACGGCTGATTTGCTCTTCTGACCCTGAAAACGCTGGCATGGAGGCTCCCGCGTCCCCAGACCTGCTGACCGTGTGATAGAGGCCCCAGTATTGAGGAGGATTTGGACTTCTCATCTCAGCAAGGACCAGAGTGCAGCTCAAGAAATGAACAGGGAGCCTCTGTTGTGATACTCACGTCTGACCTAACCAAGAGTTTCAAGCACATTTTGAGACAGAAAGGGGAAAACATGCTTTTAAAACTGAGAACCAGATATAATAAAAGACAATACTTGTGGCATTGAAAAAACAAAACAAAAAACTTAAATATACCTCGTGATCAATATCAGAGTAGCTGCTTAGAAATAAACCTTGGGGCCTGAGACAGCTCCATGTTCACCCGTGAGGAATCACTTCACCCTGTGACACTGGACCACAAATCCCAGCCGGCATGCAAAGTGGAAGTGAACGCCTTCCGCGGAAGTACGTGGTTGCGATGGAGGATGGAGTTTGCCTTCTGTAAAAACTCTCTTCATCTCTCTGGCGTCTGAATTCCGTGAGTCTGGCATTGGGACCTTCTAGAGGGCTTGGTGTGCAGATACAGTGCGGAGGAGCCAAGCTGAGGGTGCTTTGGGGTCATGCTACAAATCGTTGGGCCAGGTGGAGGCTAAGGAGGACAGTGCCCAACAGATCGCAGACCAGCCAGATGGAGCGGAGGGAATGTCAGTACCACTGCTAGAACCAGAGCGTGGCAGGAGCTCTTGGCTGGCCCTGCTGGGTGTTTCGTCTCCTAGCAGGTAGGGAAAGCCATGAGGGATGCTGCTCTCAGCAACAATTCTGCCTTAACAGAGAAGGCAGACCAGTCCTCAGGACCTGGAGGGAGGTCATGTTGTGGACTTCATAGCTGGAAAAGAACACTGGATTTTAGGAACACGGTCGCAGAAAGTTTAGACTAAGAAGTAGATTCTTCTGGGTTGGAGCATATTTCCAGAAGAGATGATAAAGTTACAAGGATGATAAGATGGTAATAGATGCCTTGATTGTTTGCTGGGTGCCAGGCTCTAAGTTTTTAACATGCATTGTTTTGGACCAGGCATGGTGGCTCATGCCTGTAATCCGATAACTTTGGGAGGCTGAGGCAAGTGGATCGCTTGAGCTCAGAAGTTCAAGACCAGCCTGGGCAGCGTGGTGAAACCCCGTCTCTACAAAAAAAATACAAAAATTAACCAGGCACGGTGGCATGCGACTGTGGTCCCAGCTATTAGGGAGGCTGAGGTGGGAGGATTGCTTGAGTCTGGGGGATGGAGGTTGCCGTGAGCCGAGATCACACCACTACACTCCAGCCTGGGTGACAGAGCAAACCCTGTCTCAAAAACAAAAACCCAAAATATAAACATGCTTTGTTTCATTAACTCAAAACTCAGTAGGTGTTTGTCAAATAAATGAGTAGAGATGCCTTTTAAATGAGTTTGTCTTCAGGACTAGATCTCGAGGAATGGAAAGAATTTAGAAATACAAATAATCCTTGAAACAGCCTGAGTAGGGCATTACTGTCTAGTGGCAGGCAGAGTAATGGCCCTCAGAGATATCCACATCCCATCCCCAGGACCTGTTACTGTGTTAGGTTACATGGCAAAGGGGAACTGAGGCGCAAATAAGCTGACCTTTAAATGGGAGTTTATCCTGGATTATTTAGGTGGCCCCAGTGTAGTTACAGAGCCCTTAAAAGCGGAAGAAGGAGGCAGGATCGTCAGTGTCAAGAGTGATGCAATAGGAGAAAGACTCCTCTGGCTTTGCTGGCTTTGAAGGTAGAGGATGGAGCCATAAACCAAGAAATGCAGGCAGCTGCTAAGAATCTGGAAAAGGCAAGAAAACCAATTCTCCCTACAGCCTCCCATGGGAACCAGCTCTGCTAACACCTCGGTTTTAGCTCCATGAGTCCCATTTCCAAGTTCTGACCTCCAGAATTGTAAGATAATACATTTGTGTTGTTTTAAGTCACTAACTTTGTGGCAGTTAGTTCTGCAACCGTAGGAAACTAAAACATTCATGATCCCGAGAGTGGGAAGTAGAATTCACATCCAGGCATCAGATTGCAAAGTTCATTGTCTCCATTGACGAGAATGTGGGAGATGAAAATCCATATGCAGTAAGATAGTGTGTCATGGTGGACTTAAAGAAAATTCCCTCTTGCATTCTGATTTTTTAAAAATCATTAGCTTAAGGCCAAGGATTAATTTTTAAAATGGCTTAAGCAAACTTACAAGAATGGGGTGAGGGAGACTAAAGTCTAGATGAACTCGATTGTTAAAAAGAAAATAAAGTTGGAACTGTCATACATTGCTGGTGGAATATAAAATGGTGCAGACACCGTGGGAAAGTTGGGTGGTTCTTCAAAAAGTTAAACATAAAATTACGATACAATTAATTGCTAGTTGTAATTAATTACCTAGCAATTAATTGCTAGTTGTATACCCAGAAGAATTGAAATAGGTATTCAGACAGATATTTATACACCAATGCAGTGTTATTCATAATAGCTAATAGGTGGAAACAACCCCAGTGTCTCAGCAGATGCATGGATAGACCATGTGCTGTATCCATACAATGGAGTAGTATTTGGCCATGAAAAGGAATCAGTACTGATACATGCTACAATGTGGATGAATCTTGAAAATAAGCTGAGTGAAATGAGCCAGTCACAAAAGGTCAAATGTCATATGACTCCATTTAATTGAAATATCCAGAATAGTCCATAGAGACAGAAGGTGGTAGGTAAGAGGTAACCAGGGGTTAGGGCAAGAGGGAATTATTGCTTAATGAGTACAGAGTTTCTATTAGGGGTGATGGAAAAGTTTTAGGAATACACAGTGATGATGGTTGCCCAACATTGTGCATGTACTTAATGACACTGAATAGCACACTGATTAGATGGCATTTTATGTTTTATATATGTGTATATATTTTTTCCCACAATAAAATAAAACACCAGTAATAGCCATAGGCTATTACTATTAAGACAATGGTCAGAAGCAGAAGGGAAAGGATGGCGAATTTCCTGGGATGATGGTACGGGTTCAGCAGATGTCAGCTGCTGGCCTGCTTTTAACTTCCTCACCAAGTAGAACTGGAAGTGCAGACTCTAAACAAAGCCACGTACCAGGCACACAGTAGGCACTCAGCAAGTGTTTGTTGAATAAACAGAGAGGCCTTTTAAGTGAATTGTAGTCATCAGGGCTAGATCCTGGAGAATAGAAAGAATTTGGAAATACAGATGATCTTTAAAGTGCCATGGAGAATGAATGAAGTTTTAAGTCTGATACCAAGCAAAGATTGCCTTACAGTGGAAAAAAGTGTGAGGGTAATGGGAGAGGGTAGATTTTTTTTTTTAGATGGAGTCTCACTCTGTCTCCCAGGCTGCAGTGCAGTGGTGTGATCTCGGCTCACTGCAAACTCCGCCTCCTAGGTTCACACCATTCTCCTGCCTCAGCCTCCCGAGTAGCTGGGACTACAGGCACCCGCCACCATGCCCAGCTAATTTTTTTATACTTTTTTAGTAGAGACGGGGTTTCACCATGTTAGCCAGGAAGGTCTCGATCTCCTGACCTTGTGATCCGCCCGCCTTGGCCTCCCAAAGTGCTGGGATTACAGGCGTGAGCCACCGTGCCCGGTCAGGAGAGGGTAGATTTTAATAATCATAGACTGGCAAGCCTAGAGCTGATGCTTAGCAGTTTGAGAACAGACGGTTTGTGTGGAGGTTGCTAGCAGTCAACGTGAGTTCACTAAGAAAATGTCATGTCCCATCAACTTCGACTCCTCATTGATGGAATAACTTAGTTAAGTGAGGAAGTGCCATGGACATTGCATATCTAGATTGCGGCAAAATGTCAGTTTATTCCTCACTATCGCATGTCCCTGTGGATAGAGCAGTGAGAAGGGCCGGGTGATTGTGAAGCTGGAGTTTCTGCAGGTGGCTGAAATTTGTCAGCTGACCATCATCAGCCTGAGGGCGAGTTTGAATAGAATAGCATGTGGTATTCCCGCCAGCGTTATCTCCTGCAGCCAGTTATCTCCTGCAGCATAGATGAGTGATTTGAGTGATTGGCGTAAAGGCCCAGAAGCCTCGTAGTCAGCCATGTGGAAAGCTAAAAGCAGGGAGAGCAGAAGCAGGAAGGAGCATTACAGATGAGAACCAAGATGCAGATACTTCATTCACTGGAAATGCTAGAGCCAGTCCACTGAGATTAAACTGAGCAAGGAGAAATGTAATTCAGGTGGACTGCTGATTATAGCGCAGGATACAGATTTTTTAGTACACATGAAAAATACCTTGGCATTTAGGACAGTGTGTTCCACCCCAGGCTCACAATGCAATGCCAATACAGAGGGAGCTAATTTAGTTTGTCCTGATGGAAGGCTAGTATCACAGAAGGCTGGTGTCGCCTTTGCACCCAACCAGGGCGGGTCCCATCTGTGGTGTTGCCATCAGCATGCATGTCGTGTCATAGAAAGCTAGATGTGTATTAGGATGGTCCCCCAGCAGTGGACTTTGTGGAAGGAGTTGTGATGAACCTTGAAAATAAGCTGAGTGAAATGAGCCAATCACGAAAGGTCAAATGTCATATGACTCCATTTATATGAAATAACCAGAATAGTCCATACAGACAGAAAGTAGATAAGAGGTTACCAGGGTTTAGGGCAAGAGGAATTATTGCTTAATGACTCTCCAGATACAAGGTGCCCAATAATAAGGCAGTTCCTTAACTACATGCACTGTAGGAACATGTGTCCTCGGTCCACCCCACACATGTTTGCTGGCACCTACTCTGTGACTATTGGGATGTATCCATGAATAAAACAGGTTACATCCCAATAGGGAGGGAAATGATACATGTGCACAGGTGAAAGATGAGATAATGTGCCATGGAGAGAGACTGAGGCAGCCAGGGTTGGGGAAGGACACTCTGGGGCAATGGGGAGACCTGACAGTGGAGGTGTGAGGGAGGTGAGGGAGGTGAGGGAGCCAGCCCTGGGGCTATCCCAGTGGGGAAGCGCATGCGCCCTGATGGAACAGCAGTCATGGAGACGCTGAGGCGGAAGGGCCGGGGTGTGTTTGAGGAACTTTAGGAAAGCCCGCATGGTGGAGGTGATTGAGAGGAAGGAAGGAAGGAAGGAAGGCGAGATGAGCTCTGATAAGTTGGTGGTGACTGCGGAGGTCCGTCTGGTTGTGAGCAAGGTGGGAACCACGCAGTGTGCTGAGCAGAGGTACGAGTGATCTGACTCGCCTTGGAACACAGTCACTCTGGGTGACCAAAAGTCAGGGGTGGGCATTGCGGGTCATTTTGGTAAACTTATCTTCCCTGTAGAAAATGAGAGGGTGGGTGGGTATTATCTTCTAAAAGAGTTCATTTGGATATGAAGTTCAAAAGCAACTCAAGATCTTTTTGAAAAGCTGGTCACAAATGTCCAAGCAAGCCTTTTGTCAAAGAAGAGAGGTGGCTGGCGGCCCAGTGCCACAGCATCTGGAACGGGCCTTTGAACCTCCTGCTGAGGAGGGCAGTTGGCAAGTGGAACCTGCTGCTTATTGTAAGAGGAGAGCCAGTCACCATGGGCTCTAACCTGCATCTTCACTGAGAACCCTACTTGTGTGCCACAGTGGAGGCTAAACAGAAGTGAAGATAAATCTCAGTTCCCAGCCATTAGATACACCCTTGAAGAAGACAGACATTTACACAGCCTCGCTCATTGCTGGCCAGGAAGGACTGACGCATCAGAAGGACAGCAGAGATTCTGAGTATAAAGACTGGAGACACTCGGCCAGGGCGTGGTGGCTCACGCCTGTAATCCCAGCACTTTGGGAGACTGAGGCAGGCAGATCATGAGGTCAGGAGATCGAGACCATCCTGGCTAACACAGTGAAACCCCATCTCTACTAAAAATACAAAAAAATTAGCCGGGCATGGTGGCGGGTGCCTGTAGTCCCAGTTACTCGGGAGGCTGAGGCAGGAGAATGGCGTGAACCCGGGAGGCGGAGCTTGCAGTGAGCCGAGATCGCACCTCTGCACTCCAGCCTGGGAGACAGAGCAAGACTCCATCAAAAAAAAAAAAAAAAGACTGGAGACACTCAGTGGCTTTTGTGACATTTATGTCTAGTGACCCTCACGGTCCTGTTAAGAAAGGACCTTTCGTCTTGGTGCTCCCAGTTCTTGAGACTCATGAACCTCTGTCTTGAAGAGCGACAGAGCCCTCGTTTCATGTGGGTGTCTCCTCCCTCTGTCACGTGCCTGCATGGGCTTTACTGGGTGTCCTTTTGAAGTCATCTGGGTGTTGAATGTTGGCATGGCATGCAGGAGATGGCTTCATGTGCCCTGGAAGTGCCGCCTCCTGGGTCTGCTTCAAGAATCATTTCATTGTGAACAGGTAGAGAAATGTCCTCAGCAGTAAGTCGACTGAGCTATCTCCTCCCTTGGGAGGAATTTTCAAAGAGATGTAAAAGGATTTGAGATGGAAGTGGATAAAGAACTGAGCCAGAGTGTTTTCTCTTTAAAGTATGAACCAATAGGATATGTTAAAAAAAAAAAAAAGAAAGAAACACGTTAAAAGACTTCAGCACCCTTTATCTGCATTTTAAAGGAAGATGGTAAAAGTACAGTGACTGAAGTCAAGCTGGAGCCTTTCCTTGTTGCACCAAAACATTTTGGAGGGAAAAAGGGGATGGGTCATAACTAAATTAAGACCTTGTTTGTGATCTCATCAGTTCCAAGCTGTCGGCCTAATTTAGTTTGAAAAACGACTTGGAGGAAGTGGCATGTTTCAAAAAATAAAACGGCTCGTTACCAGCCCCGGACTGGCCTTTTTGAAAGAAGAAAAATGTCATTGCTTTTTCTCCCTAAAATGAACCCGTCCAGTTTGATAGAAGTCAAGCATCTTCTGTGGGGCACCTTGCAACACGGACCCTTTCCTGAGCTGGCTTTTTTTCCTCTCGGAGATTTTGTTTTTGTGAAAAGGCTAGCACCTGCCATCCCCTCAGTGGCAGAAGGCGGCAGGAAGCATCTTTATCCTTGTCATCATCGGTGTTTATGATCAGTTCTTAACAAAACCCCAGTCTAGGAGGACAGGGAGTGGACAGCCTGAAGACGCCTCCAGGACTCCCCAGACCTCACTGGGGCTCCGGTTCCAGGCTCTTCCTTCACTGAGATGGTCCCCAGAGCTGCTCACAAGTCTCACCATCGCATTTCCTTGGCTTTATTCACCTGGCACTAAGTGGCGGAAGCGGGGAGAGAAGCTGGCATGCAGGGCAGTCACTCGGCACTGAGAATACTGGTGTCCAGTTCCCGGCGGTGTGCTGGGTCAGCACCACACGCACCTGGTTTTATTATTCATGCCTCTTTAAATAGCATGGAGGTGAGGCTGGCTGCTTCTGTAGTGTTGCATGAGGCTTTTGAGATAAATGATTTTCAATCAACAGAATCAATAGCAGCTGTGCTCAGTACCTCGCGCTTGTGTACGGGTTTGCGACTGAAAAGCTCACAGCCTGTGGGTGCTTGTTGCTGCTTTTCCACCAGTTTGATTTGAAGAAATAAAAGCAGTCACAGAGGAAAGGTAAAAGAGTTGGAAATTGTTTCAGATTGGACAGAACCTTCCCTTGGCGGTTGTATTCATCTGTTCTTATGCTGCTGATAAAGACCTACATGAGACTGAGCAATTCGTCTCTTCTCACGCTGCTGATTCGTCTGTTCTCACACTGCTGATTAAGACATACCTGAGACTGAGTAAAAAAAGAAAAAGAGGCTTAATGGATTCACGGTTCCATACGGCTGGGGAGGCCTCACAATCATGGCGGAAGGCAAAAAGCACATCTTACATGGCAGCAGGCAAGAGAGAATGAAAGCCAAGCAACAGGGGTTTCCCCATATAAAACCAACAGATCTCCTGAGACTTATTCACTACCATGAGAACAGTATTTGCGAAACTGTCCCCATGATTCAGTTATCTCCCATCGGGTCCCTCCCACAACATGTGGGAATTATGGGAGCTACAATTCAAGATGAGATTTGGGTGGGGACACAGCCAAACCCTATCGGCAGTTCTGTTTTAATCTTCTGCTTAGCCTGGGAGCCCAGAGGAGACATCAGTCCTTGGTCTGCACCATTGGTCTGCAACACATTGAGAAGAAAACAGTAATTATAGCTAGCAGATGACTCAGGGCTGGACCACACTTCAGGATGCAGCTACCAGGGCTGTTCTGGCTGAGCAGGAGGGGAGGGAATTCCAAAAGGACTTCATTCCTGACTTTTTTTTTTTTTTTTTTTTTTTTGAGACGGCATCTCCCTCTGTCACCCAAGCTGGAGTGCAGTGGTGTGATCTTGGCTCACTGCAACTGCAGCCTCCATCTCCTGGGTTCAAGTGATTCTCCTGCCTCAGCTTCCCGGATAGCTGGGATTATAGGTGTCTGCCACCACGCCCAGCTAATTTTTGTATTTTTAGTAGAGACAGAGTTTCACCATGTTGGCCAGGCTGGTCTTGAACTGCTCACCTCAGGTGATCTGCCCACCTCGGCCTCCCAAAGTGCTAGGATCACAGGCTTGAGCCACCATACCTGGCCGGACATTCTCACTTCTGTGACACCAAACTCTTCTTGTTTTCTCCTTACCTTAGCCCCCAAAATTCCTGTGTTGAGGTCCTAACTCCCTGTACCTCAGAATGTGAGTTTATTTGGAAACAGAGTTGTGGCAGATGTAATTCACTAAGATGAGGTTATACTGGAGTAGGACGGGCCCTAATCCAATACGACCGATATCCTTATAGAAAGAGGAAATTGAAGCCAGGTGTCGTGGCTCACATCTATAGTCCCAGCAATTCTGGATGGCCGAGGCAGGAGGATCACTTGAGCACAGGAGTTCAAGGCAGCAGTGAGCTAAGATCATGCCACTGCCCTCTAGTCTAGGTGATGGAGCAAAAGCCCCAGTCTCTTGAAGTAAGGGAAAACTGGGGCTCAGAGGCACACGGGGAGAATGCTGTGTGAAGATTGGAGTGATGCTGTCACAAGCCATGGAGCCACCAGTAGCCAGGAGACAGGCCTGGAGCAGACCCCTCCCCAGTGCCTTCAAATGGAGCATGGGCCTGCTGACACCTTGATTTTGGACTTCTGGCCCCCAGAACTGTAAGACAATACATTTCTGTGGTTTAAGCCACCCAGTTTGTGGTGCTCTGACTTCGTGAGCTTTTCTGCCCATCTGACAGCGCCTGCCTGCCTTCCTCCCTGCCCACCGTCCTCCCGCCCCGTCCCAGACCCTCCTCGCTCCTCATCCCACTCCACTCCTGTGAGTGCTCCTCCACACCATGGCTGCAATCCCCACCTTAAGCTGGGGACTCCCAAACCCCGACTTCCCCACAGGGCTCAGGAGGCCTTTCTCCAGCCAGCCTCACATTTGGACTCATGCTTCTCCCCCATGCCACCCTCAGCTACGCTGAATTATTCACAGTAATCGCTTGGTTGGGGAAAAGGTTAGTAAATGCCAAAGGAAATACCCACAGAAATCTCCTACACAGCTTAGATGTTGTGCTGGCATTTAAGGCCCATGAGTGATGGTCCATTCTGCAGCTTTTCATGCCATGCCTTTCCTTTGTGTGGGGGTCCACAGATCAGAGTCTGTCTGTGGCATCGACTTCCTTATGTCCTCATTGTTCCCACCCATTGCTGGGATGTCCACGTTGGACTTCTCAAAAGTGGCCCAAGAATCTAAGTGCAAAATCTGTTTGGATTTTTACAATTTTTTCCTAATCTTTTACAGTCTTGGTCATTCCTATTTCAACTGCAATTTTTTTCAATGACTTGCCTTGTGTGAATATTTTTTAAAGCATCCAGTATTAAACAAAAAATTTAAACAGCATTTCTGTTCATTTTCACATTCTTTAGTTTGTGCACCTTTTTTTTTTTTTTTGCGACGGGGTCTTGCTCTGTCACCCAGGAATACAGTGGCACAATCATAGCCCACTGCAGCCTTGAACTCCTGGGCTCAAGCAATCCTTCCACCTCAGCCTCTTGAGTAGCTGGGACTACAGGCGTGTGCTACCACACCCAGCTGATTTTTTTTCTTCTTAGTAGAGACAAGGTCTCATTATGTTGCCCAGGCTGGTCTCAAACTCTTGAGTTCATGTCATCTCCCACCTTGGCTTCCCAAAGTTCTGGGATTACAGATGTGAGCCACGGTGCCCAGCAGTGCACAGTCTTTAATAAACAAGTACAAATATAAATGATAATACAACTGACATAAACAGGATTAGGTCATATATAAGGGACCCTTAGTAAGTGCACAGCTCAGTGGGGGTTGGTGGCGAACAGCCTGCCAGCCCGAGTTTTGCGTGAGTCAGGGGTGTTGGTCAAAGCGTTGTACAGAGGGGAGTGGAAACGCTGGTGAGTCAGGCACGTGGAGGTCCGTGAACATTTATTATTCACTCAGTTCCTTGAATAGGCTGAATGCTCTTTGTCCCAACCTTGACTCATGCCAGTTTTCCCGCCAGCATATCTTCTCACTGTAGACTGGTTGCCACTTATCCCTGAGGTCTCAGTTATCACTTGCTCCAGGAAGCCCACCTTGCCTCCTTTAGGCTGGGTTATTCTTCCTGTGTGTTCAGTAGCGCCCCCTAGTTCCCATCAGAGAACTTACACCTCTGCATGGAGGTATCTCCCAACCACCCCTAAGCTTTGCAAGGAGGGAGCTCTTAGCTGGGCCATTCATCATCAGATCCCCAGCACCTAGTACAATGTCTGGCATGGATTAAGTGCTCAGAAAATATTTGTGTGAGGGAGGGAGGGAGGAGAGGAAGATTATGTAACTTGTTTATCAGAAATTTGCCACTCCCTAGGTTGTAGGATAAGGTGTGCCTCCTTAGCAGGTGGGGAGGCCTGCCTGCAGTATGTCCTGTGGTAGCAGTGATCTTAGTGGTCATGGAAGTGTGGTGGTGGAGGTGGCAGTCATAGTCATGAAGAGAAGACTAATGCCTCCACCAGTAACAGTACCACCATGTGGTATTTGTGGGCTACTTAGCACAGATTCTCAGATGCATCAGACCATTTAACTCATGCCCCCCAGTTCCCTGGCTCCAGATGCCCTGTGCAGCTCCACACTTTACAGGGTTAAGCCGTGCTTCCCTTCCTCCTGTTCCCACCTGTTACAATCCCATGCCTCCTCCTCCTAGGCCAGCCCCAGCACTTTCAGGCTCCTTGTTCTAGTGCCTTCTTGTCCACGGGACCCCTTCTCTTCCCAGCTCCGGCCCTGGATTAGCATCTCCTTCCAACTCCAGGCAGAAAGGAACAGATCGCTCTGTGAAGAATGTTCTTGGAGCCCCTACCAATTCTCCACTTTGCCCTTGTACTCAGATGAGGCACATCCAACAGTGAGGGGAGTTGTTCCTAAGGAGGAAAAGCGTCCCCCCAATAGCTCATGAGCATTTAAATAGAGTAAACAAGAACATTTTGTTGGTGGTGGTGGTGTTTTCGTTCAGCTCTCATTATGCCATTGCCAGCTCTTCAGAAGAGACGGAAAGGGGTCAAGTCCCCTTCTTCCAGCTTTTAATAAAGCATTGTGAGAGGAGGAAGGAACGGCTGTGGGAAAAGGGGTCAGAGTGGAGCTGGGAAGAGAATGAGTTTTCCAAATTTCATAATATTCATTTGTCTCCGGACATTGGCCTTCATGCCTTCACCGTCTCTGTGCACAGCACTCATAGTGTGGTGTGCAGAGGACCTGCTGAGCTGGGGTGCATGGCCCAGAGCCATGCCAGGGAGAGCTGTGTCCCTTTCCAGGGCTTCCCTACAAGGTGCCACAAAACTGGGTGATTAAGACAACAACAAGGAGTTCTCTCCCTGTTGTGGAGACTGGAAGCGCGGGGGCCATGTTCCCTCTGAGCCCCAGGGGAAGAATCAGCTCTCAACTCTTCCAGCTTCCAGTGGTGCTGGTGAGCCCTGGTGTCCTTGGCTTGTAGCTGCATCACTTCCATCTCTGTCTCCACTGTTAATGGCCTTCTTCCCTTCGTGCATGTGTAGGTATCTCCAAATTTCTTGCCCCTTGTAAGGACACCAGCCATTGGATTGAAGGCCCACTCTGACCCAGTAGGACCTCATCCTTACTTGATAACATCTGCAAAGACACTACAGCAGTCCCTCCTTATCCACAGTCAACCACATGGTCTGAAAATATTAGATGGAAAATTCCACAAACAATTCATAAGTGCTCAATTGCATGCCATTCTGAGTAGCATGGTGAAATCTCTCACCCTCCCACTCTGTTTGATCTGGGACATGAGTCAGCCCTTGGTCCAGCATATCTACATGGTCTCGCTACCTGCCCTATATGAAATGACTGCAAAGGAAAAAACATAGTACATACAGGCGTCAGTGCTATCCGTGGTTTCAGACATCCCCTGGGGGTTTTGGAACACATCCCTTGTGGATAAGGGGGGACACCTGTACTTACAAATAAGGCCACAACCACAGGTACTGGGGCTTAGGGTTCCAACATGTCATTTGGGGAGCACAGTTGAACCCACAACATCAGCTTTGTAGGCGTATTCTTTCTTGCTTCCTGGGCATGGAGGGAATGAACCACAGAATTTTTGCATGTGTGCCTAGTGCCTAATACAGACCCCTGGGCTGTGGACACCCCTGGGCTGTGTTTGGGCTTCACTGTATTCACCCCGCCGTTACTGCAGATGTGATTTTCTTTCCTCTGCCTCTTGGACTTGGTTGCTTGTTTTCATGTCCTTAAGAGAATATTTCTGTTGTAATGGAACATTTCACCTGTAAGAGATGAGACCTTCTCACAACCAACAGAGACTCCCCAGGTGGCTGGAAATAGAACAAGGCTCCGGTTTTTTGGCAAAAGAGGAAATACTTGAGGACCGTGGCTGGTGAGAGACATTGCCAGTGCTGGGCTGAGGGGGTAAAAACAGATTTGGTGAAAAGTGGCCCGTGGTGCTCTGTCACCTTGCGGGGGGGCGGTCCTTGTGCATCTCCTGGCTGTTCTGGACACTCAGCATCTTGTGAGCTAATTGTGGCTGTGGAAGCTTTGTGGTCTGAAGCTGCAAGATCCCTCATACCAGAAGCACTTTCCTAAGAGCATGACAATGAGGCTGTGTGAAAAAGAAAGCTGGACGGTGCTCCGTTAGCTTCCGAGCACTCATGAGGATCCCTGGAAGTTTCAGGAAGCATTGTGTACCCAAGATGCTTTGTCCATGTGGGCTATAGCCCCAGGGAATGTTTTCCTTTGCTATTTTTTTTCCTCTGGCCGATGTTCATGTGGAAATGTGACCTTTAATTCCTTAAAGATCCATCTCCCTGGAATTAATTCCTCTTCTGAAGTCATAATCTTTCACGTAATATTTTCTGGTCATCTCAACTCCAAGTAAAGTGTTGTATGTCACAGGTGGGGGAAATGATTTGGGCTTTTTGCATGCCATTTGAGTGTAAGAGAAGAGAACCGCCGTGGTTGGAGGCAAAGACATGAGGGTGGTCAATGTCTGACATTGGAAGTGGACTGTGCTTGTTGTTTATGTCATCTGATTGAATTATTTCTCAAATAATAGAGGTACCTTCCAGGAGGCAAACATCTGATTCTCTTCTTGTGTATCTCCATTACCATGGACATTTCCCTAATGTTTATAAAGAGAAAAGCTGCAAATTCACATGAACCCCACAGGTTCTAAACATAACGGTTGATCACATGGGACCTGTTATCAGAACCATACTGTTCAAGGTTTCCCAGTGTAAGAAGCCAAGAAGACGGGAGCCATCACTTGCTGCTACTTGCCTGCTGTGGTTCACGCCTGCAGTCCCTCCCAGATGCCAGAACTACTTCAGGAAACACGTATGATGTGTTCTTGGAAGCTCCATTGGCAAACCGTCTGCAGAGCCTCTGTGCGGGTCTCTGCTGTGAGTTCCTCCTCTGGCCCCTGCAGAAACTGAGGGTCTATGAAATGATTGGAGAAGGGAGGGGAAGGAGGTGTGATACTCCCTCCTCCCTCCAGCCGCTTGAGACTGGCCAACCAGGGAAGTAGCAACCCTACTGGAATTGTTGAAACAGTCCATATTCATAGTTGCTAAACTTGACCTATGCGGTAAAATAACATGTTTTTCTGGAACGAGCAGCATGTTGTCAGCCTCTCCTAGATATAGTGGTGCGGACCACCCAGAGTGAGCGCTCACTTAATAGAACAAGCAGCCCATTTACTGATAGGCACCTTGTGGTTGAAAGATGGGAAAGAAGACTTGGATTGCACTTGCATTTATATTCTCTCATTTTCTTGTTCTATTAAATACGTCCAAACAAACTTAGTGTGTGGGAAGGAAGGACACCTTAGCATGAGTAGTGAGGAAAATGCAGCATCGCTAAGCCAGTGGAGTTTGTTCAACACATTCCTGCCACTGTGTTGCAGAGGACATCGATGCCCAGTGACACATGAATGAGTTGCTCCTGGCCTTTGTCCTGGGTAAATGGCAGGGAGTGGCAGTGAGGGTGTGGAGAGCCTCTGCCCCTCCATCTGGGAAGGGGTCCAGGCTGAGCAGGGCTCCCCTGGCTCCAGCAGCTCCAAGGTCAGGGGTGTGTGATCTGTCACCCTCTTGCCCCTCCCTGCACTGGGCATGGTGACCCACAGGCCAGGCTGGAAAGCCGGCCTAGAACATCTGGATGAAGGCAGACTTATTAGTACCCAAAAAGTCCGTGGGTACCCAGTCACGCCCCCAAGGGGCAGGCTTTTCTAGTAAGGTTTAGGGAAGAGCATTCGTAGTGGTAAAGAGCTCAAGTTCCAATCTCCACCCTGCCCCACCTGCTGGTGCATCTCCTTTGGCACATCACCAACTCGACGTGCCTCATCAGTTAAAGCATTTAGAATTTGGCACGTAATCGATACTTAATAAGTATTGGCTGTTACGTCTCTGTAGGTAAATTTACAGGGGCACTGCAGCATGAGAAGCTCTGTTGCTGGGCTCCATGCAGGCAAGCCCAAGGAGCCTGGCTGGTGTTCAGCAGGGTGTGCTCATGATTCATGTAACCCCTGGCCCTTCAGGCCTTGACAGTCCACTCTGGACATGATGCTCTGTCCTTGACAGTGACCAGCGTCCGGGCCCGTGGTATCTGATGAGCAGCATCTCCCTTCAGTAGCATCTCTGTGTACATCTCATGCTACTCCGATGTAGACAGCCATGCATGGGGTCTTTCAGCTGTCCTGGCAGCACTGCCTTTCAGGTCTGAGCAGGCCTGGGTATTTAGCACAGAGGTCTGAAGAGGTTCTGAGTCCATGGACTAGGCTGGAAAACCTGAATCCTAACCCAGGCAGCTGGTCTGCAGTAAAGATGGTTCATATTTATTGAGTGTGTACTATTTGCCAGCTGCTCTTCTGAGGGTTCTCCAAGTATGGGCTCATGTACTCTTACAGCATTCCAATAAGATAGTTACTAATTTTATCCCATTTTTTAGAAGGGCAGAATGAGGCTCAGAAGTGTTAGTAAGCTGACCGAGGTCAAACAAAAGTGACAGCTGGTGTTCGAAGCTGAGTGTGTTACTTTGGTCCCATCCCATTAACCACTGGGGATATGAACTGCTATGGAATTGACACCAAAAGTGCCAAAAGCCGAAAGTGGCTTTTGATTGCATAGGATGCCTGCAGCCCTGCCCTCCCATGACGGATATTCAAGTGTTGCTGCTCTGAGGCCCACACTGCATTTCAGTGACATCTAATACCCATGCATAGATGGAGGGGCCACCACGCACTAAACCCCTGCCCGGACTCACCCTCTAGTAAAGGAGGGAGGCAAATGATCAGCAGTGTGGATCACATCCGTGCCCTCCTGGACGTCTGAATGGGGAATTGGAGACAGCACCAAAAAGGGAACAAAAAACTCCATGAAGAGGGGCAGGAAACACTCCGTGGAGGGGGTACTTCTGAGCTACGTTTGGAAGAATAAATAGGAGTTCATTGGGTGTTTCAAGGTGGGGCATATAGGCAGAAGAAATAGCATGCAAAGAACACAAGTATAAAACAGCAGGATAGGATTTTTTGTTAAGGTGGGGGTGCTGTAAGTACTTCAGCACGGGTAGAACGGTAAAATCAGGGAAATTCTGTGGGTGTTGAAACTGGAGAGACAGAAAGCAGGAGACACAGGGCCTGGTTTGCCGTGCCAGGGAACCGGACTACATCCCAGGACGATTTAATTTCATAGTGTTACAACAAAGTTGAAATCTCCAAACCCTGATGCATGTAGTAGTAGAACCATTTTCCCTGGTCTTATGGTTGTCGAAAGAAAGGATGACAAAAGTAAATAAGCTTCCCCATATGATGTGATATTGACTTTGTGCTACAAAGAATGTTGTTTTTAAATCTCTTCCACTCATTTCTCCAGTTTTTCATCAGCAGTTCCCTTTGGCAAAAGTTATTCTCAGATGCCAGGATAAGTGCTTTTGAGGGTTTTTGTTTTTGTTTTAATGTTTTTTTTTAAGTGGCTTTTGATTGCATAAGACCATCATGTAGAGCTGTTTCCAGTAGTATCTTTATAGCAGGAATGGAGGCTAAGACTGATTATGTAATTGTTCCCTTAATCTATTCTCAGAACCTAACATGTTGCCAGCAGATGAAAAACCTAATGATCATAATGGCCTCTGAGTGTCTTTCCTGCTCATAGTTTCTGGTGCTATTGCTCTCACATTGTTTACTGCAAAATAGAAATCAATGGTTTAAATGTGGCATGACTGCTCACCCAGCCCTGGCCACCCTGGACTCAGATCTGTCTGCTCCCTCTTGCATGTGCAGCCCACAGCAAGCAGGTCTTGCAGGAGAAGGGGTGCAGGTGTACTCATTAGTGACCCTTGCTGGTGTCTCACATGTTAATATTGGGATGAGGAGAGGCAGCCCACTTCTGCCACGCTGGGGTTGCATTTTGCAAGGAGAGCAGAATACCATCTGCCAGAGGAGGTGGTGGGAGCGTGCAAATACTGCTATGAATGCCATGAATGCTTAATTGCTATAGATTTTGTTTTTTAGTTTGATTCTTTGCATTTAGTGTGTTTGTTGTTTGTTCTTCTTTTTATTTTTTAGAATAGTCCTTATCAGTGGCAGAAGATCCTTCTGTAGTATATTTTCAGTGCTGCCGTATCGCGACAGTACCCAAGTCGGGTATGTATATGCATGCATGCTTTGTAGTTCTCTGGGTGAAAAGATCTCACACCAATGTACATAATGTGGCCATCCTTTCCATTTTCAAGAAGTTGCCTTGCTTTGATACTGCAAATTCAGTATTTGTACACTGGAATGATAAAAAGATGTTCCACTTTCTTTTCAGCCAGAAAGCTTCCTCGTTGTGTGTGTGCGTGTGTGTCCCATCCTATTGCCTGTTCTTTCTAAATCTACATTTTGTTACCTTATCCAATACTTGCTTTAGCAAGAACATTATGGGGCCCACCATATTCCACAGGGCCATGCCAACCTTTGGAAAAAAGGTAGGTCAAGGAAGAAATCAGAACAAACCCTGTGACCATTCCACCTCCTTGCATCTTGGGCTTGGGTTTGGAAACTGACCAGCAAGCTGGAGCTGCCACCACAGAGAAACATCAAAGCAAAAGGGTTCCAGGACCAGAGATTAGGTAACTAGCTACAGGCCAGAGGAATGCTTCCCTCTCTAGATCAACAAGCCCCTCCTTTCACTCTGAAAAAAAGTAAGTACCTGAGGGTCCGTCCTTGCAAAGCCTCCGCTCTTCATCGCCATCCCTGAACACCGTGTTCCTTCCTCCTTGTGCTCCTTTTGCCTTTTCATGCATCCGGTGTCTGTCATCAGGCTGCCACCGGTATCGAAGTCAGGACAGTTCACTGCGTAAGAAGTCAAGCATCATGGGATGTTGGCTGTGGCGTCTGGTCATTGTGCCAGCCACACCACAGACATGTGACCACTGTCCCAAGGAGGGCCGTATGGCCACTGGTGCTGATTCGCCATGTGTTCATCTTCCACCATCTCCGTGAGCTCTACCCCAGGCCTTCCTGCTCACCATGACCTCCCCTTTCCCCTGTAGATGTGCTAGACTTACGGCCTATTCGATTCACCAAGGTCCTTAGCTGCACTCTTCATTGTCAGCTCCATGGGACAGAAAACACATCTATATTCATGGAATCCTGACTCAGTCATTGATGAGATGTGTGCCTTAAGGAGCGATAATCATGGCACTGTTTGTTAGGCACACACTTTGAGCTCGTCTTTTTCATTATTTACATCCTTACAGCCAAACCTTGCAAAGTAGGTGTTCTAGAAAAAGTAGCAGCAAATCCTGCAGCTCGGAGGTTTAAGGACCATCTAGTGGCCAGTGGGCTGCCCAGAGAGATGTTTTCGGGCAGCTCTCTTTGACTGACCTACCTGCTGTGGCCCCGGGTCTGGCTACATTGGAAGAGCAGGCTCATTCCTTGACAAAATTAGCTCATACCAGCTCATAGACCTGGTGTGACCCCAGAGGCCAGTTAATTCATCTTATTACAAGTAGTAGCCGAAGGGCCCAGAATGTTTGAGTGTGACCAGCCTGGGCATACACCTCCAGGGTGTCTGTATTATCAGTAGCAGGCTCTTTGCCAGCAGGTCCTCTCTTGGCCAGAGCTTGGATGGTACTGTGACATCAGCCTCGTTTCTCTGGGTTTCCCTGGCTGACCTCTCTGATTGACACATTCTTTCCTTAGCTCCATCTCATTCATTCATTTATTGAGTGCTTGTCATGTGACCAGGTGCCCGGGACAAAGGCAGAGAAGGATGGATTGGGTTCGTGTGCCCCTGAACAGCTTAGCAGGGGAGACACATTAAAATTACACACACAATTAACTACAACTTTTTTTTTCTTTTTTTCTTTTTTTTTTTGAGACAGAGTCTTGCTCTGTCACTCAGGCTGGAGTGCAGTGGTGCGATCTCGGCTCACTGCAAGCTCCGCCTCCCGGGTTCACGCCATTCTCCTGTCTCTGCCTCCTGAGTAGCTGGGACTGCAGGCGCCTGCCACCATGCCAGGCTAAATTTTTTGTATTTTTAGTAGAGACGGGGTTTCACCATGTTAGCCAGGATGGTCTTGATCTCCTGACCTCGTGATCTGCCCGCCTCGGCCTCCCAAAGTGCTGGGATTACAGGCGTGAGCCACCACGCCCGGCCAACTACAACTTTTAATACATGCTGGAGATACCCAGTCAAGCAATCCTTGAATCTTCCTGGCTGAAGACTCATTCTGTTTCTTTAATTTGGCTTCTCCACACTTGTCTTTGAAGTGTCCATATTCGTTTTATTCCCCAAGGTCTGGGGTAGGGTAGCCCTCACTGTGGTACCCAAGTGCTCATCCCCATTTTGTAGATGACATCACTGATCCATCCTTAAGAGTTGAAATCTCAAACATCAACTTTGGGCCAGAATGGGGGTTTAATCCCCAGTCTGTTCAGCCGTAAGTTTTTCCATGACCCACACTGGCAGACAGGCAAGATAAGTTCTGTATCTGCAGAAACCTTGCTGCGAAATGGAGCTTTTCTGGTATCTGCCTCCCAGAGGTTAACTGTAGCTCCCAGGAGTGAGTGGATCCAAGGTTTCCAGCATGGCACGTGGCATGCAGAGAAGTGCTAGGGCCCACTCAGCAAGGACCCCATATTTCTGACAGTAAAAAAGAATCATTGTGAAGAACTTGGGAGATTTAGAATTTTTATTACTTATTAGCTTCTGTGAGCTTCCATTGGCTCCTCTGTAGAATGGGGAAGTTTCTACCTCACACCATTAACTTGAAGATAACGACATTTCTGCAAAGCCATTAGGAAGCTGTTTTAACTTAAATTACCCAGGAAGAGGGCACTCAGACCATCTCCACTGGACATCCTTGTGGATATGCGTGGCCCTCCACTCTTCAACATCTCAGGGAAATGCTAGGTGGCAGCCAGTTGGTGCTAGGAAACAGTGTCTGTTCATGCCTGGGTCTCCTTCTTGCTGCTTGGGAAGGCCTCCTGTGTTGCAGAAAGGGCCACTGCATAGGATATTCAGCAGATTTGGCTGCTGTGTTGGCCCTGGACAGAGAAGCAAAATGAGTGTGTGGGATCCCACCTTTTACATCCTAGGTGTGAACAGATTCAAATCCACTATTCCTCCAGATTTTATAGATGAGGAAACCAAGGTGCACAAGAGGGATTTTTTTGTTTTGTTTTTTGTTTTTGTTTGTTTTTGAGACAGGATTTTGCTTTGTTGCCCAGGCTGGAATGCAGTGGCACAAACATGGCTCGCTGCAGTCTCGAACTCCTACGCTCGAGCCATCCACCTGCCTCAGTCTCCCAAGTAGCTAGGACTACAGTCGCGCGCCACCACACCCAGCTAATTTTTAAAATTTTTAGTAGAGATGAGATCTCGCCATGTTGCCCAGACTGGTCTCAAACTCCTGGACTCAAGTGATCCTCCTGCCTCGGCCTCCTAAAGTGTTGGGATTACAGGTGTAAGCCACTGTACCCAGCTAGAAGAGGATTTTTTTCTATAACAAAAAAATCTTCAGGTCCTTTGTCAGACCTAACAGAAAAGAACATGTTCGTTTCTGCAGCACAGTCTACCTCTGTACTCACCCAAGAAACACTGAGCACAATTCCAAATATTGTGATGTAGCAGCAGGATTAAGAAGCAGAATGCTTTTTAAACTTTTCAATGAGCAGACATTGTATTTATAAACAACCCACTTAACCATAATTATGATTTTTAAATTTTTTTTTACTAATTGGGAAACAACTATGCTCAAATTAAAATGTACTAGTAAGTATATGCTAGTAAAAGTTTACTAGTAAATATACGAATAAATATATACACACACATATTTTAAACAACTTCAGTTCATGTACATATTAACTAATGCCTTTCCACAGTGGAAAATTCCTTTACTTTTACGCTGAAGTTCTTTTTGTGACTGGGACGTAAGTCATAGAATTTCAGGGGTGGAAAGGCCTTCCTGCTTCGCAGCTGAGGCACAGTGGGGCGAAGCTCACCCACAGCCCCACACCTGGCAGAGTCAGCAACACCGGAATTTGGGACCCGGGCTGCCCCAGCCTGCCGGGCCATGCTTTCTGGCCTCCATGTTTCCATTGTACTCATGCACATGGACCCAGCCACATGGGCCTGATTATTCCAAACAAGCACAACACCCCCGCCACCCCACCGATTAAGGGGCTAATGTGCAGCTCCAACTTCATCACAAGAAAGTTCTAAAAACAGGAATCTCGTAGTTCGTCTGCTGGGTACTTGAGCCTCCTTCCCATGGAAAGCATCTGTCGGGGTGGCCTGAACTTTCTGGGTTTGTTTTCTGGCCACTTGTGCTGCACTCAAGCTTCCCAGCCCTGCCTCCCACATCCTCACTTGCCCTGCCTCCCGCATCCTCACTTGCCCTGCCTCCCGCATCCTCACTTGCCCTGCCTCCCGCATCCTCACTTGCCCTGCCTCCCGCATCCTCACTTGCCCTGGCTCCCGCATCCTCACTTGCCCTGGTTCCCGCATCCTCACTTGCCCTGCCTCCCGCATCCTCACTTGCCCTGCCTCCCGCATCCTCACTTGCCCTGCCTCCCGCATCCTCACTTGCCCTGCCTCCCGCATCCTCACTTGCCCTGCCTCCCGCATCCTCACTTGCCCTGGCTCCCGCATCCTCACTTGCCCTGCCTCCCGCATCCTCACTTGCCCTGCCTCCCGCATCCTCACTTGCCCTGGCTCCCGCATCCTCACTTGCCCTGCCTCCCGCATCCTCACTTGCCCTGGCTCCCGCATCCTCACTTGCCCTGCCTCCCACCATGGCCTCCACATTTTGTTCTTGGCTTTAACTTGAACACTGATTGTGGATTCTGACATTAGTTGATCAAAGCAGACAGACCAACCTTAGGAGGGCTTTCTATAATACTACCTATTCATTCATTCTTTTATGCATTAGGTCACTTGTTCTGCTCCCAGCGAATTAAGGCCCTGATGGAGGCTGGGGAAGGGGTGGGGAGGAATGAGTTACCAATCCCAAGACAATGGAGGGTGGGCAGGGAGGCACTGGAGAACACTGGAGCTGCCCACAAATCCTGACCAACACCCACAATTATAGTAAATGTACAGTGTTAAGTAAAAGCAGGGTGTTTGCTATGTAAAATTTCTTTATCCCCACCCCCCCGCAAGTGCCTTGCCATACCAGCATGCCACCTATGTGGAGGTTTAGGGGCTACCATTGTACAGCAGAATTCACTCACCTGCAGCCTGGTGAGCACCTACTGTGTGCTGGGCACTGCCATCCTGCCTTGGGTACACTGGTGAAAGAGAAAATGTCTCTCTGTGTGTGGAGCCTACTCTCCGTGCCATCCCTCTGGTCCTCTGTCTGAGTAGGAGACGGGAATAAGCTAGTAAACCAATCATCAAACAAAATAGCAAAAACATTGAGTCCTAAGCAATGTCTGATTAGAGCAGAGGAAGGAGTTGGGTGAATTCAGATGGCAGGATCCGATGTAGTGCCCAGCGAAGGCGATTCTTCAGTTAGACTTGGAAGTGTGAGACCTTAGAGACATGAGAAAGGATATTGCATCCTCAGCGTTGACTTCTGAGGATGCCAGCGGATGATCCAGCTCCTCGTGAACTCTCAGGCAGGGCCTGCCCTGTTGAGAGATTTAGTGATGCCTTATTCAAGCTGGAGTCCCATTTCCCAGCCACACTCAGCATCCAGACCACTGTAGTGAGGGGCAGGGGAGAGGGCTGGGGACAGGAGTGAGCTCTGACATATGGGCCCATCACTTAGCCCTCCTGAGTCTCAGACCCCTCATCTATAAAATGGGGATGTTTAACCAGATACTACAAGGACCCTGTGAGTGCAAAAGGTTGTTCTCATTCTTGTCAGTGCTGCTGATGCAGAAGCAGTAAGTTGTGTTGAACAAGGAATTTATGAATGAAACACACTGTCCACACTCCCCATCTGTCAATAATCAGCAACTTCTCGAGCACCTACCTGAATATTAATATTCATTGAGTTTCTTAAAATTGAGATTTTTTAAAAATGGGCAGATCTGGTGGCTTCTTGCCACTGTATTGGGCACATTTTTTCTTGGTGTGGGCCGCGAGGCTAGGGGCTTCATCACCCTGGGCTTGGGAACACTGGAAAATGTTTGGGGTCGTTTTGCATGCCACCAGGTTTAGACCAAGCTGATAAGGGATCGGCCTCACAGTGATCTCTAGAGCTGCTGCTTGAAGCAGACTGCCCGAGTATCTAACAGCCACCGCAGTCTCCAGCATGCTCTTCCTTACCGTGATGTATGGGTGTGGATATTTGAGAGAAAAGCACATTTCTCTAGGATTAACGAAGGGTGCAGTCAAGCATGTGTGTGAATGTGATAAATAGAGGTAATAATAGAAACATCCTGAATAGTGCTTACAGTGTATGGCATCCCAGGCACTGGTCCACATGCTTTATATGCGCTCACTCGTTTCATCTGCCCAACAGCCTCATAAGGCAGGTGCCAGTATTACCATTTTACTTGAGGCTAGGGGCTGAGAAAGGCTTAGCAACTGCCCAAGTGGCAGTAGGTGGGGGTAGGTGGGGGCAGGCAGTGTGGCCGCAGATCTGCCCTGTTGTGTTTGCTGCTGTGGAGCCGGTTCAGCCCGGGAAGCTGGAATGCACACTTGAGAACCAAGTGTGTTTCCCTTCATGATCGCGCCTTTGGGGCTGGGTGTGCTGGCTCGGGACCAGTACAGGCAGGCAGCACTGGCTGACTGGTATGCATTTTGGTGAAGATGGAGCTCGGAGGTCACAGCTCTCATAGGTGTGCCACACACGGGCTGCCCTCTGGGGACACCAGCTGCTGAGCTGATGGGTTGTAGCTTTCAGAAGGCTTTGGAGCTTGCTGGTTCACCCTGCAGACTTGGATGCTCCCAAGGCAAATACCAGACATCTCTGGGTGGAGTCTTAAGTGAAAAATAATCTGTGTAATTTCCCCATCTGGATATTTGTCGTCTTTAGAATAGGAAGGTGTGTGGAGTGTGTGGAGCTGGTGAAATTCTCCTGGTGTCTGTATGGTGTTGATGCACTGGCTCTCTGCAGAGGTGTGGGTGTTCCTGGCTCATGACCCTGAAGTGCTGCCAGCTCGAGTCTCCCTGGCACCTTTTCCCCGATACACCCAAGTTGCCCCCTGAGCACCTTCAGGAAGCCATTTAGGGAGCAGTAAGGGTCTTTCTCATGTCCTGATACCATACATGAAGAACGCTTCTCTTTGAGAAAGGGTGCAGCATTGTTGCATTAGAGGATTCCTTATCACAGTACCAGGCATGTCTTCACTTCACAAAAGGATTTGTGGCAGGGCCACAGAGCTTTCTAAACTGCTCATAAAATATTGTTTGATTTACAGAGTTTGCTTGAATTCGATAGGAAATCGTCTGCTAGATATAATGAGATGCTTCTGATAACTGTCCGTCTTCATGTTCTTTTACTTTAGGAATTCAAAGTCTTGCCTGCAGCATGAACCCCTAGTGGCTCTGAGAGACACAGAGGCGTGGAATAGAGGGTAGTGTATGCTCAGTGTCCTGAGTTGCAGACATTGGAGTCCCCTCTGATGGTTGGGGTGTGGGGCTGTGGTTTTCAGGTACCTTACAGGATTTCCAGGACAGACAGAAACCAGCACAGACACCCAGGACCAACACAGTGAGGGTAACACAGCCAGGACCCACTTACAGCCATACCCTGGGGCTCTTCCCATGGAAGTGCTGTTGACGCTGCCATCTGGGGCCCCCACCTTAGGCTTGCCAGAAGTTCTGATCTCCCCAGGTGTTACTTCCACCTCCAGGTTTCCCATGAGTGCTTCCACTTAGCAGAACCTAGGCCCCCTGTGGGAGCCTGGAAAATGTAGTTTTTAACAGTTACCTGGGTATCATGAGCTAGTCTATGGTCTCTGCCACAGTGGTTCACCAAAAGATCTGCCTGTCCCCAAACTGAACCTGGGGAGACTGAAGAACCCCAGATCAGGGAGAACTCAAGCCCCTGATCCAAGCCTGGCCGAGGAGGGAGCCCTCAGGGAACCACGGGTCGCTAAGAAGCTTAGAAGGTGCCTTCCTTCCCCATAGGTGTGCTCCTGTTAAGGACAAGACAGTGTCTAGTGAGACTGCATAGATGTCCAAACGGATTTCCAAAGCCCAGGAGCTCTGGATTCAGTCAGGCCTAACTTAAAACCTCCTTTGTGGTCCCCCAGACTTAACAGAAACAGGGCCCTTGAGGCTCTGGCCTTGGCGTTCCTCTCCAGCCCTCTCTCAGCACAGCTCCTCTCTCAGCCCTAGCAAGCTACCCATAGTTCCTTAATGCATCAGGCTCTCCTCACCTTTGGGGATACTCAGCCCTCCCTCCAGGCAGCTTTCTCAGTGCCCCCCAGCACCTGTTCCCCCACCCCCAGCTCCACTAAGAGCCCCTTCCTGTCTCAGGGCTTATAATATACATTTTAACTTATTTTTCACTTGTGGGTGTGGATTGCATCTTAATCCTCAAGGTATCTGCAGCACTGTGCACAGAAAGTAGTGGTCACTCTGGTTTTATGTGTTGGGTGAGTAGAAGCAAGGTTTCTGAAACTTTCGAGAATTGCTATGTTTATGAATATAGTGCTCACGTTCTCTCTCTCTCTCTGTCTCTCTCTCTATATATATCTATATATAGATATATATAGATTAGATATATAGATATATATAATTAGATATATAGATATATACACAGATATAGATATAGATATAGATATATATTGCCCCAACAAAGGACAGCCGGACTGCTTCAGCAGAAGCAAGTGCATCTCTCAGGGTCCCTCAGCCTGGCACCTCATCCTTGAGGGCACCTCCATAAAAGGATGGAGTTGGATGGTTGGCCATAAGGAAGGCCCAGAAGGTGCTAACACGGATGAGCTGACATGGACCTCAGGGTCCTGCTTCTCTCCAAGTGACTCTGTCCCACCCACAGTGAAAGTCAAAGTTGCTAAGCCTGAAGTGACAAAAGAGGGCGTCGAGCTGCACCCAGATGCAAGTGCTAAGCCCCAGCGAGGCCCCTCCCACCCACTAGCCAGGTGACTCCCCCCGCATTAGCCTCGCAGCCTGTGCAGTTCTCTCCGATCACGAGTGCTCTGCACCTACAGAGCCGCTTACAAATACTTGCACCCTGAATGTTAAGCCCAAGGATGCCAAGGGCCTTTAGATAAGGTCACACTGGCTTCTGCAGTCTTTGCTCGAGCCCTGTTGGAATTCCCTGGCTTTTGGCTGACAGGTTTATCTAGTCCTCTACCAACTCAGGTTGTCTGAACATCTCCAAACCAGCAGCATGTGAGCAACATGTAAGTCACACAGCCCCATATTGAGCAGGACATATTCAGATTGCATCTAGCCTAGAGTAAGAAGAGGGCATTTTTGGTTGGGTGCGGTGGCTCACACCTGTAATCCCAGCACTTTGGGAGGCCGAGGCGGGCGAATCATGAGGTCAGGAGTTTGAGACCAGCCTGGCCGACATGATGAAACCCCGTCTCTACTAAAATACAAAAAATTAGCCGGACGTACTGGCAGGCGCCTGAAATCACAGCTACTCGGGAGGCTGAGGCAGGAGAATCTCTTGAGCCCGGGAGGTGGAGGTTGCAGTGAGCCGAGATCTCGCCATTGCATTCCAGCCTGGGCAACAGAATGAGACTCCGTCTCAGAAAAAAAAAAAAAAAAAAAAGTTGGCGGGGGGGCATTTTTCCCAAGCTCGGTTCTGTAGAGAGTGGGATGCTCTATCCTGTCCCTGGAGCCCCTCTCTGTGTCTAGGGTGGACTGAAGCCCCTGCCTGCATCCTCTCCGCCACCACCCACCCGCACTCATCCACACACAATCTACTCCTTATTGCCAGGCCCTTCTGAAGCCCAGCATGGCCATCTCTAATCAGGTGCATGTGTTAGGAAGCTGTCAGGACTTACTGGCATGCATTGAATAAAGACTGGGTATGGGTTGTGCCCACGCCTTTCAAATAACACAGCTGTTGATCCCAGAGTCCCACTAATCATTACCAGGGATAGATTGCACGGCCACTTCTGCTTGGGGTGGCCCTGAGCTAATTCATTAAAGGGTATGTGAAGTGGAAGATAGTTAAGGTAAAGGTAATGCCAGACCAAAAATGAGTTCCGTAGTAAGGAGCACTCTTCAGCTCAAATATAGTCTTTTAAAGCTGGAAGGAACTTGGAGACTGTCGGCTTCCACTTTTTTTTTTTTTTTTTTAAGCTGAAGAAGCCATTCTTCCAGTATCAGTTTACATAGAATTCCAATAAATAAAACAGCTAAACAGAGAGCTCTTCTGGAGAATCAGGAATGGGCACAAGTAGCCCATTCATCCCCACTCCTGCCATCCACCTCCTTTGGTGCCTCCATTAGGAAAACCACAGCCCTTACCCATCCTTGCTGTCGTGTACCCATGGGCACCGGCGGCCAGGGAGGCAGTGTGGTGCTTGGGAACGAGCTGGCAGGCAGAAGCCTCAGTCCTGGGAAATGAACTAGCCTTACTGACCCCAGCTTCACTCCTCCGTAAAAGGACTATAATGTCCACCTCAGGGAGATGAATGAAATAGTAAATGAAATATTATATGTGAAAGCTGTAGTAGATATTCATTAAGCATTAGTTTCACTTCCATTTTTGTCCAGTCACAGAGCTTTTTTTTTTTTTTTTTTTTTTTTGGAGACAGAGTCTCTCTCAGTTGCTCAGGCTGGAGTGCACTGGCGGGGTCTCGGCTCACTGCAAGCTCCGCCTCCTGGGTTCACGCCATTCTCCTGCCACAGCCTCCTGAGTAGCTGGGATTACAGGTGCCCGCCACTACACCCGGCTAATTTTTTTGTATTTTTAGTAGAGACGGGGTTTCACCATGCTAGCCAGGATGGTCTCGATCTCCTGACCTCGTGATCTGCCTGTCTCAGCCTCCCAAAGTACTGGGATTACAGGCGTGAGCCACCGCACCCGGCCTTCTTTTTCTTTCTTTTTGAGAAAGGTCTCACTGTATTGCCCAGGCTGGAGTGCAGTAGTGCAATCTCAGCTCACTGCAGCCTTGACCTCCCAGGCTCAAGCGATCCTCCTACCTCAGCTTCCTGCGTAGCTGGGATGACAGGCATGCACCACCACGCCCAGCTAATTTTTGTATTTTTTGTAGAGTCGGGTTTCACCATGCTGCCCAGGCTGGTCTCAAAATCCTGGGCTCAAGCCATCCTCCCACCTCGGCCTTCTAAAGTGCTGGGATTACAGGTGTGAGCCACCGTGCCCGGCCATCACAGAGCTATTATGTTGCTCTTTCTAGATCTACTTGAACTTAGCAGTTCCCAGTCAGGTTCACAGTGAGTTTGTCAGTGGTGCAATTCTACAAATAATGGATTCACCTTGAGATCTGCTTTTATTCAGTCTTTTTTTCCTCAATAGTACATGTTTCTTAAAGACTATTTGAAAAATGTATAAAAGTAAAAGGAAGATAACAATTATTGAGCCTCACCTCCTAAACAAAGCCACCATTTACATTTTGGTCTATTTCCTTCCAGTCTTTTTTTTTTTTCTTAATGCATACACTTTATGGAACGTGAGGAGACCATTGTTTTGCTTTGATCTTTCTTGCTAAATCCTACCTTTCAAAACAAGCCCATTACAGAGAAGAGGAACAGATGTTGCCCAGCTTTTTCACTGTAACTGTAACATCAAACCTTCCCATAGCTGTAAACACTCTTCTCAGATGAAGCTTGTAAATTATGCCATTTTCTGGGAAGAGTCCCAGCCTTAAACCAGCTCCTTTTTCCTCAACTAACACTTGCCAAGGCCAGCCTGAATCTTTCTGCCTTTTATCCACATTAGTCACGGCCTTCTCTTTTCTAGTGTGGATTTGTGGTTTGGCTTGGTGACCCTCAGCTCACAAAATGAGTTGCAAGCAACTTTCTCAACTTTCCTAAATAGGCAGACCCCACTTAGTAAACAGCTTGTCCAACACTTCTATCCAAGACCACTTCTCTTCCCCTCGCTTTCCAGCCCCCATTGTGGGCTACTGTGCCACCGCCATAGGGCCAGGAGTGGGAAACCTGGGCCCTGCAAAGGAATTTATGGATTTACATGTAGAGAGAGGGAAGGAATTGTGAAAAACAGGAATAGCTTAGGGGAAAGGGTCCTGGAGTCCTAAGAAGGAAAGGGAAGTTCAGAGAAGAAGGTGAAATAATACAAACTTGACCTTTAAAGTGTTACTCAGCTGGGCACAGTGGCTCATGCCTGTAATCCCAGTACTTTGGGAGACCGAGGTGGGCGGATCACAAGGTCAGGAGTTCAAGACCAGCCTGGCCAACATAGTGACACCCCATCTCTACTAAAATTACAAAAATTAGCCGGGCATGGTGGCATGTGCCCGTAGTCCCAGCTACTCGGGAGGCTGAGGCAGGAGAATTGCTTGAACCTGAGAAGTGGAGGTTGCAGTGAGCCAAGATCGTGCCATTGCACTCCAGCTTGGGCAACAGAGTGAGACTTCATCTCAAAAAAAAAAAAAAAAAGTTCCTGAGGGTCAAGCCTGGACCAGGAAACCAAGAGGAGAGACTCAACTTCCTCCTATTTTTTTACCCTCATACACCCTCTGACCTTTTGCTTCTATGACCCGAGCTCTTGTTTTTGCTTTTGGGCTGATTCAGTTACATTATAGGCTCAGAGAGCCTTGGGTAGGCTAATCTCCACTTACTGCATCAATGAAAAATGCATTCTGAGTTCCAACTTGCCAGCCCAGGAGCTTCTAGAGCACGACCCACTGGTGAGTGAGAGACTGCAGGTGTTGTATGGAGAACTAGTCCTAGAATTGTCCCTATGCATAAGGGAACCGACACCAGCCACCAAGTGCTCTTTACTTCCTGAGATCTGGATGTGGGTTGGTATTTCTGTACACATGGATCCGACCAGAAGAAAGTAGGAGAGAACCTAGTAAACTTGAGATTGGAGGTTATGTGAAATCACCAAACTAGATGATTCCAGCAAAAAGAGTTTCTGTGATGTGTGTGTAGGTTCACACCCCTTAAGATAACCATACTTGACTGTATGATAGTCGCAGGAGTCACTTACTTACTACAGATGCATCAGAGACCATGTGATGAAGAAGATGGCTTCCCAGTGGAGTTGCAAGGTGCCTCTGGGGGGTGTGTTTTTAAATTGTCAACAGCTTCCACATGGTGTTTATATCCTTAACTTTTGGCATTGGGGGCATTCAGATGAGGTCATCCGCTTGGGTCCATTTCCTGAGTGTTGATCATTTTGCGACACAGAGAACAGCGTCTTCTATTCTTAGAGCCTTCAAGCCTAAATGCTCCCTGCCTGGCTCCAGGCCCATGCCCCCTTCCTCCCCACCCACTTTCCCCAGAAAATTTTTGTTGTGGAAAATTACACATTCACAAATTGTGTTTCTTTCCTCACACCAAGCATATTCCCACACAGAGACAGATTCTGGAATGATCTCATGGATGACTCATGCCATTATCTGGCTGTTTATAGGAGCTGCCTTTAGACAAAGATTTGGTCATAAGCTACGTTAAGACCCCTTCATTGTCTGCCAGTTGCCCTTGCAGGGGATGGCTTATGGCTTATCGATGGAGTCCTGAGTGGGAGTGGGAAGGGACTTCTAGACTAAAAGCTGCTTTTGACTTCACTTTTGTCCATCAACTGTGGACCCTGTTCCATTGTCTCTGAACTCTGGAGGCACCTTCTGCTTGATGTCAGCAAGCAGGCCTGGTCCAAGATGGCAGCTGCACTGTATCGGAAGGGCAACAAACGGGACTCTTAAGCTAAGGGGAAGACTTGTGTCGTCGACTTCCGGCCCATGTGTAATCTCTTAATTAAAATTTAGCTCACAAGTGGTATTTCCTTTCGTAATCCAGCTTTCAGGCTTTGCTTTAGGTGCAGGAAATCTCTCACTCCTTATTCTCTTTGAAGGGTCTGGAAATCCTGTTAATATTTAATTGGCTTTTAAATTATTGACACATCAAAGTGTTCAACCTATTGTTGTCCTTTGAAGAGCTAGCGCCTAGTGGAGCTCCTGGCAGGTGTTCCAAGTTCTTGGGCTTAGAGCACCATTAGAGAAAGGATGGTGGAGAGAAGTCAGGACCACTCCATTTTGGAAGCAGAAAGCCTTGGAACCTAGTTAATTGGATCACACTTTTTCCATCTAGTTTCCAGGTGTTAGATATTTAAGTCTTGTCTTTTTTTAAGAGAGTAATATTAATTAGTTCATTGATCATGCTCCCTGAGGAAAGGGCCATAGCTTGAACTTCTTGTTATCTAATAGGGAATCTTGTTTTCCTGTCAGAATCTGTTTCATGCATTATGGCTCAGTGAGCAGCTGGCTGGGCCTCTGCCAGGGAGCCACAGAAGAGGAAACTAAAAATCATTTTGCCTTTTACAAAAGATGAAGTCCAGAGTCGGCCGTTTTATGATTAATAATGACCTAGGTATTCCCCTTTGGCCCCAAGATAGCTAGATTAGCCACCTGCTTTGATCAGGTGACTCCACAGCTGTGCATGTGTGCTTTGTGCTGAAGAAGCCAAAACTAAGACAGGGGTCCAGGGGTTTCTAACAGTGAAATTACAGGCATTCAAGGAGAGCTACATTAAATTAATTTTGGTGCCATCCTATGAAGGATGAGTTTACACTCCCAAAATGAACCAGCCTGTTTTTCTGCTCATTGCTTAACGGTATAACTGCTGCTTGGCTGTCTCCCCAAATGTGCTTTTACCTCCTGTTTTAATCCCCACCCCCATCTTCTGAGTCCCTCCCTTTTACCCCCTCCAGTCACTCCCACTCCCCCACCCCCGTGGGCCAGTTTTAAATGTCAGCCTTTGTTTAAAAAAAAAAAAAAAAAAAGTATATATCTTTGTGCTGGATTTTCAGTGTGCTTGTTGCCTACAGCCTCTGCAGAAGTTCACAAACTTGCACAGAATGTGAAAGCAGCTCCTCTAGGTACATGTGGCTAAGCTGCAGCGCTACCCAGGACTGTAGAGAGAAGGAATGACAACCTTGCATCGTCCACAGTTCCTTGCCAGTAGTTCAGTTAGGGTGTCTGTAGAAATGAGATCACTTCCTATAACCTGACTAACCGTGTTCACCTCTGAGTAAAAGCTGCAACATTTTAACCTAATATACACAACTTTAGACAATATTCATGTGTAGTATTTGAACTTGCCTCTATGCCATTTTTAAAAGGAAGTGGAATATAAGTAAATTAGTAGGGCCAGGCACGGTGGCTCACGGCTGCAACCCCAGCACTTTAGGAGGCTGAGGAGGGCGGATCAACTGAGTTCAGGGGTTCAAGACCACCTGGCCAACGTGGTGAAACCCCATCTCTACTAAAAATACAAAAATTACCCGGGTGTGGTGGCAGGCGCCTGTAATCCCAGCTACTCGGGAGGCTGAGGCAGGAGAATCGCTTGAACCTGGGAGGCAGAGGTTGCAGTGAGCCGAGATCGCACCACTGCACTCCAGCCTAGGCAACAAGAGTAAAACTCCATCTCAAAAATTATTAAAAAATAAATTAGTATTTGAACACTAGATGTGTCTGGGAAAAATCTGGCTCTTTCAAAGAAAGTGAAAACTTCAACTTCAGTTTGCTTTTAATTACTTTCAGCTGCAGTTCGACATTCTCTAGCTCTATTTCCTGGTGCTGGAGAGTTAGTGCTGGCATTTCAGCCAAACAGATATTTCTATTTTTAATATACCATTTTAATGAGAATTCAGAACAATGATCTTAGAAAATACCAAGATTTCATCACACTCCACTGGGACTTCTGCTTCATTCTTTCTCACTGGAGTTTTTAAAAGATTCTTTTGGAGCGAATCTCCACCATTCAGAGTTCCTTTCTGCATGCAACTCCAACGTTCTAGGCTTCCAAAAGAGAGGGACAGCAAAGACCATGGGTCTTGCCTGCTTTTCACTCACACATAAAGACTGAGCAGTTGCCTGAGCTGTTAAGCTATGTGGCACAATGTGAAACTGCTGTTTATGGGGGTCAAGTACGACCAAAGAACAGCAATTTCATGTTTCATGTTAATATCAGAAAGATTCCAGCAACATTGATCAGAGCCCTTACCTAAGAAGAATGAACCCGGAAAAGTTTGTCAGCCTCTTTGTGAAAGATGTATTTTTTAGATCCCAAGAGTCTTAACATATACAAATTAAAAAGCTATGAGAAGGGCCAGGCGCGGTGGCTCACACCTGTAATCCCAGCACTTTGGGAGGCCAGGCGGGCGGATCACAAGGTCAGGAGATCGAGACCATCCTGGCTAATATGGTGAAACCCTGTCTCTACTAAAAATACAAAAAATTAGCCGGGCATGGCGGCAGGCGCCTGTAGTCCCAGCTACTCGGGAGGCTGAGGCAGGAGAATGGCATGAACCCAGGAGGCGGAGCTTGCAGTGAGCTGAGATCGCACCACTGCACTCCAGCCTGGGTGACAGAGCAAGACTCCATCTCAAAACAAAAACAAAAAAAACCTATAAGAAACTGACATTGTTAGAAATGAGATCTGTTTTGTTTTCTGTGGACGGCTGACTATGCCCACGCCTGTACGTGTATGCTCTTAATTCCAGGCCAGCAAAATGGTAGCCCTGAAGTTAGTGATAACCTCTCCCTGAATCTGAGGGAGGAAAAGCGTGGAAAAGTTGCCCTCTGCCATCACGAAGCTGTCAGTGTTCTAGAGCTGAGATGATATTTATTACTGTATCAGCGAAGTTTTGAAGTGTGACTAGCTTTGGCGTACAAGAAATACCTCATTTCTTCTTTTTAAATCTACTTAATATGAACTGTAAACCCCCCTTCTACAAGGCTGAGGGGAAATTGAGACTCACTTTTCACTGGGCATTCCTCCCTCCCCATCTCCAGTATTGTGCAAAGAAGGGCCTGGAACCTACTGTAATGCCTAGGATTTGGGGAACACATGCTGGTTGTTGTTCCTTTGGTTGCCCTAGCACTGCCAAAACTGTCACACCCGCCCCGTGACCCCTCCAGGCAAAAAGATCTGCTGCTCTGTGCCAGATGTGAATTACGAATCTTTATCATGGCTGGGAGCCCTGTTCTTGGGGTGCTGATGGTGCAAGGCATGGGTCCCATTTGATCATGGACCCCATGGTCATTTCCCTTCCGACTTAGGAGAATCTTGCACTGCTGCTCCCTCTGCAGTGGCCTGTAATTTAAACATCCCCAGAGGCAATAGGCAGAAAATAGGCCACTCTTGGGAAGAAAACTGGGAGACCAAATCCATGTCACTGAGTATCTATGACTATATTATCTTGCCATAGGAACTTATAAAATAAGGGTAGCAAAAGTCCTGCCAAGGAAGCACTGGGTCTTAGTAGTCACTAGCCACATGTGGCAATTTACATTTAAATTAATTAAAATTAAATAAAAATTCAGTTTCTCAGTCAACTGTTCACATTTCAAGCACTTAGTTGCCACACGTAACCATCGTATGGAACACGGTAGATAAGGACCATCTCCGTCATCACAGGAAGTTCTGTTGCGTGGCACTGGTCTGTAACAAGCCTCACGTGTCTCCAGTAGCAGTTGAGGGTGGCCCCACTATTCTTGCTTATTTTCTTACTCGGCTTAGCCTTAGCAATTTAGAAAGTAGAATGACGTAAGTAGAAAGCCAGGGGGAAGTGGTGACTGCAGTGAGTCACGTTATTTCTCGAGGGACCAGTTCTGTGGGTAGGGTTGGTGGAGCCTTGCCCGTCTTTCTTGTGGTCCCAAGTGTCGCTGAGACGCTTGGACAATCCACTGGAATCCCTGTTTCTAAGAATCCCTGTTTCTTTAAATGGGTTTGGGTTTTATCTCATGGAATAGAATCTTGGACTTTATACGAGCACATGACTATATTTTTTTTTTGTTAGGGCTTCATTTCCTTTGGAGGAAATGCCAAGAAGGGGAGTGTGGAAGAGGCGCGACTGGTTTGGTTCTGTTAACTGTGATGTGTGATGTGCACATTTGGCGGCAGGCAGACAGCTGGCCAGGACAAGGCTGCCCCGGGGAAGCAGTGAGCCTGTGAGCAAATTGAAGACAGATGAAAAGGGGCACAGTGGAAAATCACCCAAGTTTCATGCCATCTGCATGTACCAGTACCGGCGAGACAGCAAAGAGCCACACTAGCTCAGCTCAGTAAATAGTTCGTTACATATCAGACGTTGTATAGACAGGATATGAAAATGGACTGAGACTGCCCCTGCCTGCAGCCAGCTCTCCATCTGAGAACCCTCTCAGTATGGGCTTATTGGAATTCTCCTTATTTCCCTTGGCCTACTCACTCCAAAAAGATATTCCCTACTTCTCTCTTAATTTCAGCCCTAAGTAACATTCTCCATCTGGCAAAATGGAAACAAGGAGAAAATTATTTGGGAGTTGGGAATTTGAAGACCATGCTTGCTGGCTTTGGCTTTGGAAAAGTAGGAAGCCCATGGAACTGAGCTGCTGGTCCTTGAATGAAAAGGAAGACACTGCTGTTTTTGTCCTGCTCTGCATGTGGTCAGTCCCCTCCCTCCCTGCCCACCGCAGGTATTTTTGCTTCATTGCCTTGTTCACGTTTTTGCTTTGTAGGCACTTCCCTATGCCAGTGCCCCTGTGCATTCATCATCTCCATCCTTAATTGCTTTAAGAAGCCTTTTGAGAATCGCCCTGGGGTGCCTGCATAGCAGCTGCAGCAGTAGGGCAGACGGTCTTGTGGGTGTGAACAGAGTTGGTTGTTGGCTTTCTTCTGCATGACTTTGGTGTCGATTCTGAACGGGACTCCAGAGATGTTTTGAGGGTGGCACTACCATGGCCTCCCAGGAAGCCTGCTGTGGAAATGCAGCACTTACTGGGCACAGAAGGTCTTGGGCATTTCTGTTAATTAGACTCCACATTATGGGTAGGATAAGGGAGCCGGCTCATTCATGTAATGCCCAGAGACTAGGATGATGGCTCAACAGAATCAGAGCATCCCTGTTTTTTTTTCTATATTGGAGGATAGCTTTTTTCCCTTCTCTTCTCACCACTCGCTTGGCTCCCTCCTCTCTTCTTACCTGATGACTTTGTCTTTGGCTGGGAGCAATTTGCCCCTGCCTTATATTCGTTCTTGCATAGGTTGTAGGAGATGACCCCTGAATATGGTCCCTCCATCCAGGCCACACAGCAAGTATGCTGTGGGTCTGAGGTGCCTTTGACTAACAGGCACTGGATGTCAGAACATGAAGACCTGGTCATTCCCAAACATGGCTGCAGTTTAGAATCGCCTGGGGAGTGTTTAAAACTCCTGGTGTCCAGGTCACAGCCCATGCCAACTGCCTGGGGGTGGGAGCCAGATAACAGTTTGTCAGAGATCCCCGTACAATTCTGATATGTGGCAAATTTTAAAAATTACCGTAGGGGAAGGGTGTGGTCCTTTGAGGTGTGAGCAGTTACACCTGAGCATAGGTCCATCTTGCATCTCCACGGCAATGTGATGTACTAGAAATGACATTGGATGAACTCTCCAACCTACCGTCCTGGTGACCTTGGCAATCTCCCAAGGGCCTCAGTTTCCTCCTCTGTAAATTGGATCAAAATAGTAGTACCTTTCTCATAGGGTCATCTTAAAGAACCAAAGAAATGATGTGTGAGTCTTTGGAAATAGTAAAGTGCTAAATAAATGCTTGTTTGGCCAGGCATGGTAGCTCACACCTGTAATCCCAGCACTTTAGGAGGCCAAGACGGGAGGATGGCTTGCGCCCAAGAGTTTGAGGCTACAGTGAGCCATGATCACACCACTGTACTCCATCCTGAGCAACAGAGCAAGGCTTCATCCCTGAATGAATGAATGAATGATTACTTGTTATTACTAGAGATTATTCCTCTATTAAAAGATATTCATTTTCTAGGTGGTCTGTCAAGGTAGAAGTGACTACTGTGGCATTAATTCTTTCATCACCAACAATAAACCCAGTAGGTGTTTAGGATAAGAATTCATTTCTCCTAAGAAAGGGGAGCAGCAAGGAGAGGTGGTCTCATGCAGCATTAGAAAGAACCCAGGCTGGCTGCTGTGGCTCACGCCTGTAATCCCAGCACTTTGGGAGGCTGAGATGGGTGGATCACCTGAGGTCAGGAGTTTGAGACCAGCCTGGCCAACATAGTGAAACCCCGTCTGTACTAAAAATACAAAAAATTAGCCGGCCGTGGTGGTGCGCGCCTGTAATCCCAGCTACTCAGGAGGCTGAGGCAGAAGAATCGCTTGAACCTGGGAGGCAGAAGTTGCAGTCAGCCGAGATCGTGCCATTGCATTGCAGCCTGGGCAACAAGAGTGAAACTCCGTCTCAGAACAAAACAAAAAAACAAAGAAAGAAAGAACCCAGCAGCTAGATCCCAGCAAACTGTGGTCCCACGATGCCCAGGGAATGCTCTCTGGCCTCATGTTCATTGGCCGTCTCTAGGAATATAAGGGGCCTCATGGAAGAGGGAGGGATGTCTGTAAACCATCAGCTTCATCTTCAGGCTTTCTGTTCAGTTGGATTTCATTTATGTCAAAGTGGTTGCAACAAGGCATCACTGGCAAGCGCCCGAAGAGGGACAACGGGCTGTCCCATCACCAGGGCTCACCTGGTCATTTTCATCGGTGTGACTGTGTTGTCTCATGGAGTAAGCATCCTCATGGCTCTTTGAGGTGCACACAAAAGCATTTTTTTTTCCTCTGACTTGTCCTCCCAGGGACTTGAAGTTGGACGGAGGAAGACAATCAACTGGTGCAGTGAGTTTGAAAGAGATCATTGGTCTGGAAGGTGTGGAGCTGGGTGCTGATGGGAAGGTAAGGCTGCCAGGCTGCCAGTCACCAAGTTGTGCTGAAGGCACAAGGGTCAGGAAGCAGAGGAGGGGGGCAGCCCACAAGCCTCTCTTGAGGTGGAGGACTCGAGGTCTGGGGCAGATTCCCAGGCATGTGATGCCAGCCTGCCCGGCTCCCCTAGTGTGCAGCCGGTGATTGAGTAGCAGCATGGCAGGAGTTCCCACAGCATGTGTATTTCTCTGTCAGTGCTGTTTACAACTGAATGTACAGTTTTGAGTACCTCACACACAGACATGTTCCAGGATGGAATGACGAATGGATTGAACATCTATTAACTAGTGGTGTCAGCAAGCAATATTCAGGCTACTAGAAAGTGTCATAGCTTCCCATGGTCCTGGGAAGCTAAGAGACCCTCAGTCTTACACTGTGACCACAGAGCCCCAGGGCGGTCACATTCCTCTTCCATCCACATGCAACGAGTCGTGGGGTTGAAGTCTCAGGAGTGAAAGGTTGAAAGATGACCCTGCCCTTTGTGCAGGGTCCAGACGGTCCTCATCAACCCTTTCAAAATCTGTGTATGGCAATGACGCAAGTGTTTCTTGGGGAATCTGTCCCGGGGTAGTTTGTTTGCCGATGAGGCTGCTGGGAGCTCAAGGTGTAGATAGAGCGCATGTGAGATGCTCGCCTGGGCAGGTGAAAATCAATGCACTTGCTCTGTTCACCCCTAACGAGGAAGTGTTCCCATAGGAGCCAGGAAGGATGGGATGGAGTGGAGGGTCATATGTGGCGTCTGCCAGAGGAGCAGGGTAGGAGGCCATGGCCCTCACCAGGGACTCTTGGGGCCTGAAGTGTTCTGGGCTTCTGCACTTGGATTATAAAAAGCAATGCAGCGTGTGCCTTGTGGATTACACAACACCACAGCAGGTCCTGAGATAGTACCTTATAGTCAAATACATTCACATTTCTTCCATGTAATAGGAATAGTCAGACCCAGTGGGATAAATTAAAACTCTGTAGCCTTATGTCAGTTCAGGTTGGGTGTTGGCACCAATGAGTACCAAAACAAATTTCATTTTTCAGATCTCATTGAATTTCAGAATTGCAAATAGGAGAAAGTGGACCTGAATGTGGGGTGACAACTGTAGCTTGATCAGAATGCAGAGCTAGCAATGCCTGGGAATAATCACTGGCCTGTTTTTGTCTTCACCTTTTAGACTGTTTCCTATACCCAATTTCTGTTACCCACAAATGCCTTTGGAGCCCGGAGAAATACCATAGACTCCACCTCCTCTTTCTCCCAGTTCCGTAACCTGAGCCACCGCAGCCTCTCCATAGGCCGGGCAAGCGGCACCCAGGGGAGCCTCGACACAGGTAACCTTGGCCTGGCTGGGTCTGGTAGCTCGTGGTGGGAGGGAGGTGCCTCCATTTACATGGGGATTGAGTCTCCCTGTGATGCAGACTGGAAGACAGGGGCTCGCAGGTGACATGACTTTTAGGAAAGCCTGATCTCAAGCCATGCAGGCCCGCAATGAAGCCGCAGGTGATTTCTCTCTAATCAGATGACCCAGTCGTTGACAGCCTGAGCTTCCACGTGGAGAGACGCCAAGGCCGTGCACACCATGTAGAGATGGCTGTGTCTCCCAGCTTCCCTGACCACTCAGCTCCCCCCAACAATGACCTGGTTCTGTCCTATATTTTCATGGTGCTCAATTCGGACTTTAAAAAAAAAAATCTGGGCTCTGAAGTGCAGGTTCAGGTGTGAGAGTTTCCTTTGTGCCTATCTTGGTGGGTGAGCTGAGTTGGCGGCTGAAGGAAGACTTGCATGCTTCCAGCTTTGCTGATCAAACCTTTGTAAGAACTGGCACGTGGAGAAAACACTTTAGGAAGCAGTGCCGTGTCTACTCTCAGGGAAATTCCAGGTGGATGTGAAGTTCCCTAGGTCTGCCCAAGTGCTGAGTTCTGAATCCCTGTCCTAGTGTTCCGGCCACCTCTGATCGTTCGCAGCTGTGCCTTGGTGGCCGCTCTGATTTGTATTCATACGGACACAATAGCATGCCTGGAAGTATTCGCACCAAATCGTGCTGCACAGGCGTCTCCAAATTTGATCTGCAAGTTTGAAAAAGGAACCTCTTCGGGGCCACACTCTGAGAGTGTCTTCTGCATCTTGCACGCTGTGTGAAGTTTTTTGCTCTCCTGGCCCAGGGAGATTAAGACATAATTTTCTAAAATGGAAAAAAATGTCAGGATGTTAACAATTTGGTGAACCCTTTTAAGAGGAGAATCCACTTCACTGGCACACGGAGATGTCTAATAAAAGTCAGTGAGTGCCGTGACGTTGAGCTAAGTGCCCTAAAGCCAGCCTTTCTTCATTCCAGCTATACTTGGCATTCTCCTGGCTGTCTCTGCTGGGGAGGGTCCGGAGCCGCTAATTATCATTTTGCATTTTGCATGTGATCTTCAGGTAGTGACCTGGGAGACTTTATGGACTATGACCCAAATCTCTTGGATGACCCCCAGTGGCCTTGTGGCAAACACAAACGCGTTCTGATCTTCCCTTCCTACATGGTGAGTAGCGTGGAATGGAGGCTCCGTTTGCTGCACCGTCAGTTGCCCCACCTGGGTTGGTGGCCGGCTGGGGGCTTGTTCAAAGACTGCTCTGCCTGGGGGACCTTCATGAGGAGCTCCCCGGTGTGGGTGCCCACGGAAGGACCAGTATTGCCTCCTGTCCAGAATCCTGCTGGCCACCTGGCCTGCAAACACCACTTTCAAGGCTGGGCTGCCAGTGTCCACAAAGTCACCAGCTCAGGTTGGGGGACCCTCTCCTCTGAAGGGGGATGTCCGAGCTTATACCTCCACAAACCCCCGTGGAGAGGACCAGGCCCATCCCTGGTAGCGCTGAGTTCAAGTCCAGCTCCGTTTGGAGTTCCTTGGTGGCTGCAGGCCTTCGTGTGCATGCTGAGCAAACATTTGGCCCCAGGCTGGGGATGACAGAATTCTCTCCTGGGAAAGTGAAAGTAGGACACTGTGGGTGTTACATGCAAAACCTTTCTCTGCTGTTTTTATTTCATGGACTCTTCCTGTTTTTCCCTGTGTGTAATTTTGGTTTCTGCTCTCGGCTGACCACTGTTTCCCACCACCAAGGGCTGCCATCTCCTCTGCAGACACCAGAGGGGCCTGGCGGGGCCCTGGGCGCTTTCTCTGGGCCGACTTGCCCTGACTCTTGCGGCAAGCAGAGCCCCGCCTGCTGTGGGAGGAGGGGGAGCTGCACTTTCAGAACAGTCGATTGGCCAGGCCTGCCATGCACAGCATCAGGTGGGAGACATCCACCCAGAATGCCCCCACCACCTCCCTGCGTTTTGCATGTCCTGGCCCATGAGCCGGGCCTGGCGGGGCCGGCACAGCCGAGCGCTTCCTCCTCTGGTTCCCTCCCTCCTGTGCTCCCAGCCTGAGCTGTTCTCTGGAGCCCCAGCCTTAGGAGTGAACCAGGGGGTCTTTTTTCTCCCCTCGGCTTTTGTGTCTGCAGTAGCCAGAGTGGAAACCAATCCCCCGTACTCAAAGGAAACCCAGATCTTCATTCAGAACTGAGGGTTCTCCGCTGTTTGTCAGAGAAACACCAGGCAGAACTTGGGGCCTTGCCAGTTACTTTCAGCACTTATCCTCTTGTTCTTTGGCACATAGTTCAGTGGTCATTTTCGTATGCCACACGGCGTCAGAATGCATTTAGTCATTGGAGAATTTATTCAAGTCAAAGGCATTTAGTTTGAAATTGCCGCTTCTCCTCACTCTCCCTCACTCATGCCCCAACTTCTAACACAGAAAGCAAAATCAGAGTCATGTATAATTACTTTTCTTCCACTCTATGATCTGTTTATTTAAAAAACCAGGGCATATTCATCTTTGGCAGAGGCAAGCACGTAATAAGTGTTCAATAAATGACCAGAATGATTGCCCTGATGTCAAGGAGGGAGCAACTGGTGTAAGAATAAGGATGCTTTATGTGGTTCACTGCCTTACTTATTAAAATTCACTTTATTTATTAAGCAACATGGCCAGGAAACTGGCTCAGGGAGTCCAAGTGAGGCTTTCCTAGTTGATAGACAGGAAATGGGGGATCCAGGCTAGAGCTCCTGGCTCGAGGCTGTTTTCACGTTGCCCAGCTGTCTCTGAATTCCACATTCCTCAGCAGTCAGCCCCACAACTGCCGACCTCGGGGTTGGACATGAAGATCATTCTTTGGGCCAACAGTGTAGCAGATTTCTAGGTAACCAAGAGAATAGGAAGGTACACTATTTCGATGTTGGCGGGAGCTGTCCTAACAGACACGTGCCTGGTGATAATGCCGACCTCTCCTTTTATAGGCCTAGTGTTGGGCTGGTGCTAGATCTGATCTTTTTTATCTGATCTTTTTTTTCTTTAAATGATTTCATTGTGAGCCTTGAGGTTCCAGGCCGCAGTATGTGTGTATGTGCGTGTGCACGTATACACATACAACTTTTCCTCCTTAGACTGTGCTAGAAGACTTGCCAAGTCAGCATGTATGTCCTGCCCTCCTCATTTGATGTTCCCAAGTGGATCATTTTTAATTTCACTGCATTGGCTCTGCAGTCAGTGCTTCTGGGAATAGTCCATGCTATAGAGAATGGAATTGCGCATGGACTGCATTTTCCTGGTCGGCTCCTGGAGACCTATGTTTCCTATTCTGGCCACAGATGTTGGCACTTTGATAAAATGTGGGAAATCCACGTTTCAGAATTCTCGTCTAAGTTCTTGACAGTGTGTTGTGTATTACAAAGGGCCTCAACCCCCCAGCTCCCTGGAGACTTCTTTCCTAGAAGCCGACATGGGTTACAGGCCGTTTCTCATGCATTTGCATTGAACTTGTAGGAAACAGAGTGGGGCAGTTGGGGGTGGGGGCGCTGGGGTGTTTGCTTTATTTTTGTGTGTTGGGGAACAGGTATAGAATTCGCCTGTTGAACCAAGTATTGATTGAGGCCTTATTATGAGCCAAGCTTCCTTACCCAGTAGAGAACTAACCAGCCACAACCCCTCTTCTCCTCCACCTTGGAGTGAGTGGGGATGTCAGAGAGTAAACAGTAAACAAGGAGACAGAGCACCATAATCGTGAGGAAGGAACCATCTTAGAAAAGCAGCAGGAGACCAGGCATGGTGGCTCACGCCTGTAATCCCAGAACTTTGGGAGGCCAAGGCAGGTGGATCACCTGAGGTCAGGAGTTTGGGACCAGCCTGGCCAACGTGGTAAAACCCCATCTCTACTAAAAATAAAAAAATTAGCCAGGTGTGGTGTTGCGCGCCTGTAGTCCCAGCTACTGGAGAGGCTGAGGTGGGAGAATTGCTTGAACCCAGGAGGCAGAGGCTGCAGTGAGCTGAGATTGTGCCACTGCACTCCAGCCTGGACAATAAAGCAAGACCCTGTCTCAACAAAACAAAACAAAAACAGCGGCAGGAAATGATGGAAGGGTTGGACGTGGGCCCCAGGGGGTAGGCCTCAAGGAAGACTTCCCCGAGGAATGGCACTGAAGCAAGCACTGAGGGCTGAGAGTGGTTGGCCCCACCAGGTTTTGGTAGGGAGAGCCCAGTGGAAAGACCCCAAAGTAGGAAGGGGGTTGGTTTTGCATAAAATAGATTTTTCTAACTGTAGAAGTCGTTGCCCTTCCCCCTACACACACACAGGCAGGAGGCAGAGCCCACAAATGATGATGCCGACAAACCCTCCCTCCCCACTGACTCGGCCCCAGGCACAGGGAGCTGCCGCTGAAACAGGCCCTGGCTCCAAAGACCCTGGCTCCTTTGAGCCAGGTTGTGGAATGCCCTCTTTGAGGGCCTGGGGCACATTTGGCCACTAGGCTAGTGTGAGGATCTCTGCCCAGACAGAGGGCAGATTCCCTCCTGGGTGGGAATGCTCAGTGATTGGGGAAGGAGCAGGCTTGTTGGTCACAGGCCAATTATGCAGAGCTGCTCACCTCCCTTAGTATTAGCTTCCAAAGCCCCAGAGTCCTGCTGCCTGTCCCGTCTTCCTCGGGCCCCCAGGGCAGTCCAATGTGGCCAGCCCAGCAGAGGCGCCCACCTGAAATCCTGGGACTGTCCTCCCCTGTTTTGGGATGTCCTGTTCCTGTGGAAATCAGACTCTGAGATGCCTCTGCTGAATGAAGCAGCTCTCAAAGTGATGAGCTAATCCTTTCACCCATCAAATCCTGCTGCAGCCGCTAAAAGGAGTAATTTACAGACAATCAGATGCACTTGTTTGTTTGAAGTGTGCATTTCCATGAATTCTGTAACCACTGCTCTGATCCAGATATAGAGCATTTCTGTCCCTGCAGAAAGTTCTCCTCCCCATCCCATTCTTCCCATCCCCTTCCTGCAAAAGCAATTACTATTCTCACTTCTGTCACCATAGATTAGTTTTACCTATTCTGAAACTTCATGTGAATAGGATCATGGCATATACTTTTTGGGGTCCATCTTCCTTCATACAACTTAACATGTGAGATTTCCCCATGTCATGTGTGTCAGTAGATTTTTTTTTTTAATTGCTGAGTGGGCCACGTGCAGTGGATCACGCCTATAAATCCCAGCACTTTGGGAGGCCGAGGTGGGTAAGGTGGGGGGATCACTTGAGGTCAAGAGTTTAAGACCAGCCTGGCTAACGTGATGAAACTCTGTCTCTACTAAAAATACAAAAATTAGCTGGGCATAGTGGCAGGCACCTGTAATCCCAGCTACCCTGCAGGCTGAGGCAGGAGAATCGCTTAAACCCGGGAGGTGGAGGTTGCAGTGAGCCGAGATCACACTATTCACTTCAGCCTGGGCGACAAGCGAAACTACGTCTCAAAAAAATAAAAATAAAAATGCTCAGTGATATAAGATGTAGTACAGTTTGTTTATCCCTCCTCCTGTTGATAGATATTTGTTCATGCGGCTGCCATGAATGTTCTTGTGCATGGCTTTCTGTGGAAATACTTTTTAATTTCTCTTGGGGTAAATACCTAGGAGTGGGACTTCTGAGTCCTGGTGTAGGTGATATTAACCAGCCATGATGTAGCTGAATGTTTATCTTTGTGCGTGTGTGTCCTAAGTGTAATATAAAAAGGCCCCTCGTCGCCACAGTCAGGACATGTCTTAGAGTGGGAAGCTTCCAGAGGTGAAGCCTGTCATTTAGTGTGCAAGTGGCACCCTTTTCAAATTAGCCTTGCACCCATATCTGTATTTTTAAACTTTGATCCATGCAAGTCACTCCCACTGTTACCTACTGTAGAAGGTCAAGGGTGAGATTTTGAACTTAAAAAAAAATTCCGGGCCAGGTGCAGTGGCTCACGCCTGTAATCCCTGCACTTTGGAAGGCCGAGGCGGGTGGATCACCTGAGGTCAGGAGTTCAAGAGCAGCCTGACCAACGTGGTGAAACACCATCTTTACTAAAAATACAACAAAATGAGCCAGGTGTAGTGGCAGGCGCCTGTAATCCTGGCTACTCAGGAGGCTGAGGCAGGAGAATCGCTTGAACCCAGGAGGCAGAAGTTGCAGTGAGCTGAGATCACACTATTGCACTCCAGCCTGGGTGACGAGAATGAAACTCTGTCTCAAAAAAAAAATTCCTGGGGCAGGTGTGCAAAACAAATTGCAGCTGGCCCGGTGGTTTGGTCTTCAAGTTTCTAGAAGGTGACCACAGAACAGAGAATGTTGAGCCACCTGGCTACGTGCAGACTCTTGCTGGGTGATGGTGTGTCTCAGGGGAGGGCGGATGCTTCCAGCTCTCTGCACCTCTTGGCATATAATTAAAGCTTCATGAGAGAGTGGTTATGTATCATTAGAACGTGGCAGCCCAGGTCGGTAGTGGGTTTTTGTGTTTTTTTCCCCCTCTTTATGGGTGTGGAAGGCAATTAAGAGGAGAAAGTAAGTGGGAGAGCTGAGATAATGCCAACAAAATTCAGTTACCTGAATGGATTTCTGGATTCTTTTCTTCTGTAAGAAATCCCTCTTGCACTGTGTTCACATCAAAAAGAAAACCGACTAACATTGTTTATGATATGCATAAGCATGTAAACCTCAAGAGAAACCTCTTGGATTAATCTCCATGATAAAATGCCTATTTTTTATTTACCGAATATTAAAATCTAAGTACTTGTAGAGAAAGCCCTCCCTCTACCCCTACATCTCCCCAGTGTTGGGGGAATGTATCATAGAACTTAATTTTTCAGTACAGCATGAGATGCTGAGCAGTGGGAAGTAATTGACTCAATGAAAGAAAGACTAATTCAGCCTTCCATGAGGTAGGTGATTAGATTCTGCCTGTCCCCCAATATACATACAGTATAAATATATATTTATAAATATAGATAAGTTATAATTTAATAACATACTCATATATTTATTATAATTTATATAGAATATAGAACTATATATATATCTATTTCCATTAAAAGTTACCTGGATGATTTAGGCACTTGTTACCTGTCTGCAGGGTGGATTTGTTGGGAAGCTAATGCAAGACCCTTTCCATGGCCTCAGGTTTCAAGGTGCCTGAGGCTTATTCAGTTCTGAGGAGGGGGCCTCTTTAAGAAAATGTCACATCACATTAGAAGCACAGTAGCTCCGCACTTCCCTATTATTGTGGCACTTCCCTGAGGCTTGAAGGGCGCCCTCAGGCGCACAGGCCTGGGCAGTAGCTGAGGAGCATCCTGCCAGCTTTAGGTTAAGTGTTCACATCAAGGCCTGAAATGCCTGATTGTGCTGTGTGGGGGAGGGAGGGTTGTTTTGGGTGTGGGTTTGGTGTTTTTTTTTTTTTTTTTTTTTGGTCTTTTTGTTGTTGTTAACAGCACTATTAGAATTCCAACACCATACAATTCACCTCTTTAAAGCCTCTTTTACAATTCATTTTTTTCTCATAAAACTAACACAGGCCTCGGTGGCTCATGCCTGTAATCCCAGCACTTTGGGAGGCCAAGGCGGGTGGATCACCTGAGGTCAGGAGTTTGAGACCATTCTGGCCAACATGGCAAAACCGTCTCTACTAAAAAATACAAAAATTAGCCAGGTGTGGTGGCAGGTGCCTGTAATCCCAGTTACTCAGGAGGCTGAGGCAGGAGAATCGCTTGAACCCGGGAGGCAGAGGTTGCAGTGAGCCGAGATCACGCCACTGTACCCCGGCCTGGGCGATAAGACCAAGACTCCGTTTCAAAAAAAAAAAAAAAAAACTAATACAAAACAAGAGTTTGACATTTCACCCAAGATTTTGCAGCATCTGCTCTCTATGTATTTGTCTCAGATTTTTGACAGTCGCTTCGTGATTTTGACATTTCACCCAGGATATTGCAACATCTGCTCTCTTTCTATGTATTTGTCTCGGATTTTTGACAATCACTTCGTGATTTTGAACATGACGTTCCACGCAGTTTGGCTCATTCTCTACTGCCACTGTTTCAGCAGCTTGCGTTTAGAAGTGCATCCAAATACTCTCTGGGTGTGGGTGATCTCAGGGCCAGTCACCTGGTGTCATCTCAAGTGGATGGAGACACTACTCCAGGAGTCCTGTAGCACCAGATAAATAGTTGACAAATATTTGACACTGAACATGCTCTGTGCCACCCAGTGAATCCCCATGGCCATGTAAACCTGAAGCAGAGAGAGCTTTTCTTCCTGTGTTCCTCTCCGTGTGCAAACCCTTTCATTTCAGTGGGAGGGAGAGTTGATCCAGGATTCGGTATTTTGAATTCGATGGGTAGAAATAGCAACAAATGCAGCCCCAGGCTGCGTAGGCTACCCGTTTATTTCCATAGTTTCCTTGTGATTTACTGTCCTCTAAGGGAAAGGATTAAATGCCTAGAACAGCTGAAATGCCCATCTGTTGGTGGTTAGATAGATTTAGTCGAGGGCCACCGTTGCTTAATTACCTTAACAAGCACGGAACAGCTGCTTTCCAGTGCCCAGCTGAGCCCGAATGCCGGTATACAAGTATGGCCAAAGCAAAAGAGCCTAATTTCGCAGTGGCTGTTGGCGCTGGAAGGAGCTGTGTGGCTCATTGCCTTGTATCCTTCCTTCCTTTCACAGGCGTGGTGTGGAACCAAGGCTTGCAGCGGCTGCATACCTGCCCCAGGTCTTACAGCTAGCTCCTGGGGTGCAGGCAGCACTAGGGCTGGCAGTAGGTCAGAGAACAGTGGCCGAGTGTACGGCAAGCTCACATCTGCTTAGAACTGCTCATAAGAATTCCTGGGGAAACTTGAAGACAGGAAAGTAGGAAATGAAGGAGGCCGGAGCTTTATCCGCCCTAGAGCGGAAGTACCTTTTCTGTTGTTTCTGTTGGAATCAGACCAACAACCTGTCTGCTCTGAGACCCTCACTGTTCTCCAGGATTGTTTTTGAGGTGTGTGTACCTCCCATCCCCTCCCGTTATACCCCAGCCCACCTGAGGGGCATTCACTTCACAGCATTGTTACCGTGGGCCAGGATGGGGCCCAAGTTCAGTTCCATGGAGGCCCCTTCCCTCTTCTCATGACAAGTCAAGACTTTGTTTTTGTACAAAGCAAAGGATGGGCCGGGCGTAGTGCCTCATGCCTGTAACCCCAACGCTTTGGGAGGCTGAGGTGGGCGGATCACTTGAGGTCAGGAGTTGGAGACCAGCCTAGCCAACATGGCGAAACCCCATCTCTACCAAAAAATACAAAAAAAATAGCCAGGCGTGGTGGCGTGCACCTGTAGTCCCAGCTACTTGGGAGACTGAGGCACGAGAATCGCTTGAACCCGGGAGGCGGAAGTTGCAGTGAGTGCCACTGTACTCCATCCTGGGCAACAGAGTCACCCATCCTGTCTCAAAAAAAAAAAAAAAAAGCGAAATAGGTATCAGTGTTTCTGCAGTCGATATGGGAGACTTTTCATCTGGATAACTAAGTTGTGGTCTTCTCTTTTCCTGTTATCTCAGAAGGAATTTGTCTACTCCCACTCTAGCCCTTCCAGACTGTCTCCAGCAGGGCAGGCCAGGCAGGGCCTCCTTGTGAACTGCATCTCTGGACATCTGTGTTGTGGACAGTGCCTTCCATCTGACCTTCTCCTTTCCCTGTACGCAGCTGTGCACACAGCTTCCCTGCAGCCAGGCATTCAAGTGCTCGACAGTGCATTCAAGTGACCTCTCGCTCCATGAGCGGAATGAGCACCCTTGCAAAAAACACAACTGCCTGCTGCAGGGTTAGAACCCCCCATCCATCACACAGCCTGGGCCTGCTGCGGGCCACAAGGAGCCCTTCATCTGGTGAATCCCATGGCCTGGAGTTAGGTGGCATTGAAAACAGTGGTCCCGGCCGGGCACGGTGGCTCACGCCTGTAATCCCAGCACTTTGAGAGGCCAAGGTGGGCAGATCACGAGGTCAGGAGATCGAGACCATCCTGGCCAACGGTGTAACCCTGTCTCTACTAAAAATGCAAAAATTAGCCGGGTGTGGTGGTGCACACCTGTTGTCCCAGCTACTCAGGAGGCTGAGGCAAAAGAATCGCTTGAACCTGGGAGGCAGAGGCTGCAGTGAGCAGAGATCACACCACTGCACACTCCAGCCTAGGTGACAGAGTGAGACTCCATCTCAAAAAAAAAAAAGAAAACAGTGGTCACTCAGACTGTCCCAGGCCAAGAAGGAGTCGCTGCTTGTTTAATTAGCACTTTGATTTACAGTAGCATGCACTGGCAAAACCCAGGCATTGCAAGTTTTTGTTTTTTGGTTTTTTTTTTGAGACGGAGTCTTGCTCTGTCGCCCAGGCTGAAGTGCAGTGGCAAGATCTTGGCTCACTGCAAGCTCCGCCTCCCGGGTTCACGCCATTCTCCTGCGTCAGCCTCCCAAGTAGCTGGGACTACAGGCACCCGCCACCACACCCGGCTAATTTTTTGTGTTTTTAGTAGAGATGGGGTTTCACCGTGTTAGCCAGGATGGTCTCGATCTCCTGACCTTGTGATCCGCCCACCTTGGCCTCCCAAAGTGCTGGGATTATATGCTTGAGCCACCGCACCCGGCCAGTTTTTTCGTTTTTGTTTTTGAGACAGTCTCACTCTGTCACCCAGGCTAGAGAGCAGTGGCACCATCTTGGCTCACTTCAATCTTCATCTCCCAGGTTCAAGCGATTCTTCCTGCCTTAGCCTCCCAAGTAGCTGAGGCTATAGGCATGCACCACCACGCCCAGCTAATTTTTGTATTTTTAGTAGAGACGGGGTTTTACCATGTTGGCCAAGCTGGTCTCGAACTCCTGACCTCAAGTGATCTGCCTGCCTCAGCCTCCTAAAGTGCTGGGGTTACAGGTAAGAGCCACCATGCCCAGCTTGCAAGTTTTTATAATTCATACAATTCAAACCTGAATAAAGCATTGGCCTGACTTTTCATTTCTTCAGTCCCACACCAGAAAGAATGAGTGGCTGAGGGGCTGTGGTAATCCCACTGCCGTGGCTCAATCTCCTAGTACAGCCTCCCCAGCTCACCCCCAGCACTAAAGAGAGGATGCCATCTCTTGGCATGGTTGGGAGGCCCGGCCTCTAAGGGCCACCATCAGGCTCCCTCAAGACAGGATGTGCCGGAGAATCATGACCTCCTGTACACCAGAGAGTGTTTCTCAGAAGGACCTGCAGCTGAGAGGACATCGAGGACTGTCATCCCCTCTGGAACCTGCCTGGAAAGGGTGGCCCTGGGCTCAGAGTGATCCGTCCAGTTTCCATACTCTGAACAGTGTGGGGCTGGTGCAGAGCAGTGGCCTCAAGATGCAGCTTATGTGCTGGGCCCCTTCCAAGCCAGGATCTGGCAGCCAGTGCCACTTTGGGGGTTGCCTGGTCCGCTGTGGCAGTTGTGTATCCCATGCAGCTGAGCGGGAGCAGGACACGGAACAGCCCCACAGATCAGGTGCCTGCCGCTGTCGACATCAAGTGGATGCTGGAGAAGCCAGAGGAGCAAACGGAGGCACAGAGCTCCTAACCAGTGTGCACTGGGCCGCCGGGCACCATGTGTCAGAGCTGGAGTTTGAATCCAGGACTCTGGCTCTTGAGCCTGTGTTCTTCCCCACTGAGCCGCAGCTCAGAGAAGCAGGGACAAAAGCAAGACTGAAGAGAGCACAGCAGACAGGAGGCCAGGACAGAAGGCCGGGATGCAGAAGAGTCTGTCACCTAGAAGATGACTGGAGAGCCTCGTCCTCCTGGTGCTGCCACATATTCCCCACTTACGCGGGGCCAAGCACTGGGCTCCCTGGGCCAAGGGTCTCGCAGCATCTGCTCATGGGCCCTCCCTGCCCACTCCCTGCCAGGGCCTAGCTTGGATTTTTCCCCGCCTCTCTGTCAGGAAACGGAGTCCCCAGCTGCAGACCCCAAGAGCTAGGACAAGGCTGCTTGTAAAAAAGACAGAGCCTCTCCCGCAAGACCCGGGCCAGAGTGGGCCTGGCGCGCTCTGCCACCCTTGCCCCCTCCAGAGCCGCAGGCTGAGCTGAGCTGTTGGCTCTCAGGGGTCCTCTAAATAAAAATGGGTCAGGGAGTGTGGCGCAGGGGCAGGGGCAGGACTCAGACTCAACGGATCGGATATCGTCAGTGCCTTTATGGGGATCAGAAGCTCTTTCTCTGTCCCCGCCTTCACCGAGCCAGGTTCAGTTTCAGTAGTGGTAAATGCAATCAGCAGAATACAGCGTGTGCAGCAGGCATGGTTCAGTTCTGAAGTGCAGCATCCACTCTAGCAAGTTTAAGAAGAAAGAGGAGCCGGTGCAGGGGCGCAGGTCTGCAGCCCCGACCACTCAGGAGGCAGAGGCAGGAGGATCACTTGGCCCAGGATTTAGCGTCCCACCTGGCAATGTAGCAAGACCCTATGTCTTTTTTTTTTTTTTTTTTTTTTTTTTAAAAAAAGGCTGGACGTGGTGGCTCATGCCTGTAATCCCAGCACTTTGGGAGGCCGAGGCGGGTGGATCACTTGAGGCCAGGAGTTTGAGACCAGCCTGACCAACATGGTGAAACCCCATCTCTACTAAAAATACAGCTGGGTGGGTGTGGTGGCGCATGCCTGTAATCCCAGCTACTTGGGAGGCTGAGGCAGGAGAATCGCTTGAACCCAGGAGGCAGGGTGTGCAGTGATCTGAGATCACACCATTGCACTCCAGCCTGGGCAACAAGAGCGAAACTCCATCTCAACAAAAAAGAAGAAGAAAGGTATCTAATAAACACCTTACTTACTAGAATCATTGAGGAGGCTGACAGAATAACCTAAGTTGGCATTTCAGGAATGATCCACAAGCCACACTGTAGAACTGTGCCACCCAGGAGGCTGCAGCTGCCTGGGACCAGGACTCTGGCTTTGGACTTGGGAAACTGGCGCTGGCACTGGCTGCTGGCTCCAGATCCGTGCTGCTCTGCTGTGCTCTACACCTGCCAAATGAGGACCCAGAAGCTTAGTGACAGGACTTGAGGATTCCTGCCCTGAGCCTCTTGGCAGCAGAAACAGCAGAACCACAGCCCTTGCTCCAGCCCTGCCTTCACATATCAGAGCATCCAATAGGAGGAGCCAGAATTGTTTTTGGAATCCTAGCTGCAAAGGAGTCAGGGAAGTGTAACTGTTAGCTTTCCAGCCTCCGTAGCACAACAGGGCATCCCAGGAGGAGGTTGGATGTTCAGATAATAGAGTAGAATGGAGGCGAGTCCTGGGGAGAAGCAGCCTCAGCCCCGGGGGTTTAGGAGGAGGAGCCTGCAGAAGTGGCCAAACCAGGAGTGGGCAATAGCCAGACAAGGAGAATCTGATTTGGAAGCCCTGGGTCTTTGGCACATAGAAATCAGCTGGAAAACTTGTCATGGTGCAGGTGCGAGGCCCCACCCTCAGAGACTGTGACTCAGTGGGGCTGGAGCAGAGTCCAGACTTGCTGCGTCTCCTGCTTTGTGCTCCTGATGAAATTTTTCAGCGTCTTTTACGTACGTTTTGTTCTCTTTGATCTTCAAGATAAACCTGGGAAGCAGCCCCATCAGGTTTTCTCATCTCATCTCGTTTTGGAGGATGAGGGTGAGGCTCAGGGAGGTTGAGTGACTTTCTCCCTGTTGCCTGATTTGCTGAAGGTGGACCTGACCCCCCGCCCCCGACAGCCCTTTCCACTGCTAGCGATCTTCTCGGACATCCTGGTGAGAGCCCTTGTCTAGGGAGCTACTCTGTGCTGCTTATTCAGTACCATGAAGGAGAGAAAAGCAGGAAGGCAGTGCATGGGGCACGAGCTGGAAGCAGCCACTCTGGGAGACCAGGATCCCAGCGCTGGCCCCTGCCTGCGGCTCACTCAGGTCTGGGGTGAGCCTTTTCACTTTTCTGAGCCTCTGTTGCAAACAGAGGTGGGACACATTTGTATATTTGCACATTTAAGCAGTGAGAGCTCTCTTTCAAGGGAAGTGTTATATCTACAAATAAGATGGAGCAAAGCAGAGCTGCTGTGGTTGCTGCGAGGAGAGATCCAGTCCCCTCCCACAGGCACTTCAACAGAACCCAGCCTGAAAATCCACATGATCGTTAAGCAGCAGGATATCCTTGCTGGTGCTCACAGGGCGTCAGGCCCCCAACAAAGGCAGATGACTTTACTTGAGCCTGCTCACATCATTGCAAACCTCATGACTTTCCTCTGTAGAGGAAGAGTAGAAGCGGCCTGTCTCTGGGAGTTCAGGGTGCCTGGATTGGGGGGTGAGGGGTTGAGAAGCTGGAGGAAGGTGCTGATGACTTGGGAAACAGGAGGGTTGGCTGATGGGCCCTCCCAGCTTGAGGCGAGCATGTTAGATGTGGCCCCCATTCTACTGCCTATTTCCAAAATGAAATCTTACGTCCCCTTCAACCCAGAGATTTAACCCAGAGGAGACATTTGTTGGAGATGAAATAGAGCCTTTCTTAAAAGTAGAAGGGAAATAAACCTGTCTTGGAGGGCTGCCACAGGGGTCCACTCTGCTGGACCTTGGCAGTGAGAGCAGTGTCCAAATACTGTGGCCCTGCACAGCTGGGCTGCCCCTTTCCTGGTCCTTGCAGGGCATGTGGTTAGCCGGGACCAGAATGGCCACATCTGGACCAGGTCAGGAGACCTTCCTGATTGGGCCAGAAAGACTATGTATCAGAGGAGGAAGAAGTGGCATTGCATCCACCAAGTCCTCTTCCAGCCAAGTGTTCGAAAACTCTGAACAGGTCTGGTGGAATTGTTGGAGTTAATATTGCTGTGCTTTGCCTTTATTCACCAGAGAAGCAAAGAGAGGACCATCAAGATCACTTGAACGGGGATGTGCTGGCTGCTTGCCTCCTCCTTGCTACTAACTGACACCAAAGACATTGTACATGTCTGTGCTAAAATCCTGTGTCCTATAAATGGAGGTGTCCAGAGAAAGCCACCAACTTCCATTAGAGCTGTTAAGGAAACCTTTGATGGGCTTTGCGGGCATGAGTCATCCAGGGAATCGACCTTCACATCAAAATCTGTCATTTCTTCTTTCCTGAGCTTTGACTGATTAAGATTATGGCATGTAGGCCGGGCACGGTTGCTCATGCCTGTAATGCCAGCACTTTGGGAGGCAGAGGCAGGTGGATCACCTGAAGTCAGGAGTTCAAGAGGAGCCCAGCCAACATGGCGAACCCCCATTTACTAAAAATACAAAAATTAGCTGGGCAAGGTGGCACATGCCTGTAGTTCCAGCTACTCGGAAGGCTGAGGCAGGAGAATTGCTTAAACCCAAGAGGCGGAGGTTGCAGTGAGCCGAGATTGCGCCACTGTACTCCAGCTTGGGCAACAGAGCATGACTCCGTCTCAAAAAAAATAAAAAAAGATTATGGCGTGTAGTCAGCCAAAAAAGACCCAGCCTTGGCAAGTATACTCTCGAGGAGGGATGAGATGAACTGGAGGAAACCCAGAAAAAAATTGTTTAATTCAGAGTTCACAGTGCAGGGTACAGAGGAGCAAGGAAGACCAGGGTATTCAGAAAGGACTCCAAGGATCCTTTAAGGATTTCTCCAATTTAGAAAGAGGGAAGGAGGGAGGAGGAAACTCAAGTTTCCAAAGACTTACTGGTTACCATTATATACATATGGTGGCATGTTGTTCAACCTTAAAGGAAATTCTGACACATGCTACAATGAGATTGACCCTTGAAGACTCCATAGTAGGCCAGGCGCGGTGGCTCACGCCTGTAATCCCAGAACTTTGGGAGGCCGAGGCAGGCAGATCACCTGATGTCAGGAGTTCGAGACCAACCTGGCCAACATGGTGAAACTCAGTCTCTCTTAAAAATACAAAAATTAGCTGGGTGTGATGGTGGGCGCCTGTATTTCCAGCTACTCAGGAAGCTGAGACAGGAGAATCGCTTGAACCCGGGAGGCGGAGGTTGCAGCGAACCAAGATTGCACCGCTGCACTCCAGCCTGGGCAACAAAGTGAGACTCCGTCTCAAAAAAAAAAAAAAAGACTCCATGCTAAATAAAATAAGCCTATGACAAAAGGACAAATAGACGATTCCACTTACATAAGGCAAATTTATAGAGACATAAAGTGGAGTAGTGGTTGCCAGGAGCTGGAGGGAGTGGATGGGGAGTTGGCATTTAATGGGCAGAGTGTTTCAATTGGGAAGATGAAAAGATTCTGTGGACAGATGGTGGTGAGGGCTGCACAACTATGCGAATGTTCTTAATGCCACTGAATGGTACGCCTAGAAATGGTTAAGATGGTAAATTGTATGTGATGTGTATTTTACCACCATTTAAAAAACTAAAAGAACATTAGCTAACATGTATTGAGCACTTGCTGTAGGCCAGGCACTGTACAGGGCACTTCTCATACAGTTCTCAGAAAGCTGCGTGAAGTAGGCACTGTTACTGTTTTTTGTTTACAGACATGGGACTTGAGATTTGGGGTGATTTGAAGTCTCCCAAAGCCGTCAGACTAGTGAATGGTCAAGTGGAGATTGAACCCAGGTCTGTGCACATCCAAGCCCCACGCGCTTAAGCCCCATACCGTGTGAACAGGCTGACACCTGGGAACTGACACAGGCACCCCTCCCTCTCAGGCACTGACTTCTGATGGTCTACAGGCCGGCTTTCCTAAGTGTCACCTCATCCTAATAGTGGTGACTTGTTTTCCGTTCGCCTCCAGAAGGCCACAGTCCCCTTCAGGCTCCTGGATTCCGCCGAGCCCTTGTTGTAGCTCCAATGCAAGTTTTCCCGTTGCTCATGGCTTTGGGAGTTGTAAGTTGGTCGTAGTTGGTGCATAATTATTACATACGACCCTTGTTTTAAGGAGTGATCCGTGTTCCCCTGTCTGTTACAGACAACAGTGATTGACTACGTGAAGCCCTCGGATCTCAAGAAGGACATGAACGAGACCTTCAAGGAGAAGTTTCCTCACATTAAGCTGACACTCAGCAAAATTAGGAGGTACGGGAGGCTGGACTTGCCTGTGACCTTTCCCTGCAAACCCCTCTTTCCACACACCGTAAGCTTGTCATCTGTCCAGTGGTCCTTCCTGTGGTTCCAGTGATTGAGTCATTGTCACATTCAGCAGAAAGGACAGCCGGGCATGGTGGCTCACACCTGTAATCCCAGCACTTTGGGAGGCCGAAGTGGGCGGATCACCTGAGGTCAGGGGCTTGAGACCAGCCTGGCCCACATGGTGAAATCCCGTCTCTACTAAAAATTTAAAAATTAGCCAGGCATGGTGGTGCACGCCTGTAAGCACAGCTACTTGGGAGGCTGAGGCAGGAGAATTGCTTGAACCCAGGAGGTGGAGGTTGCAGTGAGCCAAGATCGTGCCACTGCACTCCAGCCTGGAAAACAGAGTGAGACTCCATCTCAAAAGAAAAACAAAAAAAGTAAACATGTTTTATACGACCTGACCAACAGAGAAGAGGCCAAAGCCCAGCTATGTAAATCTGCTCCCCATGCATAACGCAGCCTTCACACTCCCAGGGACTTAATCCCAGTCCAGATCACCCTCTGGGAAAGAGAAAGAGAAAAAGCATTCAAGATGGGGGAGTTTTTCTGTCCACTGAAACTCTAAGTTTTCACAAGACTGTTCCCTCTTGCCTGTCTTTCTCCAGTCTGAAACGAGAGATGCGGAAGCTTGCGCAGGAGGACTGTGGCCTTGAGGAGCCCACGGTGGCCATGGCCTTCGTCTACTTTGAAAAGCTCGCCCTCAAGGGGAAACTCAACAAACAGAACCGGAAGCTGTGTGCTGGGGCATGTGTGCTGTTAGCAGCCAAAATTGGAAGTGACCTCAAAAAACACGAAGTCAAGCATTTAATTGACGTAAGTAGCCTTTTTCCTGGTGGCTGGAGGAGCACATGCTCCGGTCCGGGGTTCCTCTCTCAGAAGGATTCGGTCAGTGACCCTGCCTGGAAGGATTCTGATCCTTAGTCAGCAATTGAGGTGAAGGCTATGAAGTCTTTCCCATAGTGGGAATAGTCAGGCTATCTTAAAACATAGGGATGATCTACTTTGACAAGACCAAAGCTCCTCAGCATTGGGTCTGGCCCTCAAAGTCCATTCTCAGACACCATGTGAGATGCAATCATTCCCACAGCCATAGAAGCCACTGTACCTGCAAGGGATTCCCCCAGGCAGTGTGACCCACAGAGCATCTAATGTCAAACAGGTTGCTTCAGTAAGACCTTGGCTTCCTACTTCCTTAGCTGGCTCCTCTTTGGGGAAAGGCGTGAGTTTGACAAGGTGGTATCTCTTTTCTTTAAAAGGAGAGCCCTAGCAAAGCAAGGAAACATCGATCTCCTTGGATGGCTACATGAATGCCTGTTTTAGAATTCAATATATTAATAGAAAATTTTGAGGTACAGTAAAGCCAACTGATTAGAAGACAGATCCATTGAGAAGATAGTTTGTTACAGTTCCCAAGAGGAGTAGTATCTTGGCTGGTGCTGCCATAACAAAATACCATAGGCTGGATGGCTGAAATGACAAATGTATTTCTCATAGTTTTGGAGGCTGGGAAGTCCAGGGTCAAGGGACCAGTTGCTTCAGTTCTGGTGAGGTTCCTCTCCTTGCTCATGGGCATCTTCTTGCCCATCCTTAATTGCAGAGAAAGACAAAAAGCAAGCACTCTGGTTTCTTCTTCTAAGGCTCTGAATCCCTTCACTCCATGCCCAGGACCTCATCTAGACCTAATCACTCCCAAAGGCCCCATCTCCTAATACCATCACATGAAGGATTAGGGCATCCACATACGAATTTGGGGGGACACAAACATTCAGCCCATAACAAGGGGCATGCCATGCTGTGGGGGCTGTGTATGGAAGCCCTGGAATTGGTCGGGAGGCAGAGGGAGCCTTGATTGTGGTTTTCACAGAAAGGAATAGGTAAGGCAGGGTTTGTGGGTTTAGGATTGGCTAGTTTGAATAGTTTTGATGGGCTGTGGGGCCTAGGGTCTGTCCCTAATTGTCTGGTGCCTGGCTCTGGGGTGATAAGGGCAGGTGGATAGTGGCCTGGAGTGTGAGGCCCATGGAGGAGGTGGTGGGAATGTGGCATCTGGATTGGTTGGTTTGCATTTGAAGAGCAAAAGGGGTCACTGTGGAGGATTTGGCTAACCCTGGGAAGGGCAGTCCCTCTAGAGTCAGCAAGGCCCCAGATATCAAAGCATCAGAATACAGAAAATAAAAGACATGGTTAAGTCAGTGCCCCCATATGTCTCACTTGTCTAGCTGTCTTCAGTGGCAAAGGCAAAAAAGCAGAAAGGGCACTAAGGTAGGTACTCCCCAATTGAAAAGAGTATTTTTTAGGTCGGCGCTTTACAGATTTTAAGAAATGGTACAAAATCATCTAGCTTATACAGTAAATACATGAACCCAGAAGTGACCATTGGACACCAACTCTGAGCTGAGAATCAGTAGGCTTATACAGACATCTGCTGAACTAATGATTTTTTTTTTTTTTTTTTTTGAGACAGGGTCTCACTCTGTCACCCAGACTGGAGTGCAGTGGCACAATCATAGCTCACTGCAGCCTCCACCTCCCAGACTCAAGCAATCCTCCCATCTCCGCCTCCCAAGTAGCTGGAACTACAGGCATGTACCACTGCGCCTGGCTAATTTTTTTTATTTTTTATAGAGACCAGGTCTTGCTGTATTGCCCAGGCTAGTCTCGAACTCCTGGCCTCAAGCTATCCTTTCACCTCAACCTCCCAAAGTACTGGGATTTTAGGCGTGAGTCACCATACCCGGCCAAGAATTAATGAATCTTTTGATGTAACAGATATTTATAAAATTATAAATAATATGCACATTTAATCATAGTTGAGCAATATACCACACAGCAAAAGCTGACTTTACCTTATTCAAGGTGCCTCTATCACCTGAACTACAAAATGCCCTTGGCCTTCCTTACATGGGGTGAGGCCTTCCTCACTATTGATGCAGAATATAACAGTAATGGTTTGACCAGCCACTTACGGTAGCAAGAAACCTAACTCAAGGTCTCATCCCAGTTATGATCTGAAAGCAGTCAACATCTGCTCTGTGGGTAGGATTTATTTTATTAAGACAAAAGCTGGGTTGACGCCAAGGCAGAATGTGCCTGAGCAAACATGAGGCCCTCCCTGTCCATCCCCACCTTGGTGGTTCTCCTTCCTTTCCAGCTCCAGCAGCCCCTCTAGTTGGGTGGGCACGCAAGATGCCACCAGGCTCAGCCCTGTTTAGATACACAGCAACTGTGTAGCACTGTGAAAGTGGAGACTTCCCGAGGACTTAGATCCTTGTAAGATGAAAGGACTGAACTACATAGAATCAGTGCACTCCCTTCTGAACTTACCACGTGGTTTTTATTGTCGTGCGTGGTTTGCTTTATTATTTTTATTTATTTTTTGAGACAGCATCTTGCTTTGTTGCCCAGGCTGGAGTTCGGTGGCACAATCTTGACTCACTGCAACCTCCACCTCCCGGGTTCAAGTGAGTCTCCTGCTTCAACCTCCCGAGGAGCTGGGATTACAGGCGCCCACCGCCACGCCCGGCTCATTTTTGTTATTTTTAGTAGAGACGACAGGGTTTCACCATGTTGCCCAGGCTGGTCTCAAACTCCCGACCTCAAGTGATCCACCCACCTCGGCCTCCCAAGGTGCTGGGATGACAGGCGTGAGCCACCACCGGTTTGCTTTATTTTCAGTCTTCCCTTTAAACCTGAATCACTTAGTTGCCACAGGTAGAGTTTGAGTCCCAGTTAGGGTGGACTCTTAGTGCTGCAATTGGCTACACATGTGACCCTGGCTAAGCTCTCTGACTTCTTGGAGCCCGTTTTCTCATCTGTAAAATAGAGATACGGAGCATGAACCATGTCATATTCCTGAGAGGATTAAATGATGTCATAAGATGTATGTGTGGTTCCGGGCAGCCCCTCGGGAAAGGAGCAGCTCCTTCACAACCAGGACCGAAGGCAGGAAGCACAGCCTGTGCCTCCCTTTCTTCCTCCACAGAGCTTTGCCCAAAGTGGATTTCTCCTGAGCACTCACTGGCTGGTGGATAGAGAAGCTGCAATTGCAGAAAGACTAGGATTTTAATTTCAAAATGAACATGCTTTTGATTTTCTTTTTGTTGCAGAAACTGGAAGAGAAGTTCCGGCTGAACAGGCGAGAACTGATTGCCTTTGAATTCCCGGTGTTAGTGGCCTTGGAATTCGCCCTCCACTTGCCCGAGCACGAAGTCATGCCCCACTACAGACGGCTGGTCCAGAGTTCCTAGCACTGGCCCCGAGGACAGCCAAGGGCCATTTCTTCTCAGCTTGGTGGAGCAGCACTTACTTACTACTGGAAATGAAAAAAAGTAGAACTCAGAATACCAGACTTTTCTTCCTCTCGACATAGTTTGGGGAGAAGCAGTACTAGAAACTTTCCAAGGAGTCTTGGGTGTGTAGCCAAGAGGAGCCATGAGCTATGGACTCCTCAAGCACGGGAAGAGGAGGTGTGTGCTGAGAACAGAGAGGCCCTGCCCTCTGTCCACTAGCGAGAATCCCTAGCTGCCCCAGCCCAGTCTTTCTCCCCGGCATTCACAAACTTTGCAAGCGTGGTCCAGGGCCTTCTCCAGATCTGTTCCAACTTGGAGTGTGAAGGGCTTGAGCATACGGGGGAAGAGAGTCTGCAGAAGTTGGGGGAAAACTTTTAAAAGATACCCTCATTGTGTCAAAGAGTGTGCCAATCTATTTTTGTATCAGCATTGGAAGTGCACTTTCCCCTGGGGCGTGTGGGTGTGTGAATGTGCAAGTGTCTGAGAGATACTGCATCAGCCCTAGACCCCCAGAGCCAGTCCCGCCCTTTACAGAGCAGCCCTTAGCCTGGGGCCATGGGTCAGGCTGACCTTCAACAATTATTTCTAGATGATTTCTGGATAAGAATTGCTCTCTCGGTACCAGACAGTTTGACATCCTCCACCCTTAGAAAATGACTGACATTGTTTTGTTACTGCTCCTACCCACCAAGGGGATAAAGAAGGCGAGTTCTGAGTGTTGGATGAGTCAGTCGCGTGGAAGGACGTGGAGCGTGGCGCTCTGTAACTTCCTGCCGTCTGCCACCCCGCCACGTGTATTTAACCCTCGCACTTTCTCCACTGTGGAGATGGCTGGGGCGGCGCCCCACAGTGTGTATTCCTGTCCTCTATGTTAGAGTGCATCAGAAGCACATTTACTGTGCTATCTATATCGCTATATAAAAGTGTTTTATAAAAACCCAGAATAGGAGCACGACGCATGATTGGTGTTTGAGGCGTTTGCCAGCTGGGACAAACTGCGTTTGGAGCTGTGGTTAAGCTGACTAAGGAGGCGGTGGCTCTTTCTTAACATTCCCACGTGCCCAGGGCTGTTCATGCAAGATTTTAATGGTGACTTGTCCTGGCTTACTGGGACAGTCTGTATGAGGCATGTCACCACACTGTCGCCTCATAGCTGCAAGAGAGAGGCACCAGCTGAAGTTCCCCTGACTGAAGAGAGCCTGTGGCCATGTAAAAAGAGAATTAAACTCTTGTTGCTTTTTGTATACCTGTATGCGTTTGTGTAGACGTGTGTCTCACCAGTCACCTTTGCCCTGCATTGCTGATCCCCTTGCGCACACTGATTCTAGTGAGGTCACAGATTCGGAGCTTCACACACCAGCCCAGAGAAAGGGCGATGGAACCGAACCGAGGGTCTGCAGCTTTCGTTAGCAGAGCTGTCAGATTCTTGACAGTCTTGGAGGATGGAGAAATTCAAGCAGCAGCTGGTGAGGGCCAAAACAGAATACTTGGCTTCTTCAGAATCTTAGATTGCACTGAGTTTAGTCCTAAATATTTTGCTAACAAATTTCCTTGGCCAGAATCAGTTGTAAGACAGTGATTTGGGTGGTGGGGGGAGGGAGGAGGGAGAGGATATGATTAATGTGGTCTCTTTGGCTGATCGAAAGCTAGATCAACTGGTACTTAGGGCACTTGCTGTTTATAAAGCAAAATTGAGAAAATATTCAAGGTGCCTCCATCGCCTGAACTACAAAATGCCCTTGGCCTTCCTCACATGGGGTCTGTCACCTTGCATCTCTGATAAGCCATCCACCTTCCTGGTCAGTGCCTACAGGGGGAGAGCCTTTCTGAGAAGCAGGTCCTGTGGTATCTGAGAATGGTCTAGAGAGCTCCCCACTGCCCATCTGCCCCCGAATTTCCTGCCAAGCTCTGGGGAGTGGGGTGGGGGGAGGGACGTCCGATGGATGACAGGCCGCCAGCCCAGACGTGGGGAGAGAAGCCTGAGTCCTTTCCTGTGTGATAAAATCAGGCTAATTTACTTGGATTTGGGGTGATTTGTTTGGTTTTTAGCATTTATGAGGTGAGCCCATGAAGTTAGTGGTCCATTACTTTTTAAAGATGCATTTTCATTTTAAACTGTCTCCTGGCCTGTGGATTTGTGGAATGGACAGTTTTGTGGGTTTTAATTTATTTGTGAGGAGTCGGGGCTGAGAAGGCATTTTATCAGGAGGTCTCCTTTTGCACGTCCATGACATGAGCTTTTCGGAGGCAAAGGAAGTGGAGGAGGGTGAGAGATGCAGGTCACTGCCAGAGGCACCTCTGTGACACGGAACATTCCAGACACGTCGCAGCCTTGGGCTTCGGCGAGGAGGAAGTCTGAGCCTGTGAAGCGAGAAGGCCAGGCAGTAGACTGGCTCTGAGGTTTTGCCCTTTGACCTCCTCCACAGAGGGCAGCTTCAGCCCCTTGTAAGCCCTGCCCCCTCTCAGGACTGCCCTGAGGCCTCTCCAGTCCTCCCCACACTCAGAGATCTGTGGGGAAGCTCCGCCCAGCCACACTCCTTGGGATAATACTAGCCGGTTCTGCCTGATTCCTTTTCCCCCGGAGCCAGCCTAGGGGGCCCGGGACTCCTCTAGTGAGCCTTGACTGTTAGGTAAGAGACAGGAAGCAGACAAGCCAAGAGGTTGCTGCAGCTGCCCCCAGGAGGAAACGGGCAGCAGGGAGTGTGGCCCAGCCCCCACTGTACCCCTCCAGGGGCCCGAGCCCTTGCCAGCCCAATGACACCTTGAAGTCACCACTTTTCCTTTCTTGCCCGCTAATAAAACCTATTTAAACAGGAAATTCATACCAAATGCAAATGGGTTTTGTTTTCCTTGGCATTTTGTTGTTCCGATCACAGATTTCCCTGCCAGGGTGTCTGTGGTTATCAGCTGCAGGCTCAGCTTGGGGCGGCCGCTTCACACAAGCCACTCTGTACCACGTGCCCTACCTTAGTGACGGGAGTAAGGAGCTTCCTTCCCCTCCATGTCATTCCTTCCTGTTCCCTTCATTCCCCAACAGCAAATAAAACTGTTGAATGCTCTGGCTGCTGAGTTCTTTATCTCTCACTCAGACGTTTCCGGCTTAGTGCTGAACAGCTGGCCCCTTGCCCTCCCCAGCCCTGGCTGCCTCCCGTGACTCCTGAGAGCCTGAAGCCTTTCTGCCCTGCTGCAAGCTTAAGTGGGTGGGGTGGGGGGAGGCTGGAGAATGAAGTGCATTTGAGCCAGGTGGTTTTGTTACCTGTTCAGCAACAAAAGACATCTTTCAAATCAAGGGGGATTTTTGGGGTTGGGGATGGGGGCGCGCCCTGACGTCACCTCCCCGGGGCTGTTGGCACAGTTGGGTAAGCACAGTGCTGAGGGCCAGCAAGAGCAGGGAGTAAACTGAGTGTAAATCTGGAATCACATCACCAACACCAATGTCAATAAAAAGCAGCTTCCAGTCATGCAGCTGCAAAGCAAAGCTGAGATTCAAAGCTGGAAAAGAAGAAAAATGGCAGGTGAAGGGGAAAGGTCCTCTTGCCACCTGCACACAGCCCAGCGGAAGGGACCCAGGCCAGGATGGGAAGGGGTGCTATCTAAGAGCCCCCACCCCATAAAGGGCCCTTTAGACTTCGAAATAGGTAGTCCAGAAAGGCTGCAAACCTAAGACTGGCAAAACCACAAAGAAATGCCTCGCGAGTACTGTGCTTCCTCACACACAGACTTCTTGACTTCAGATGACACATCATCTATACAACATCAATACACCTAGTACGGCTAGGTGTGGTGGCTTACACCTGTAGTCCCAGCTACTCAGGAAGCTAAGACAGAAGGATCACTTGATCCCAGGAGTTCAAGGCTGCAGTGAGCTAGGATCATTCCACCTTATTCCAGTCTGGGCAACAGAGCAAGACCATGTCTCTATTTTGTTTTTTAAGGGCTGGGTGGGGCAGGCACAGTGGCTCACACCTGTAATCCCAGCACTCTGGGAGGCCGAGGTGGGTGGATTGCTTGACACCAGCCTGGGCAACATGGCAAAACCCTGTCTCTACTGAAAATACAAAAAATTAACTGGGCATGGTGGTACACGCCTGTAGTCCCAGCTAGTTGGGAGGCTGAGGTGGGAGAATCACCAGAGTCCAGGAGGTCAAGGCTGCAGTGATCACACCACTGCACTCCAGCCTGGGTGAAGGGAGCAAGACCCTGTCTCAGAAAAAAAAGAAAAAAGTACATCTAACCTACTAAACATCACAGCTTAACCTTTCCTACCTCAAATACACTCAGAACACTTTTGTACAGTATTTGATAAATTACATGAGATAGTCAACACCTTCTTACAAAATAGGCTTTATGTGAGATGATTCAGCCTAGCATCTCCAAGGGGTATCATACAGCACATGGCTAGCCTGGTAAGGATCAAAATTCAAAGTACATTTATACGGAATGCTTTTGCACCATCATAAAGTTGACAGTTGTGCAAGTCAAACCATCATAAGCTGGGGCTTCCATATGCCATCTCTCACCACCATCTTGCCACTAAGAGCACGGCCCAAGGATCAGCAGCATTCACATCACCTACAGGCTTATTAAAGATGCAGAATCTACATCTTACCATTCCTCCTTGGTGATTTGTATGCCTGTTAAAGTCTGAGAGGCACCATTCCTCCGTATTAGCATAGGACATAAAACTGTCTAGGAAAGAGAAAGGTATAGAGAAAAATCTAAATTTTTTTCTTTAATACCAAAAAGAATAGTGCCAGCTTCAGAGGTTGTTTTGACATGTGTTTACCTAGCTGCTTCATCTAACAATTTTTTGGGTGCACAAGGCCAAAAAGATGTAAACTGGACTAAGCAACAGCTAACATATTGGTCCCAAGTACAGAGCTAACTTACAGTGCATCACAGCAGCTGCTGGTTAAGGACATTGCTCAGATGAGGCCTGGATCCCAGGTTCCCAGGGCTCACAGATACAGCGTTAGGATGGTGGCAAGTCAGGGTTCCCAACAGCACTGGAGCACAATTCTCTACTGTAGCTGGGGACTGTAGAGCTGTGACCTTGGGGACATCACAAATGGGCAGACCTCCAGTTTGCTTGGACTGACACTGATTGACGTCCACCTAGCGCTTATGAAATGTGTCTTCCACTGGGTTCTGTGGGCTTCCTGATGTCGGGCAGAGCCTGCTGGGGGCAGGTGCAAGGCACCCTTACCAGGTGCCGTGAGGCTGTTCTCCAGATGAGCCTCAATGTGGAAGCTTGAAAGGGAAGCTCCAGGGGAGAGACAGATTCCCCAGGTGGGCCCAGGGTTGGCCAAGGCCAAGGCAGCAGGGTTGGAAATCAGTGCTCAGGAATTAGCCGAGTACACAGATCACAAAGTGGGTCAAGATGAAGCAATTGTCTGGTCCCAAAAGTGAAGACCAAGAAACCAGAACTGACAAGTTAGATGCTTGGAAAGAAGATGGGTGGGAATGAAATCAGGGACTCCTTACCAGGGCACCAGAACAGGCTAGTGAGAAACCAGAGACGTGAACTGTGATAGGCAGATGAAGCCTTGGACACGGTCTTCAACAAGGGGCTGGTGCTTAGGAGGACTCGATATTCACCAAGCAGATATCATGCGCCAGCCCTGTGCTGGGCACTTAATGCACCTGTCCTCATTTAACCCTTAAACAATGAGGTACCTGGGGCTCTGAAACATCACATAAGGTGGCCAATGACACACGATTATGAAGTGACAAAGGCAAGATTCAAACCCAGCTATAATTCCAAAGCCCAAGCACCTGTCCTGCCTCATGCTTAGAATGAAACAGAGCCACTAACATGGTGGAGGGCCAAAGCGAGGCTGAGCCAGATGCTGGAGAGATGGCCTTGAGTTAGAGGAGGTCTTCTGATGCCCTCAGTTAGACAGGGCCTTCTCCCTGCCCTTCCCAGCCACTGCTGGCCCTTTTCCCTGCAGAGGAGAAGGGATCTGGAGCTACGAAATCCATAGCATCGTCTTCTTGGGTCTGAGTGGCCTCCACATTTGATGTGGGGCCCACGTCTGAGCCCCCTGGTAGAACATGAAATGTTTGGAAAACTTGCTTCCATAACAAGTAAGCTAAGGGGCTTTTGAAAGTAAGTAAAAGATCACAATCAGGTTTAACGCAGCCAGTGTTCACGTCCACCAACATTTCACCAGCTAGTGTCTCGTGGTGCATGTGTAGATTTTCCACCATGTGTTATAATTAAGACAAATTCTCCTTGCCCTACGCTCTGCGTGTTCCTTGGCTGCTGTCCCTTTAATCAGTGTGTGACTAGGAAATGCAAATTTGTTTTGCTCTAAGGCTAAGCCAAGCATACCTTGGCCAGGCGGTCAGTTGGCAAGGATGGCCACATCACACAGAGAATGGTTCAGGGATTACGAGCTGTCTGAGACTATTCATGTCTCAGCCCCCAAATGTCACAGAAAGACTTTGATTCACTGCCACTTGCAGAGCACAGGCCCTAGTCAGATGTGTCAGGTGCGCTGAAAGGCACCTCCATAGTCCTTAACTGCTGCTGTAGACCAAAGGGTTCAGCAGAGCAGGACTGGATTCCATCACCATGAACTCGAGCACCTATCACAGGGCCTGGTACACAGAATTCACCAAATAAACACTGGTTGAGTTAAATGAGCCATCGCAAAACAAATTACCCCACTGGGTGGATTGTTCCCTGCAACTCTGAATCAGCTTTCTGCTCAGCATCTGTGTTAGAGAGTTCTTGCATTGCTATAAAGAAATGCTTGAGACTGGGTAATTTACAAAGAAAAGAGGCTTAATTGCCTGCTGGTTCTGCAGGTGCCAGTGTCTGCTCAGCTTCTGGAGAGGCCTCAGGGAGCTTTTATTCATGCCAGAAGGCAAAGCGGGAACAGGCACGCTACACAGCAAAACAGGAGCAAGAGGGGTGGGAAGGTGCCACACTTTATTCCTTTTTTTTTTTTTTTTTTTTTTTTTTTGAGACGGAGTCTCGCCCTATCACCCAGGCTGGAGTGCAGTGGTGCGATCTCGGCTCACTGCAACCTCTGCCTCCCAGGTTCAAGCGATTCTCCTGCCCCAGCCTCCTGAGTAGCTGGGATCACAGGCGCGCGCCACTACGCCCGGCTAATTTTTGTATTTTTAGTAGAGACAGGGTTTCACTATGTTGGTCAGGCTGGTCTCGAACTCTTGACCTCGTGATCCGTCTGCCTCGGCCTCCCAAAGTGCTGGGATTATAGGCATGAGCCACCGTGCCCAGCCGTCATTTTTTTATTTTGAGACAGGTTCTCACTCTATTGCCCAGGTGGAGAGCAGGGGTGCAATCATGGCTTGCTGCAGGCTCAATCGACTCTCCCACCTCAGTCTCCCAAATAGGCTGGGATTACAGGTGCATCACGCCACGCCCAGCTGATTTTTGTATTTTTTGTAGAGATGAGGTTTCACCATGTTGCTCAGGCTGGTTTCAAACTTGTGGGCTCAAGCGATCCTCCCATCTCAGCCACCCAAATTACCGGGATTACAAGCATGAGCCACCGTGCCCGGCCTACACTTTTAAATAACCAGATCTCGTGAGGATTCACTCACTATCGTGAGGACAGCACCAAGCTATTCATGAGGGATCCACCCCCATGACCCAAACATCTCCCACCAGGCCCCACCTACAACATTAGGAATTACTTTTCAACATGAAATTTGGGTGGGGATAAATATCCAGCCACATCCGCATCTCACTCAGGGCTGACTCTGCAGATCCCAGCACCCAGGTTTCCTTGCCCTCCAGCTTCTGGTTAGGCTCTGGAAGGAGAGACACTGACCAGAAATGAGAGAGCAGGAGGAGAACGGGAACTGGGGTGTGTGTTCCACGGCCCAGCCTCCACCCCAGCCAAGGGGCCCTGCTAGTCCCGGGATCTCACCACCCCTTCTTGGACAGTTCCTTCACTAAACTCACTCAATTTCTCCCAATGCACGAGCCATCAAGTTCATGCTGTGGCTTTGGCCAATACACCCAGTTGGCAGAGTAGGAAACGGTGTCTCATCAAGTACGGGCAATCTGGGGTTGTCTATAACCCCAAAGCATTCTGGAAACAAGCAGTAGGAATCGTCCCCCCAAAGCACCAAGAATGGATAGGAACAGTCAAAAATATCACATGGCTCTCAAAAAAAAAAAAAAAAACCAGAAAGGAAAAAAGTTTGGCTACAATGACCCTGGCCTTGAAGCAGCCCAATGGGCACTTCCCACCAGCCCAGACCCCTCCCAACAGCTGCCGTGGCCCCACTGAGACTTTGGAGTTCTTGGGAGTTCTCTTATGAGGGTCATCTGAACAGAAGCTGATCATAAAAGATGACCAAAAAGAAATCTCTCTCCCCACTGGAGAGGGTGGATGGCACACTCTGCCGGAACCACTTGCTATAAATTATTTTTTAAAAATCGTGGCTTCCAGAAAAAGGAAGCAGATCGCCTCTGAGGCTTATCTAGAAGGCCCTGATGAAGCATACATACTGTTCTATGAGTGTCTAAGCCAGATACCATGTTCCCTAAGGCAGCTGCCTTCTCCATGAAATCAATTTTCATTTTTATTTATAAAATAAAAACAAGACACAAATGAGAATTGCTTACTTTCCCCCCTTCTTTCCAGTATGTGTTGGAGAGAGTGACAGATACTCTCAGGGGAAGCCTCAGGGGAAGCCTGGGGCCAGAACGGTTTTTGGAAAAATATGCAGCCGGAAGGGGCCATTTCTCAGAAGCAGCCCTTAGGGAGCCCAGGGGCAGCTGACACTAGGAGGAGCAGGCACTGGAAGGCAGGAAAAGGTTCCAGAGCTAGGCAGACCGTGCGGCCTTATGCAAGCCACTGGCCAGCCCATGCCTGCTGGGGGTCATAGTACCTCCCATCAGAGGGACTCTGGAAGATGGCACAGTAAACCCCTGGCCCAGGGCCTGGCATACAGTAGGCACTCAATAGATGAAAACAATTACTATTTTTACCTCCATTGAACTTAATTCTTAGCAAAAAAAAAAAAAAAAACAAATCCTGCTTTATAGAGAAAGAGATTGGAGCACAGATAGGTGCCTAGGGCCAAATTTGGACCATAAAATACATTCAGATTCCATTCCGTTCTTGTCCCCCACTGCTCAGGCAGAGTGTCGGTGACAACTCAGGGAATGCAGGAGCTGGGACCGGTGATGTCCTTGAAGAGGCACAGTGGTCTCTTCAACCAGGTGGCTTCACAGCCATTAGCCAACAAATGGACTTCAGGTGTTTTTCTGCTTTCTTGAAACCAAATTCCCCCAGGTGCTTACTTGAGCAGCTCAATGGGGTGATTATGAGGCCCCTGTGGCCTTGAGGCTTCCTCTCCAGTGATGACAAGGTCGCCTGGCCAACTCACCTGGACAGCTGCCCTCAAACGTGGCCCTTGGAGCCCCCTCAGCGGCACCCGCCCTGCAGAGCAGCTTGTTGGATTCTCTCACTCTCCTCCCCCAGAGAGGCTCCCTCGCCGAAGCTCAGGGAGTGACTCCTGGTTCGCTGATGAGGGGCTGGTGGGCTGCCTTGCCTGCTGGTCTGTGTCCCCACCTAGCCTAGGCCCCCCACTCCAGGGCAGAGCATCCGACCAACAGACCACAGAGGTAGAGCTGTGCCCACACTCTGCCCTAAACCGCATCTGCATGGGGCCTGACCCAGAAGAAGGTGCTTGCCCTGCCGCCCCACAGTGAGAGCTCTAAACCAGAGCCTGGCTGAAAATGGGGCTGCCCCTTGCTGCTGACTTGAGGAACCGGGGGCAGTTTTGTGAGACGCGATGTGGCCTCACCTCATTCCTGGTAAGATTCAGCCACATTCTTCACTGACACCACCCTCGGTCTCTTCCGCTGTCCAGCGTGCACATGGCCTCAGGACACCACTGGGGGTTGCAGGTGAATTTCAGGGTGTCTATGACACACTGCCAAGCCCACGCTCCTCTCAAGTTCAGCTCAGACTCTATAGGCTCTTCTGAACGGGCGCTTCCTGCCCCTTCCACCTGTCCCGTGCCAGCCCTGGTGGCTCTCTAGGTTGTTCTGCACTCCCTCCACCCCGGCCCACTTCCTGCCCCCAATCTTCTCAATAGGGACTTGCTTTCCTCCCCCCAGGACACTCCTCTAGCTCTTGTTCTGTGCCACACAGTTGCTCTTCCTGCTGCCTCTGTCATGGCTCTCCGGCTGCCCACTCCCTGCACTGTCGGCCCTCAGCCAGCTTCTCCCTAAAGTGCCTCCTTCCCTTCGCCCTGACTCTGTCCCGTTCCTCTGCACCTCTGCTTCACATCTGGGGTCCCCTGCCCCATCCTCTTTCCTTCCTTAGCGCTCCCTTAGGTCCTCAGCCACTCCCTGCCTGGCTGGCTGCACTAGGGTGTCCTGTTGCCCATCTTGTCACACAGCCCCTTTTCCCCACAAGGCCTCCTCAGGCCCCTGGCACACAGGCCCGCACCATGTGCACTGAACAGAGTCCCCCTCTCAGCACACACAACATCCCATGGTTTCAATTCAACTGCAAGTCTTCTGGCCACCCGGTTTGGGAAGTCCCTACAATTCCACAGCTGTCCAGTTGGGTCATTTAGGTCCTGGGGGCCTCATTTTTGGGAGACACATTCTTTAGGGTTCCCAGAGCCCACATGCTGCAGCCATTTGGCCTCACCAAGCCATCCCAGAAAAGAGAGCAGGCCTTTTATCTTTTCCATAGTGAATAAAATAATTTGCAGGAAGTCTCTACCACACCTTTAAATCAAAGTATAAGTCCTGAACTAAAGTCAAGACACAGAGAGGAAGAATATGAGGAGAAATGGGTATTTATTATACAAACATTCCCAAATTGAAACAGTTCTGATCTGGATTCCTGTTTGCAGAAGATCTGGGCTTTGAGAGATTACTCTTGCTGCCAATAGAAGTTTCCAGAGACCAGTACTATTCAGATCAGGAGCAAATATTTGGTTGGAAAACTAAAGAAGTATTTGCTGAACATTTGTCAAAGTGCGGTCTTAGTAGGGCTAGCTGAAGCAGAATCACCTGGGGTGCCCTTTGGAAATGCAAATCCCTGGGAATTCTGGAATCTCTGAGGGTGGGGTCTAGGAATCCATATTTGCAACAAGTTCCCCAGGTGATGTTTCTCCAGTCAAGGTTCGAGAGTCACAGCCATCCAAGTGTTGAGGGGTTGTAGCAAGCAGAACATGGAAGGCAGGCAAAGATGCTGCTCCTAGCAGGGCTTCTGGAATCTGCATAAACTTGTTAAATGCAGACGCTGGGGCAGCAGGACTAGGATGGGACTAGACGTTCTAGGGACCCCGTGTTGCAGGTCCACAAATCACAGCATATTTTTAGTAGGAAGCGGCTGGAGGGTATATTTCCTTTGCATTGTCTGCCTGCTGTGCGTGTGTGTGTGCGTGTGTGTGTGTGTGTGTGTGTATACATACTACAACAATAAAGCACTTTTGCATGGCTTACTTCCCATAATGAAATATGAAGCTATTGTTTAAGTACTGACTCTAAATCTTAGCTAAACTATTGCTGCCCTCTTAGGCAGTCAGCTGGAAGTTGGCTCACAAGAGCAGTTCAGAGAAAATCTGTGGTGTCAGAGATAGTCAGATCTCCTCACCGTTCCGTGGCCCAATGAGCTTGGGCTAATTATGAAAACTTTCCAAGCTTCAGACTTTAGCTGTAAAATGAAGCTGACTCTGGGTCCTTTCTCAAAGCAGATGATGAGGGTTCCACAGATGGTGATATGGTTTGGCTGTGTCCCCACCCAAAGCTCATCTTGAATTGTAGCTCCCATAATCCCCATGTGACATGGGAGGGACCCAGTGGGAGATAATTGAATCATGGGAGTGGTTTACCCCATCCTGTTTTGGTGATAGAGTTCTCACAAGATCTGATGGTTTTATAAGGGGCTTCCCCACCTTTCCCTCTGCACTTCTCCTTCCTGCCACCATGTGAAGAACGTGTTTGCTTCCCCTTCTGCCATGATTGTAAGTTTCCTGAGGCCTCTCCAGCTATGCTGAACTGTGAGTCAATTAAACCTGTTTCCTTTATAAATTACCCACTCTTGGGCATGTCTTTATTAGCAGTGTGAGAATGGACTAATACAGTAAATTGGTACTGGTAGAGTGGGGTACTGCTATTAAGATACCGAAAAATGTGGAAGCAATTTTGGAACTGGGTAACAGGCAGAGACTGGAACAGTTTGGAGGGCTCAGAAGAAGACAGGAAGATGTGGGAATGTTAGGAGCTTCCTAGAGACGTGTTGAATGGTTTTGACCAAAATGCTGATAGTGATATGGACAATAAAGTCCAGGTTGAGGTGGTCTCAGATGGAGATGAGGAACTTGTTGGGAACTGGAATAAAGGTCACTCTTGCTATGCAAAGAGAATGGTGGCATTTTGCCCCTTCCCTAGAGATCTGTGGAACTTTGAACTTGAGAGAGATGATTTAGGGTATCTGGGAGAAGAAATTTCTAAGTGGCAAAGCATTCAAGAGGAAGCAGAGCAAAAAGTTTGGAAAATTTGCAGCCTGACGATGTGATAGAAAAGAAAACCCCATTTTCTGGAGATAAATTCAAGCTAGCTGTATAAATTTGCATAAATAACAAGGAGGCAAATGTTAATCACCAAGACAATGAGGAAAAAGTCTCCTGGGCATGTCACAAATCTTCGTGGCAGTCCCTCCCATCACAGGCCCAGAGGCCTAGGAGGAAAAAATGGTTTCCTAGGGCTGGGCCCAGGGCTCCCTGCTGTGGGGAGGCTAGGGACTTGGTGCCTTGTGTCCCAGATGCTCTAGCCATGGCTAAAAGGGGCCAAGGTACAGCTCAGGTCATGGCTTCAGAGGGTGAAAGCCCCAAGCCTTGGTAGCTTACACATGGCATTGGGTCTGCAGGTGCACAGAAGTCAAGAATTGAGGTTTGGGAACCTCCATCTAGATTTCAGAGGATATGTAGGAATGCCTGCATGTCTAGGCAAAAGTTTGCTTCAGGGGCAGAGCCCTCATGAAGAACTCTTCTAGGGCAGTGTGGATGGGAAATGTGGGGTTGGAGCCCCCACACAGAGTCCCCACTGGGGCACCGCCTAGTGGAACCATGAGAAGAGGGCCACCATCTTCCAGACCCCAGAATGGTAGATCTGCCAACAGCCTGTACTGTGCACCTGGAAAAACTGCAGACAATGCCAACCTGTGAAAGCAGCCAGGAGGGGAACTATACCCTGCAAAGCCACAGGGGCGGAGCTGCTCAAGACTGTGGGAACCCACCTCCTGCATCAGCATGCCTTGGATGAGAGACATGGAGTCAAAAGAGATTATGTGAGTAATAATAAAACTCTGGTCTCCTACACAGCCGGCTCTGTGTAAATTACTCTTTCTTTACTGCAATTCCCCAGTCTTGACAAATTGGTTCTGTCTAGGCAGTGGGCAAGATGAACGCACTGGACAGTTACAATAGGCAGAAGGGATTTGCCTTATCTCAGATGAAACTTTGGACTGTGGACTTTTGAGTTAATGCTGAAATGCCTTAAGACTTTGGAAAACTGTTGGGAAGGCATGATTGGTTTTGAAATGTGAGGACATGAGATTTGGGAGGGGCCGGGGTGGAATAATATGGTTTGTCTGTGTCCCCACCCAAATCTCATCTTGAATTGTAGCTCCTATAATCCCCACATATCACAGGAGAGACCCAGTGGCAGATAACTAAATCATGGGGGTAGGTTTTTCCCATGCTGTTCTCATGATAGTGAATAAGTCTCACAAGATCTGATGGTTTTATAAGGGGAAGTTCCCCTACAAACACTCTGTCTCATCTGCCGCCATGTGAGACATGCCTTGTTCCTCCTTTGCCTTCCACCATGATTGTAAGGCCTCCCCAGCCATGTGGAACTGTGAATTCATTAAACCTCTTTTTCTTTACAAATTACCTAGTCTTGGGTATTTTTTCATAGTAGTATGAAAATGGACTAATACAGATGGTAAATGCAAGTATACACTTGGTTCCTGACACAGTGCAGTCAGCAGGCACTAGTTGTTGGCATTAGCCCACGGTGGAAAGCCTGTGAGGGATCCTCGTCTGGGTCTGGCATTGAGGGCTGTGATACAATAAGAATTATAGCTTTGGTCTTTATCCCTGAGCATGACATAGAGCTTCTAAAACTCTTGGAATTTCCTGAGTTATAGACAGGCCTGTTGGTGTTCACAACAAGCCCCTTTCAACCACATCTGAGTTTATGTTAATGAGGTGACTCTTGGTGGGTCTCTAGATAGCTTCAGGATGGGGGCTTGGAAAGATCAAGGCATGATTAGAGTGTTGGAACTTCCAGCCCCATCTCCGACCTCTGGGGAGAGGAGAGTGGGTGAAGACTGAGTTGATCACCAAATGGCCATGGTTTGATCAATCATGCCTACATAATGACGTTTCCATTAAAAACCCAAAAGGATTGGGTTCAGAGAGCTTCCTGATAGCTAAACATGTGGAGTTTCCTGGAAGGTTTTGCACTCAGAGTGGGAATGGAAACTCTGAGGCCCCTTCTCCCATACTTTGCCCTATGTATTTCTTCCATCTGGCTGTTCATCTGGATCCTTTGCCGTATCCCCTATAATCAATGGGCAAACATAATTAAAGTGTTTCCCTAAGTTCTGTGAGCTGCTCTAGCAAATTAATTGAACACAATGAGGGGATTGTGGGAACACTGATTTATAGCAAGTTGATTGGAAGTAGTTGGTATCTGAAGTAAGGGGCAGTCTTGTGGGACTGAGCCTGCACGTGTGGGATCTGATGCTATTTCCAGGTAGATAGTGTCAGAACTGAACTGTCTGGAGGTGCCAAGCAAGTCAGGAAGGCTGCCACTGCTGTGGAGGCAACAGGTCCCTGTAGAGAGACCCCTTGCATGGAAGCCACCTATTCCTTGTCGGTCTCTTCCACCTGTAGTCCCAGCTATTCAGGAGGCTGAGGCAGGAGGATCACTTGAGCTCAGGAGTTCAAGGCTGCAGTGAGCTATGATCATGCCACTGCACTCCAGCCTGGGCAACAGAGCCAGACCCCATCTCTTAAAAATAAGTAAATATACTTATTTTTAATGGAATAAAATGGAATAAAAATAAAAATGGAAGGTGTCTGGAGTCAGATTGGTGAGTTTGGGGATGAGTAGGAGATCAGAAAATAGGGTCAGCAAGCAGAGGCTTTTTTGAGGTTTAGTTGTGAACAAGAGGAAGGAGCTAGGAAAGAAATCAGAAGCTAAGAACCAAAACCTTTTATCCTCGCACTCAGCCAGGACACAGAGAAGCGAAACCACACCTGACTGCCTACACGAACCTGACTTTGCTATACCACTGTCTTCGTTAGCATTTCTTTCCTCTTTTGGTACTGTCTCCCAACACACGGTTTGATTATTTACTATAGAAACTTCCCAATTCCTCAATGCACAGTGTCCACAGACAGTTTGCTCTTGAAGCGTTGGACCCTCTGCAGTTTCCACCAATCCTAGACTCTCGAATCCTGATGGTTACCCAGTCCTACATCCCCACATGGAAAGACCCACCTCAGACCAAACTTCCAATCTGGGATAGATTCTGCCTTTGTCTTCCTAGCTCTGAAACACTGCCCAAGCTTTGTTCTCCATGACACCGGTGAGCCGCAATCAGCCTGGTTTTATCTTGTCAATGGGTGTGCTAATGACGGGAGGAGAGCCAGCTTAGACCAACTGGATGAAGAAAGAAGCCACGTTTTTGTTTTGTTGTTGATTTTAAATGGGAAAGACTTGAGGGTGTTTCAAACCAGTAGAGAGGGAAAAGGTGAAATAGCCAACAGAGAGAGATCCCTGGGTTTCTGAGAAGGCAGGAGGAGTTGGAATCAGAATGAGCAGAATCAGAGGGATAAATGTTAAGTTGAAGAGGAAGTACTCCTCGACTGCAAAAAGAAGGAAGGAGAAGCGTAAATGTGGGCAGGTGTGTATGGATGACACTGGGACGGTGAATGAGCTCACCTGACAGCTTTCAGTCTCTTTTGAAGCAAGAGGGGAGGCCCGTCTACATGGAGGTGAGAGAAGGGCAAAAAGAGAAAGGGAGTTTGAAGAGTAAAAAGTGTTTGGATAATTGTTGTGGAGACACGGAAAGTGAACCAGCATGGGAAACTGTAACTTCCCTAGTTACAGAGAACTGAGACTGGTGCTTATGAAGGTCTAGAGAATGCAATCGCCCTGTTCTGTGACTTCCTGAATGAATGAATGAATGAATGAATGAGGACTTCTGGGGTGACTGCATATTCCACACTCACTTAGATATGGAAGCGCTAATGGATTTTAAAGTCATTCGCCTCACGGTCACATTCCATTTACTCAGTCACCGCAAGTCTCCTGCCACCTAAAGCCAGTCACTGTGGAAAGCTCTGCTTGCTGATGGTCATAAGGATAACAGTAAGGTTTACTGTCTGTTTACTGTGTGCCGGTATGCTAAGCACAACACATACATACATTACTATAATTTTTTTCCATTTAATTGTTTCAACAAACGTTTGAGAGGATTAAATTACCTTTCCATTTTTATTTTATTTTTTTTGCGACGAGGTCTCACTCTGTTACCCAGGCCAGAGTGCAGTGGCACAATCACGGCTCACTGCAGCCTCAACCTCCTCAGCTCAAGTGATCTTCCTGCCTCAGCCTCCCGAGTAGCTGGGACTACACAGGTGCACGCCACCACGCCTGGCTAGTTTTTAAATTTTTTTGTAGAGACAGGGTCTCACTCTGTTATCTATTCTGGTCACAAACTCCTCGTCTCAAGCAACCCTCCTGCTTCAGCCTCCTGAAGTGCTGGAATTATTGACATAAGCCACGGCTCCCAGCCCTACATTTCCATTGTAAAAATGGGAGAGCTGAGGCTCAATGGGCCATTCACCTCCAGCCCAGAACCACGTGCCCAGGCTGCTGAGCCCTCAGCGGTGGCAGCTGTGGACTCCCTGATCGAGGGATTGGGAAAGACCATGGATTATAAAGAGGTAGATAATTCTTGAGAAGAAAGAATCAGCTTTGCCACAGAATGAAAGTAAATTCCATGCCTTAGGACAAGGTGAGATGTACTGCCTGGTGCCCCACAGTGGGGAAAGGTGGTCAAATATTGCCTGAGTTTCCCGCCAGCCTAAAAGTCTCCATCCCCAGCCATCACATACGTGCTGGACAGGAGCCTGATCAGTGGGTCCATCCTCTCCCTGCCCCTTCCCCTATTCCCCACTGGAACTCCCATAGTCTCTGAGCCCCCTGGAGGCAGCCTCCCCACTGCCACTGCTGCCCTAGTCCACCAGGCCCCAGGTGCTGTGTCCAGTGCACGCAAGGGCCAGGGCAGCCCTGTGTTCTCCATGTGAGGGGGAAAGCCCCATCTCCCTCTCAGTCTCACATCTGATTCCAGTGCTCAGCCTCCCCCACACACTCCCTGGAAAACATCTTTAACTTAGGCCTGGAGCAGTCCCATCGCCTCAGGCCTTAGAAACACAAGTCCCTGCGGCAGGCGTGTGAATGCGGGAGTGTGTGCTTGCGAGTGTGTGCTTGTGTGTGTTTGTGAGTGTATATGTGTGCTTGTGTGTGCGCTTGTGTCTGAGTGCATGTGTGTGAGCGTGCTTGTGTATGTGTGTGCTTGTGTGTCTGCTTGTATTTTGTGTGTGAGTGTGTTTGTGTAGGTGTGCTTGTGTGTGTGTGTGCTTGTGTGCGTGCTTGTGTGTTTTTGTGTGTGCATGTGTGTGTGCTTGTGTGAGTGCTTGTGCGTGTGTGTGTGTGCAGGGTGCAGGGAGGGGCAGCAGAGGGTGGGAACTTCGCAATGTTCTGCCTTCTCCTCACTGTCTCCCTGAACTCATGCACTCACACGGCCAGGCTGCCAACAGACCTTGGGCGCCTCCAGATTTTTCTGGCCCCAGAGGACTGCTCTGATTCCAGCTTACCTCAAGCCAGAGCCTCAGCTATTGAAGCAATAATTCTAGGTGCAGCCTTGGACCTGAAACTGGGCGGGCACCTAGAGGCTACTCAAGGACCATGAACCGTGCCCTCCGGGGGTTGGTGAGACAAACCCGAGGTGATCATTCACCCCACCAGCTTCCCCATCACCTGACCGGAGGCTGAAGGGGCTTCGCGAGAACAAGCTGAACTACAGAGGCAGAGCAGGTAAATGGAGCGGGACAGGTCCTCACAGCCTCTTCAGGAGCTGGGTCAGAAAGAGTGCTGTGCTGTGCTGTGCTGTGCTGTGCTGTGCTGTGCTGTGCTGTGCTGTGCTGTGCTGTGCTTTGTTTGGGGACTTGACGTGGAAGGACACCTGTACCCCAAAGCCAAGGTCATGTAGCCCAACTCTTATAGGGGGTCAAAGGAAGTGGGATGGGGTGTTCTAGAAGGTGTAGCTCTCCCATCCCTGGTGGGCTGCTTTTCAGATGTCTAAAAACAATGCTAGGTAAGAATAAAGGGCTGAGAGACCCAAGAACAGATGTCGTGTGACTCCACTGATGTGAGGTTTCTGGAATAGGCAAATTCATACACACAGGTGGTAGAATGGTGGTGACCAGGGACAGCGAAGGAAGGAACGGGGAGTTAGTGTTCAGTGGGCTGGGGTTTCTGTTACGGATGATGAAAAGATTCCAGAAATGGATGGTGGTGATGGCTGCACAACACTGTGAACATATTTCATACCACTGAACTGTGCACTTAAAAATGGGGAAAAGGGCACCTTTTTTTTTTCTGAGATGGAGTCTCACTCTGTCGCCCAGCCTGGAGTGCAGTGGCGCAATCTCGGCTCACTGCAAGCTCCGCCTCCCGGGTTCACGCCATTCTCCTGCCTCAGCCTCCCGAGTAGCTGGGACTACAGGCACCCACCAAAACGTCCGGCTAATTTTTTTGTACTTTTAGTACAGATGGGGTTTCACCGTGTTAGCCAGGATGGTCTCGATCTTCTGACCTCGTGATCCACCCGCCTTGGCCTCCCAAAGTGCTGGGATTACAGGCTTGAGCCACCGCGCCCAGCCAGAAAAGGGCACATTTTATGTTATGTGTATTTTACCAGAATTTTGTTTTTTTTTTTTTTAGAAAAAGGAAGAAAGGACTGAGGGACCTAGAGAGGCTGTGTGGGAGAACAATAGGCCCAAGGCAGAGTGGGGCCCCAGCCTGGGGAGGAGGACATTCAAGCAGAGACTGCTGCCACCAGTGTTGTGGTGCTGGTATTTCATAGTTCTTCAGGCCTGCTATTCATAGCTCAGTCCCACCCATATGCACTTGAAGTTATTTGGAATCTAGGACTTAATTATTTTCCAGCTGGCACATACCGCCAAGTCAACCCCGGCGCTAGCCAGTCCCTGCCCGCCTATCCTCCCTGCCTCTCCTTGCTGCCTGGTTACTGAGGGAGGGACCCGCAGAGCCAGCTGCAATCCCATTCCCCTGCCTCCCCTTGCCAGGAGTGGTAGCCAAAGAGACAGGGCTGTCCCTCACTCATGCTACAGGAGCCACACGACATGCACTCTGCAGGACTCATGGAGCTCAGGGCAAGGAGATCTTCAAAAAGTCCTGCTCTGCTCCTCTTACCTTTTCTTCTCCTCTCTACCTGTCATCTAGTGCCATGATAATGCTGCAAATCGAACCACCTCAAATCTTACTGGTTTAAACTAATAGCCATTTCTTTTTTCTCATGAGTCTAGATTTTGCTGGGCAGCTCAGCTGGTCTCACCCAGGCTCACTTGTGTGTCTGCAGTCAGCTGAAGGCTGGCTGGTCTAGGATGGTAATACAGTTTGGCTGTGTCCCCACCCAAATCTCATCTTGAATTGTACTGGCATAATTCCCACATGTTGGGGGAGGGACCCAGTGGGAGATAATTGAATCATGGGGGCGGTTTCACCCATACTGTTCTTGTGGTAGTGAATAAGTCTCATGAGATCTGATGGTATTATCAGAGGTTTCTGCTTTTACATCTTCCTCATTCTGTCTTTGCCTGCTGCCATCTATGTAAGATGGGACTTGCTCCTCTTTGCCTTCTACCATGATTGTGAGGCTTCTCCAGCCATGTGGAACTGTAAGTCCAATTAAACCTCTTTTGTAAATTTCCCAGTCTTGGGTATGTCTTTATCAGCAGCATGAAAACAGACTAATACAGATGGCCTTGGCTGGGAGGACTTAGCTCTGCTCCACATGGTCTCTCAAGCTTCAGCAGGCTAGTCTGGGCTTGTTCTCATGGTGGAAGCTGCCAAAGAAAAACTGCACCAGACAGAGTTAAACAGGCAAGGGAAACTTTATTCAAGACTACTGCAATAGGAGAGAGAGATTAAACTCAACTCTGGATACCACAGAGGTAACTAGGGATTTCTAGCCAACAGGCAGGGTGAAGGAGTCAATTTATCAAGAGGAACTTGTTAGGCATCAAGACTGGGGGTGATTTTTGCTAAACTGGCCTGGCAGAATTCTTGCTAAACTAGGTTGAGCAGGCCAAGGACAAGGCCTTGGGGCTCCGAGGAGGAGGGCTCAGAGGAGTCTGTCTAAAGTTGGATCAAAGATGGAGTCCTCATCAAAGCAGAAGTCCAATAGAACATGTGGAATATACAACACTTCTTAAGGTCTAGACTCCAAAACGGGCAGTACCACTTCTACTGTGTTTATTGGCCAAAGCAAGTCAGGAGGCTAGCCCAAGTCCAAGCAGTGGGGGAATGGCTTCATCACATTGCAAATGGCATGGGCACAGGGAAGGGAGGAAAAATGGGTCTATCTTTCCAATCAATTGATTTCCTACTCTCTTCTTGGGAAGACCCTCTTCCACTGATCAAAACCACTGGGCAGAATGTAGAGCCCCACATACTCCCGCAACCTGACTTATCTGGTGCCCTGGCTGAGTACAGAAGGCTGAACCCTCCCAGAAGGCGCCTGGAAGGGAATTGGAACCCACACAACCTAGGGACTACATGTGCTGATGAGGTTCTCAAGACCAAAAGAAGGCAGAGAATACAATGGGAGCTTAATGAACACAATGCATATAAGTCAGAGACTTGGTCTTTGGTAAAAGCAAAAGTCTGGCTTTCAGAAGTCAGTGTAGTGTCACACCAGGAGCAGAATAGCAATTTACTAGGAAGTGTAGTCATCAAACTATTCATGGCCATCATTTCCTGGGGGTTATAATCCTATATTTCCTGGGAGCTATAATTACTGTAACCCATCGTTTCTTAGGGGCTATAACTACTATAAATTAGTAATCAAACTAATAATGGCTGTCATTTCCGACAGGTGCTGAGGCTGGTGCTAAATGCTACGCGTGAAATCATGTCTAGCATGATCTAAGTAGCCATGGTATTATAACTCCCATTTTTATCATTAAGAAAATTAGGGCTGGGTGTGGAGACTCAAGCCTATAATCCAGCACTTTGGGAGGCCGAGGTGAAAGGATCGCTTGAGCTCAGGAGTTCGAGGCCAGCCTGGGCAACATGGTGAGATCTCAACTCTACTAAAATTAAAACGAAAAAAATATTAGCCGGGTGTGGTGGGGCTCACCTGTGGTAACAGCTACTCAGAGGCTGGGTTGGGAGGATTGCTTGAGCCTGGGAGTTTGAGGCTGCCGTGAGCTGTGACTGTGCCACTGCACTCCAGCTTGGGTGACAGAGCAAGACCCCATCTCAAAAAAAAAAAAAAAAATTAAAAAAGAAGAAAAGGAGAAAGGGTTGGAGGTGGGTCGTCTGGCTGATCTGGCAGTGCCTTTGTCTTCACAGAGATTCAGGCTCCTTCAGCTTCTGCTCCACTATCCTTAGACCACAGCTTCCAACTTCAAACTTGCCTCAAGGCCCAAGATGGATGCTAGAACTCTAGCTATCACATCTTCAAATCCAGGTGAGAAGCAGGAAGAAGATAGAGAAAAGGGCCTCTTCTACCTATCTGAGACTCTTCTACGCAACTGTCCCCAACATCTCCCCCATCAACTTCTGCTTATATCTCATCAGTCAGAACTTGTTCATATAAACAGCATGGGCTGCAAGGGATGCTGGGAAAGGCAATCTGTTAGCTGGATACATAGCCTCTTAAATAAAATCAGACTTCTGCTACTGAGTGCTATGAGTCCCCTAAAAATATATGCTGGAGTCCTAACTCCCAGTACCTCCGAATGTGACCTTATTTGGAGATAAGGTCTTTATGGAGGTAATCAAGTTAAAATGAGGTCCTTAAGGTGGAAACCTAGTTCTATGAAGGGGAAAATAGGACACAGATACAGGCACACAGAGAAGGAAGACAACATGAAGACACAGGGAGGAAACAGACATCTACAAGGCAAGGAGACAAGCCTGGAAAGACCCCTCCCTCACAGACCTCAGAAGGAATTAGCCCTGCTGAGGCCTTGAATTTAGACTGTCAGCCTCCAGAACTGTAGTAATAATAAATTTCTGTTGTTATATAGAGAGACATATATATGTGTAAAATATATTTAATATCTCACACACACACATATATACATATATACACACACATACACACACATGTATTTTTTCCCCTTAAATAGAGACAGGATCTTACTATGTCTGTTGCCCAGGCTAGTCTTGAACTCCTGGGCTCAAGCGATCCTCCCACCTTGGCCTCCTAAAGTGCTGGGATTACAGGTGTGAGTCACTGCGCCCAGTCAATTTCTGTTGTTGAAGCTACCAAGTTTATAGTTCTTTGTTACGGCAGCCCTAGGAAATGAATCCATTCAGGAAGAGGAAGAAGTGCATGCTGATAAGCAATGGGCATTTGTGCACAGGGCCCAGAGCCATGCACCAGACCCTGCACTGCAGGCAGCGGGGCTGAGCTTGTGCTTGCAGACGGGCCTCGGCTGGGGTGGGCGTGTGTGCGCGCAGCCGACTGCACAGGTGGGGACCAAGCCCAGCACAAGCAGACTGCTTTCTGAGACCTCTGTCCATTGGGTCTGCTCCTGCCCTGGGGCGAGGTTATTAACGGTCTCCACTGTGAGACCAAGGCTGTGGCTGGGTACTGAGGCTGAGGCCGGCAGCTGTCAGGGCCACTCTCCACTCTGTCCCCTGGTTCCCTTCCTCATGTCCTGTGTGCACCTGAATCTGTCCTGTCAGAGTGGCTTCCTCTACCAGCCATATCTGTAATCTTCTGCCAGGAGAGAACGCTTCCCTAGAGTGGATATTTCAGAAGTAGTTGCTACACACGTGAACACGATACAACAATTTTGACTTGGCTGTATCTTCAAGATCTTTGGGGAGAAGAGGACAGCTGCCAAGAGCTGAAAGCTTAAAGTGGGGCCACCTCACAGTGCTGACCACTTTACTCTCCCCTGTCCAACTTCACCACAAAATGGAACCCGGACCCTTTATTCCCCAAAGCACAGGCCACAGGCAACAGGAGACTGTTGTGCATAACAGACTGTACTAAAGGCCTGAGGATAACATAGGGCAGTAGCTGAAAAATAAAACTTAAACCTGGCCACCAGGTTTCTGGAAGAGTGTTGACCATGCCCCCCCGTCTCCTCTTCTGGAGCTCCCTCACCTATCTCCAGCTTCCAGGGTCCCTGAGTCCCACCCCCAATTTTTCCATGCCCTGCGTGGAGGACTCCCACCCACGCCTCTCCCCACCCCCAGGTAGGGAAGGCAGCTTTTAATAGAGGTACATGAACCACTTAAAAACCTCAGCCTAACACAAAAGCCCACACATTGCACAATCCCGTGCATATGAAATCTCCAGAACAGGCCAATCCATAGAGACAGAAAGTGGATTTGTGGCTGCCTAGGTCAGTGGAGGGGAGGAGGGTGGGATGACAATGGGTATGGGGGTTCTTTTTGAGGTGAAGAAAATGTTCTACAATTAGATAGTGATAACGGTTGCAGAATTCTGTGAATACACTAAAAACTACTGAATTTAAAGTGTACTGAATTGTACACTTCAAATGGGTACATCTTAGGGCATGTGAATTATATTTCTATGAAGCTGTTATTTATTTATTTTACTTTTTTTTGAGACAAGATCTTGTTCTGTCACCCAGGATGGAGTGCAGTGGCACAAACAGAGCTCACTGCAGCCTTGACCTCCTGGACTTGACTGATCCTCCCACCTCAGCCTCCCAAATAGCTGGGACCACAGGCGTGCACAACCACGCCCAACTAATTTTTTTATTTTTATTTTTAGTAGAAACGGAGTTTCACCAGGTTACCCAGACGCCTTGAACTCCTGAGCTCAAGCAATCTGCCTGCCGTGGCCTCCCCAAATGCTGAGATTACAGGAGTGAGCCACCATGCCTGGCCAAAGCTGTTATTTTTTAAAAATCTCTGTGTGTCTAAGAAGACACAGGGCCTCCCTGAGAACAGGGAGCGTGTGTTTGCTTTAAGTCTACAATCACAAAGAAAGTCACCAGAGTTGTTTCTGCCAGAACCAGAGAGATTTTGCCTCGAGGACAACTCAGTGCAATGGGCCTGCAGCCTCCAGCAACAGGAGTGGCTGCTTTGGCCAGGTGGCAGAACAGCCCTCCTAGACAAAGCAGAGACGTCTGTAACAAAGACCAGCACCCAGTGGGCATCCAATCTGTATCTGATGAAAGAAGGAATGAGGAAATAAATGAACGGCTGATTGTAATCACTTTCCAGGATAGTGAGAATGCCTGGGACAGAACCCTGGTTCCATCTCCCACTTAGAGGAGCCCTTTTCATTAACAGCTCCACTTAACTTCTATTTGCCATGCAAATCAACTGGCCCAGGTGAGTGGTGCCTGCACTGACTCCTGAAATCCCAAGGGCCTCCGCGGCTCCCCGAGGCTCAATCAGGGCACGAAGACACATGTGCAGACACTTTGCCTTTGCTAATCCTGCGGGCCTTTCACAGAGAGCAGGAAATCAATGACTCAAATATTCCTTTTGCCTCAGGCAACTGCTTAAATGAGACTTTACCCTCTGCTGCCAAGGAAGTTGGGTGGCAGGGGAGTTCCTTCAGACTCCCCCCCAGTTGATCCTGGATAGAACTGGCCTAGGTTTATATGCCATTGTTTGTTTTACTAACGGTAAACCACTGCGAGTCCGGCCACTGAAAATCAGCTGACAGCAGGAGCAAAGATTCGCTCGGCTCACTGGGGAGCACGGAATGTCTGCCATCTCTGAGATGTTTCCAGAATAGAGGGAGCCTTGTGCAAGCCGCAGAATGGCTTGGCCTCCCCAGTGGTTTGCTGTTGGGTCCGAGGATCCGGAGCTGCCCTGCAGGCAGCCAACGCCTGGGCCAAGCACCAGTACCCTGGGGCCCCCAAGTGAGGGCTGTCTGTGGGGAGCTTGTCTCCTCTGGTTTGTCCACAACCCAGTGACCCCAGGGTAGGGGTGGGAGTGGGGGGCAATGCCCAGGAACAACTTGGCACATGGGGAGGTGAGAGGGAGGGCTGGTTTTGGAAGCCGCTTTAGAATCTTGGCTTAGAAATGCAGAATGCATGACCCTGGGGAAGTGTCCTGCCCTGTCAGGGGCTCGCAGGCCTCATCTGTGTGCTGGCCCCTTAAGGGTCATGAGTAGGTGACATACAGATAGGGGGCACCTGCACTGTGCATGGTGGGTGCTGTAAATCAAAAATAACATCCTAAGCCCTCCAACTGACTGAGGGGACCCCCGAGAAACCTGAGAAACTGAATTCCCAGCCATGGCTGGAAAAGAGGTCTGACACACCTTGTTATACCCCCTACCTTTTGGAATTCAGGTGTAACTGACCAGCATTCACATTAAAACAGAGATTGTAATGTTACCAGACAGGGGTCCTCATCCAGACTCCAAGAGGGTGTTCTTGGACATCACGCAAAAAATAATTCGGGGCAAGTGCATAAAGTGAAAGCAAGTTTAAGAAAGTAAAGGAAGGCCGGGCGTAGTGGCTCACACCTGTAACCCCAGTACTTTGGGAGGCCAACGTGGGAGGATTGCTTGAGCTCAGGAGTTGGAGACCAGCCTGAGTGAGACCCTATCCCTACAAAAAAAATACAAAAATTAGCCAGGCATGGTGGTGCATGTCCCAGCTACTCAGGAGGCTGAGGTGGGAGGATCGCTTGAGCTGGGGAGGTTGAAGCTGCAGTGAGCCGAGACTGCACCACTGCTCCAGCCTGGACAACACAGAGAGACCCAGTCTCAAAAAAAAAAAAAAAAAAAAAAGAAAGAAAGAAAAGAAAAGAAAGAAAAGAAAGTAGGCTAGGCACAGTGGCTCACGCCTCTAATCCCAGCACTTTGGGAGGCTGAGGTGGGCGGATCACCTGAGGTCAGGAGTTCGAGTCCAGTCCGACCAACCTGGAGAAACCCCGTCTCTACTAAAAATACAAAATTAGCCAGGTGTGGTGGCGCATGCCTGTAATCCCAGCTACTCAGGAGGCTGAGGCAGGAGAATCACTTGAGCCTGGGAGGCGGAGGTTGCATTGAGTCAAGATTGTGCCACTGCACTCCAGCCTGGGAGACAGAGCAAGACTCCATCTCAAAAAAAAAAAAAAAGGAAAGGAATAAAAGAATGGCTACTCCATAGACAGAGCAGTGGTATGGGCTGCTCAACTGAGTATACTTATAGTTACTTCTTGATTATATGCTAAACAAAAGGTGGATTATTCATGAGTCTTTCAGGAAAGAGATGGGCAATTCCCCCAGCACTGAAGGTTCCTCCCCTTTTAGACCATATAGGGTAACTTCCTGACGTTGCCATTGCATTTGTAAACTGTCACAGTGCTGGTGAGAGTGTGTTTTAGCATGCTAATGTATTATAATTAGAGTATAACGAGCAGTGAGGACAACCAAAGGTCACTTTCATTGCCACCTTGGTTTTGGTGGGTTTTGGTCAGCTTCTTTACAGCATCCTGTCTAATCAATAAAGTCCTTGTGACCTGTATCTTGTGCTGCCCTCCTGACTCATCCTGTGACTAAGAATGCCTGGCCTCCTGGGAATGTACCCAGTAGGTGAAAGAGAATAGACTTTCACCATCTATTCTCTCTGAAGCCTGCTACCTATGAGGCTTCATCTACATAACAAGAATCTGGACCCCCACAATTCCCCTTATCTTAATGCAAGCATTTCTTTCTACTGACTTCAAGTCTTGGGACAAAGCTTAACTCTTTCAACGGGTTGCCAATCAGAAAATCTTTGAATCTACCTATGACCTGTAAGTCCCTGCTCCGAGTTGTCCTACCTTTCTGGTCAAACCAATGAATACCTCCCATGTACTGGTTTTTATCTTTGCCTGTAACATCTGTCTCCCTATAATGTATATAAAACCAAACTGTAACCCAACTGCCTTGGGATCGCTTTCTCAGGACCCCTTGAGGCTGCTCCCAAGGCCTAGTCACTCATATTGACTCAGAATAAACCTCTTTAAAACATTTTACAGAGTTTGGTTTTTCCATTAACCACACTGGCAAATGTTATTTCCCGTCCCTACACTCAATCATACCCCTGGCTGGTGCCACCTACCTTCCCTCTCATTCCTGGAACATGATTGGTCTTCTCCACCTCTGACTTGGTCCTGTCTACTCAGCCTTTCCAAACCCCAGCCTCCTGTTGGGGAGGCAGAATGCTGTGAGAGTTAAGAGGCAGGGGATGCGTGGGCAGGTGGCCCCTCTAGCCAGCCAAGGACCTTCAGGAAGGTGCTGACCTCCTGTGTCTGTCTCCTCAACAAAATGATACTGATACTGTCAGACCTCTGAGCCTAAGCTAAGCCATCATATCCCCTGTGACCTGCACACATCCAGACTTCACCCTTAGTGGCAAGTCCTGCTTTTCTGGGGGAGGGGCAGGAGCCCTGACCTCTTATCTCTGTGCCCCGATCCCTTATTTCCGCACCCCGACCTCTTATCTGTGCCCCAACCCCTTATTTCCATGCCCCGACCCCTGTCCTGCTTTTCTGGAGGGTAAGAACCCCTGAACCCCTTCCCTCCATGTCTCTACCCTTCTCTTTAAACTTGCCTCCTTCACTATAGGCAACCTTCCACCTTCCATTCCTCCTTCTTCTCCCTTAGCCTGTGTTCTTAAGAACTTAAAACCTCTTCAACTCTCGCCTGACCTAAAATCTAAGCGTCTTATTTTCTTCTGAAATGCCGCTTGACCCCGAGACAAACTGGACAGTAGTTCCAAATAGCCAGAAAACGGCACTTTCAATTTTTCCATCCTACAAGTTCTAAATAATTCTTGTCGTAAAATGGGCAAATGGTCTGAGGTGCATGACGTCCAGGCTTTCTTTTACACATCAGGCCGTCCCTAGTCTCTGTTCCCAATGCAACTTGTCCCAAATCTTCCTTCTTTCCCTTCCGCCTGTCCCCTCAGTCCCAACCCCAAACGTCGCTGAGTCTTTCTAATCTTCCTTTTCTACAGACCTATCTGACCTCTCCCCTCCTCCCCAGGCTAAGTCCCAATTCTTCCTCAGCCTCCGCTTCTCCACCCTATAATCCTTTTATCACCTCCCCTCCTCACACCGGGTCCGGCTTACGGTTTCATTCCATGACTAGCCCTCCCCCACCCGCCCAGCAATTTCCTCTTAAAAAGGTGGCTGGAGCTAAAGGCATAGTCAAGGTTAATGCTCCTTTTTCTTTATCCCAAATCAGACGGCGTTTAGGCTCTTTTTCATCAAATATAAAAATCCAGCCCCGTTCATGGCTCGTTTGGCAGCAACCCTGAGACGCTTTACAGCCCTAGACCCTAAAAGGTCAAAAGGCCGTCTTATTCTCAATATACATTTTATTACCCAATCTGCTCTCAACATTAAATAAAACTCCAAAAATTAAATTCTGGCCCTCAAACCCTACAACAGGACTTAATTAACCTCGCCTTCAAGTGTACAATAATAGAGGCAGCCAAACAGAAACATATTTCTGAGTTGCAATTCCTTGCCTCCACTGTGAGACAAACCCCAGCCACATCTCCAGCACACAAGAACTTCCAAACACCTAAACCGCAGTGGCCAGGCATTCCTCCAGAACCGCCTCCCCCAGGAGCTTGCTACAAGTGCCAGAAATCTGGCCACCAGGCCAAGGAATGCCCGCAGCCCAGGATTCCTCCTAAGCTGTGTCCCATCTGTGCAGGACCCCACTGGAAATCGGATGGAAATCGGACTCTTCAACTCACCTGGCAGCCACTCCCAGAGTCCCTGGGACTCTGGCCCAAGGCTCTCTGACTGACTCCTTCCCAGATCTTCTCAGCTTAGCGGCTGAAGACTGATGCTGCCCGATCGCCTCGGAAGCCCCGTAGACCATCACGGATGCCGAGCTTCAGGTAACTCTCACAGTGGAGGGTAAGTCCGTCCCCTTCTTAATCAATATGGAGGCTACCCACTCCACGTTACCTTCTTTTCAAGGGCCTGTTTCCCTTGCCTCCATAACTGTTGTAGGTATTGACGGCCAGGCTTCTAAACCTCTTAAAACTCCCCAACTCTGGTGCCAACTTAGACAATACTCTTTTAAGCACTCCTTTTAGTTATCCCCACCTGCCCAGTTCCCTTATTAGGCCGAGACACTTTAACTAAATTATCTGCTTCCCTGACTATTCCTGGATTACAGCTGCATCTCATTGCCGCCCTTCTTCCCAATCCAAAGCCTCCTTTGCGTCCTCCTCTTGTATCCCCCCACCTTAACCCACAAGTATAAGATACCTCTACTCCCTCCTTGGCGACTGATCATGCACCCCTTACCATCTCCTTAAAACCTAATCACCCTTACCCCGCTCAATACCAATATCCCATCCCACAGCATGCTTTGAAAGGATTAAAGCCTGTTATCACTCGCCTGCTACAGCATGGCCTTTTAAAGCCTATAAACTCTCCTTACAATTCCCCCATTTTACCTGTCCTAAAACCAGACAAGCCTTACTAGTTCAGGATCTATGACTTATCAACCAAATTGTTTTGCCTATCCACCCCGTGGTGCCAAACCCATATACTCTCCTATCCTCAATACCTCCCTCCACAATCCATTATTCTGTTCTGGATCTCAAACATGCTTTCTTTACTATTCCTTTGCACCCTTCATCCCAGCCTCTCTTCGCTTTCACTTGGACTGACCCTGACACCCATCAGGCTCAGCAAATTACCTGGGCTGTACTGCTGCAAAGCTTCACAGACAGCCCCCATTACTTCAGTCAAGCCCAAATTTCTTCCTTATCTGTTAGCTATCTCAGCATAATTTTCATAAAAACACACTTGCTCTCCCTGCTGATCATGTCCGACTAATCTCCCAAACCCCAATCCCTTCCAAAACAACAACTCCTTTCCTTCCTGGGCATGGTTGGATACTTTCGCCTTTGGATACCTGGTTTTGCCATCCTAACAAAACCATTACATAAACTCACAAAAGGAAACCTAGCTGACCCCATAGATCCTAAATCTTTTCCCCACTCCTCTTTCCATTCCTTGAAGACAGCTTTAGAGACTGCCCCCACCCTAGCTCTCCCTGACTCATCGCAACCCTTTTCATTACACACAGCCGAAGTGCAGAGCTGTGCAGTCAGAATTCTTACACAAGGACCGGGGTCGCGTCCTGTAGCCTTTTTGTCCAAACAACTTGACCTTACTGTTTTAGGCTGGCCATCATGTCTCCATGCAGCGGCTGCTGCCCCGCTAATACTCTTAGAGGCCCTTAAAATCACAAACTATGCTCAACTCACCCTCTACAGCTCTCATAATTTCCAAAGTATATTTTCTTCCTCACACCTGAAGCATATACTTTCTGCTCCCCTGCTCCTTCAGCTGTACTCACTCTTTGTTGAGTCTCCCACAATTACTATTGTTCCTGGCCTGGACTTCAATCTGGCCTCCCACATTATTCCTGATACCACACCTGACCCTCATGACTGCATCTCTTTGATCCACCTGACGTTCACCCCATTTCCCCACATTTCCTTCTTTCCTGTTCCTCACCCTGATCACACCTGGTTTATCGATGGCAGTTCCACCAGGCCTAATCGCCACACACCAGCAAAGGCAGGCTATGCTATAGTACAAGCCACTAGCCCGCCTCTTAGAACCTCTCATTTCCTTTCCATCGTGGAAATCTATCCTCAAGGAAATAACTTCTCAGTGTTCCATCTGCTATTCTACTACTCAAGGATTATTCAGGCCCCGTCCCTTCCCTACACATCAAGCCCAGGGATTTGCCCCTGCCCAGGACTGGCAAATTTGCCATTCTACTACTCCTCAAGGATTATTCAGGCCCCCTCCCTTCCCTACGCATCAAGCTCAGGGATTTGCCCCCCCGCCCCAGGACTGGCAAATTAGCTTTACTCAACATGCCCCGAGTCAGGAAACTAAAATACCTCTTGGTCTAGGTAGACACTTCCACTGGATAGGTAGAGGCCTTTCCCACAGGGTCTAAGAAGGCCACCACGGTCATTTCTTCCCTCTGTCAGACATAATTCCTCGGTATGGCCTTCCCACCTTTATACAGTCCGATAGCAGACCGGCCTTTATTAGTCAAATCAGCCAAGCAGGTTTTCAGGCTCTTGGTATTCAGTGAAACCTTTATATCCCTTATGGTCCTGAGTCTTCAGGGAAGGTAGAACGGACTAATGGTCTTTTAAAAACACACCTCACCAAGCTCAGCCACCAACTTAAAAAGGACAAGACAATAGTTTTACCACTTTCCCTTCTCAGAATTCAGGCCTGTCCTCGGAATGCTACAAGGTACAGCCCATTTAAGCTCCTGTACGGACGCTCCTTTTTATTAGGCCCCAGTCTCATCCCAGACACCAGACCAACTTAGACTGTGCCCCAAAAAACTTGTCATCCCTACTATTTTCTGTCTAGTCATACTCCTATTCACTGTTCTCAACTACTCATACATGTCCTGCTCTTGTTTACACTGCCAGTTTACACTGTTTCTCCAAGCCATCACAGCTGATATCTCCTGGTGCTATCCCCAAACCTCCACTGTTAACTCTTAAAGTAAATAAATAATCTTTGCTGGCAGGACTATGCTGAATCTCCTTAGGCACTCTCTAATTAAATGTCCTAGGTCCTCCCAATTCTAAAACCTTTAATACCTCTTTTTCTCCTTCTCTTATTCCGTTTAGTTTTTCAATTCATACAAAACCATATCCAGGCCATCACCAATAATTCTAAATGACAAATGTTTCTTCTAACAATCCCACAATATCACCCCTTACCACAAAATCTTCCTTCAGCTTAATCTCTCCCACTCTAGGTTCCCACGCCATCCCTAATCCTGCTCAAAGCAGCCCTGAGAAACATTGCCCATTATCTCTCCATACCACCCCCAAAATTTTCACCATCTCAACACTTTACCACTATTTCATTTTATTTTTCTTATTAATATAAGAAGACAGGAATGCCAGGCCTCTGAGCCCAAGCTAAGCCATCATATCCCGTGACCTGCACACATCCAGATGGCCGGTTCCTGCCTTAACTGATGACATTCCACCACAAAAGAAGTGAAAATGGCCTGTTCCTGCCTTAACTGATGACATTATCTTGTGAAATTCCTTCTCCTGGCTCATCCTGGCTCAAAAGCTCCCCTACTGAGCACCTTGTGACCCCCACTCCTGCCTGCCAGAGAACAACCCCCCTTTTTCCTTTACCTACCCAAATCCTATAAAACGGCCCCACCCCTATCTCCCTTTGCTGACTCTCTTTTCGGACTCAGCCCGCCTGCACCCAGGTGAAATAAACAGCTTTATTGCTCACACAAAGCCTGTTTGGTGGTCTCTTCACATGGACGCGCATGAAAGATACACGTCCTCCATCAGAGGCCCCTGGAGAGTATGAAGTGAGATGCCGCGTGGGTGAAGCACAGCAGGCCCCAACCAGCCCGGTGATGGGCCACACAGCTGGAGAGTGCACCTTCCCTCCTGGCACTTCCTCAGCACCTCCCACACGTTTCATGCCCCTGAAATTAACCATGGGGTCTGTTTCAAATCTGCCTATCTTCTCTCCTGTGCCAGACTTAGAGCATCCCAGAGCCAGCCAGCAAGGGCCTGCCCAGGGCCAATGGGGGCCTGATTGCCCTGGCCTCCCAGAACCAGCTGCGGGGAAGGGGGTGGTGTCTGCCTGTGGGGCTCCTGGACTTTGCCCGTGTGTCCCCTAAAGCATATCTCACTCAGTTATCCTTCACCTGAAATCTACAGCCCAGAGAGGTCCTCAGACTTCAGGGAGAACAAATACCCCCAGACTATATGCTAAGTGGGTGTGTGTGATTCTGCATATTTTGGAAGAGAAATTCCTCATCTTCCATCAGCTCCTCAGGAGAATCCATCTTTGTCTCCCTTTTCTGCCTTATTACCTTAAAAGCATTTAACTCACTCTGAAATTCTTTTTTTTTTTTTTGAGATGGAGTCTCACTGTGTCGCCCACGCTGGAGTGCAATGGCGCATCCTTGACCCACTGCAACCTCCACTTCTTGGGTTCAAGCGATTCTCCTGCCTCAGCCTCTCAAGTAGCTGGGATTACAGGTGCCTGCCACCACACCCTGCTAATTTTTTTTTTTTTTTGTATTTTTTAGTAGAAACAGAGTTTCAACACATTGGCCAGGCTGGTCTCGAACTCCTGACCTCAGGTGATCCACCCGCCTCGGCCTCTGAAAGATCTGGGATTACAGGCATGAGCCACCACACCCGTCATTTTGAAATTCTATTCCCGTGTTTGTTCCTGTCTCTGCCACTAGAAAGTAAGTTCCAGGAGGGCTCATCTCATTCGTGGTTATATCCTCAGATCCTAAAACAGAGCCTGGCACTCAGTAGGTCTCAATATCTTTTGAATGAATGAATGACGTGCTTTGAGCCAATGGCTAAGGGCTGTGGGTCTTGCCCTGCAATGGGGTCTGAACAAGTCATGGACCGTCTGGGATCTTCCTCCGAAGACAGCGTCTGGGCTGAGGTCAGCTGCAGTGAAGAACAGTGCTCCTAGAATAAGAGTCTAGACAGGGGAGGGGCTCAGAGAGCCCAGACTGGATCTGCCTGAGAAGAACAGAGTTCAAGGGTCTCAGAGGACAGCCCACTTATGCTAGCATCTTGCAGAAAGGGCAGGACGGTGGGCCTCAGCTCTATTTTCTATTGTTGCATAACACGCTGTCCCAAAACTTAGTGGCTTAAAATGATTTTACCATATCTCATGCTTTTGTGGCAGGAATTCATTCAGGGACTGCTGGGCAGGGTGATTCTTCTGCCCCATGTGGCACTGACTGAGGTCACCTGATGGCACTCGGCTGGCAGATGGGCTGGTCTGGAGGACCTGGATAGCCTCCTTCGTGAGTTGAGTGGTTTGGCAAGCCAGCTGCAAGGCTGGGCTCAGTGGGGCCTGTCTCCTGGAGCACCCATGCCTGGCCTCTCCTGCACAACAGCTCAGGGCTCCTGAGGCTGTCAGAAGACCAAGGCAGACACTGCAAGGCTGCTTTGACCTGGCCTTGGGAGTCACATAGCACCATTTCCATCACACCTTATTGGCTACAGGTAAGTCGCAGAGCCAGCCCAGACCCAAGAGAAAGGAACAGAACTGTATAGCAGAATGAATACCACTGGGATGGAGGTGGGGCATCTTTGGAGACAAGCCACCACTGCTTCTCTCCGGGCTGGGCTCAGGGACACAGCCTGAAGCCAGGGACATTGGGTGGGGCCAGGAGAAGCCCAAAAGTCTCACCCCTTTGACTGGCTTCCCCCAGAACAAGGATCAAAGGACCATTAAGTAACTTCAAATGAGTCCCAGCCACTTGAACTTCCAGCCAATTCCATATCCTATTTCAATACTTTGTCCAAGGCAACTTCTCAATAGAGATGTCATGTTCCAAGTATGACTAACTGCTTATGGTATTACCTGCTTGTGCTTTCACCCCAATCTGTGACTGTACTCCCTTTTTTGGGCATGCAGACCCAGTGAAAAGAATGGTGTCCTCTCCTGACATTGTCTCTCAGGGTCTGGAAGCTTTTCCTTCAATCTTCGAGCTCCTCACCTATCTGAACATGCCATTGCCTGCAACCAAGCTTGAGAACCAACAAACAGTGGCTGCGGGTTCTGGAAACACGCAGAGTGATAGTTCAGGTGAGAGCAGTGCCATTTCCCCAGTGCTCCTGGTTGCTCCAACCCCATTCACGAAGAGTCTCAGACAGAACCTGAGGGAGGAGGCTGGGGAAAGAAACTGGGACACTCTGGGAAGGCAGCTGCAGTGCAGGCCACAGACCCTGCCCGGTGGCAAAGGGAAGGAGCATGGCCTTCAGGAAGAGTCACAAATCACCTCAGAGATGTGAGGAATCCACACCTCAGCACTTCTTGGAGAACTGACAACCCCTGTGAAACACGGGGACCTCATTTCTCCTTCTCAACAGAACTCTCTAGCATGAAGGTTGAAAGCATGGGCTTTGAATAACCTAGATTCGAGTCCCAGCTGGGTGGGCCTGGAAAAGTTACTGAGTCTTTCTGATCTCCTTGGTAAAATGAAGAGAATGTCCCCTGCACTACCATTGGGAAGAATCAATGACAGGGAGCCTGGAGAGTACCCAGCACAATGCTTGGCATGAAATAGGCACCAGTAACTATAATCTTAAATATTATTATTGGGTCAGTAACCCCAGCAACCACCACCAACACCCCCTTCTTTTGCCACTTCCCTGGGCCCAGTGTAGATGAACTGCTCTAAATCAGCAATAAGGCCAGGCGTGGTGGCTCACGCCTATAATCCCAGCACTTTGGGAGGCCGAGGTGGGCGGATCACTTGAAGTCAGGAGTTCGGGACCAGCCTGACCAATGTTGTGAAACCCCATCTCTACTAAAAAGAAAATACAAAAGTAGCCAGGCTTGGTGGTGCATGCCTGTAATCCCAGCTACTTGGGAGGCAGAGGCAGGAGAATCGCTTGAACCTGGGAGGTAGAGGTTGCAGTGAGCCGAGATCGCGCCATTGCACTCCAGCCTGGGTGACAAGAGCGAAACTCCATCTCAAAAATAAATGAATGAATGAATGAATATAAATCAGCCATGACCAACAGACATATCATGGGAGCCACATCTATAAACTAAAATTTTCTAGCAGCCACGTTACAAAAGGTAAAGGGAAACAGGAGAAAGTAATGTTGATAGTACATTTTATTTAGCCCAATATATAAAAAATATTATTTCAACATGTAATCAATAGAAAAATGATGTGATATTTTACATTCTTTTTAAAAAATATTAAGTCTTTGAAACCAGTGTGTTCTTACACTTACAGCCCATCTGAATTTGGCCCAACCACACTCCAGTGCTCCAAAGCCATAGATGGCCAGGGGCATCCACACTGGACAGCACAGGGCTAGAGGCACTGGGTGGGCCCTTCTCTATTTCAAGCTCAGTGGTCTGGATGTGGGCAGAAAGAGGAGTCTGGATCTGGGTTAAAGCTACAAGAACTCCCTCCCCAGGGTTAACACCAATATTTTCTGTAACACTCCCCTGCCGGTATTGAAGAGAACAGAAAGAAGGGCAAAGGAAAGAAAATAAACAATTTATTTTTCTTTTATTGTTATTTTTAGAGACAGAGTTTGGCTCTGTTGCCCAGGCTGGAGTGCAGTGGCACAGTCATGGCTCATTGCAACCTTGACCCCTGAGCTCAAGCAATCCTTCTGCCTCAGCCTCCTGAGTAGCTGGGACTTACAGGCGTGAGCCACCATGCCTGGCTAATTTTTATTTTTTATTTTTGTAGCGATGGAGGTTCACTGTGTTGCCCAGACTGGTCTCAAACTCCTGGGTTCAATCAATCCTCCCACCTCAGCCTCCTAAAGTGCTGGGATTACAGGCTTGAGCCACCGTGACTGGCCCTTATTTTTCTTTATATCCACAGCATATTAGTAATAATACACCATTGTACACAACCTTGCCTCTCCTAATAGAAAGCACGTTCTTTCTTTATAGAAATAAAAGAAAAAAACCCAAATCCCAAGGCTCTGACTGAGGTCCAGCAAGGATTAAGGTCATCAGGTACCAAACAGGATCCAAGGGTAAATAAAGGGAGAGTGTGGGCTTACCTGGAGACTCCCTAAGCAGAAAATGAGAGCTTGGGGCTACAGTGAGGGGGCCACTCCACTGTTCAGGTCTGTGGGCTCATCCTTCATTCAGCGCTGAGCACGTGAATTTGGGCATAGAAGATGGTGGTTAAAGCTTGAATAAAAAGGCCCAAGAACCAATAGAAACTGACGGAAACTGATAGCATACTGACAAAACACCTTATCCTCTGCCTCTTGCTGGTGTCAATGTAAGAAAAGATCTGAGATTTTAAGAACAACAGGCAGGGGGCAACATAGTGAGACCCCATCTCTACAAAGAATAAAAAATTAGCTGGGTGGAGTGGTACGTGCCTGTAGTCCCAGGCACTTGGGAGGCTGGGGTGGGAGGACTGCTTGAGCCTGGGAGGTTGAAGCTGCAGTGAGCTGTGACTGCACCACTGCACTCGAGCCTGGGTAACACAGTGAACCCCTATCTCAAGCAAACGAAACAAAACAACAAACAAACCAAAAAACAAAGAGGACTCTGAAAGGTGTTTCAAACAACCAAACGAAAACAAATACAGGCTTGCTAGAGAACTATTTGAAAAAGGATCTAAAACTTCTCAGCCAAAGCTTTTGGGGCCAGTTCTGCTGGAAAGAGGACTGGGTTTAAACTGCATGGCTCTTTGCAGTCATCAGAACCTCCATTTGCTTAAATGGCACTTGGAAAGACAGGTATAAAATGACACTTGGACAGATGCCACTTTCTGCAAGTGGAAAAGAACTGGTCTCCATTGTATAGAGTTTTACAGGAGCAAGAGAATAAGGACAATTCTAAACCCAGATTTTCTATTTGACCCTCAGTCTCTAGAAAGTTTGACATCCTAGATGAAGAACAAAAGTAAGTTGAACACGGACACAGAGAGAGGAACAACATACACCGGGCCTGTCGGGGGGTGGGGAGGGAGGGAGAATATTAGGAAAAATAGCCAATGCATGCTGGGCTTAATATCTAGGTGACTGGTGGATAGGTGCAGCAAACCACCACGGCACACATTTACCTACGTAACAAACCCGCACATGTACCCCAGAATTAAAAATAAAAAAAATTTAAATTAAAAAAGTAGAGACTCTTCAAAGTGAGAAGGTATGTCAGGCAGCTACTATTATTTTTCCTCCAAATTAATAAGTGTAAGGTACCTGTTTAATCAGCTGGAGGTTAGAAAAAAAATAATATAAATATTTTTCATGGAAACAAACAAGACAAAACAACAACAACAAAAGTAAGTTGAAAGCCATATGTGTTAAGGTCACTCTTAGCATTTTTACCTTACATGACAAGCAGAGACCAGGAAAAGACAAGGACATGAATTTAAGGTACTCAAGTTCCAAATACACGAATCCATTGCTAGTTGTTTCTTTTTCTCTCTTTTCTCAACAAGTTGGGGAACACATGCAGAGGCAACAACAGCCACCGACTGAGTTGACTATATTCTCCATGGGGCTGAGTATGGACAAGGCGTATTTCCCGGACGCCATGGGCAGGGGGTCTCCATCAATGACGTGGATATTCAACACTACAGGGCCTGGCTCCCTGCTTGCGGAGGACTCATGGGTCACCCTGAATGGCCCAAACTCTCTGATACCTGGCAGAGTGGTAAGGTATTTGAAACATCTATTAGGAACAGAAATATTTATAGTTAGTCATTATTTTCTTAAACCTTCTTGGTGGGTTCAGAAACAAGTGACCATTTTGTGTAAATTCATTTATTTTGGAGCAATGAGAACACATGGACATAGGGAGGGGAACATCACACACCAGGGCCTGTCAGGGGATGGAGGGCTAGGGGAGGGATAACATTAGGGGAAATACCTAATGTAGGTGACAGGTTGATGGGTGCAGCAAACCACCATGGCACGTGCATACCTATGTAACAAACCTGCACATTCTGCACGTGTACCCCAGAACTTAAAGTATAATAATAAAAAAAAGAAAAAAGAAGTTCATTTATTTTGACTCCTACAAAGGCAAGGAATAGGGTTTTTGTTGTTGTTGTTGTTTTTGAGACTGTCTCGCTCTGTTGCCCAGGCTGGAGTGCAGTGGCGTAATTTTGGCTCACTGCAACCTCCGCCTCCCAGGTTCAAGCAATTCTCCTACCTCAGCCTCCTAAGTAGCTGGGACTACAGGCACACAACACCACATCAGGCTAATTTTTTTGTAGTTTTAGTAGAGACAGGGTTTCACCATGTTGGCCAGGTTTGTCTTGAACTCCCGACCTCAGGTGATCTGCTTACTTCGGCCTCCCAAAGTGCTGGGATTATAGGCGTGAGCCACTGCGCCTGACCAGGAATAGGGTTTTAATACAATTTTTCATCTGGCCTGAAAAATATACTTCAGTGTTCAATGATTTGAAATCTCTGAGATATCAGGGAATGAAAGGGATTAAAAGCTTTAAGAAATATAAATATAAATGTGTATGTGTGTGTGTATACATATACTATTTTTTTTTTTTTTGCCCAGGGAAGACATCTGTCAGTGCTCATAAACCCTGTTTCCTCTGGGGATAAGTTAGTACCAGCTTAACCTGAGGGTGGGCAAAAAAAGGACATGCAGAATTCAACGCAACACACATCCTGACAAGTTTATAAGGACCACGAGAAGTTTAGAGGCAGGAAATAAATAGTAACACCAACCATAAAAAGGCTGTCACTCACTCTAGAGTTTAAAATGCTCGTACGCAGGTGGCGGTGGGCCTTAGGCAAGCCAGCATGACAGCAAAGAAAGGACGGACCCAGAGGAGACTCCAAGGATGTAAAAACATGAATGAAACAAAACATACAACCAAGCCTCACCACAAAAATGACAACCGTGTGAGGTAATGCATTTGTGAGCTAGATTTAACCATTCCCAAAGCATTGTGTTGTGCGTGATAAATGCGCACTGTTACGTCTGTCAATTTAAAAATAAAAATGAGAAAGGCCGGGTGCAGTGGCTCATGCCTGTAATCTCAATACTTTGAGGCCAAGGTGGGAGGATTGCTTGAGCCCAGGAGTTTGAGACCAGCCTGGCCAACACAGTGAGATCCCCATCTCTAAAATAATAAAAATAGAAAAAATGAGACGGGTCTGGTGGTGCACATCAGCTACTGTGGATGCTGAGGCAGGAGGATGGCTTGATCCTAGGAGGTCAAGGCTGTAGCGAGCTGTGATCGCACCACTGTGCTTCAGCCTAGGCGATAGAGTGAGGCCTTGTCTCTAAAAAATAATAATAAATAAAAATTTAAAATTTTAAAAATGAAAAAAAAAAAAGACAACCAAACCCCTTAGGCCCACTACCTTGCACTGAAAGCAGTGTTTGGGAGAGAGCATGTGGCATCCAGAGGTGTGAAGCTCAGTCGAGGCGAGCAGAGCCAGCCCATGAAATCCTGTACTTCCTGTTTCTGCAGAACCAGCTACAGCACGGTTGAGAGAGGTTCTCCAAATGGGAAGATGTAACAGACCGCTCCTCTGCAGTGACCTGCAGACCCCCAGAAAGGGTGCTCCTTGAAGCACCAGGGCCTCGGCCTCATCAGCCACCACCACATTCACTTGGGTGAGGGTGATGGCACTGCCCACCTGGCCTCACTGTCCTTGCATTCCTCTTTCTGACACATCCAACAGGGAGCTATGAGACCAGGGGCTCGTACACAGGTGTACAAGCTGTTCTCCCGCAGCAGCCTGTGAGTCTTTCTCTTGACCGTCTTGTTCAGGAGCTCTTCCGCTCTGAGAAAACCAGCAAGGCCTCTCCAAGCGCACCGAGCAGGAGGCTGCAAACAACAGCAGAAGGTCAGCTCTCCACTCCCCCGGGACCCCTGAGCTGCCTGGCGCCCACATACGCAGGGCAAGGGGTGCTTCCCCTCATCCTGCAACTGAGACTCATCACCAGCCCGAACTGCCATGCTTCCAGGTCAAGCCCAGGAATCGCTCCTATCCCTCAGGGCAGACCTCAGGTACACATGGGAGGTGAGAAGGCAGGGAGGCGGGCTCGATACCTTCCCTTGGGGAAGAAGGTGAAGCGTCCCACACATCCTGACCAGGTGAGGATGATGCACTGGGTTAGTGCTCTCTGGCAGAAACACAGACTTCTGGCAGGAGAGATCCCATAGAGGCCTCTGGTGCTGTTGGCAAATTGGGCTGATGGATAGGAAATCACACAGGTATCCACACTCTTAAAATTAAGGTGACAATCTCAGTTTTCATTTCATTTAAACTACAGAACATTTAAAGGTGAAAATACAAGTGGGGAATCATAATTTTCCCACCAGCACAGAAAGAAACATGGCCAGTGATCTGAAATGAAAAAGCAGTGGGAGAACTGGAGACAGAGAGGGAAGAAGAGCTGAATATTTTAACATGCCTCTAATGTAATACAGCCAAAGTCCTCTCCACTTTCTATTTTGAACCTCGCCGTAGACAGTCTGGTGACTATCTGAATCCCGTTAGTCTTCTGGGGCCTGTGCTGGGCCATCACCAAGGGACTATGGTGGTAGGTCTCTGATGGGGAGGGCCCCTTTTTCAGAGGTGCCAGCAGCCCGTTTGGTCAGACCCTTTCCTTCCCTTCCTCTCTCATCTGCCTACCCAACACCCCAGCCCTTCATACGCTCACCTGCAACACACGCCCAGGCCACGGCGCCTTCGCACCTTGAACGTTTGGGGTGCTGAGTGTATGACACACACATAGGCTGTTCACGCTACATACCCTGTGAAAAATGTTCCTTTGGTGGGTGACCCTGACATACAGGTAACTCACACCATTTTCCACTTTAGCATAGGAATGAACTGACTATGAGTGAGAATATAAAAACCATATGTTTTAGAATCAGGCCAATTCAAGCTCTGGCGCAGGCATTTGTTAGTCAGGTGATCTTGCGTACGTTTTCAGCCTTAGTCTCTCCATCTGTACCACAGGAGATGATCGCATCTAACAGTCTCTGTGAGGCTTAGAAATAATACATCAGCAGCAACCCACCCCTGTGTTTAGCCTATGATGGACAATCACTAAGACAGGATTACTATTATTTTCCAGCCGACTGCCCTCTGAGAGTAGCAATCCCCTCCTCAGTGGTCCTCCCGGTGGGCCACCCAACTTCTGCCTGAAGATGTCTAGTGAGGGGCACGTCCTGTTGAGCAAGGCAAGCCTGTCCCATGGATGAGTGGCTTTGGTCACCGGATTCACATGCGTCTCCATGGGCATCTCACTTGTGGAAGCCACTGGGGTTGGCGGGGACTGACTGAGACATGTTCCTTCCCCACGCTGACCCAGGCAGCTCTTCATCACACTAACTCTACAGCAGTAATTTCTTACAACCCCGCCCACGAGGCCAAAGCTGCTCTCCGGAGCAAGAGAGAACAAATGTACTCCTTCCTCAGCTTAGAGACTGGGAGAATCCCCCAAACACCGTGATCTCCCCTCTCTGGTGATTAAAGGCCTCTGGGGGAAGGCAGCAGGAGACACTGGTCAGTCAGGTTGAGGGGCTTAGAGGATGTCCCCCACTTGGTTCACAATGGGGATGGAGGAGAGGGAGCCGAGGGAGACTGATGCCTAGTACCTTACTCCAAGTTGGGATGTACTTTCCTCTTTCCTACAGAAATAAAACTATAACAGTGAAACTAAGTTGATCGTTCCTATTTAACTCACAAGAATGTAGCTGTTACGAATGTCCATGTTATGAACCAAATGACTATCTGTGGACCTCCCTAGATCTGTAATCATCATTGTCAGCACTGTCTCCGTGAGAAATTGTGACCCAAGTTCCCAACGACCCTATTTGGGAACGAGGCCGCTTTGTGAAGCTGGGAGCCTGCTTGTCCCTTGTCCAGCTCAGGACCCCAGATGCTGAGGGGTTCTATCACCTCTCCTCTTTGGAAAAGACATGACTGTGAAAGGGAGGCGTTCTTTTTGCACGCAGGCTCACCTCCAAAGACCTGGCTTTTCCTTTTAAGTGACTGCCGTTCCCCTTGTAGCCCTTCAAGAGCATGTATGCCACCCTGCCAAGTTCCCAGGCAATGCAGAGTCACCACGACCGGATGCAAGGGCTGCACGGAGCTTTGGGTTTGGGAGGGTTTTATTTCTGCAAATGTAACCAGGGGCTCGGACATTTTATACACTTTCCACTAATCCTCCTTAATCACCAGGGAGAAAACCAGGGTAGCAGCTGGCCCCTTGCCACTTTTACTCCCATAACCTTAGAAAAATGCTGGAGTATAATAACCTTGCATTATGTCCCTTGGCCTGAACTACTTTATGAAACACCAAAGCAGCTTAGTAAATACTAAAAATGAAAACAAACCTTGGTTCGGTTTACTGTTAGGAGAGCCAGGGAGGTGAGCTTTGATGTTGTTTTCTAAACAGCAGGAAAGGCTGACATGGGTCCAGGAATCTTAATAGCATTACAACTATTTAAGTCAGAGCTTGACTGAACTGTTTGCAAATCTTGTAATCCCCATCATTCCTGAAATGAACAAACTTCATGTAACCAAGGCATAAACATCAGATTGCAGGGCACACATGGCCAGAAATATCCATCACTAGCTTCTCTTCCAGAGGTTTATTTTCAGCACTTCTCCAGCCCTTCTCTTTCTCCTATGAGGGACCGAAGCCTCCATCTAAATTTTACATTTATTATTGTGGCTATTCAATTAATTCCTGTTGAGCTAGTAGACAGAGGATGGAGGCTGCATCCTTTACCTGGCTGCAGGCCCTGCGCCTAATGCAGCACTCAATAAATACCGATTCAATGAATAGTTAAACTGTTAATATTTTATCCCCTTTCTGCCACCTATGTAGATGGGAGAAGTCCCAAACTATTTGGTCTAAAAATAATTTGGTCCTAAACTATTTTTTCCTTTTTCTCTCTTCCTCACCGCAATGTGTCTGTCCCATGCTCCATTCCTTGGGGCTCTGCCGAGTGAGTTCATAATCTATTAAATTATGATAAAATTTGAGAGGTAATCAGCAACGTTATTGAGAAGGCCCTTCTTACGTAGAATTTTAAAGAGGAGGTTTCAGATTTTTAATTCAAATGGAGAACTCATAAATTTCAGACACTGTGATCCTGAAGGCATTTTGGAGTGTGATGGGGGGACGTTTTCTTTGCCCCTAAATTCATTCTTTCTATACATAGGTTTGGGCAGCCTCCGTGAAGTTCCTTAAAATTAAAGGGATAAGAAATCTTTACTCAAAGATTATATACGATCATTTTCTAAAGACCCTCAGTGTTGGTGAGGTTTGTGCTAGGCTCAAGTTCAAGTGATCCTCATGGCTGATAAACAGCGATCAATGGCAAGTTCAGTGAATGATGTGCGAAGGGAAAAATGTGATCATGGAATCCTTAGAACAAAGAAGTTGCATTTTGGTTATTCTTTTCTTTCCTTGTGCTTAAACTATTCCAAAGAGAAGGGTGACTCTCCCCATCTATAAAACGGGAGAGGAGAGGAGTCACCATAATTAATTCCACTTGACAAGGATACCGCTCTCAGGTCAGTATCTTTCTCTTTTGTATGCTTCAAATCTCCTTTGCTGAATTTTGAAATAGAGGGAATTAATATTACTATAAAACTGTTAATTAAAAATGAACAATTAAATAGAAATCTGGATATTTAAATTACTGGGCTTGAAATAGATTGTTTTCATAATAATTGGCTGGATGACAGCAGTTGTTTTTAATTAAAGACTTTAAAAATATTGAGTACTTCGGTTTATAATTGTTCTTGGATACAATATTTTGAAGGCTGGCCACTCAGTGTTGATTCAGCAAGTATTCAACACTAGGCCTAGAGATGCAAAGGTGAATGAAACACACCCTTTCTCCTAGAGCTGCTCACAGCCTGGTGGGAGAGATGGCGCCAGCCACCTGTCACTCGCCAGCCACCTGTGCAGCAAGTGCCTACGGAGCCAGACACAGACACAGAGGGGATGGGAGGAGCAGCTGAGGACCTGACACTTGAGCTGATCCAAAGCTCTCATTCGATGAGCAAGTTCCTTAAGATCTTGCTGAAATTTCAAATGGAATTTTCTCCACTAGCCCCCATGAACTTTAGACCAGTGATTCTCAACTGGGGTGGGACTTTTGGCAATGTCGGGGATGTTTTTCATTGTTACAATTGAGGGGGTGCTACCGGCATCTAGCGAGTGGGGTTCAGGTTTGCTGCTAGACATCCTACAAGGCACAGAACAACCCCTCAAAACAAGGAATTATCAGTCCCAAATATTAATAGTGCTTTGGGTGAGAAGCCCTACTTCAGATGGCCTACTTTGTGTAGCTAAGCTGTTGTCCATCCAAGGAGGAGGATAATGACATATATATTTGAACACTTATCCCCTACATGGTGATCTCCCTGGAGTCAGGGAATGTGCCTTGCTTCCTTCTGTAGTCTCAGAGCCCAGCCCAGCCCTTTGGTGGAATGCACGAATATACAAATATATGGATGCAAGGCTACTGGCTGGAGCAGGGTCCTCCAGTCTCAGCCAGCCAGGGTGGTGGAGGCCATGGTGGATTGGAGACCACACGCCAACGTGAAGAGGCAGCCTCTATTCATTCCAGCAACTGCTGCTGTGTGCAAATGCAGGCCCAACATTAACAGCTGCTCCACATTTTCAAAAGAATCTGGAAATCTGGATTTGTATGAGGAAATCACCCGATTTCAAAATGGTGATGACTAACTTAAAACTTGAAAAGCAAATGAGAAGAAATAGTAACTATACCAGCACACACAATAGGTCCAAACAAAATAGGCCTGCAGCCTCTGCCCTTTGTGACTTCTGATCAGTTTAAAGTCCCATGCCACAGGGATCAGCCACCGCCCCTGCCTGGGCTCTGAGAGCTGGTCACCCAGCCACGCTTGAACACGCCTAGTATATGGACAAGGCAGAACAGCTCTGTGCAAGACACAGAGCTGAAGCACAGTCCACTCTTCTGGTGGTTCACTTTGTGGTTGGAAAATTCCTTCAGGCTGAAAACACACCATCTTTAACCTCAGGAGTCCTCAAAAATCAGGAAATTCCAAAGTCAAGGTTCCTTTTGCAATAATCACACATTCTGTTTCCTTAATTTGCGAACACACAGCCTTTCTTTCCATTTTTCTCAGGGCATACCATAAAGTTCACAGGATGTGAAACAGCCCAGAGACAGCCTCTTACAGACGCCTGCTTCCTTACTATTCCGACTCAGCATTTCCTCACACTGGAGAGCTGTCTTACTCTTAGCTCTCACGTTCAGTTCAATACCTGGGTTTCTTTGGCTCATTTTGAAATTCTGTACAAAATGTGGTCAATGCAGGCTTACTTGTAAGAGAGAAAGATATTGTCAAGAATTTAGGGGCTGGGCGCAGTGGCTCACGCCTGTAATCCCAGCACTTTGGGAGGCTGAGGTGGGCGGATCACTTGAGGCCAGGAGTTCGAGACCAGCCTGGCCAACATGGCAAAACCTGGTCTCTCCTAAAAATACAAAAATTAGTCGGGCATGGTGGCGTGTGCCTGTAATCCCAGCCATTTGGGAAGCTGAGGCATGAGAATTGCTTGAACCCAGGGAGATGGAGGTTCCAGTGAGCTGAGATCGCGCCACTGCACTTCAGCCTGGGCGACAGAGCAAAACTCTATCTCCAGGAAAAAAAAAAAAAAAAGAATTTAGGCTAGTCTGGGAGTGGTGGCTCCCTCCTGCAATCTCAGCACTTTGGGAGGCTGAGGCTGGAGGACTGCTTGAGGCCAGGAGTTTGAGATCAGCCTGGGCAACATAGAGAGGCCCTGTGTTTAAATTAAAAAAAAAAAAAAATCATCCTGGCTAACACGGTGAAACCTCGTCTCTATTAAAAAAATAAAATACAAAAAATTAGCCAGGCACGGTGGCGGGCACCTGTGGTCCCAGCTACTTGGCAGGCTGAGGCAGGAGAATGGTGTGAACCCAGGAGGCGGAGCTTGCAGTGAGCCGAGATTGCGCCACTGCACTCCAGCCTGGGTGACAGAGTGAGACTCCGTATCAAAAAAAAAAAAAAAAAATTAAAGAATTTAGATAAACACTATGAAAGTTAAGGATACAGAAATTTGGGGAAAAGTCTCAAGAATTTATATATATATATATTTATATAACATATCATTATATATAATTATATATAATTCATATAATAAAATGTAATATAATAAAATATATATAATTCTTGTTATATAATAACATGTAAAACAAGAATTATATATAAATGACATTATATATCTATCAATTATATATAACATATATATAAAATACATATATTCTCTTTATATATAGAAAGAGAGAGAGGGAGAGAGAGACGCATGTACACATATACATATCTCAGGATATAAAGGTTTCTTCTCTGGGCAGCTGGATTTTGGGATGTCAACCTGCCTACCATTTGTGTCACCCCTCCCCAGAAGGACAGGTGCAGAGGAAGAGGGGGGAGGAAGATTAGCTCCCTGCTTCAGAGCCCCAGTTCTGGTTACAAATCACTAAGTCTCCACTGGCTGCCCTGTCTTCCCAGGTGAGAGGGGTCCAGTCCTCTTCCATCCCCCAACTCTCAGCCCAGCTAAGCCTCTTCCTCTGCATAAGGCCCAGTTCACACCAGCTCCAGGGGCATCTTCCAAACACTCCTGGCCTCTCTCCCTTCTTCAGTCTTCTTATTCACTGGGCATTAACACAGTTACTATCTGATCCATCCAATGAATTAGCTTTCTGATTTGCCCTTCCTTTGATAACCCCTTAAATGTTGGATATCTTATATTTCTTAATGGTTTCCACATACTGTGCATACAGCAGTCACTCAATAAAGATGTTTAACTGATTGATATTATGGAATTATAGCTATGGTATAAAAAACCTATGACAATGAGATTTTCCTCCCTAAAAATGTCTACTGGACATTCTTAGTCTGCAGGTCAGTTCCTGAACAGGAATTAGGACTGTCTTGTCCTGGGTGACGCTCTGTTTGTTTCCTCTGCTGTCAAATTATCTACATACTCTTTAGGGAGGATCACAGTGGTGGGACAAGGAACATTTAAGCCATTTTCCCTTATAACTCCCTCATGAGCTTCCGCCTGTACATTATCTACACTGCTGTAAATCCTTGGTGTTTTTCAATTCAGTTCTAGCAGGTTACAGGGCTTTGTACACACAGACCTGGGTTTGAAACCTGGTCCAACTGCCTAGTAGCTATAAAATCTTGGGAAAATAAGCATCTCTGGACCTCAGCTTCTTCATCTTTAAAATATGGATGACTTGGAAGAGTGTTATAAAAGTAAATGAGATAATATTAATGTAAGAAATGTCTGAGGCACAGTAGTTGCCCAATAAATGGTTATTATTATTAAAAAGAAGAGGAAGACATAGCAGGAGGAGGAAGAGGAAGGTGTAGGAACATTTCCTAATTTTTCCTTCCATTTGTCTTCTTGGGGCAGGAAATGCCCCCACTGGCGCTCCTGAGAAAGGTTGGAAATCCCATTTTCTGAGTGCAGTGAGCAAAACCATTCATTTCTGTCCATCTAGGATGATTTAGATATGGACCTGCCCTCAGGCAGGGCAATGAGCATCTATAGACACTGCAGAGGCAGTGATTTTTGACTTTTATCCAAGAATGGTTCCTGGCACATATGAGGCACTTGGTAAATGTCTGTTTATTGAAGGAACCCCTTCCAGCCCAAAGCCACACAAGATGCACGGTTACCTTTTAGACTCCCCATCATGGTATTCCACAGGGCCACTGGTGCTGCCCCTCACATTTATCCCATATGAATCTCCTACCGATGTTCAAAAATAACACTGTTGTTTCTGGGCTATGTCAGCATCCAAGGCCACCTGGGAGATGGGAGGCTGTCCTGGGCACACCTGGGTACCAGTGCTGACTCCCACCAGCCAGCATGGTGGTCCTTGACTTAAGCAAGTGACAACTCAGCAGGTCCAACTTGCAAACAAATGCAAAAAAAAAAAGAAGAAGGAAGGGGAAAGATCAGCTATTAGGACTACTCTGATTGCAGGCATGGAAAAAAATACTTACTTTCTTCTTCTTATTTTTTTTTTGAGATGGAGTTTTGCTCTTGTTTCCCAGGCTGGAGTGCAATGGCGCGATCTCGGCTCACTGCAACCTCCACCTCCCGGGTTCAAGCGATTCTCCTGCCTCAGCCTCCCTAGTAGCTGGGATTACAGGCATGCGCCATCACACCTGGCTAATTTTGTATTTTTAGTAGAGACAGGGTTTCTCCATGTTGGTCAGGCTGGTCTCGAACTCCCGACCTCAGGTGATCCACCCGCCTCGGCCTCCCAAAGTGCTAGGATTACAGGCGTGAGCCACTGCGCCCAGCTAAAATACTTATTTTCTAGAGTCAGGCATTATTTGAGCAAAGCTAAGCAATACTATGCTTTTTCTTTCCTGATAATACTGGTAAAGAAATGTAAAAACCCATTCCAAAATTTGCCTGCACTTCAATTTTATAGTGCTATTCCATGGGGGGGAAAAATCTGCCAAGTAATATATAGGAACTAGAATAGAAATAAGCATGATCTTAAAGTGGTCCTAGGCTTCTTTTCCTTTTTAAAACAAAGGACAGAAGACCAGTGAGCAGCAACAACAAATGTGAATTTTTCTACATAATGTGCAGCATCCAGGATTGAGGCCAGGCTGCCCCTGGTCACAGGGAAGGAAACAAAACTTTGTCACCAGCCCAAGAAATAGACTATTTATGTGTGATGTGTGTGAGGGCTGCTCAGTGTGGTTTCATTTCAGAAACACTGTTGTGGCTAGGCCCCCAGATCTAACACCTCCTACAGTGAACAGAGTCCACCTCCGTTGGGTTACACATGCCTGGCCAAATGCAGCACTGTTCTCACCCTTCAACCGAACCGTAGTGACGTCTGGCAAGAGGAGTTTGAGGGAGTGAAGGATGAGCGACTTTCGCTTTTTACTTGATATATTTCTGTATTGTTTTAAATGTCTTATAAATAGCATGCATTACTCTATTGCTTAAAAATACATACATATATATTCCCCAAATTAAAGCATGCCTATTCATCAGCAATGAGCTGTTTTAACCGTTTAAACTCTCCATTACTTCCTCCCTCACCTTCGCCTTCCCTGCAGACCACAACCCAAATCCTTGGTAACAATCACCTATTGGTTTGAATAGTAGTAATCAGAATAGATAACATTCTTAACTCTCCAATGGGCAGGACTTGTGTAGAGAGTTCAGGGGTGAAACCCACCCGATCGCTTCATTCTTGTCCTCATGTGGTCATAGCCAACTGGCCCTTGAACGAGAGGCACATGGTCCTAATAAGTTCAGAAGGCCTGTTTCCTGTCTCAGATGAGAGCTCCGAGGCCTGAGCGGAGGGCGAGCCCGGGGCGCTGGTCACAGCTGGGTCCTCTCCGACAGTAGTACTTTCTCTGTGCATCCCTGTGTTACTCATGGCCCAAACCTCCCTTGTGAGTCACGGGCTCTGAGGGCTATGGGGCAGGGCAGTGTGGCCTTTTCCAGGAGGTGTGTCCTGAAGCTACCATCACAACGGCCACACCTACCTCCTGGGACTCTGAGTCCCCACTGTGTCTCCCCACAGCCATGCCCCTGCCTCAGCCATCCTTCTGAAGAACCCACCTGTCCCCATCTGCCCTGCTCAGCCATCCTTCTGAAGAGCCTGCCTGTCCCGGTCTGCCCTGCTGAACACCACCCCACACCCAACTGTCTCCTGCATACCCCCAGGGTCCTGCGCACTGCTTCTGGGAGGGAGGCAGACCCTAATGGGCAGAAAGGAATGAATCTGGTCACAACAGTCAGAACTGTCAGGGAGGAAATTAGCAAGGCGACAGGAAAAAGCTAGCAGGGCTTGCACAGGATGTGGCCAGGGAAGCCTCTCTGAGGTCACCTCGATTTGAAGGCCTGGGGGATGAGCAGTAGTGGCCAACTGAAAGCAGGGAGGAAGGCATCCGGGCCGAAGTGACAGGCCCAGAAGCCCTGAGGAGACACATGTGTGCCATGGCCAAGGCACAGAAAGGCTCTCCCCTCCCCAGATCCGCAGGCTGATTTGGCGAACGATCTATTCCTGTATCTCCACTCTGTGGTCCAACAGGCACCTCAGCCTTCATACATTCAAACCAATGCCCAGTACGCCTCCACCACCACCTTGCCAAACCCTGCTCTTCACACAACATTCTCCATCTCAGTAAAGGCAACCTCATTCTTTCATTGCTCGGAACCCAAACCTAGAAGTCATCCTAGACTCCCCTCTCTCAAATCCTAGTGCCTCAGATATCCTACCATGTCTCCCCACCTCCACTGCTATCAGCCAGTTCTCAGCCATCATCATCTTGCACCTAGATCATGGCAAGAGCCCCTGGTCTTCTTGCTTCCTCCCCACCCCTTGGCACCGTTGTCCCCCAGCATCCCCATGGCTCACTCCCTCACTTCCTTCTGGTCTCTGCTCAGACAGCTTAGTGAGGCATGCTGTCTTTATGCAAATGGGTAGTGCATTCTAAACAGGATCATTTGGAGCTTATCTGAAAGTTAATGGAAAAATCAAAGAAATGGAAAGACACCCAAACACAGCACGTGTTTTCTCTCTCTCTCTCTCTCTCTCTCTCTCTGTGTGTGTGTGTGTGTGTGTGTGTATACAGTTGCCCCTCAGTACCTAAAGGGGATCTGTTCCAGGACGTCCATGGGTTGTCAAGTCTCTTATATAAAATGGTGTCGTGTTTGCCTACAACCCATGCACATCCTCCTGTATATTTTAAATCATCTCTAGATTACTTGTAATATCAAATACAATGTAAATGCTATGTAAATAGTTGTTATACTGTACTGTTTAGGAAATAATAACAAGAAAAAAAGTCTGTACATGTTCAGTACAGATGCAACCATTGCAGGCCTAAACTGCATTGTTGACCCACAGTTGGTTTAATCTGAGGATCTGGAACCTGTTCATGCAAAGGGCTGATTGTGTGTGTGTGTGTGTGTGTGTGTGTGTGTGTGTATAGTGGTTTACTAAACATTACATATTATTATACATATTATATTATACATATTATGCATATACATACATATATATACACATAGTGGTTGACCAGCAGTGGCTGCCCTGGGGTGGAGGAGTGAGGGTGATGTTCTGTTTCTTGCTCTGGATGCTGGTTATGGTATACAGAATGGTTGGTTTGTACAAATCCATCAAGTAGTATATTTATGATATATGCACTCTTCCCAATTTGTATTTACAGGTCAATACAAGTTTTTTTTTTTTTAAAGAAAGCTTCGCTAATATGAGATTTGCATTTGGATGGAGATACACAGCCAACGCACACTCCCTTTCTGCAACATTTGAGAGCAAAATTTAGTATCCTGATGAAACTCAGTAACTAATTGGCACTTTATCTCTCTATGCAAAAGACTTACCATCCCGTGGTTGCACTGGTCAGGATCGCATCAAACAGCAATATTGATAAGCCAGCTGTGATTATCTGTAGAAATAATTTCAACACAAGGTCATCATACCAGCAGGGCTCTGGAAACCTCCAATGTCATTTTTTTCACAAGCTTAGCTCACTTGAGTTCGGATGCCTGCCATCAGGCACTTCGTTCCACTTCCCGTGTCCTTTTCCCCACACGCTTCCTAGTCAGCCCCCTGTACTTAGCGGTGCCTCTGAGCCAAGCATTTGGTGTAGAAAAGGCTAAGTCTTAGTCTGTTTTGGAGGTGAGAATGTTCAAAGAAGCATTTAACTTCCAAATTCTTCAAAAGGGAGGCGCACAGCCAAGGCCGCCCTCATCTCTCTCCAGGGAAGGGGTATATTAAGAAAACTCATTTCCATTTTGTCTCAGCAGTGCAGAACTCGTCTCCAAGGTCAGATGTGCTCATTAACCTGTTCTCGGATCCTCCAGATAAAAACTTATCTGTCACCCAGCCTTTGTCCAATGCACCATCTCTCCGTCCTCACCTAATGCTCCCATCTTTCTGATCCATGACACATTCTAAGAAACCAGGTGCATCCTGGGGAAAGGAGTGATTAAATCATTAATTAATTATTTGCAAATATCTAGAAGCCAGAGGAGAGGGAAGAGGTTACCTCCACATCTCTCAAGGCTGGAAATTCCAGAAAGGTGTCTCAGGAATGGCAGCCACAGGACTCAGACCCCAGAAGTGCCTCGAACCCCCCAGCACCAAGAGAGTGTGTGAACCAGTGGCCCCGCTCTGTCCACACTTGGAATGTCTGCTTAAGGAAAGATGTTTCTGGCTTCCAGTCTTCCACATCCTGCAGGTCAAAACAGCTTCCATGGGGAAGGTAAGCTTAAGAAACTGCTTTCTTGCAGTGAGAGGTGGGATGTAGGCCAGGTTGGGAGAGGTTCAGCTACCATCTCCCTCAAGGGGATTTCATGTGCTGTCTTGGAGGCCTCTTTGGGTCTCCAAGCTGGGAGCAAGGCAGCAGACAGACAAGCAGAAGGAAGGAGTATGTTTATGAACCTCATCGTCACGCATTACCATCTCAGAAAGAAGTCTGGAACTACAAATACAGAATTCTCATGATAGGATATAAACATGGTGAGATTTTGGAACTTTTCTTTGTAGTTAAGTCATTTGGTATCACTTTCTGCCTCGCTTTATTGATTTGTAGCAAAAACCTTGATTACAAAAAAAGACCTGGGTATTGTCCTCAGGGGCAATAAAGAAGTAGAAGCCCAGCCAGACAGACAATTACAAGAATACAAAGGATAGGGAAAGAGATTTCTCTAAGTGGAGACTAGTGGTGGCTTTTTCTCAAAGATCATATTGAATGACAACTTTTGAGCTGATGCGCATGATGAATGTCCCTCTTTTCTCTTCCCTTTTTTTTTTTTTTTGAGACAGGGTCTCGCTTTGTCGCCCAGGCTGGAGTGCAGTGGCGTGATCTCAGCTCACTGTAGCCTCGACCTCCCAGGACTCAAGCACTCCTCCCGAGTAGCTGGGCCTATAGGCATACACTGCCACACCCAGCTAATTTTTAATATTTGTTTGTAGAGACAACGTCTCACTTTGTTGCCCAGGCTGGTCTTGAACTCCTGGGCTCAAGCAATCCCACCCGCCTTGGCCTCCCAAAGTGCTGGAATTATAGGCGTGAGCCACCGTGCCTGGCCCTTCTTTTTTTTTTTTTTATTAACATTTAATTTAGGACTTCTGCATCTATGGTCATAAATGAAGTGGACTAAAATGTTATTACCTCTCAATGCAATTGTCTGGTCTTGGAAACAATGTTGTACTAACCACATAAGTGAGTTCATCAGCTTCTCTGCTTATTATCCTGCAACAGTTATAGATGATCTTGACTCTGAAAGTTACCCGTGACTTGAAGGCCCCTGGATCTAGATCTCCTAGCTGGGGGTGATCTTTAATAGCTATTAGCCTAATCAAGTCTTCTCTTTCTCATTGTTGCATATTTTCCATTTTCACTTTTCCTCAAAATGTATTTCATCTAGGTCTCCCAATTCATTAATATTTAGCTGTTTGAAGAAATATTTTACATTGTTTGTGCCTGTTTGATTACCTTCCTTTTTTGTAATGTTTCTCTTCATTCCCCCCACCCCCTTCATTAGTCTTGACTGAAGTTAACTATGTTGTTAGTCATTCTTTCCTTTTGCAACTTCTTAGACATGGCCTGGGACGGTGCCAATGGAGATGTATTTCTTGGACTTGCTGAGAAAGGCTCCATCCCACTGATGGATGTTGGCTGTGCTGGCAGCTCCGCATAATGGAACACTTCGCTTGATTTATAAAGGACCCAACTTGTCATTTCTATGTCCTCACCATTGTCTTTATTGTCCTTGCCTGTTTTTACCCGCTGTTCAAGGCCTTCTTTGATTGGCTTCTCTCCTTGTTCTCTGACTGCCTAACTCAGGTGACTTTCAGTCCAGCTGGTAAAAAGGGACAACTGCCCTGTCCCCCACCATACCCACAGCCTGGGATTTGTGCCTCTGCTCCTCCGTGAGCCTCTTTAGCTTAGGAGGAATCCTGTCTGCCGTGAGATAGATAGCTGGTCTGCTCATTCCTCTGAAATGCACCTTTTGCCAAAAAAAACACATCTTAAAAATTTTAAACCAGCCCTTACTTGAAAAGAAGGTTGGTTTAGCAGCCACTCCGGTGCCTTCGCCGTCTGCCACTTCCTGGAAATGTTTGTATAGTCTCCTGCCTTCTCCTGAGTCACCTTTCCAAAATTCAAAATTCTCAAGTTTTATCACCTAAGGAACAAGTGTGCTGCTGCCTGAGACCCTTTATCTTATTTCTGTAGAGAATGTAGACTGAAGTTGTTTGCACCGTGGGACAACTGTGGGGTTGGACGGGCCCATTTTTAATCTATTCGGTACAGGCAAGACTCCTCTGAAAGGATGATGTGTTCTCTCCCCAGCACGTGGTTTCTACGTGCGTGATGCCCCACTACTGTCCTATTAATCAGTGATCTGTTTACAAGCCTATCTCCCCTCTCTGCATTGTGAACTCTTAAGGTCAAAGACTTGGAAGCCATCCCAGGACCAAGGTCAGTGCCGCAGAGCCTGGCTCAGTCACATTCGACAAAGGGTGGAAAGAACCTGAGCCAACCGGGCGCGGTGGCTCATGCCTGTAATCCCAGCACTTTGGGAGGCCAAGACGGGCGGATCACGAGGTCAGGAGATCAAGACCATCCTGGCTAACATGGTGAAACCCCGTCTCTACTAAAAATACAAAAAATTAGCCAGGCGTGATGGCGGGCGCCTGCAGTCCCAGCTACTAGGGAGGCTGAGGCAGGAGAATCGCTGGAACCCGGGAGAGGGAGCATGCAGTGAGCCGAGATCACGCCACTGCACTCCAGCCTATGTGACAGAGCGAGACTACATCTCAAAAAAAAAAAAAAAAAAAAAAAAAAAAAAAGAACCTGAGCCTCTGATCCTCCCTGGAGGGCACATGAACATGCAACAGGCTTGGTACTGGCTTCCTTTTTGCTCACTTGGAAAGTCAGCACAGGGGAAGAGGCTCCTCATGTGCTTGAAAGCTTAAAATTTGCTCTGAGACATGTAGGAACATGTAGTGTCAGCACACAAAACAAAATCTTTTATCATTAAGCCCAAAACAAGCATTTAAAAGCAAAGGGGTAAAATAGGGAAAAGAAAAAAAAAAAGGAGCCCCCTGTGACTCTGGAGCACTTGGAGGCTTACAAAGGAATGCACTGGTGTGAGTGTGTGACAAGAAGCAAAACTTTAATTCCTGACTTCCAGCTCCTGGGTGACAAGGTCATCCAGGATGATCAGTAATTCTACTAAAAACACACAGGTGTGAAATCTACCCAGTTTTCACTTCCTGCCTAGCCCTTGAAGAGCATCATTGCCACCTCCCCATCATTTGCTGAGCACTAGTTGTGGGAATGCATTGCTTTTCCCATTTGTACCAGGGGCTTCCTGAGTGATCCACCTGGTGGTGGGACCTAGAGCACAGGGCCCCCAGGTATTAGCACTGAGGATGGAACCACTGAAGCTGCCTCTTCGCTCCCCTCCTCTCTCACTGCACCCCAACCACCCAAGGCCACACAGTCCACTGAGTGGAACCTTGCTTTGGTCCTGACTCTCAAGCCACACCAGTCTCCCTCTTTGTGCTCCACACTTGACTCTGATCTCCAACCCAGGGAAGGGAGCTTTCTAGGCTGCCTGGCTCTGGCCAGACCTTGGCCTTATGACTAGAACCTTGACTGACGCCCCACAGAACTAGGACTAATAATCCAGAAGGACTCTCCACTGAGTACTGACCATTGCCTGGATTTCCAGCCCTGTGTCCGATCTTCCAGGTTTAGAACTTAACTATGATGCTCCAGCGGACACTACACACAGCACCCACCAGCTGCACCTTCAGAGCTCCAGAGCCAGCCTCCACAAGAATAGCCTCTTAGGCTTGGACACACCTTGGAGTGACAGTCTCCCAAATTCTAGCCATCCTTGCCTTCCTCTTCAGAAATGCGTGCAAAAGGCCTCATGCTCCAAGGCTTTAGGTGTCATGTCACTTGCTCCACAGTTAATCAGTGGATTGGTCTCCTGTTGCATCAAGCAATCCTTTCCTCTAAGTAACAGAAATCGATCCCAGTGCATCTCACTGTGTGGTCATGGGATAAAACCAAGCTCCCAGTATTCCAGGGCTGAGAGTCATGCTCCAGATGTTAACAAGCCTACTGCAATGTGCTTACCCTGGGGGGGGCTACTAAGTGCTCTGACACCACCTTCAATGAGATAATATTCACCAAAGAACAAGAGTCTTTCTCATACATTACATTTTGTACTCCAAAAATGTTAGTAAAAGCATAAACATTTTTGAAAAACCCTCTTGAAATGACTAAAATCTGCCCATGAGAAAACTTTCAATTTACTCTTGCAACTAGCCATTCAAGAAGACCTAAGAAATAGTCATCACCTGTACTATCAATTGGTGTACTTGCTTATAAAAAGCACTTTAAAAAACAGATTTTTCCCAAAGAAGAAAGAGTCTTGTCATCTGAGGAATGTCTCCTTCTCACACACAGACCCGAATAACAAACCCCAGGACCTGCCACAGGCAGAGGGGTGCCAACAACAGCAGAACTCAATACGAGGTGTCAGCCGCAGGGCTTTGAACTTCCTAGCTTTGTCAACGGCTGGCACAACCTCTGTGTTATTTAAACAGATTTTGGTATTTAAAGCAGATCAGGTTTGTTTTTCAAACATTCATTTCAATCCTGAGACAAATTTTCCATTTAAGGGGAAAATGGTGGTGGTGGTGGGGGGTGTTGTAAGTAGGAACCTGCCAGATTATCAGGTATTTGGGAGACAATCAGAGACTTAGGTTTATTGTTCTATTGGTTTTTAAATGCATATGACTCTTAAGAAAAAAGTGATGCATACAAGACTCTCCCTTGCCTGCTTCTTCAGCCCAGTTACAGCCATGTACCTCCCTTTTAAAGGGGTTGCAATTTTTCAAACACAGTTTCCTACCATCATCTTGCTTTTGCTCAGCAAGTTCTCTCTGCCTGGAAACATTTCATAGGTCTGCCGATATAGCCGACATAATTCCTACTCACCATTCAAAAATCCATCTTGAGAAAACTTTTACTGAACTTGGCCCCCGTCCGCACACCCAACTGGATCAAGCACTTCCTCTCAAGGCTCCCACAACCCCTTGCCATCGCACATGCCAAACCCTATTTGCAATATGTGGTCTTCTCCCAATCAGGGCATGTGCTATTCATCTTTGAACGTTCAGGGGCTAGCAATAGAGACTTGCATGTGATAAGGGCCTGATAACAGTTTCTGCACCAGATAATCAGAGCTGGTAATATAACCTTTAAGGTCACAATGCTGTTTTGTTTTGTTGTTTAATCCTTTTTCATATATTTGGGAAAACTGGAACCAAGGACTTGAGAACCACTGGGACATTCTCTCTACCCCTTATCCTTGACCAGTTCCCTCCACAGAGTTAGAAAGAGCCTCACAGAGCGGATCTAAGCCTAGATCTCTCTGGATTCTAGTCCCAAAATGCCAGGGACGATTCTAATTGGCTCCTGGACCAACTGACTGGGGCCTGGGAGGCAGAGTCATATAAGAATAAGGAAGCTCACTCAGGAACTTCATGGTTGGAAGAAGGAAGGAACATTTTATTGGAGGAAGGTATGGGAAGTGCTGGCAGGCAGAACAACAGGTACTTTCTTCTATCTGCCATGCAAAGTGTGGTCACAGACAAGCAGCATCAGCAACACCTGGGAGCTTGCGCGAAATGCAGAATCTCAGGTTCCACCCCTGACCTACTAAACAGCATCTGCACTGGCACAAATGCCCAGGTGATATGCATACACGTTAACATGTGAGAGTTCTCTTCTATACCCTCCAACTCCAGCCACAAGGCTCCAGAATGACTTCCTCCAGCTGGTGTACAAACACGCTGCACTGCTACCTCTCCAGGGACGGGCGGACTCCAGCTCTCCCACAGGCCACAGAGTTGGAGGTGTATTTCAGACAGTCTTGGAGTCTGTCTGTGTTGCAGACTCACATATGAATGTTACCAACCTGGTCTTCCTTCCAGGTTAAAGAGTAAATCTAATATAAAATTTATCATCTGAGAGCAGGCTCTTTTTCTCCTAGAACCCATAGAACTATTCCAAGTCCACTAGATAGAAATCACAGCCTATACTCATAACTCTATTCGGCATTAAAAAATTTCAATTAACCGTTATTACCCATCCTATGATTTATTACCACAATCAGGGTAATTATTAACAAGGGACAACTCATGTTAAACTCCAGGCATGGCTATTAACAGTATTTAATATTGCCTCATCAAAATATATGAACCATTAATCTTGCCAGATATCAGAACAACATTTATTATAAGCACAATGGGATTGAGAACACAGATGAGGAACAAAAGGAGATTAGGTTCATGTGAAGGAAGGATAAATTTTAAACCTAGAGAAATCTTAGGTGACTTTTAACAAACTCCTACATCTTATAGAAGCATCAACAAGAGAATTAAACTAGAAAACTGTGACACGAGTATCTAGTTCATGAAAGATAAGGGAAGAAAGTAACCAAAATGTGATGAGGGCATAAAATGTCCCAGACACCAGGCTCTGCTGTGTCACAGAGAAAATCTCACGTGATCCCTACAACATCCCTGCACAGGAGGCTGCTTGGCCCCATTTCTACAGATGAAGAAACTGAAGCTCACAGAGGAGAACTATCTTGCTCAAAGCATACAGTTTAAACAAAGGAAGAGTTGGAACTAAAACCCAGGTCTCCTGAGTCCTGTGGCACTCTCCTTTCTAACTCCAAGCTAACACTCAACAGTGGCTTTGCTTAATCCTGGCTCAGTAGTTCTCAGCCCTGATGGCACATCCAAAATCCTGGGAGAAGTTACACACACACACACACACACACACACACCCCACTAATATCCTGTTCCATATCAACCAAATAAAAATTTCTTGGACTGAAGCCCAGGATTTAGCATTTTTAAAAAGATCCCCTTGTAATTCTCATAGGAAGATAGGATTGAATCTCTGATTATTGCTATGTTCCTAGTTTGAGTAAAAGTATCCACAAAATTGCCAAACATCACAGAACCACTTCATGGCATCAATGAAATAGGCCAGAACCTGGTGAAACAAGGCATCATGATCACTATCTCGATCATCTTATCATCACTGCAGGTATCATGTACTGCACCATTTTACATTTCCACCAGCAGTGTGTGAGGGTTCCAATTTTTTTGTGCAAATATGGAATATTTAATACTTATTGATATATACCATGCACACAGAAATACATGCAAAGAGCACTCACGTAAACCTTAATAAATGATTACAGAGTGAATACATGTATGTAACCAAGGAACAGCATCAGTGTCACTTGTGTCCCCATACAACTACTTTTCTCCCTCCCCTCCAAAGATCTGAAGATCTACCATTGTAGATTAGATATACTTTGTCTTTTTATATGTTTCATTTCTTTTTTTTTTTTCAGACGGAGTCTCGCTCTGTCCCCCAGGCTGCAGTGCAGTGGCCAATGTCTGCTCACTGCAACCTCCGCCTCCACGGTTCAAGCGATTCTTGTGCCTCAGCCTCCTGAGTAGCTGGGATTACCAGCATGCACCACCACACCCAGGTAATTTTTGTATTTTTAGTAGAGACGGTTTCACCATGTTGGCCAGGCTGATCTCGAACTCCTGACCTCAAATGATCCACCCTCCTTGGCCTCCCAAAGTGCTGGGATTACAGGTGCGAGCCACTGTGCCCAACCATATGTGTTTCATTATAGAAAATTTTAAATGTCTACAAAGAAGGTTCCAATTTCTTCACATCCTGGTTATCTTTCTTTTTAATTCTAGCCATACTAGTGGGTGTGAAGGGATACCTCACTGTGGTTTTGGTTTGTATTTCCCTGATGACTAATGACACTAAGCATCTTTTTCCTGGGCTTAGTGGCCAGTTGTTCGTCTTCTTTGGAGAACTGTCTAGATCCCTTGTCCACTTTAAAAATCGGGGTTTTTAAAAATGATGGAGGTATAACAGTTCTTTATATGTTGTAGATATGAGTCCCATATCAGATATATGATTTGTTTGTGGGTTGTCTTTTCACTTTCTTCGTGGTGTCCTTTGCAGCTCAACAGTTTTTAATTTTGATGAAGTTCACTTTATCTAATTTTTCTTTTGTTGCTTATGCTTTTGGTATGTGCCATGGTCATATTTTACATAGCAAGGAATTCTAAGTCACTATTTCAACCAACATCTTAATTAACACTATACACGTATCATATAGATATATCATGGTTTCCTTTTCATAGAGCCATTCATTTATTCTATCTTCAAACATTATATTTTACTTTACAACATGATTTATCCAAATTATGTACTACTGCCCTTGATTTATAATGAGCTTCCAATGTGATGTTAGGAAAAAGTCAATATCATGCTATGTGATATAAACCCATCTATGTGATATGATATGTGATTCAGTAGACATTTGAGGATTAGATCTAATAAGCATGTATTAATATATTTAATAAAGGAGTCTAGAAACCTTATTTAGTAATTCTTCAAATACTTCATAGTAATTTTTTTTTTGAGGTGGAGTCTCACTCTGTCACCCAGGCTGGAGTACTGTAGCACGATCTTGGCTCACTGCAACCTCCGCCTCCTAGGTTCAAGTGATTCTCCTGCCTCAGCCTCCTAAGTAGCTGGGATCACAGGTGCATGCCACCATGCCTGGCTAATTTTTATATTTTTAGTAGAGACAGGGTTTCATCATGTTGGCCAGGCTGGTCTCGACCTCCTGACCTCAAGTGATCCACCCACCTCGGCCTCCCAGAGTGCTGGGATTACAGATGTGAGGCACCGCACCCAACCTTCATAGTAATTTTGAAGAGGTTGGTAACCAGTTACTTTAGAGTCAGAAGGGAATGCAGTGTTGAGATGACCTAATCTCTCCCCTTACTTTATTTCAGTGCTTTATTTATTTATTTATTTATTTATTTATTTATTTATTTATTTAGAGATGGAGTCTCGCTCTGTTGCCCAGGCTGGAGTGCAATAGCACGATCTTGGCTCACTGCAACCTCTGCCTCCTAGGTTCAAATGATTCTCCTGCCTCAGCCTCCCGAGTAGCTGGGATTACAGGTGGCTGCCACCATGCCCAGCTAATGTTTGTATTTTTTGTTGTTGTTGAGATGGAGTTTCGCTCTCGTTGCCCAGGCTGGAGTCCAATGGTGCGATCTTGGCTCACTGCAACCTCTGCCTCCTGGGTTCAAGCAATTCTCCTGCCTCCTGAGTAGCTGGGATTACAGGCGTGCGCCACCATGCCCAGCTAATATTTTGTATTTTTAGTAGAGATGGGGTTTCACCATGTTGGCCAGGCTGGTCTCAAACTCCTGACCTCAGGTGATCCACCTGCCTCGGCCTTCCAAAGTGCTGGGATTACAGGCATGAGCCACCGCGCCCTGCCTATTTCAGCACTGTAAAGATGTCATTTCTGCAGCCAAGGGCCAGATGCATAAAATAAAATAAAGATGTCATTTCATTGTCTATGAGTACTCATTGTTTCAGGTAAAAAGTCAGCCACTGGCTTTGTGGTTGCTTCTTCGATTTAAGGTAATGTCCTTTTTCTCTAGTTGATTTTAAGATTTTTAAATTTATTGTTGGTTTTCAAAGATAAATTTGATAGTTTGAGTAGGATATACCTAAGTATGGTTTTATCTGTATTTTATATGTGGGGTTTGGGAGCTTCTTGAATCCATGGGTTGATGGCAGTGAATAGTTTTACAAAATTCTCAGCCAGCAAAAGCATCCCTTCAAATATTGCTTCTGCCCAATCTCTCTCTCCTGTTCTTCTAGAACTACAATTCCACAAATATTAGATCTTATGAACATTTCCCTCATGTCTCTTATGCTCAGTTCTGCTCTTTCCATCCTTTTTTCCTCTTTGTGTTTCACTTTGAGTATTTTCTACTGACCTTGAGTTCACCAATCCTGCTACATCGTGCCCAGTGGGCTCTTAGACCCATCAGATAAATTATTAATTTCAGATGTATTTTTCAGTTCTGTAATAGCTATTTGATTTTTTAAAAAAACAGATTCTAATCTTGCACTGGATTGTCTCATTATTTTATCCATCTTTTCCTTTATTTTCTTTAACATATTATCCAGTCATTTTTAAGTTATTGCTAACATCATCTGTAGTTCTGTTCCTATTATCTTTCCCCACTTGATTATCAGTTATGCTTTCCTGCCTATTTACATGCCTATGTCTTTGATGACATGCTGGACATAGGTATAGAAGAACTGTAGAAGCTCCAGAGGATAGCTTCTACCAGGAAGCATTCCCCTTTCCCTCTAACAGGGTGATGAGCTCAACCCAACCAGGGATTTACTGACTCAGGAATAGCCTGCAGCTCTAGTAACTTAGTCCACCTCTATTTTATCTAGTCCCTTAGTTGTAAGCCCTCCCAGACTTGTGTTTAAGAGCTTGGTGGATCTCTGCCTCCTCATCCACAAAAGGTCTGCCTTTCAGAGGTTTTGACCTTAGCTTTTTAGCCTCTCATCCATGCAGGTTCAACACGTGGCAACTGTCTTTAGGGGAAGACTTGTGCTTTTGCTGCAGTCTCCTAAATACCCCTAGGCTATGAGAGTTTTCACACCTGCAGCCTCCTGCACCACCCCAGAACTCAGCAAATGCCTCATGGGAAAAACTAGACTTCCTCTGGGGCTATTCTAGCTTCCAGTCCATCAAACCAGGTCAATATGACTGCCTAAACTCTGCTAGTTTCTCTTTCCCTAATATTTCCTCTTTTTGGACCAAGCCAGATCTTTAGCCTACACCCAGAATCAACAACTATCCTCCTCCTTCCTTGCCCTTACCATGAGGAAAACAGCTTGGTTACTCAGTATAGCTAGGAAGGGTTCTTCCCTCTCTGGAAATTTGCTTAACAGCTCTCCAGTTTTCTTAAAAATATGATTTTTGCGATTTATTTATTTTTCCCCTAGTTGTTTCGGTTGAGATACTGGCCTGTCACAAGGTACAACAGTCTACTCTGAAGTAGGTTTCCCTTTTTTTATACGTGCAAAAACAGACCCAGAGAGATGGTCTAAGCTACTGGTTTTCAAACCAGGCTCAGCCAACCACTATTTCCCTAGAGCCACTGGATACCATCATGACACAAAGTGGGGAGTCTTTTTTTTTTTGAGACAGGGTCTTGCTCTGTCGCCCAGGCTGGAGTATAGTGTGCAATCACGGCTCACTGCAGCCTTAACCTCCCAGGCTCAACTGATTCTCCGTCTCAGCCTCCTGAGTAGCTGGGACTACAGGCATGTGCCACCACACCCAGCTAATTTTTGTATATTTTGTAGAGATGGGGTTTCACCATGTTGGCCAGGCTGGCCTTGAACTCCTGGGCTCAAACAACCCATCAGCCATGGCCTCCCAAAGTGCTGCGATTACAGGTGTGAGCCACCACACCTGGCTGGCCTTTTCATTTGTTCTGAACAACTTCCCATTCAGCAACAATTTTATTAACTCATTATGACAATTTTAATTAGCTTAAAAAAATCATAGTCTAGGTTTTTGTATACCCCAGCCTGGGGCAACAGAACTTTATCAAGGGCACACAGCCTTTTTCCCTTCGGATACAGGGTTTCAGATAAAATGTAATTGATGGTAATGACTATGGCAGGCTGGAGGCGAGAGGAATATTCAGCTCCCTCTCCTCACGATTCCTTCTCTGCCCACGGAGGAGGGAACTCTTCTGCCTTCACTTGTATCATTTCAACATCTTCCAAGTTCATTCCAAGGGGAATAATTGTTTATCTGATTGTACATTTATTTTACACTAGTCAGTGAGACTCTAATTTTTTAAAAGCAGGAACCCAGACTCCACACAGTCTCTTCTCTTGAATCTATGCAATAACATTCTCTTGACTCTCCATCTCCACGTGTTGTGGTTTAGGGAGGAGGATGGAAAGGAAGCCGTGCCTTGCATGGGGAGCAGAAAGTCTCTGCTTCCAGCCAGGGTTGAGTGTTTTTGATTTAACTCAACTTTGTTTCCCACTTACTATTCCTTGTCCATATGTTCTCTTGGTTTATATCCCGAGAAAGGAGGTGGAGTGGGCAGTAGAATTCAAGTACCAAAACTCTGAACTCTTTAACAAAGGCATAACTTCAGAAACATGTGGGCCTTTTGGACTTGCAATCTTCCTGGCACAGTTATGCTAAAGGTGTTAGCTCTTCCCTGGGTTGGATGTCCAACTTTTCTCTGGTGCTTACATTTCTGAGAAGGCCATATTCATAGCATGTCTGCTGAAATGGAGTTTCACAGAAACTTTGGAGGACTTCTTCCTCCATCTTTCTCTTTGGGCATTCCACTTCAGCTTGTTCTAAAATACTTGATTGTGTTGTTTCTTTATTTGCTATTATAATTTTCTTTAAATAGATGGGCTATAAATTTACCAAGTATTTCTTCTTTTACAAGTAGTAATAAAAGGCGAAGTAATGTCAACATACTTAGAACACCCAATTGTAGAAGGCAAATGGAGAGTTTGAGACTTCCCTAATTTTCCTTCAAACTCAAATCAGTGACAACCTGGTATGGAGCCTCTTAATTCCCCATTCTAGTACTTTTCACTTCTTGGTTTCATTTAACTTAGTAAATGTACTCTTCTACTGTCCAACATACTTTTAGAATGATAGATTTGTGCCAGTTATTTTTTAAACTTTTGTCCTGCTAGCTAGAAAGTTCTACTAGTCTCCCAAGTTAAGCAGAACTCTGTGCTTGTGGAAAGGAAGGGCATGTGGTTAAGATGTTTTTATTTTCTAAGTTGTTTTGATTTACTCAAAGCACAGATCTAATCTCTGCAGACTATTTTTAGAAATTACATGAATTTAAGCTCAAAGGAGCGTTCAATAAAAGCACCATAATTATGCTTACTCCAAGGCTGTGAGGATTTGTTCATCAACTTTTGGTATAACAATAACTTCAATTCACACTACTGTTACATTTAGCAGTAATGGAGGTGAAAGAATAGATCTGCCAAAAGAGAAATATCCAGACCCCAGACCCCGACACTTCCTTATAACATTCAAAGGTAGGAGATGTGGTTGCCCATTAGGTAAAACCCTGTTGCCTGCTTTTCACCTGCCTCCTTCCTTTATTTAGCTCAACACTTCCTGAAGAGCATTGGCTGGAAGAAGTGAGCCCTCTACGTGACATCAAGGACTGGACCCTGGCTCCAAGTCTGGTCACACTCAGTTTTACATGACCAGAGAGTGAGAACTTCTTAGGAACATACAAAACTTGCACAATACATTTACATAAACCATGAAGACCTTCCAGCTCTTGCCACGCAACCTATTTGCCATGGACTGAATTGTCCATAATTCACAAGTTGAAGCCCAACCCCCAGTGTGATAGTATTTGGAGATGGGGCCTTTGGGAGATGATTTAGTTTAGATGAGGTCATGAATGTGGAGCCCTCACCATGAGATTCGTGCCCTTATTAAAAGAGACCAGAGGCCGGGTGTGTTGGCTCACGACTGTAATCCCAGTACTTTGGGAGGCCGAGGCGGGTGGATCACCTGAGGTCAGGAGTTCAAGACCAGCCTGGCCAACATAGTGAATCACCATCTTTATTAAACTACAAAAATTAGCCAGGCATGGTTGGGCAGCCTGTAGTTGTAGTCCCAGCTACTTGGGAGGCTGAGGCAGGAGAATCACTTGAACCCAGGAGGCGGAGGTTGCAGTGAACCGAGATCACACCACCGCACTCCACCCTGGGCGAGGAAGTGAGACTCTGTCTCAAAAGAAAAAAAAAAAAAGAAGAAACCAGAAAATAAATAAATAAATAAAAAGAGACCAGAGTTTGCTCTCCTCCCAGCTGCCCCAGGTGCACAAAGAAGAGTTCATTTGAGTGCACAGGGAGAAGGCAGCCATCTGAAACCCCAGGAGGGAGCTCTCACACGACACCCACCCTGCTGGCACCTTGCTCTTGGCTTACTCTTGGACATTGCAGCCTCTAGAACTGTGAGAAAGTAAATTTCTATTGTGTAAGCCACCCAGTCTGTGATATTTTGTCATGGGAATCGAGCTAAGACACCTTCCCTTGCTCTTTTGGAGAGTTTAAAAAATGAAAGTTTGTTTAAAAAGGCTGAATGTTTCAAAAGACGCTTTCATTGAATTAGAAGTGAAAAAGGAAAAGGGCTTTGGGTTTTTGCTGGGATGAAGTTGAGGCCAAATTACGTTCACTGAGCACCACAAAGGGCATTAGAGAGGCAACATGAAAGGCGAGATCTGCCCTCGCAACACCCCACGCTGGGTTAGCTAAAGCAAAGAATGTCAATATTATCATAGGGTAAGTGCTAAGACATGGGCAGACTCTGAATGTTATGGGAACAAACCCCACTTAGGGCTGAGTCCTGTGCTAAGCCTAAAGGGCACTCAGGAATTACCAGGGGAGGAAGAGTGGGAAGGGCAGTCTACGGAGGGGGAACAGCATGAACGAGCCCAGCACAGTCTACGCCACTGAGTGTAAACTGTAATGCCAAGTGTGCTGTGGTTAAAGGCCACTGCTAAAGCCAAAGGAAAACCGAAGAGAGTGAAAAAATCATAGTTTAAAATCCCTTTTTCCTAGCAACATATTTTAAAAGTCCCATGGAGAATCCTATTCATTTAAAGAAGAGGGGCAGCTGGTCCCAGGAAGATTAGGCATGCAGTTTTATCAGCAGACCAGGGGCAATCCTCTGTATGGATGCCAAGAGAGCGTCTCCGAGCCCCGTGTGTGTCTGTGAGACAGCAGTGAGCCAGCAGGGAGAGTCCTGGGTGCTCCCTGGCTGGGTCACAAACTGGCTGAATAACCTCAGGCAGACCCATCCCCATCTCTGGATTTCAGGTTTCTCTATAAAATAAAGGAACCATCTAGAAAGTATTTCTCAGGGACTAAATTCTGTTCTTTCCCTTATTATCTGTCTTTGAAGGAGTAGGGGATTTTATTCATTTCCGGACTTGTCCTAATGAGAATTTTCAAGAAGCTTAAAAAGGTAGATCAATTCAGACACAAAATATCAATCAGAAGTAGGTAAGAAACATGAAGGAGAGGGGAAACCAAGGAGAGAAAGGCAGAGGGAGGACAGGACAAAAACCACACCAGGGTGGCTGCTGTGCACAGGAGGGGCTTGAGTGTGGCCGCATGATTCCTGGCAGCCAAAGCAAAGAAGGTGCGTGATCAGTTGCACACTGAGTGTCCCTAAAATTCTGGCAAACCAATGCTTGGGAGAAGCCATTCAATGTTAATCTATCTTCTAAGTTTAACATGAGAATGTTGTTACAGACATTCAAGCATATGTTCCAAAGAAAGCAGAGAGCCTTTAATTTAATAAATCTGTCAGCTGCCACATCAAGGTCCAATGTAAAGACCCAGAGTAAAGAAATGTGTTATCTTGTCCCCTCCAATGTATAAAGTACCCCTCTTCATGAAAGCTAAATATATAGAAATATGAATTGTGGCCTTTCCCTGGTCCCACAAAAGGAACGTCAGCTGCTGGCAAGGGCCCCCCCACCCCGTGTGGGTACAGCCAGGAGCCCATCAAGTGTCCTTCTCTATCAAGAAGAAAACAATGCCCATCAGTGGCTACTTTTCATAAAGATCTCTTAAAGCCTGCGGACAAGGCACACACACATTTTCTGAAGGCAAGGAGTATGCATTTCAGAATCCCCTTGCAGCACCCCTTAGTAACTCGGTTTATTCATCTCTACAGCAAAATGTGATTTGCTGATTGTGCAGCCATCTCCAAAATGCTGGGGGACCAGCAATATGCCTGGTGGCCCTGCCATGTTTCTGGTGGTCACTGACTGAGCATGTGCTCAGGACAAAGCATCTAGTCCCTGCTCTGTGTGATAGCAGGATCAAATTCACACATAACAATAATAACCTTAAATGTAAATGGGTTAAATGCCCCAATTAAAAGACACAGACTGGCAAATTGGATAAAGAGTCAAGACCCATCAGTGTGCTGTATTCAGGAGACCCATCTCACGTGCAAAGACGCACATAGGCTCAAAATAAAGGGATGCAGGAAGATCTACCAAGCAAATGGAAAGAAAAAAAAGCACAGGTTGCAATCCTAGTCTCTGACAAAACAGACTTTAAACCAACAAAGTTCAAAAGAGACAAAGAAGTCCATTACATAATGGTAAAGGGATCAATTCAACAAGAAGAGCTAACTATCCTAAATATATATGCACCCAATACAGGAGCACCCATATTCATAAAGCAAGTCCTTAGAGACCTACAAAGAGACTTAGACTCCCACACAATAATAATGGGAGATTTTAACACCCCACTGTCAATATTAAACAGATCAACAAGACAGAAGGTTAACAAGGATATCCAGGACTTGAACTCAGCTCTGCCACAAGCAGACCTAATAGACATCTACAGAACTCTCCACCCCAAATCAACAGAATACACATTCTTCTCAGCACCACATTGCACGTATTCTAAAATTGATCACATAATTGGAAGTAAAGCACTCCTCAGCAAATGTAAAAGAACAGAAATCACAACAAACTGTCTCTCAGACCACAGTGCAATCAAATTAGAACTCAGGATTAAGAAACTCACTCAAAACCGCACAACTGGAAACTGAACAACTTGCTCCTGAATGACTACTGGGTAAATAATGAAATGAAGGCAGAAATAAAGATGTGCTTTGAAACCAATAAGAACAAAGACACAATGTACCAGAATCTCTGGGACACATTTAAAGCAGTATGTAGAGGGAAATTTATAGCACTAAATGCCCACAAGAGAAAGCAGGAAAGATCTAAAATCAACACCCTAACATCATAATTAAAAGAACTGGAAAAGCAAGAACAAACAAATTCAAAAACTAGCAGAAGGCAAGAAATAACTAAGATCAGAGCAGAACTGAAGGAGATAGAGACACAAAAAACCCTTCAAAAAAATCAATGAATCCAGGAGCTGGTTTTTTGAAAAGATCAACAAAACTGATAGACCACTAGCAAGATTAATAAAGAAGAAAAGAGAGAAGAATCAAATAGATGCAATAAAAAATGATAAAGGGGATATCACCACTGATCCCACAGAAATACAAACTACCACCAGAGAATACTATAAACACCTCTACGCAAATAAACTAGAAAATCTAGAAGAAATGGATAAATTCCTGGACACATACACCCTCCCAAGACTAAACCAGGAAGAAGTTGAATCTCTGAATAGACCAATAACAGGCTCTGAAATTGAGGCAATAATTAATAGCCTACCAACCAAAAAGAGTCCAGGACCAGACGGATTCACAGCCAAATTCTACCAGAGGTACAAAGAGGAGCTGGTACCATTCCTTCTGAAACTATTCCAATCAATAGAAAAAAAAATAGGGAATCCTCTAAAACTCATTTTATGAGGGCAGCATCATCCTGATACCAAAGCTTGGCAGAGACACAACAAAAAAAGAGAATTTTAGACCAATATCCCTGATGAACATCAATGCAAAAATCCTCAATAAAATACTGGCAAACCGAATCCAGCAGCACATCAAAAAGCTTATCCGCCATGATCAAGTCGGCTTCATCCCTGGGATGCAAGGCTGATTCAACATACGCAAATCAATAAAGTAATCCATCACATGAACAGAACTAACAACAAAAACCACATGATTATCTCAATAGATGCAGAAAAGGCCTTTGACAAAATTCAACAACGCTTCATGCTAAAAACTCTCAATAAATTAGGTATTGATGGGACGTATCTCAAAATAGTAAGAGCTATTTATGACAAACCTACAGCCAATATCATACTGAATGGGCAAAAACTGGAAGCATTCCCTTTGAAAACTGGCACAAGACAGGGATGCCCTCTCTCACCACTCCTGTTCAACATAGTGTTGGAAGTTCTGGCCAGGGCAATCAGGCAGGAGAAAGAAATAAAGGGTATTCAATTAGGAAAAGAGGAAGTCAAATTGTCTCTATTTGCAGATGACATGGTTGTATATTTAGAAAACCCCATTGTCTCAGCTCAAAATCTCCTTAAGCTGATAAGCAACTTCCGGAAAGTCTCAGGATACAAAATCAATGTGCAAAAATCATAAGCATTCCTATACACCAATAATAGATAAACAGAGAGCCAAATCATGAGTGAAGTCCCATTCACAATTGCTACAAAGAGAATAAAATACCTAGGAATCCAACTCACAAGGGATGTAAAGGACCTCCTCAAGGAGAACTACATACCACTGCTCAACAAAATAAAAGAGGACACAAACAAATGGAAGAATATTCCATGCTCATGGATAGGAAGAATCAATATCGTGAAAATGGCCATACTGCCCAAGGTAATTTATAGATTCAATGCCATCCCCATCAAGCTACCAATGACTTTCTTCACAGAATTGGAAAAAAACTACTTTAAAGTTCATATGGAATCAAAAAAGAGCCCGCATTGCCAAGACAATCCTAAGCCAAAAGAACAAAGCTGGAGGCATCACGCTACCTGACTTCAAACTATACTACAAGGCTACAGTAATCAAAACAGCACAGTACTGGTACCAAAACAGAGATATAGACCAATAGAACAGGACAGAGGCCTCATAAATAACACCACACATCTACAACCATCTGATCTTTGACAAACCTGTCAAAAACAAGAAACAGGGAAAAGATTCCCTATTTAATAAATGGTGCTGGGAAAACTGGCTAGCCATATGTAGAAAGCTGAAACTGGATCCCTTCCTTACACCTTATACAAAAATTAATTCAAGATGGACTAAAGACTTAAATGTTAGACCTAAAACCATAAAAACCCTAGAAGAAAACCTAGGCAATACCATTCAGGACATAGGCATGGGCAAGGACTTCATGACTAAAACACCACAAGCAATGGCAGCAAAAGCCAAAATTGACAAATGGGATCTAATTAAACTAAAGAGCTTCTGTATGGCAAAAGAAAATACCATCAGAGTGAACAGGCAACCTACAGAATGGGAGAAAATTTTTGCAATCTATCCTTCTGACAAAGGGCTAATATCCAGAGTCTACAAAGAACTCAAACAAATTTACAAGAAAAAAACAAACCACCCCATCAATAAGTGGGCAAAGGATGTAACAGACACTTCTCAAAAGAAGACATCTATGCAGCCAACAGACACATGAAAAAATGCTCATCATCACTGGTCATCAGAGAAATGCAAATCAAAACTACAATGAGATACCATCTCATGCCAGTTAGAATGGCAATCATTAAAAAGTCGGGAAACAACAGATGCTGGAGAGGATGTGGAGAAATAGGAACGCTTTTACACTGTTGGTGGGAGTGTAAATTAGTTCAACCATTGTGGAAGACAGTGTGGCGATTCCTCAAGGATCTAGAATTAGAATTACCATTTGACCCAGCAATCCTATTACTGGGTATATACCCAAAGGATTATAAATCATGGTACTATAAAGACACATGCACATGTATGTTTATTGCAGCACTATTCACAATAGCAAAGACTTGGAACTAACCCCAATGTCCATCAATGACAGACTGGATTAAGAAACTGTGGCACATATATACCATGGAATACTATGCAGCCATAAAAAGGATGAGTTAATGTCCTTTGCACGACATGGATGAAGCTGGAAACCATCAATCTGAGCTATCACAAGGATAGAAAACCAAACACAACATGTTTTCTCTCAGGTGGGAACTGAACAATGAGATCACTTGGACACAGGGTGGGGAACACCACACAACGGGGCCTGTCGGGGATGGGAGGCTGGGGGAAGGATAGCATTAGGAGAAATACCTAATGTAAATGATGAGTTGATGGGTGCAGCAAACCAACATGGCAGGTGTATACCTATGCATCAGATTTGCATGTTGCGCACATGTACCCTAGAACCTAAAGTATAAAAAAAAAGAACAAAAAAAGAAACCCAACAGGTGAAGAACAATCCCATTTCTGTAAAAACAGAAAACCTCAGGAATGTGTGTATAAAAAAAATTTCCCAAAGAATATACTCTAAAATGTCTATTATGGTAGAGTCCCATAAGCTTTTTTTTCATTTACTTTCTACATGTTCTATAATTAGCCTTTTGAACTTTTTAAATGAAGATAGTGGACTAAATGGTTTCTAAGGTTTTTTTTCTAGAGATGTCATGGGTCAAAATTAAAGTCACAAGTTAAGGGGAAAGTTATTTGCTTCAATAATGGTGAATACCCCCTACATTAAATACCTACAGGAAAATTCAAACTCTGACCAGGAAACCACGCCATTTGCATTTCCACACCCCAGCCCATGCCTGCTCATGTCTGGGGACGCCTGGCATTCAGCTCTCCGGATGGTTGGGCTGCAGGTGTCCCTAAGGTGCACCCTGACAGCCGGCTCGCTCTGCGGAGCTGCAGAGTGAGTTCCTGGCTCCCGTGACAACCTACTTCCCTTACGTTCATCTGTTCTCCATTAGTCTCCACCAGCCTCTCAGTTTCCTGGAGGTGTTTTCTACATTGTACAGTTACATGTAAAGAAAAATGCAACAGCAGCAAAGCACGGGGGGTCCAGACACAAGCACCCCTTCCCTGGGAGACTGCTTACCACCATCACAGTCAGACGCTCAAGCAGCACCCACACGAGAGGAGAGCCACCAACGTGAAGCCTTTCAGAAAAGGCCCACGGGCAGCCTGGGCAACTAGCGAGACCCCATCTCTACAAAAAAATTGAAAAATTAGCCAGGCGTGGTGGCTCATACCTGTACTTCCAGCTACTCGGGAGGCCCCAGCCCAGCAGGAGCGTTCAGCGAGAGGCAGAGCCCCGGAACAGCGGTGTTCACTCAGTTAAACCTCATGGTCTGAGAGAGTGGCAGGTGTGCCGTTTTCCATAATTAGTCACAGCCCCTGAAGGAAAAGCGCGCCCGTGTGGGGCAGGACCAAAGGAAGAAACGCTTCTGCAATGCTACCGGGAAGTCTGAGCTCACCTTCTTTACCTTGGCACCGAGCTGAAGATCTGTTAGAAACCCTCTCCAACCAGGACTTTCAGGAGAAACGGTGGCCACCGCCCAGAATAACAAGGCCCCAGCAGCAAGGTGTCCTTTTCCCAGCAAGTGAAACCTGCCCCCCGCCACCACCTGTAGTACAGGAGACACCACAAAGCAAGAGGCCCCAGGGCTCTGCTCGGGAAGCTGCCGGGCCTGTTTTTCCTCCCAGTGGCCAACAAACAGGAGGGCAGGTTCAGCACGTTGGGCTCTGCTTTCTGAGCGCCGCACCATTACAGCATCCACATCCGATTTTTAAAACTGAAGTATAACATAAATACCGTGTAGTGTAGGAGGCACAGGAATCTCAAGTACATGGCTTGCTGAGCATTTATACCCATTAGCACCCACACAGCTGCCACCTGGACAGAGACACCGGCCCTTCCCAGCATTGCACCAGGCTCCGCAGACTCCTCCCAATCCATTCACTCATCCCGAATCCCCTCTGTGGCCATGTGCCCTTTCCTACTGCAGTGAGGATTCCATTGTATGGACAGATGAAATTTATGGACTATTTCATCTAGTTAGGTGCTATTATGAATAAAGCTGCCATGGATTTTCTTGAACATGTCTTTTTTTTTTTTTTTTTTTTGAGATAGAGTCTTGCTCTGTTGCCCAGGGTAGAGTGTGGTGGAGTGATCATAACTCACGGCAGTCTTGAACTCCTGGGCTCAAGCAATCCTCCCACTTCAGCCTCTCAAAGAGCTAGGAGCACAGGCACACACCTTTACACCTGGCTAATTTAAAAAGAATTTTTTTTTTTTGTAGAAATGAGGTTTCACTATGTTGCCTAGGCTAGTCTCAAACTCCTGGCCTCAAGCGATCCTCTCACCCTGGTCTTCCAAAGCCCTGGGATTACAGGCGTGAGCCACCACACTTGGCCTTGAACATGTATTTTTTTTAAAAAAATAACAGGCTTACTGAGATATAATGCACACACCATAAAATTCACCCTGTGGAAGAGTACAATTCAATAGCTTTTAGTATACTCACAGTTATGCAGCTACCACCACCATCTAATTCCACAACACTGAACATAACTTGTGAACATATGTCTTTGTTTCTCTTGGGTAAATACTGAGGAGGGGGAATACGTAGATGTTGTATTATGTAGATGTTGTTTAGCTTTGGTACTTCTAAAGCATAAATATCATTCTACAATCCTCACCAACATTTGGTATTGTCAATTTTTTTCACTGTAACCATTCTTTTGGGTGTGTGATTCCACATCAGAGTTAATACCACATTTTCTCAATTCCCCATTCTCTTACTACCAACCAAATATAAACTGAAAGCTGAAATTTCACCTAACAACAGAGGACTCATCTAACAATCTTCAGGACTGACTTTTTTTTCCCTTTTCTTTAAACACCAGTGTAGCACTTCCAAAATGTTAGATAAAATGATGTATCAGGTCCGCTGAGATACTTCAAAAATTGATTAAAAAAAAAAAAGCTAACAGTAACTGCTTAACATACATTATTTTAAATAATTCTTGCAACATTTCTGTGAAGTGTATGCAATTATTCTTATTTGACATATAAGCAAACTGACACATAAATAAGTTATTTGATTTTTCCAAGGTCATATTGCCAGAGAATGAGATTCTTACCCAGGTCTTTCTGTCTCCGAAATGCTGGGCTGCTTGTCACTACTCTCTATAGTCTCATCTCCACAGCCGGTTATAAGATAGGACACTCTATACACCTGCTGAATACATTTGCTGACATAACATCTTTGCACAAAGCAATATGAAAAAAAAATTTCAGGGAAAAGAAAACCTTCATAAAAAGCATAAGTATTGAAACCAGGTTATATATTATGTAATTCTTAGAGTAAACATTCTTAAAAAAGCCCAACTATAACCTGAGGAAAATAATAATAAACATGGCTGACTTCATAGAAGATACAGCCTTCAAATAATTAGGACTGATCAGATCTGGGTGGTTCACACAGCAATAGCTCAATAACCCAATCAAAGATGCATCTACTGTCTGCCTATGGGCTCAAAACTGGGCTGGTTAACTGTTGGGGATAAAATAAGGCACTCTCTCAGTGCTTAAAAGTGAACTCCTATTCTGATTTATGGAGTGTTCTAGCTATCTATGAAGCACAGAATATATATAGCATACTCTAAAGAAAGACGAAATTTAATAACTGCCAAAGTGTTGTACTCCCTTAACCTAACATTTCAAGAGTGCATGAAGGAAGCAAAGTGCTCTGAATGGCACAGCCAAATGGCAGCAAATGTTTGGCAATTTGGAATAATAAGATCAACACTGCTCCCAGTGAAATTCCCAAGGCGGGAATGCAAGGCCTGAAGCTACCAGAACACCCCTACTCCCACCTGAAGGAAAAAATACGTTTTCACAGATAACAAACCCTCCCTTTCAGGGCAGAAGGCAAGGCACAGGTAGCAACTGCTGACTGCATCACTGAAACTGAAGACTTCAAATTCCAAGAAGATAAATCTAACATTGAAAAAGTAAATTATTTTGTTCTTTTCTGGAGGTGGAGGGGTAGTCATCGTACAAAGGACTAACCTGAGACTTGAAAATAATGGCTCCTAATTCCATTTGGACTACAAATTTTGGAAGTACTGTAAAAATCACCAACTCTTTTGCAATTCAAATTATGCCTCTGGGTGCTCTGCTAGGTGCTGGGGATGTAACCCTGAGTAGGATGTGCCCTGCCTTCCTTGGGCTCACAGGCTGATAGAGCAGGTGGATTGCTGGGAAGTATAGTTACCTGATTATTATTATTTTTCTGTTTTCCTTTACTTTTCTTCTCCTGAAGGGGAGAAAAGGGAAAGTGGTGGGCATTTGATATATCAAATATTGACTAATCACCTACTATATTCAAGGCCAACCATAACCATGCCAGAAAATTGTGCGGAAAACACATAAAGCCCTAAGTAGGGAATAATGGCCTGAGGGTGAGGCAGGAAAGAAATAAGACAGAATTCTTCTTGGACACAGATGCAACCCTGGGCCTGCTCCTTGTGCAGCAATCCCCACCCCACACCACCCCAGAGCTCACACAAGAAGACTGACATGGAAATGTGGCCAGGGAGACCCTGTTCCCCACACAATCCTCCCCTTCAACCCTTCTCCTGTCAAACTGCACAGAAACAACCAAAATTACAAATTCAGTCTCATGGCTAGTTGTATTTATGTGATACAAAGCAATTAGCTGTTGACTTAAAAACTTTTCTTGTTGCATACTTGACTAACTGGCTATTTTGGAGTCCTATAAACAAGCACAATTTGCTCGTACTTCACTGTCTGGCCTTAAAATCAGACACAGTCTACTTATACATAAACAAAACAACACCAAACATCTTTATCTAAAGAACGACCAGGTTAGCGCAAAGTGCCACCATAGAGTGAAGAAGGGGAAAAGGGGCCGGCCGGGCACGGTGGCTCATGACTGTAATTCCAGCATTTTGTGGGGCCCAGGCAGGCGGATCACTTGAGGTCGGACGGGTTCGAGACCAGCCTGGCCAACATGGTAAAACCCCATCTCTACTAAAAAAAATACAAAAATTAACTGGGCTTGGTGGCACGGGCCTGTAGTCCCAGCTACTCAGCAGGCAGAGGCAGGAGAATTGCTTGAACTGGGAGGCAGAGATTGCAGTGAGCTGAGATCGCGCCACTGCACTCCAGCCTGAGCGACAGAGCGAGACTCTGTCTCAAAAAAAAAAAGAAAGCAAGCAAGCAAGAAGGAGAAAAAGCAAATTTGGACTACTTTTTGTAAGAGAGGAGAGCAATTTTAAGCAGGAAAAAAATGGGTGAATAACTACACTTTATACAAATTCCACTTTTGGGGATAGAACAGGAAAACAAGTCTGAGGAGGCATCCGGGTACCAGGCCACCAAGATGTCTCTAAGGCACAATGTAACAGACAGTTATTTTCACAAAATTGTACCAAGTAAATATCTGCTAAAATTCTTCCAAATTTACATGTCATGCCTTTCTATCATTGATGCATCCAAACTTAGCTTTCCCATAAAAAAGTCTACTCCTTCAAATTTCCCAAGAGCTGCTTCATCTAGGTCTGCTTTGACTATGGCAGTCACTCTGCTGACACAGGCCATAGGTCCTGGCCATTGTCCGCCCTCTGGTTGGGGCACCAGCAGAACTTACTGTGCTCTTTGCTAACTACCCTATGTTCAGCCACACCTTAGGGAACTTAGTTTTAGGGATACACACAGAGGGTCTTTAAAAAGAAAACCGAACCCCTATAGAATAAATGGCACAAAGAAAGGAAGGAATGGGTATATCACAGGAAAATGGGGCAATGAAGTTACTTTACGAGATATATGCAGAATTCCACCTTTCTCTGTTTCTGACAGGAGTGCAAAGGTGTGCAGAATAAAATCAGTTTTTGAGTGAGTACTCACCCCACACTCATTTATTGGACACCATACTACAATAAACCAAGCACACATCAATTCATCCCCTAGAGGAGGCCGTGCAAATATTCCCAATTAACTGGCCTTTATGTTGCAAAAACGACTTTCATTTTTTAAAAAATTATCTGGGACACTAACGGCACCCATAAAAACCTTAGAGTCAGGAAGTTTACAGAAAGTAAGGACATCTCCCCAGTAAATGAACAAATGATAAATGAGCGAATTCATTCAAGTCAGAAGTTGTGAAACAGAATTGTTATCCTATTTTTGCAACACAGAAGATTGTGATGATCAAAGGCATTAAAAATAGCTCGGAAAAAATGAAGACAACATAACTGGAAATTAAAAAAAAAAACAAGAACCTTACTCAAAACAGCAAAATGTCCACTCATAGCACTCATTTCTCTATGAATTATTTTGACAATAGGAAATGGAATTTAAAAATTTTTCCTGAATCCAAAACTGTATTTCCCCTCCCACGTTCCCTGCAGGAAAACCTTGTTCATAAACAAACAACTCCCAGATAACTAACTTCTTGGCTGGCTGTTTCCATGCGAATGGCAGCTCCCAAACTTGCCACTTCATGTTCCTGTCGCCTCATCAGTGATGTCATGGAAAGACATCAGACATGCTGTTATTATTGCCGAGCGAGAGTCTGCAAAGGAAATTATGCTGCTGCCTCTAGGTTTTAATTTTCCATGAAAAATTATTCTTATTGCCATAGCCGCTGAGACAGTGAAAAAGAAAAATGATTTAATTAGGGAACAGCCATAATTAGATTTTTTAAGCATGGTCTTTCAATATAAAAGTTACATTACAGTACAGCTTCATGTGGTTTAACAATGTATTTTCATCAGACCCTTCCAGAACATATGAAGGTGTTGAATAACAACTGAAGGAAGAAAAGGAATGCTAAACTGCTATAAGAAAGTTATATCTGAAATGAGCTTCGAAACGTGATGGGAAGGAGGAGTGAGGTGTCCTCAGCAGCTAAGATGGGAAGAACCTCAAATAGTGAACTGGGGAGAGGAGCCCCCTCTTCTGTGATTACCGTTCACCATCCAGGTGGTGGAGAAAGACAGTAACAGGCTCCCCACCCAAGAGATAGTGGGAATCAGGATGATAATGCAAGGATGACTAGAAAGAAAGAAATAACAGCAGTAATAGAATACAAAGTAGAAAAATGAAGAGAACCAACTCTGTTCAGCATAGACTTGACCTAGTGAGAGCAAAGTGTGATGGGCTTTGTAAACATACTTCTATGATTTCCCCTGTAGTGTGTGTGTGTGTGTGTGTGTGTGTGTACCAGAAATTGAACCTATAAGAACTATGATTACAGACTATGAGAGATTTGTTTACTTGTCACCTCCTCAGAAGTTCAAGGTATGAGTCAATGTTAAGCCTTGAAACTTCCCTACAAATGTATCTCAAAAAATTAGTGAAGGGTAAAAAATTACATTATTTAGGCCGGGCGCGGTGGCTCACGCCTGTAATCCCAGCACTTTGGGAGGCCGAGGCAGGCGGATCACAAGGTCAGGAGATTGAGACCATCCTGGCTAACATGGTGAAACCCCCTCTCTACTAAAAATACAAAAAAAATTAGCTGGGCATGGTGGCGGGCACCTGTAGTCCCAGCTACCTGGGAGGCTGAGGCAGGAAAATGGTGTGAACCCAGGAGGCGGAACTTGCAGTGAGCTGAGATCATGCCACTGCACTCCAGTCTGGGCGACAGAGCAAGACTCCGTCTCAAAAAAAAAAAAAAATTACATTATTTAGAAGTCATGAAATCTGTGTGATTATTCCACGTTAAAAAAAAATTCATCTTTTTCTCTTAATTCCACCAGAAACATCGAGAGTTTTACCAATGGTCTTGGAGATATTCTAAAATTCTGAACATGGAATCTTAATAACATCTGTTGATAACACTTTCATGAGTTCATCGTATATTTCAAACAGGTTTAATTTTGTCTAGTAAAGTGACATAACCAAGACTCCTTCTTAGTTCAATATTGTGGCAATAGATCAAGACACATGTCAATGTCAACATGTCACTGAAGAAAGAAAGACATTAGGCCTTGCTATTACTTTCACCCAAGCTCCTGAAACCTGGAAAAATAGCAGGAGAGATAGGAAGTTGAAACTCAGAAAAATTCCTAGGCAGCTAAGAGATCTTCATAAGGATACATCAAAAAGAGGCTGAAATTAACCAGCTGACTCTTTTCAACTCTTAAGGGAAACTCCTATATGGGAGACATGGTCAGGGATGGCGGTCATGTTACCCACAAGGAGGCGTTGTTATGGAGACAGCTTTGAAGGATCCCTGGCAATTCCAGTGTATAATTAAGGCTAGTGAGTGATCACAGAACAGCCAGCAGGGTGGTCTCCATGGAAACCACCAAACATATATTTTCACATGCAGAGCAAATGTTCTGAATCAATGACTCTTTATATAGGTTTAAAAACATTGTGAATGATGCATCAATTGCTTCTTCTGTGAGACAATAACTGATTAAATATGCAGTGAGAGACCTTGTCCTCATGCATGCTGAATTCTGAGTAGTGTCTAGAATAGACAGTCCACAACTAAATTCACTACCTAGAACTAGTGAATACAAACAGTAAATTCAGACCCAGGAAATCACTGGTTAATTTCATGAGAGAATTAAAACAGCAGATTGATGGAGTCAAGGAAGACCTGCCAACTGCTGGCTCTCATTAATCTAGGGCTCTCTACATATTATTTAATCCTCTCAATAACATAGACATTATTATTGCATTGTTTACAGATGAGAAAAAATGATTCATACACCTAGAAAGTGGCAGACAAGACTCAAAAGCTGGGTTCAAATTAAGTCTTGGTCTAGGTCTGTATGACTCTACATAATGCTCTGTGTCTGCAGAGCACTTTTCCACCCCCCAGCCATTTTCACATATATTATCTCATATATTCTGCTTTGAAACACTTAGGATCACAGGTTCTAGCATTTTCTAATTTTGCAATATGTCCCCCCGGGTCCTTGACTCTGTGCCCAACTTCTGTACCCACAATGCGCTCCAGGTTCTAGGACTTACATGGGACCATATCTAAGAAGGCTTTGCCCATCTTTCACTCTGACAGTATGAACACCATTCCATCCTAAGGAGCAATAGGAAGGAAAATCTCATGCCATAAGTGTAACAAGGTCTCACTCTGTGGCTCAGGCTGGAGTACAGTAGTGCAATCATAGCTCATTGCAGCCTCAAACTCCTGGCTCAAGCAATCCCAATCCTCCTGCCTCAGCCTCCCAAGTAGCTGGGACTACAGGTACAAGCCACCACACCTGGCTAATTAAAAAAAAACTTTTTGTAGAAATAGGGTCTTGCTATGTTGCCCAGGCTGGTCTTGAACTCCTGGCCTTAAGCAATCCTCCTGCCTTGGCCTCCCAAAGTGCTGGGATTACAGGCATGAGCCACCACACCTAGCCTATAAGTATAAATTCTGACTGTCCAAACAAAGCAAAAAGAGAGATAAACAATCCAATTAACTGCTTGTAGCATTTACAACACAATCATCCACAAGAGAAGGTGGAATTTGGAGACAGGGGTGAAAGGTCAGATTGCTGCATATTTCCTACTTTAATCAGTCTTATTACATAATTTTAAAATCTGGCAAATGCTTTATTAAGTAGGCACTGATAATTAATAATATAGTTCCTAGCAGATCATTATATAATGCTACAATTCAATGTAAATGTGATTAGCATTTAGTCTTGAATACCAGATACAATAGTCAGCACTGTCAGAGCTTGTTATCATCACAACGTTTGTGCACTATCTTTGGATATCTTTCTAGTTCAGACTCCTTGCTTTACAGATGAAACAATGGAGGATTACAGGGTGTCTTAGTCCATCTGGGCTGCTATAACAAAATTCTATAGGCTGGGTAGCTTACAAGCAATAAAGATTTGTCTCTCATAGTTCTGGAGGCTGGTAAGGCCAAGGTCACAGCCCCTGCAGATTCCGTGTCTGGTGAAGGCTGCTGTCTCAGAGATGGCACTTTCTCACGGCATCCTCAAGGTGGAAGAAGCAAGGCAGCTCTCTGGGACCTCTTTTACAAGGACACTAATGCCCTTCATGAGGGCTCTGCCTTTATGAGCTACTCATCTCCCAAAGTCCCCGCCTCTTACTACCATCACCTTGGGGCTTAGGATTTCAAGGTATTGATGTTAGGGGAACATAGACATTCAGACTAGAGCAAAGGGGTTCCGCGAATAGTGACCAAAGTCAAACAGTGAGTACTTCTTCCTTTCCTTTTTCCCCCTGAAATCCCAGTCTCTCTACCACGCACCTCATGGAAAAGACTAGAGCCTCCGTGCATGCCTCTCTCCTATCACTGCCCAGGACATCTCTAGTATCACCCAAACTGTAAGAATCTAGTGCTTGGGCAACATAACAAGATCTCATCTCTACAAAAAAATAAAATTAGCCTGGCATGGTGGTGCGTGCCTATAGTCTCAGCCACTGGGGAGGCCGAGGCAGGCAGATTGCTTGAGGCCAGGAGTTTGAGGATACAGTTGCATGATGGCATCACAGCACCCTGGCCTGGGTGATAGAGAGATCCTGTCTCTAAAAAAAAAACAAAATCAAGTATATCTTAAAACCCCTGGAGTTGCCAGCTGTTTCAGGCCAGCAGTACATTATGACATAGTTTTAGGGAAGGGATAGGGGAGGCAAGTGAGGTGCCTAGGCTGCGGCATTTGAGGAGGTGCTTGTTCACACTCAGGCACCAACCCAGCACTGCACAGCCCAAGAGTGAGGGCCACCTTCATCTTGGTCCTGTGTATATGAAAGATGAAATTCTAACAATGGAAAATATAAATGAAACCAAATCAAGAGACTTATTCTGAGCAAGCTATGAAAAGTTATTTTCCCAGGGCCATAGAAAAAAACAGACAAAGGCTGGGTTTTCTGCCTGTCATTGTCTTCGGGACATGAGATGGTGGTAGCAATTACGGCATCAGCTTTAAAGGAAGAAAGTGATCTTACAGAGGCAGCTTTGAAAGGAGGAGCACAGACTGGCTCCTCAGGCCCCACAAGCATTGCCGCTGCTGTCCCGGGAAGCTTCTCCGCCCCTTGCTCTTGCGCCACATAAACTCACTCTGACCTCCGCTGCTTCTTCCCAGTGATGCTGAGAACTCAAGTCAGTCTGAAGTTAACAAGAGTAAGACAAGGCACTACTCAATCCAGGAAGAATTCTCATGTGAGGATTGAAATCTGCTGGAGAAACTGACTAGGAGAAAACTATAAACTCACACACACCACATCTTCCTTTCACGTCTACACACGTCCCTGCATTTCTCTTCAATTTGTTTACTTTGTTCTGCCTGAGTGCTTTACATCATATGTGAGAGGGGATCCTGAGATTTTATGAAGATGCAGTTAGATTTTACATGCCCAAATTTACCAAAATGAGAGATTATTTTTTAAAGAGTTGCTAAATATTCCAATACTTTTGGCTTCTTAAATTTTTTCTCAAATGCCCAGAGAGAAAAACAACAATAATAGTGATAACAACCTAAAATGACTTCAAAGGCACTTTTTCTCCACGCTAAGTATTCTCAGATCTGAGGAAGATACTGAAAAAGGTGAGGACCAGAGACAGACATGGATGCCTTCTCTCAGAACTTGGAACTGATGAAGTTGATGTGACATCTTCGAAAACAGCCCCCAAATGGGTCCTTTTGGAGCAGTGAAGAAGGCCCCTCGGCCCCCTTAACGACCTCCCTCCCTGTGTATTTTTTAGTCTTCACATAAGCCCGATTCTCCTCTGGCACCACTGAAACATCCTTCTGAGTCACTTTCTGAACATGCTGGCACCCAGTGTAGGCACAATGACATCATGGGAATGCTGTATTGCTAAGTACGATTTTGTCGTATTTCAAATGTCAGCACGTTTTGATGTGTAGGTGGTTCAAAGAATGGATACATATTCTACCACGGAGGATCACAAGCTTATTTTCAAATAGGAAAAAGAGAGAGAGAGGGGAGATTGCTTGATGTACCCGAGGCTGGAAGAGATAGATCTTAATGGCTCATTGAATCCAATTTTCATTTAAGAAGAATTAGCATTAAACCACAGCAGCCAATTAAAAATCCTCCCTCTTCTGAATTAACTATTGAAGAGAAAAATTATAAACTTCCCTCAGAATTTAAGAAGAAAAGAAAAATACAATAAATAAAAAAGAGACTTGAAACTAGTTGTCAAATAGGTAAACTCATATACACAGGAAAAAAAAAAATGTCCTAAATCCTAAAGGACAGGATTTAAGCACTATGCTTTGAGCACTATTACTTTACAGCTTTCAGGGATGATTTGCATGCCATAAAATTCACTTATTATAAAGTGTAATGATTGTTAATGGACAAATTTAATAAATTAACTTAAATGATGATGCAACCATCACCACAATCCAGTTTGAAAGTTTCCATTAGCCAAAAAACTTCCTTTGAGTCTATTCACAGTCAATTTCTTTCTCTAAGAAACCACTGGTATACTTTCTGTCTCTATAAAATTGCCTTTTTATGGGCATTTCACACAAACTGAATAATACTATATGTATTCTTTTGTGACTGGATTCTTTAGCTTAGCATAATATTTTTGAGGTTCATCCATGCTGTAGCAATGTATTAATAGCCCATTCCTTCTGATTATTGAATAGTATTCCAAATTGTATATATATATACTATATCTTATTTATATATTCACTAGTTGATGGACATTTAGAATTATTTCCAGTTTGGGTTTCTTATGAATAATGCTAATATGAACACTCATGTATGGGTTTTTTTGTGGCCATATACTTTCATTTCTCTTGGGTAGATTCTTAAGAATAGAATTGCTAGGTTGTAGTCACTTTATGTTTAATCTTCTAAAACTACCAAACTGTTTTTGAAAGTGACTGTATATATGCCTACCAGCAATTTATGAATGTTCTGGTTTCTCCACATCCTTGCCAACATTTGGCACTGTCTGTACCTTTTTAAAAAATTATAGTAGTGGGTGCGTGGTGATATCTCATCATGGTTTCAATTTGCATTTCTCTAATGACTAGTGATGCCAAACACCTTCCTATGTACTTATTAACCATTTAGATATCTTCTTTTATGAAATATCTGTTCATGTGTTTAGATCAGTTTTATTTTTTATAAGTATCAACATTATCTTTTTTTTTTTTGAAATGGAGTCTTGATCTGTCACCCAGGCTGGAGTGCAGTGGCACAATCTTGGCTCAATGCAACCTCCACCTCCTGGGTTCAAGTGATTTTCCTGCCTTGGCCTCCCAAGTAGCTGGAACTACAGGCGTGCGCCACCACACCCAGATAATTTTTGTATGTTCAGTAGAGACAGGGTTTCACTATGTTGACCAGGCTGGTGTCGAACTCCTGATCTCAGGTGATCCACCTGCCTCGGCTTCCCAGAGTGCTGGGTTACAGGCATAAGCCACTATGTCTGGCCTCAACATTATCATTTTATTTATTTATATTTTTTATTTTTATTTTTATTTTTTTTGAGACAGAGTTTCACTCTTGTCGCCCAGGCTAGAGTGCAATGGCGTGATCTTGGCTCCTGGGTTCAAGCGATTCTCCTGACTCATCCTCCTGAGTAGCTGGAATTACAGGCATGCGCCACCACATCTGGCTAATTTTGTATTTTTAGTAGAGACAGGGTTTCTCCATGTTGGTCAGGCTGGTCTCAAACTCCCGACCTCAGGTGATCCGCTCACCTCCGCCTCTCAAAGTGCTAGGATTACAGGTCTGAGCCACCAAGCCTGGCCTATTTATTTATTTTTAACTTGTATTTTTTGTTAACTTTTAGGTTCAGGGGTACATCCCCAGGTTTGTTATATAGGTAAATTGCATGTCACAGGGGTTTGATGTACAGATTATTTCATTACCCAGGTAATAAGAATAGTACCCAACGAGTAGTTTTCCAATCCTCTCTGTCCTCCCATCCCTCACCCTCAAGTAGGCCCCGGTGTCAGCCGTTACTTTCTTTGCATCCTTGTGTTCTCAATGTTTAATTCCCACTTATAAGTGAGAACATGCGATATTTGGTGTTCTATTCCTATGTTGTTTCGCTTGGGATAATGGCCTCCAGCTCCATCCATGTTGCTGCAAAGGACATGATCTCATTCTTTTTTTTTTTTTTTGAGATGGAGTTTCGCTCTTGTTGCCCAGACTGGAGTGCAATGGCGCTATCTCAGCTCACTGAAACCTCCACCTCCCAGGTTCAAGTGATTCTCCTGCCTCAGCCTCCAGAGTAGCTGGGATTACAGGTGCGTGCCACGACGCCCAGCTAATTTTTGTATTTTCACCATGTTGGTCAGGCTGGTCTCAAACTCCTGACCTCAGGTGATCCACCTGCCTCTGCCTCCCAAGGTGTTGGGATTACAGGTGTGAGCCACCATGCTCGGCCAATCTCATTCTTTTTTATGGCTGCATAGTATCCCATGGTGCATATGTGCTACATTTTCTTTATCCAGTCTACCATTGATGGGCATTTAGGTTGATTCCATGTCTTTGCTATTGTGACTAGTGTTGTGATGAACACACATGTGCATGTGTCTTTATGGTAGTACAATTTACATTCCTTTGGCTATATGCCCAATAATGGGATTGCTGGTTTGAATGGTAATTCTGTTTTAAGTTCTTTCAGCAATCAACAAACTGCTTTCCTTTAGACCATTTTTAAATTGGGTTGTAGGTCATCTCATTGAGGTGTAAGAATTCTTTATATATTCTGGATATAGTTCCTTTATCAGACATTATGATTTGCAGATATTTTCTCCTAGGCTGTGGCTTACCTTTTAATTTTCTTTTTCTTTTTTTTTCTTCTTTTTTTTTTTTTTGTTTTGAGACAGAGTCTCGCTCTGTCGCCCAGGCTGGAGTGCAGTGGCGCGATCTCGGCTCACTGCAAGCTCTGCCTCCTGGGTTCATGCCATTTTCCTGCCTCAGGCTCCCGAATAGCTGGGACTACAGGTGCCCGCCACCACGCCTGGCTAATTTTTGTATTTTTAATAGAGACCAGGTTTCACCATGTTAGCCAGGATGGTCTTCATCTCCTCACCTCATGATCCGCCCGCCTTGGCCTCTCAAAGTGCTGGGATTATAGGCGTGAGCCACAGCACCTAGCCTACCTTTTCATTTTCTTAATGGTGTTTTTTGAATTGTAAAAGGTTTTAAGTAAACTACATTTTATCAATTATTTTATGACTTATGCTTTTGGTGTCATATCTAAGAATCTGCCAAACCCAAGGCCATTAAGGCTTTTTGTTATGTTTTCTTCTAATAGTTTTCCAGTTTTAGCATTACATTCAGGTCTGTGATCCATTCTGAGTTAATGATGGCGAGCAAGGATCTAAGATTGTTTATTTGTAGGTTGGTTTGTATATGGATATCTGATTGCTCCAACACCGTTTGTTGAAAAAACAATCCTGGCCAGGCGCAGTGGCTCACGCCTGTAATCTCAGCACTTTGGGAGGCCGAGGTGGGCGGATCGCTAGGTCAGGAGTTCAAGACCAGTCTGACCAACATGGTTAAACCCTGTCTCTACTAAAAATACAAAAATTAGCCGGGCATGGTGGTGGGCACCTGTAATCCCAGCTGCTCAGGAGGCTGAGGCAGAAGAATGGCTTGAACTCGGGAGGTGGAGGTTGCAGTGAGCCAAGATCGCACCACTGTACTCCAGCCTGGGCGACAGAGGGAGACTCCATCTCAAAAAAAAAAAAAAAAAAAAAAAAAAAAAATTCTTTCCTCATTGTGATTGGCACCTCTGTTGAAAATTAATTGACCATAAATGCCTATCCCTACACCAATACCATAATGTCTTGATTATTCTAGCTTAGTACTAAATTTTCAAATCACATAATTTAAGTCCCCCAACTTTATCTTTGTCAACATTGTTTTGGCTATTGCATTTCCAAATAAATTTTAGACAAATTTGTGAATTTCTACCAAAAAAAAAAGCCTGCTGGGATTTTGACAGGGATTACATTGAATCAATTTAGCAAAAATTTCCATCTTAACAATATTGTATTTCTTGATTTTTTAAGATTTTATTTAATTCCTCTCAAAAAGGTTTTATAGTTTTCAATGTATAAATGTGATACTTCTTTGTTAAGTTCCAAAGTATTTTTTCCTTTTTGATGCTATTGTGAATGGAATTGTTTTCTTAATTTTATTTTAATAAACATGACTTTTCATTACTAATATATAAAACTTTGAGCTGGGTGCACTGGCTCATACCCATAATCCCAGCACCTTGGGAGGCTGAGATGGGAGGATTGCTTGAGGCCAGGAGTTTGAAACTAGCTTGGGCAACATAAGACCCCATCTCTACAAAAAAAAAAATATTTTTAAAGTAAAACTAGTTTTATTTATTTATTTAAGAGACAAAGTCTTGCTCTGTCACTCAGGCTGGAGTGCAGTGGTGACAATAGCTCACTGCATCCTCAAACTCCTGAGCTCTGGCGATCCTCCTGCCTCAGCCTCTTGAGTAGCTGGGACCATAGGCACATGCCACCATGCCAGACTACTTTTCTTATTTTTTGTAGAGACAGGATCTCACTATGTTGCCCAGGCTGGTCTCAAGTGATCTTCCCACTTCAGTCTCCGAAAGTGCGAGGATTATAGGCATGAGCCACCACACCCTGCCTTCAACTATTTTTATAGTTTCCTTGGGATTTTCTATATATATGATGGTCTCATTTGTGAATAAAGACAATTTTATTTCTTCCTTTCCAATCTGGATGCTTTTTTTTTTTTCCTATTGCACTGCCTATTGCATTCCTAAAAACTCCATTCCAATGTTCAATAGAAATGGTGAAAGTGGACATTCTTATGTTGCTCCTGATCTTAGGGGGAAAGTATTCAGTCTTCCCCTGTTAAAGATAATGTTAGTTACAGGATTTTCACAGATTTTATCAGGTTCTCTTATATTACTAGTTTTTTGAGAGTTTTTATAATGAATAGATGCTAGATTTTGTCATGATTTTTCTGAACCTATTGAAATGATCATGTATTTTTGTTCTTTAGTCTGTGAAAACAAGGTATTACATTAGTTAATTTTTGTATGTTAAACCAACTATGCATTCCTGAGATAAATCTCACTTGATTATGGTGTATAATTCTTTTTATATGTTGCCAAATTTGGTTTGCTAAGATTTTGCTAATATATTTGTCCCTGTGTTCATGAGGAATATTGGTAATTTTCTTATTATTTGTTTTATCTGGCTTTACAGCTGGGTAACCCACCTCATAGAATAACTTGGGAGTTATTCCCTCTTCCTTTAGTTTCTAAAAGAATTTGTTTTAAAACACTTCTTCTTTAAATATTTGATAGAATTCATCAATAAAGCCAACTGGGGCTGAGCTTTTCTTTTCCTAAAAACCTAAGAAAGATTTTAAATTACTTATTTTTATTTACTTGTTATGGATGTATTCAGATTTTTCATTTCTTCTTGAGTCAGTTTTCCTTATTTGTTCCTTTCTGGGAATTTGCCCATTTCATCCAAATTGACTAATTTTCTGTCATAAAGTTATTCAAAATCTGAAGTTATCTACAATATACAATCCTTTTAGCTTCTATAGGATCAGTAGTAACATCTTTTTCATTTCCAAATTTGATAATTTGCATCTCTCTCTCTCTCTCTCTTCTCTCCTATCTCTCTCTCTCTCTGAGACAGGGTCTCACTCTGTCACCCAGGCTGGAGTGCAGTGGCGTGATCACGGCTCACTGCATCCTTGACCTCCCAAGTGATCCTCCCATTTCAGCTTCCCAAGTAGCTAGGATTACAGGTATGTGACACCATGTTCAGCTAATCATTTAAAATTTTTTTCTTGTAGAGATGGTGTATCACTACGTTACCCAGGCTGGTCCTGAATTCTTGGGCTGAAGTGATCTTCCTGCCTTGGCCTCCCAAAGTGCTTGGATTATAGGCATGAGCCACCATGCCTGGCCTCTTTTCTCTTATTTTCTTGGTCAGTCTAGCCAGAGGTTTGTCAATGTTGCTGATGTTTTCAAAGAATCAACATTAATATTCTACATTATTTTTCTGTTTCCTATTTCATTAATTTCCACATTAAACTTTATTATATCCTTCCTTCTGCTTACTCTGAATTTAGTTTGCCCTTTCTTCTTTTCTAGTTTCTTAAGATGGAAGCATAAGTTATTGATTTGAGACCTTCATTCATTTCTGATATGGGTGTTTACAGATATAAATTTCCCTTCAAGCACTACTTTAGCTGCATCTATAAATTTTGATATGTTGTATTTCTGTTTTCATTTGATTGAAAAATTTTAATATCCATTGTAATTTCTTCCTTGACCTACAAACTATTTAGAAGTATATTTAATTTCCAACTAAATGGGGTTTTTCTAGATTTTTTTCTATTGTGAATTTCAAATTTAATTCTGCTATGGTCAGAGAACATACTTCATATGATTTCAGTCTTTTAAAACTTGGGAGTTGTTTTGTCAACCAGCATACTATGTATTGTGGAGAATATTCCATGTGCGCTTGAGAAGAATGTGTATTCTGAAATCAATTGGTGGGGTGTCACATAAATGTCAGTTATGTCAATTGGTTGATAGTGTTGTTCAAGTCTTCTATGTACTTCTATATTCACGCTTTTCTACTGAGTTGTTCTGTCAACTGCTGAGAGTGCAGTATTGAAATCTCCAATTAGTATTGTTAAATAATCTATTTATCTTTTCTATTACTTGTTGTTTCACATACCTTGGGTGCTGTTTTAGGTGTATATATATTTAGAACTGTTATATCTTCCTAATGCATTAACACTTTTATCATTATTAAATGTCCCTATTTTTTCTCTAGTAATATTTCCTGTTATAAAGTCTATTTTGTCTGATTTTAATATAGCCACTATACCCAGCTTTCTTATGGTAACTGTCTGTGTGGTTCTTCCATCCTTTTACTTCCAGCCTACTTGTGTCTTTTACTTTAAGGTATAACTGTTATAGACAGCATATAGCTCATATAGCTGGGTTTTGTTTTTAAAAAATCCAATATGACAGTCTCTATTTTTTGTCAGGTATTTAGTCTATTCATATTTAATGTAATTACGGATATGGCTGCTAGCAACAAATCTCTTAGTTTTTATTCATCTAGGAATGTTTTTATTTCTCTTTCATATTTGAAGAATAGTTTTGCATATATCAAATCCTTGGTTGACAGGTTTTTCTTTCAGCATGTTGAATGTGTCACCCCACTTGCCTTCTGGCCTCCACTGTTTGTGATGAGAAGTTAGCCACTAATTGCACTGTTGTTCCCCCATATATGTTGAATAATTTCCCTCTTGCCACTTTTAAGATTTTCTCCTTGTCTTTCAACAGTTTGATTATAATGTGTCTAGATCTCTTTTTGTTTATCTTACTTGGGACTCACTGAACTTACTGAATCTGTAAATTAATATTTTTCAACAAATTGATTTCTTCAAATATTGTTCTAACCCTCTCTTCTCTTCTGGGATTCTTATTACACATATGTTTGTTGCTATATTTGATGTCTCACAGGTCTCTGAGGCTCTGTTCACATTTCTTCAATTTAAAAAAAACCTGTTTTTTGGCCAGGCACGGGGGCTCACGCCTGTAACCCCAGCACTTTGGGAGGCCAAGGCAGGTGGATCACGAGGTCAGATATCGAGAACATCCTGGCTAACATGGTGAAACCCCGTCTCTGCTAAAAATACAAAATATCAGCCAGGCGTGGTGGCACGCACCTGTAGTCCCAGCTACTCGGGAGGCTAAGGCAGGAGAATCACTTGAACCCAGGCAGTGGAGGTTGCAATGAGCTGAGATGACACCACTGCACTCCAGCCTGGGCGACAGAGCGAGACTACGTCTCAAAAAACAAAACAAAACAAAACAAAAGCCTATTTTTTTAGATTGAATTATTTCATTTGCTTTACCTTCTTATAAGTGGTACTTATAAAAGAACTTATAAGTTCACTTATTCTTTCTTCTGCCACGTCAAATCTGTTGAGTCCCTCTAGAGCACTTTCAGTTCAGTTATTGTACTTTTTACCTCTAGAATTTCCATTTGGTTCTTTCTTTTCCTTTCTGTAAATAATTTATATCTCTTTACTGAGATTCTGTATTCACCGAGTCTTTGCTTCAATTCTTTAAACATGGTTTCCTTTTGATTTCTGAATAAATTTAAATAGCTGCTCTGTAGACTCTTTAGGCTAAATCCTACTTCTGAGGACAGACACCCAGAGATAGTTCCTACTGACCACTTTTTTACTACACACAGATCACATTTTGCTTCTCTGAATGTCTCTCATGTTTTTGTTGAATACTGAACCTTTTACATAACATACGGTAGCAACTCTGAAATCTGACTTTCCCCACAAGATTTGTTGTTATTGTTGTTTTGCTTATTTAGTGATTTTCCTGAACTAAATTGTGAATGTGAAATCTGTCTCCCATATAAGCTACAGCTGCTGATGTCTTTACTCAAATTTTTTTCTTGTTTTTATTTTTAAATCTGGTGTCTAAGGGTCATCCTCATGTCTGCATAGCTTAGTGTTCTGGCAAAGACTAGTCAGAAATTTTGCTCCAACACCTTGGGCCAGAAAGGCTTCTCCCTGCTCCTGACTCTGTGTGCGGGCTGGGAGAGCACATTCAAACCCCAGGCTGTTTTCACATCTGCCCTGGCTTTTACTTTCTGCTAGCTCTTTCACAGCTCCTCTGTGTGTGTATGCAGGCTCTGCTGGCCAGGAATACGTGAGCCTGTTCCATCACTACTGCTCATATACACAGACTAAGTTCAATCTGGGACATATTAAAAAAAATCAAGCCCCTGATTGCTGTCTCATCTCTCAGAACTACCTATTAAGTCCCCCACTAGACCACTGGTCCACTGCTTGTTCCAAAGAGGACTATCAACTCAAGCTAGTAAAGCTACTGGCCTTTCGTGTTCATGCACCACCGAGTTGGCCTATTTAACAGACAATCCTCCAAACAGAGTGAACCCCTCTTGGAAGTGGTGGTAAGCCTGCTGGTTTTCACAGCCTCGCCTGCTCTGGTTGAACTATCACACTGGGGAGGAGGGAATGGGAGTGATGATAGGCAAGAACACCACAGATTCGTTCTGTTCCTACCCAAAGGTTAATAGTTTTCATGAACAAATGCGTCTCAATTTATTGCATATATTTGGTCAATTTTTAGGGAGCTGAAATGGATGTTTTTGACAGTTTTCTTCCAGCTTTCTAGCTGTTTTTTGGGAAGAGGTTTCATCAACCTCCTCACTCTGTCATGCCAGAAATCAATATCTCAGCTACTTTTTACATTCTGCTAGAATTGGAATTATTAATGCTATTAAAAAATAGGCCATGTGGACCGAGCACAGTGGCTCACACCTGTAATCCTAGCACTTTGGGAGGCTGAGGTGGGTGGATCATTTGAGGTCAGGAGTTTGAGAACAGCCTGGCCAACATGGTCAAACTCCATCTTTACTAAAAATACAAAAATTAGCTGGGTGTGGTGGCGCACACCTGTAATCCCAGCTACTTGGGAGGCTGAGTCAGGAGGGTCGCTTGAGCCTGGGAGGCAGAGGTTGCAATGAGTTGAGATCATGCCACTGCACTCCAGTCTGGGCAACAGAGTAAGACCCTGTCTCAAAACAAAACAAAACAAAAACAAAAACAAAAACAAAAAAATGCATGGGGGTGAAAATATCATTAAAAATCTTATTTTCAAAGCAAAATGTTTGAGGTTTTTTTTCTGGAGAAACTTCAACCCATAAAACACAAAGATGACTAAAAGCCCAAGTTAAATAATGATTTCATTAAATTAAATTTAATTAATTAAGGAGGCTTACTCCTTGAAAGCAGCATCTAGAGCTCTACAACTTGCCTCCCTCACAGGCACTAAGGAAATGAAACGTGCCAACAGAAGTTGGCCCCACCATGTTTCAGTTAAGATTGGCCATCCCACAGCCACTTCCCCGCTCCTTCTGTTTCTTTGTGGTTCCCCCACCACTTTATCTTATGCTTCCCCCATAGTCATTCGGATACACAGAGGTTGTTCTTAGAATAATCCCTTTTCTAAGGTTTCATAGAAATGCCCCAACCTGGCCATTTGTCTATCTTCCTTTCTCTATCACCTTGGATCGACTGAGTCCCCTTGTGTAAGTCACTTGAGCTCTGGACACCTGCACAGCCTCCAGGAAGGAAATAAGGAGCCTATCCATGATTGTCTTCCAGGACTGTAAGAAAGATGAAATATGCCATGTTGATAAAATGAGCAGGCCTCAGAAATCGTTACCTGAATGAAGGAAGGATCAGGCTCAGGGACAGCGCCTAGAAGTGGTCTCATGAAGCTCAAACAACTTCACATTACCCAGGTTCTGAGATCTTTGGATACACAGGCTCTTGAGAGAGAATTTCCCACCCCTCTTGTCTCTTACCTTAGCAAAGAAAATCCAGGCTGCACACTGCCCTGGGGCCAGAAGGTTTTTTAGCTTCACTGTACTGAACATGAGAAAGAATCCCAAAAATCCACTGGAAGGAGAAAAGATTCTCTTGTTAGTGAGGCTTGTCTTCCCTTAGCCAATGGCTGACTAGTGTCTGCTACATTTTACCAATCAATTTCAAATTATTATGCAACCTCTACCTCATCTGTGTTTTCTAGATCTGTGATCTCTGGATGAAAATAAAAAAAATTTTAAAGTCATTAAGCTCTGCTTTTCTAAGGAGCTATGGTGGGAGAATTTTGATTAGAGGAATGGTGCAAAGAAATTTCAGAGGCCTCTGGCTAAATCATGAAAGAAAAAAAAGGTGGAGGACAACACCTCTTGTTCCTTCCCATAGAACTTCTGGAGTTTTGGTGCTTGGCAAGGCAGAGCTTAAATTTTTTTCAAGCAAGATAAACTGGCAGGAAAAGACTTCCAAAGGGAAACTCACCATGTGAGAAGAGAGAGTCTGGACTGGCCTCCAGGCTCAAAAGAATCTGAAGGGGAAGGCTGGCTTCAGTGACACATATGGCTGAGGCCAGAAGTCCCCCAAACCAGGCTGTCCTGCCATAGGAGGTATGCTTTGGAAATGGTGCCTACACATGTGTGTGAATGGAAAGATCCCCACTCGAGAACCTGAGGAAGGGGCAGCATCTTGGGGCTATTCAGGAGTGTGGACCAACAAGGGCGAGGGCACAGCAGTGGATGGAGATGTAGTTGCCTGTGCTGCAACTATTTCCAAAAGTGCCCTGTGTGGCCAAGGCCAAAGCAAAGGGAGCTCCAAATGCTTCCTGACATTTGAAGGCAGGACAACTGGGGAAGAGGTGAGACAGACAGTGTGTGTGTGTGTGTGTGTGTGTGTGTGTGTGTGTGTGTGTGTGTATGTGAGAGAGAGAGAGAAAGGCTGACTTCATGCAAATATGTGCAAGTGGTGGTTTGAGTGTGACTGTTATTTGAACTTGAAAATTGCAAAGTAAGAGATATGACTGCAGTTGTAACTCCAAGCTAGAGAGGCAAGCCCTGTGAGTTGTACTTCATTTGCATCTCCAGACCCTTGACTGCCACACTTCCATCTGACCTTATACAGGCACTGGTGCGCAGCTCCAATACTGATCATAAACTCTGAGCAGGAAAAGCCCAATCTTGGGCTGCTCTTCGTATTTTCAACGGAGCCTAATATGGTGCCTCAGTTACGGTACACATTAACTAAATGCTTGTCAGGTTGAATTGGAAGCAGACTGAATTAATTGAACACACCTAAGGCCAAATGTCACAGAAATGTGTACCTTCACTTCATTAGATTAGACTAGTTCACAGCCACATTCTTGGGGCAGGACTAAAGACAGGCATTAGGTTTCCCCATGTGTATTTCAGCCTGTTTGGCCCTAATGACCTGCAAAGTTTGTTCCAATTTGCATCAGCAGTCATGGGAGGCTGAACAGCTATGGATTAAGATGTCAAGTTACTCACACCCAAAAGGCAAAGAGGGCCCGTGGGTAAGCAGCAGGCCTACCCAATCACACCCAGCGCCTGGATTTCTATTCCTCACTGTGCTTACTGACCCTCGTAACCTTAACCAAATCCCCCTTCCCACCTTTTTGTCTCAGGTTCAGTTGCCTTAAAGTAGAAATAATCATAGCAGTCCTCATCCTATCTTAATGGAAACCAGAGGCTTTTAGAACAGTAAGATTACCTATCCCCAAAGTCTCACTTTATTAACAATGAAACTGGGGCACAGGTACAATTAGAATCCAGGTCTCCATGGCTCTTCAGATCTCTGGACCAGCAAGGGCGCTGGCACAGCAGTGGACAGATGTAGTTGCCTGCGCTGGAACTATTTTCAAAAGTGCCACTGTGTGGCCAGAGCCATAGCAAAGGGAGCTCCAAACTCTTCCTGGCATTTGGAGGCAGGACAACTGAGGAAGACGTGAAGCTTCATGGAAATGTGTTCTTGACCAGCTAGACAAAGAGTGAGATATGGCCAGGTGCGGTGGCTCAAGCCTGTAATCTCAGCATTTTGGGAGGCCGAGGCGGGCGGATCACGAGGTCAGGAGATCAAGACCATCCTGGCTAACACGGTGAAACCCCGTCTCTACTAAAAATACAAAAAAAAAAAAAAAAAAAAAGAAAATTAGCCTGATGTGGTGGCGGGCACCTGTAGTCCCAGCTACTCGGGAGGCTGAGGCAGGAGAATGGGTGAACCCGGCAGGCAGAGCTTGCAGTGAGCCGAGATCGCACCACTGCACTCTAACCTGGGCGACAGAGCGAGATTCCGTCTCAAAAAAAAAAAAAAAAAGATGTGCCAGGCACTGGTGGTCATGAGGGTGGGGCTGAAAAGGGAGGCAGCAGTGCTCCAGGCTCCTCTTGGTGGCTCCCACCTCTGCACCCAAGGAAGTAACAACTTCACAGGTGCCTGCCCAACCTCCCAGACTTCCTTTCCCTCGAGTCTTTCCCTCTCCTCTATGCCTCTAGCCACAGGGGTGGCATGATTCCATGTTGACCTGTCCTCTCAGTGCAGACTCTGGGCCAGGATAAGCTCGTGCAGGTTTGTGACTGACAGGCTTCTGGAAGCATCTGGGGCCCTTTTGCATCGCTTAACTTCTATGTCTGTGACTCATTTTTACATTACTCATGGATCTCTTATCTTTCTCCTTGCACTTTCAGCCCATCTACCCCTTGCTAGGGAGGCAGATCTGAAAAGCAGAGGGAGGCTCCCAGAAATAAAGGAATCTGGGAATAGGAGACTCCCTGTTAATGGGGTCTTTGGGCTATGGCTACCGTGCCCCTCCTGAGCCCCCCCAGAACCTCCTGAAGGTGACAATGCTCAGTCTGAGATATGGTGGAGCCTCTGAAATGAAACAGGGAAAACCAATGCATTCCTCAAAGAGGCTGAGCTCTGTACAGAAGCATGGGTAAAATGTAACAGAGTCACATCAATTCAAACAGAGATTTCCAGATCTTTAGAATAAAACAAAACCCTGATTTATCATGTTGCATTATGAGAAAGTTGCAGATTAAAAGGGGCAAAAATAGAGCCCAATTGTCACCCCACAAAGCCAACATCAATGGGCTGTGAACTGTGCTGCTCTGTTCCAAATAACCAAACAATGGTTGACCTCCCCTCTACACCCTGCTTGCCCATGCTGCCAAATAACCAGACTCAAAGGGAAACAAGTCCGCAGCCGCCCGCCCAGCACGAAGACTCATGCCATGTGATCCCAGCTAACGGGCAAGGCCTAACCAATTGACAGGAACTACGAAAGTGAATTGTGTCAGTGTTTTCCTGAAACTTTTCTGAGGGTGAGAAATAAATCATTCCAAGGCTCAAATGCAGAAACAAACTCTGTAATTCTTTTTTTTTTTTTTTTGGCCCAAACACACCAGAGGAGCAGGACATACCCACTAGCCACATAGCAGCTTTTTAACATTGTAAAGAATCACTGCTTCACAAGGCACTGTTTGATATCTGTGAGAACAGGTGGCCTGATTTTTACATAGCAATTCTTCACGATCTATTGACATTGTATTTATAGTCAACCTGAGTAGATCATCATAATGACCACCATTTATTGGGCCAGGCACAAAGCTTAAGACCCAAAGATCATACAATTAGCAACAGCAATTCTGGGGTTCAACCTGGGTCAGTCTTTCTATCATATCGGGATACCACACATGCTTTGGACCTATCTACATAAGTCTTTCCACTTCTTGGCATGATGAGGTCAAGCAGAGTGGTGATCGTGGCAGGACATGGGGAGAGGGTGAGGATACACTTCTGTGTGTTCAGATGTAGCCCTCCAACTGGCCTATATCCCTGAGTCCTTCCCAAGACCAAGCACTAATGATCACCTGGTTGTCTAGACATCTCCTAGCCATCAGTTTCCAAAATCTATTTCCCAGAGTCCTCAGGTTTGGTGGAGGTTATTTTGGAGGTTGCCTTAAGGAGCAAGAAGGAGGCCAAGGGGAAAGCTGAGCGGGTGGGATTCTGAACCCAAATCTTCCCTTGAACTGGATCCATTTCATCAGTTTTATATATTGGAGTTCTATGTGAGATTTGCTTGTGGAGGAGGAAAAAAGTGGGAGAATCCTAGCTCTAGAGCAAGCGCGAAAATCACTGTCTTGGCGGAGGGACTTCCATGGGCCAGGGGTCCTGGCAGGGCCCAAGCTGGCCCTGAGCATCTAAGGGTGCTAAGTGACAGCCTGCTGGTGACATAATGACTGCTTCCTTGCCTGCATCCACCACCACTCTCTCCTGCCACTCACTCAGGTCACTAGCAGTGACCCTGAACTTCACAGAGAGGAAGACACAGCGGACAGCACAGAAAGCATACAAATGAGTGAGCTTACGATTACCTGGCACAGCAGCTACCATGGAATCTGTAGAAGTACAGGAATGGGAAGTCCAGGACGCTGAAGAGATCACCTGAGGGGAACAGCAATGGTGAAACAGTGACCCATGAGGCCTCACATGACCCTCTGCCCCATTGCCCCAGGAAATGCAAGGAAGGCGTCTTTAGCAGTCCTGTGCTTTCAGTCCCCTGGCATTGAATTCACTCCAGCATTCCCAGGGATTCTGTTACTGACATTGTCTTATCATGGTAATAACAGTATGATAATAATAATGCCCATTTAGTGAGAGCATGCCTTGTGCAGGGCCCAATACTAAAATCTTTATGTATTTATCTCTTTCAATCTTAGTAACAACTCTGTGAGGTTCTATTGTGCCCATTTAAACTAAGGCTCAGAGAAGTTAAGAAACATGGCTAAGATTGCACAACTCTTAAACAATGGAGCCAGAATGTTAACTCCAGTCAATCCAAACCTTAGGCTGTCTCCTCTCTACCAGGCAGCCAACCCTGCACAAGGGAGCATGCAGGATAAAAGAATCTTTTTCAAGACTCTTTTCTTCTTTTCTGCCTTATATCTAAAAAAAGGTCATGAATGTACTGCCCTGACATTTTTTTTTTCATTTTTATGTTTAATGACTGCAAGAACAGCACGGGGGCCAGACCAACTGTGCAAATTCATTTTAGTTTGAGGTCCAAAGGGTACATTTGTTTCTTGTGAAGTAAGTTCATTCTTTTAGTTCCACTTGGTGCAAGAGGAAATAATCACACATATTGGCTGCTTCCCTCTCTGGAATTTGAACTTGGTCACAAACAAGAAGTCAGGAGATTAAAAAAGCAGAAAGCCTTCCAAAAATGTCCGGAGAAAAGGAATTAAGCATTTCCACAGCAGATAGCTTGTCTTCCAAATCTGGAATTTCTGAACCCCTTGGAGAGCCTGGTCTTCCAGACCCCTGGGCCTTGGCCTGTCTCTCAGTTCTGGGGGCCTGGGGGAGAGGGCTGATTTTCCTAAGTATTGCTAGTATATTAAGTGTACAGTGGAACACACAGGCAGCATTTCCTTCACCACTACGCTATTAATCAAGGGTTTCAGATCAAAAGACATGATGGGCTCCTATGCTTTCTTGGAGACCCAAACGATCTCAAATGATTCAACTATCTATTGGTAAGGAAAGTTCTGAGTTCAATTTCTTTGGAGGGCTTTTTAAAATTATGACTGTTATTTTCTTTGTGTTGTTTCTGCGAGTGAGTGTGTGTTTAACTACAAGGAAGGGATTTCTTGGGATCTGGTTTTCATGAAGCCCAACAAGATTTCTTGTTCTCTTTCAGCCACGATTCCTCTGAATAGCTCTACTGTCAAACCGTGTTGGTAGAGGGAATTTGTAAATGACAACATCAGTTGTCATTTAGTGTGCGAAGAGCGTGGATATATTCTGAAGTCCCTTTCCCCATAGAAGTGATAGGCAAGGGTGCCCTGGGGACCCCAGACCTAGAGAGTGGCCAGAGCCCTCCATTCAGGCAAAGTGGAGGGAGAGTCTGTCCACGTCCATGGAGAATTCGTTCCGTCTCTTTGGCAGCTGTGTGCTCTTGGCCCTTTCCCAGTTTCCTTCTCAGTGTGAGAGGAACTGCAGCGCAGCCAATGTGATAATGAGGAACGGCGGAGAGGGAGACGAATGAAACTTAGGACCTTGAGTCCTCTCAGGCTTCACCCCTCTCAGCACCCAGTCTTTCATCAGAAATGCTCCAGCAGGGTGAACGGGACTCATGGCGCGTGGCAGCTTTTACAGCCCAGCCCAGGCTTTGGAGGGGGTCTAAAGAGCAGAAGTGTGGTCAGAGGAAGACTAGGAGGGAGGAAAAGAAAGAAAGAAAAAAAAACACAGTCCTCGGGAAATCATAACCCCCACCCAAATCCTGAAAACTGACCCCATAATGAGAGAGAGAAAATAAGAATAGCTAGCCCTTACCTTTGAGCCATTTCTAAAACCATCACACATTGGTTTCTCACACACCACTTAGCTGACTTCACACCTGTCCCTCCTCCTCCTAGAATTAGCGAGTCCTTGAGAGTGGGGATGCTATTTTCCTCACCCCTGCACCCACTGTGTGTCAGCACCATAACCAATATACCCAGCACACAGCAAGCACTACCAAACCAAGAGTATTGGAAAGACCTGATCATCTCTTGCCTTCCCTAGAGCTAATGTTCTAGTTTCCAGCTGGCTCTGTGGTCCTCAATTTCAAGCTGACCTCAAATATTCCCCTTCGATGCCTTCCACCTGGCTTCTCTTTTGCTAAAGTAGTACTCCTAAGCAGAGAGGGTGCACGGCAACCCAGGAACAGCAAATGTTAGTGACTGTGCTATAAATACCCCCGGAAGAGGTTGCAGCGTGTGGCTGGCTGGCCCCAGCCACATGCAAACTCGATCCAGGAGTCTGCTGCAAAACAACACTCCTGCACCATCTAGTGCTGAACTACACGGCTTAAGCACAAATCAAGTGGCTAAAGAGTTTGTAAACAAGGCTGGGCGCGGTGGCTGACGCCTGTAATCCCAGCACTTTGGGAGGCTGAGGTGGGTGAATCACGAGGTCAGGAGTTCAAGACCAGCCTGGCTAAGATGGTGAAACCCCATCTCTACTAAAAATACAAAAATTAGCTGGGCGTGGTGGCGGGTGCCTGTAATCCCAGCTACTCAGGAGGCTGAGGCAGAGAATTGCTTGAATCTGGGAGGCAGAGGTTGCAGTAAGCCGAGATTGTCCCACTGCACTCCAGCCTGGGCGACAGAGTGAGACTCCATCTCAAAAAAAAAAAAAAAAAGAGTTGTAAACATGTTTTGCTACAGCAACACGCGGCTTATGCAATGGAGTCCGAGTTAGGCCCTCACTGTTGTGTTCTGCAGTTACAATTCTGCTGACTCTGAGTGAGCGAGTGAATCCCATCTTTCTAAAGATTACAAAGCATGAAATTGCCATGGTGAAAAGTGTGACACAATATTACCACATTCGAGACTAACTGATATTTGAACGTGAAGAAAATTTCCTCTCATGTTCTCGCCCTCAAAACTGGCAGGAAAACAGGAGGTCGGTTCCAAGCAGTAATTAGTGCTGCTTGCTCTGTCTCACACATGAGCCACAGACACACCAGGTAACAAGGTTGTTTCTGGGTCAGATTCCTGAGTCTCCCTGCTCCTCTTGTTCCGTGAAATTCTCTAGAGCTCTCTTGAACACCACAGCTAAGGGGCCCCATACAAATAGGAAGTATAAACTCTTTAACAGGGGAAATTTCCTCTACTATACTTAAAAGAGTGCAAGGGGGAAAGGTGATCCTCTTCTCAAGGAAGGTTCTGAGATTCTCGGAGCAAACTCTGTGGTGGGGCCCATGCTGAGGGCATGAAGAACTGTCTGCCTGAGTCCCACCACCGCTGCCAGCGCACTCCAAAGGTGCACCTGCAAGAGAGCTCCTCCTTCCAATCACTCAGGAGTGAGTGAGGAGGGAAGCTCAGTCAAAAGCACTATCCAGAAGCCCTCACACACCCTCTAGAAGAGTTAAAATAGGACTGACAATGTTAAATGCTGGTAAGGATGTGGAGCAACTGGAACTCTCACATACTGCTGGGTGGGAGTGGAAAATGGTACAAACACTTTGGAAAACATCCTTTCTTAGAAAGTGAAACATACATCTACTCTAAGACCCAGTAATCCTATTCTGAAATGTTCATCCAAGAGACGTGAAAACATAAGTCACAAAAAGGCTGGTATGAGAATGTTCAGAGCAGCCTCAAGCTGGGAACAGCCCAGGTGAGCATCAACAGGTAAATGGATAAACAAACGTGGTATATGCATACAATGGAACCCTACCAGCAACAAAAAGGAACAAACTCATGATATACGCAACAACATGAATGAATCTCTAAACATTGTGCTTCATGAGCCAGACACAAAAAGTACTGATGATTCCATTTATAACAGCTTGAGAATAGACAGAACTTATCTATGGTAACAGATATCAGATCCATAGAGGTCTCATGGTGTGGAGAGGGAGTGACTAGGAAGCTTTCTGCAGTGACAGAAATGTTTTATATCTTGATGGGGTATAAGTTACGCAGGTGTGTAGATTTGCCAAAATTGATCGAGCTATACATTTAACATGTATATTTCATATATGTAAATTACATATCAATTTAAAAATGTTTTTAAAGTACTACCAAATAACTAAGATACAGGTAATAAAAGAAGGGGCTGGGTGCAGCAGCTCACGCCTGTAATCCTAGCACTTTGGGAGGCCAAGGCGGGTGGATCACTTGAGGTCAAGAGTTCAAGACCAGCCTGACCAACATGGTGGAACCCCGTCTCTACTAAAAATACAAAAATTAGCTGGGCGTGGTGGCGGGCACTTGTAATCCTAGCTACTTGGGAGGCTGACACAGGAGAATCACTTGAACCCAGGAGGCAGAGGTTGCAGTGAGCAGAGATTGTGCCACTGTACTACAGCCTGGGCAAGAGAGTTCGAGACTTTGTCTCAAAAAAAAAAAAAAAAAAAAAAGAAAAAGAAAAATAGAAAAAAAGAAGGGGTAAGAAGAAACCAAAAAGAATTGAGCCCTGCTGTAAAATGTCAGAAAGTATGAACAGATTCTTCCAAGACTATCCCTATGGAGACTGACTGTGACTGTGTCTTAACTGGAGCAGCAGGGAACCAGGAAGACAGCTCATCCAACACACACTCAGGCCCCACTGCAGACGTTCTAGATAGCAAGTGTAATAAGCAAGTGAAAAAGAATAAAGTTCTGTTCTACCTTGAAGTGGGCTAGACTTGGTCCAATCAGAAAGCTAATGAATGAATCGGCAGGAATTGGAGCCACCCTGTAAGAGTAGTCCTGCTCCCTTACAGCAAGGGAGCCCACAGCCACTTCAGCAGTGCCACGGCCCAGCAAAACCCTTCTTATAAGCCCGACTTTCTGTACCTGGCCTCTGCAATGACCCCACCTCAGCTAGCAGGAAACTTCAACAAATCGAAGTTGCAGAGAAGAGTCCTTCAAGAGCAGTGTCCCAGGACTCTCTCTGATGAATCCAACAGGCTCCACAATGCCCTGGGTTGCCCACTGCAGACCCATCCCCCATCCTGCAGGAGACGGAAGGGAAGGTGAACATTTGTGTCCACTCTTTTTCAAAAATTATGAAAATATAACTTGAAGGAAAATTAATCCATGCAAGTATCCCTTCCGGCATAATTAAGCTCCAAACAGGTTTTCAAATGAGAAAGATGTCCTTTTATTCCCCCAATACATTTTCTTATTGAGATATAATTTGCATACTATAAAATTCACCCTTTTAAAGTGTACACTTCAGTGGTTTTTAGTATATTCATAGAGTTGTGCAACCATCACCACTATCTAATTCCAGAATATTTTCATTACCTCAAAAAGAAACTGAAGCCTATTTCAAATTACTCCTCTGCCCAGGACATTCTACAATCATATACTTCTGACCACTTTGTATTCCCAGGGAGTAATTAAGTGTCCAAGGTATTTTTGTATTGACCTAAAAGTTTAGCAATAACTCAAGGTAAAATGTCAGACTGTTGGCCAAAATGTCTAAACTATTACCAGCAGTCACCATGTTCAGAAACTGGTGGCTAAACACATCCCCCAAACCAAAAGCAGCTCCAGACCAAAATTTAGGAACGTTGTACAAAAGCATTCACTGGAGTGGGATACTTCATAGTAAAGTGTAGGGGGACTGGGCGTGGTGGCTCATGCCTGTAATCCCAGCACTTTGGGAGGCTGAGGCAGGCAGATCACTTGAGGTCAGGCATTCGAGACCAGCCTGGCCAGTATCGTGAAACCCTGTCACTACTAAAAATACAAAAATTAGCCAGGCATGGTGGCAGGTGCCTGTAATCTCAGCTACTTGGGAGGCTGAGGCAGGAGAATCACTTGAACCTGGGAGGCGGAGGTTGCAGTGAGCCAAGATTGCACCACTGCACTCCAGCCTGGGCAACAGAGCGAGACTCTGTCTCAAACAAACAAACAAACAAAAAACAAAAAACAAACAAAGAAAGGCAATAAAGTGTAGGATCACTGAAAGAGCAGCAGCATTTAAAAAGAAAAAGTTAGAAAGAGGGTCAGGAGACCTAACCCCAGTCTCCCTCTGCTAGTCGCCTACTCTGCATCATCTTGGTCACATCACTTAACTCCTCAGGGTTTCAATTTCCTCATTTGTATTAGGATGATGCATAAGTAATTAATACAATTTGGTGGCACCTGGGATAATCACCAAGATTCCTTCCAGCTCTGACCATCATAAGTTTAACAAATGAACAAGCACAACCTCTTAGCTGAAGGGCAGCATGATTTCTTTAGGTAAAAATTATTCACCCAGCCGGGCACAGTGGCTCACGCCTATAATCCCTGCACTTTGGGAGGATGAGGTGGGCAGAACACTTGAGGTCAGGAAGGAGTTCCTGACCAGACTGGCCAATGTGGTGAAACTCCGTCTCTACTAAAAATACAAAAATTAGCTGGGCATGGTGGCAGGTGCCTATAATCCCAGCTACTCAGGAGGCTGAGGCAGGAGAATTGCTTGAACCCGGGAGGCAGAGGTTGCAGTGAGCCGAGATACACCACTGCACTCCAGCCTGGCCAGCCTGGGCAACAGAGCAAGACTCTGTCTCAAAAAAAAAAAAAAAAAAGAATTATTCACCCAAGTCCACTAGAAATAATTCAGGATGTAAACCACGGAGAATCTGTGAACATAACTTTCCAAAGGCCTTTGACAAAAGCACATTTTTTTTTTTTTTTTTTTTTTTTTTTTTTGAGATGGAGTCTCGCTCTTGCCCAGGCTGGAGTGCAGTGAGGCGATCTCAGCTCACTGCAAGCTCCGCCTCCCGGGTTCACGCCATTCTCCTGCGTCAGCCTCCCGAGTAGCTGGGACTACAGGCGCCCGCCACCACGCCCGGCTAATTTTTTGTATTTTTAGTAGAGACGGGGTTTCACCGTGTTAGCCAGGATGGTCTCGATCTCCTGACCTCGTGATCCACCCGCCTCAGCCTCCCAAAGTGCTGGGATTACAGGCGTGAGTCACCACGCCCGGCTGACAAAAGCACATTTCAAAGGGGCAGGACACTTAGTAGGCTCTTAAATGTCTGCTGGGTGGCAGCTACCTGGCTGCATAAAGGAATGATAGGAGACGCAACTAAAAGGCAGACAACCAGCAGTATGGGTAAGCAGAAGCCATTTAGGGTTACCAGTATGGCTTCACAGGACTTATTATTCCACAAAGGATAGACTTTCAGCAAATGACAGCAGAGAGGGGACTCAACAGCCAACCTTGGAGTTTTGAGAAGTCATCGTTCATAGGAGCAGGCAGACAATAGGAACTGTGCTTTCATATGGCAAGCGGAGTGTAATAAGAAAATGCATTCAAGTTATCCTTACGAGACATGGATTCAGATATGTCATATACAATCCAGAAGCATTATTCCTGAGTCACTAGCAACAACTCCCTGAGGATCCTCACTCAGATGGCAGGTAAAATACCAACTGAAAGAAGCAGCTGAAAACGCCAACAGAAAGCTGTTACTGCTTTAAGCACAGGGTAAGAGCTAGAAGGGACCTTAGAAAGCAGCCAATTCACCTTTCTCATTTTCTAGATGCGAAAACTGAGACCTAGAGGGCTTAGGTAATGCTTTATGCATAGCAAGTGGTGAGTAAACATTCATTTTGTGGTTTGTTTGTTTTTAAAAAAAAACAAAAACAAAAATCTATCTTAAGGCCACTCAGTGGGGGAGCCAAGGAAAGTTCCAATCCTTCTGAGTCTATTCTTTGCACCACACTCCACGAAGCCACAAGGAGCACAACCAATATAACTTGTATTTTCAGCCATGCCACACACAGACATTATTGTTTTATCTTTTGGCATCAATTTCAAAGCCTTTCAAAGCAAAAAACTGTGATGGAATAGGGTCTTGTGGGCAATTCCTTAATCTGAAAAGCAACAACAGAGTAATTGAGGCAGTAAGATACATTTTAAAAATTGACTCCTGGCCGGGCGCAGTGGCTCACGCCTGTAATCCCAGCACTTTGGGAGGCCAAGGTGGGTGGATCATGAGGTCAGGAGATCGAGACCATCCTGGCTAACATGGTGAAACCCCATCTCTACTAAAAGTACAAAAAATTAGCCAGGCATGGTCTCATACGCCATAGTCCCAGCCACTCGGGAGGCTGAGGCAGGAGAATGGCTTGAACCTGGGAGGCAGAGGTTGCAGTGAGCTGAGATCATGCCACTGCACTCCAGCCTGGGCAACAGAGTGAGACTCTGTCTCAAAAAAAAAAAAAAAAAAAAAAAAAAAAAAAGGACTCCTTTCTTCTGGAATTATGAGAATTGGATGGTGACATATGATACAAACTTTAAAAATGATGCCAGATAGAAAGAGGGTAACTTAACAATATATTTGCAAAATTCAAACAAGAATTAGAGAACCAACTCCTTCACTTAATTATTTCTTATATTTACCTGCTAGTATTTTATTTGAGGTTACCCTTTGGGATGATTCTGATGATGGGATTTGGGGTACCATAGCAGGCCTTGGGAAACATTATGGGATGGCAAGAGGCCCCTCATATTCTGCCATAAGAGCAATAACTTCTGCTCCTGAAGTTATCACCAAAAAGGGATTCAGGGAGTTTTTTGAACTTTTGAACTTTTTCACCAATTTTTTTAACACTAGAAATGAAGAGCAATTCAGGACGCTTGGAAAAGGAATTTCAGAAGCGGGCAAAATAAGCCCTAGTTTACTTGGCAGGAAATAGACCTGTCTGTATATCTGAGATCATACTGGATGAAAACACAGACAACAAGAAGGGGTAAGAATAAATTCCTGGATGATAAATTGGTTTATTAAGAGCAGTTTCAAATAGGTGGGACCTTCCTGCCCTCTCAGTCATCCTGGGGGGCAATGACATGCTCTTATGAAATGTCTCTGAGAGACAGGCTCACTGGGTCCAATAAGCAATGTCAAACAGACAAACAAAACAACACTCCGGGGGCATTTACCTGTGGGATGAGATGCAAATGCCAGGAGCACCACACTGGAAAAGAGACAGCAAAGTAGTCAAGAAGTTTCCCCGGCACCAAAAACCCCAGCTGTTCCCACACATTTTACTTGGAAATAGTTAAATATGCCTAAAAGCAAATTATCTGCACTGACTCACTCTGCCTAAATCCAGCTCCTCAGAGAGAGTAAGAATGTCTTGAAATGTCTCATGTTTTGGCAAGAAGATTGCCTCTTGGGACAGGCTTGGGACAGAGTATGAATCCATGTCTCAACCTGAGGGTCTACTGTGTCTCTTTTCTCAATCCTGGCTGACCCTAGTTATGATCATACTCACCTAATCTACCAAGAGTATTTATAAGCTAAACAAAGCAAACACCAAATTAAAATAGCTTGCAATGTAAAAGCTAGCTGTTGTGTGTGAGCTACGTATATTTTTGCCACAAAATCAACTGTGTAGAAGATAGTTACATTTCCAAGAGGCTAGCCCACAATTGATCCAGCCCATCTACCATGTGGCTGAAAACTAACTTTACTGATTTTCAATAGATGCCACAGAGGGGAAAGGATGAAAAGAGAATGAAAAGGAGTGTTCCTCTGATGTGAGCCCTGTTCATCCTTGGCAATCTCCCATCGTCCTCTCTGAAAACCCCTCCCGTCCCGCAGTGCCCCTCTACAGTGCCTTCATGCTGCCAAACCCCACTTGAGGGGCCCAATCCCCCACCCTCTGCAACCTCTTCTATCAAAACTCATGCCATCTGGGCAGCCAATCAAATTAGAGAATTAGGAATAAAACATGTTATCTAAGTATGGCAGGGAATTTTTTAAAGTGCTGGATGGCCTACTCTGGTTCTAAACCCTGGCTGCATATCAGAATAGCCCAGTGTCCTGGCTTAAATTGGAATCTCTGAGGTGCAGGCAATCAGTTGTTTTATTTTGTTATGGCCCCTCAGTGGCTCTAAAGTACACCAGGATTGGGAACCACCACAAGGAATCCCTAGTTGGTGGTGACACCCTAGGCAGTGTGGAGGAAGACGGCTGTGAGCAAAAAAACCACTGGGAGCCTGCCTGCTCCAGGAGCTGTCTCCCGGAGCCATTTCTGTGTTTCTCATGTTCTTCCTTTGCTCTTCCTCTAAAGCTAAGGTTCTCTGATGGCCCCAGGGCAGCAGCAGTGTGGACAGAGGCTAGACAGGAGGTTTGCGAGAAAGCCAATGGGAAGAGCCACACATCCAGTCATTGAGAAGTTGTAGGTTTATAAGACAGGGCTGCATGTAGCTATAAACAAGACTGAAGACTTCACAATGATCAGCCCTTTGCATAGGCTAAGTCTTTGCTTCCATCTCACCTTTCTTTGGAAAACATATACCCTGTATATACTCCATTATTTTACCTCCCTGAATCCCTTTTTGGTTATAACTTCAGGAGGAGAAGTGATCACTCTCATGGCAGGATATGAGGGGTCTCTTGCCATCCCAAAACATCTCCCAGAGCCTGTCATGTATCCCAAATCCCATCATCAGAATCGCCCCAAAGGGTAACCTCAAATAAAATATTAGGGGATGAATATAAGAAATAATTAAGTGAAGAGTTGGTCCTTTAATCCTTGTTTGAATTTTGCAAATACAGTATTAAGCCACTCCTAACTCCTACCAAAGCAGGCCATTCAGCGCACTTGAAAAAAAATTCCCTCCGATACTTAGATAGCAAGTTTTATTCCTAACCAACGCAATCAGCCACCTGGATGGCATGAGTTTTGATAGAAGAGGTTGCAGAGGGTGGGGGACTGGGGCCCCCACAGTGGGCTTTAGCAGCATGAAGGTACTGCAGAGGGGTGCTGGGGGACGGGAGGGGTTTCCAGAGAGGGCGATGGGAGGGTGCCAAAGATGAATGGGGCTCACACCAAAGGAACACTCTCTCTTCATTCTCTTTTCACCTTTTCCCCTCTGTGGCATCCTACACTGTGACCTCCTTGGGGGCAAGAACCATATTTTATTCATCCTTGGATCCCTAGCAGTGCCAAACATCATGTGGCAGGTACTCAATACGTTTTCTGAACTGCAATTAATCACCTCTAGGTGTACTGTGGTGGGACTATGTTTGAAGAAAAACGTAACTTGAAGCCCTGGATACTTTTTTTTTTTTTTGAGAAAGATCTCCCCCTGTTGCCCAGGCTGGAGTGCAGTGATTCAGTCATAACTCACTGTAACCTTGAGCTCTGGGGCTCAAGTGATCCTCCTGCCTCAGCCTCCCAATACAGAAACCCCTTATAGTTATAAGATTATAAATTACATGTAAATTATAATGAAGAAATTCTACTAATATAAAAAGGGTGTATCATGCTGTTCTAGTAAGCAGGCTTATTCTCTGCTTGGCTTGGGACAAGGATACAAACAGAAGTCCACATACCATATTTAAAAGTTATAAATCAAGCCTCAGACTTCATCCTACCTTAACAAATACACCTTCAGAATAACCTGAAAGTCTAGTTTAAAATGTAGAATTCTTGGGCTCCCTGGTGCTGCATGTCAGAATGTAGCAGCCCAGGGCAGCCTCTGACTCCCGGTTGCCAATGCTCCCCTTTTCTTTCCACCCCAGGCTTCATCCTGCAGCCCAAGGGCCTCACACATGTGTGTGGACACCTGAGTCTGCAAGGTCCTCTCCACCTACACTCCTGCCCATTGACAGCCTCTCTTTGGACACCCCTTGGGCCTGGGAATGAGTTGGGAAGATGGACCCAAGGAGCCCTGGAATCGAGCTCAGGGACATGGGTGGGGGATTCAAGGACACAATCTAGAAGTGAGGGTGTGGCCTCTGGGATGAGAGAAACGTCCTTTAGCCTCACAGATGCCACGTCCCGGAGAAGGGATGTGGCCCTCTGAAGTTTAGGGCCTGAGAGAGGCCCCTCTTGCCTGGTCTAAGGGCAAGACTGCTATTTGGTCTCCTCAACTCTGTCATCTCACAAATTCTGTAACTTATCTTCCTGGCAGGCACATTGGCTCAGAACTCTTCAATCAAAATATTATTGGAAAATAAAAATCCATTAGGATATGAATTGTTCTTTAAAAATGTAAATTATATTTTACCTGAATATATAGTTTAAGTATTGCTGGTCAATGTCACTAAGGAATGAGAGAGGAAAAAAAGATAAATGAAGTAGCAGAACTATTTTAAATACATAAAATAATCATTGTCTTCTACTAATAAATTCTATTTTAGTTACTACTTTTATAAATTATCCATAAATAGAGGGAAAAGTATTTAATATTCAAAACCAGTTACTAGTTCATTTTAAATCACACACATTTTCACCTGTGGGCAACTGTTTCCCACATGTACATTTGTCACTTTCAAAGGAGTGTCAACTATCTCAGGCCACTGGACTGGCTTTTGGGGCTACCATATTTAACAAATAAAAATACAGGGCAATCAAACACATTTGAATTTCTGATAAAGAGTAATGTTTTAGTGTAAGTACTGTATGTTCCAAATATTACAAAAATTATTCGAGGCTTATCTGAAATTCAAATGCAACCAGGCATCCTGTATTTTATCTGGCAACTCTACTGGCTTCTTGCTACAAAAACACTTTATTAAAAGAACAAAAGGTGCTCCAGGGAGTGGAAGCCCCACATTCTCAGAGTGGATGACCTTCTCTCAGGAGTCATTCCCTTCAGACCTTTTCTCTTTAGGCCTTCAGCAGGCCCCAAAACCTGGAGGCCAGCTGGCCAGTCTAGGGGCACTGGCCTCAGCGCTCCAGGCCTGAAGTCTTGTCTTTTCTCATTTACATTCACCAAAGCTGCTCCATTGACTGGCTGCAACAAAGGCCTCATTTTGCCCAAGAATGAGCTAGTAAGTGGAGACTTCTGGGTCTAAAGTAAGTCAAATTAGGACGGGGCTGGGGAAACAAGAAAAAGTACTGTCCCTCTGTGCTTGATGCAGCCGATTGGCACCCAAAGCAGCTGGCCACATACATTTCATTCACATGTCATCTGAGAGGTGACATGTGAATCCCCTGAAGGAAGGAGATTGAGACTTCCATGCCTCTTCACACATGGCTAAAGGCAGACATGTTCCAGGTGTTGGTGGACACAGCCTGGAGTGGCCCAAACAGCAAGAAGAGGGCCGGCTTCAAGGACTAAGTCCCCTGCCCTCAACACAACCCAGGCCTGTAGAGTCTCTGGCTGAATGGAAGAATCTCATGATACCACAAGTCTCAGCCCTTTCCTTTAACCCAACCACAGCTCACCAAACATTAAGAGTTTATCCTGGCCGGGTGTGGTGGCTCACGCCTGTAATCCCAGCACTTTGGGAGGCCGAGGCGGGCGGATCACCTGAGGTCGGTAGTTCCAGACCAGCCTGACTAACATGGAGAAACCCCTCTCTACTAAAAATACAAAATTAGCCAAGCATGGTGGCGCATGCCTGTAATCCCAGCTACTCGGGAGGCTGAGGCAGGCGAATCGCTTGAACCCGGGGGGTGGAGGGTGCGGTGAGCTGAGACCGCGCCATTGCACTCCAGATCACGCCATTGCACTCCAACAAGAGCTAAACTCCATCTCAAGGAAAAAAAAAAAAAGAGTTTACCTTAATGCACTGGGTTTCTGGGACTTCTGTAGAATTTTATAAGCCCCTGAAAATGAAATAAAACATATCACTGGTCATGGTATTCTGCTCAAGGAGCTGCTGGCCTGTCCGGGGACACACAAAATCCACATGGATAAAGGCTCCCAAAAGCACGACTGCTGGTCCTTTTCCCTACGAGTGTCACACCCAGCTGACAGGAGAAGACCATCAACATTTGGAAGGCTTCAAGGATACAAATTCAATAATCCTCTATGATAACGCAGTCAGTCCTTCCATTGGTCCCCAGAGTGCTGGGCATGGAAAGCATCATGATTATGAAGGACACAATTAACAGGAAGGTTTTACTTCCTTGACATGACGCACATGAAAAGAGAAACACCCCTGGATTTCTGAACATTTCTGAGCTGTGTTAATAGTCAGGGCACCGTTTTTCCCCCAGGACTACAGACAAGCAACACTGAATATGTGATTTGTAATAAAATCAGATGGTCCCTTTATTTGAACAACTTAAACTTTTTTGGTAAATTACTGAAAGAAAATGTTTTTGACATGAACTTCTGGATATCTTCCCACCATTTCTAGAGAAGACCAATCAGCATTCCAAAAGTTGACTTGAGCAAGTGAAACCCCAAGCCACAGTGAGTTAGTTCATATTTGTCACGAAAAAGAGGAAAGTATATTGGAAATGGAAACATTTGAGGAAAAACTTCAAAATAGAAAACCAATCCAGAAAATGCCCATTTAATTTTAACCTTCACACCTTGGATTTAATTTTCCAAGGTCACCAAAAAGTGGGTATACAATAAACCTCAATTATTCAAGTAAGCTTCCCTCCCTCCTTCCCACCCTCCCTCTCTCCTTCCCTCTCTCCCTCTCTCTCTCTCTCTTTCTTTTTTTTTGACAGGGTTTCCCTCTTTTGCCCAGGCTGGAGTGCGGTGGTGTGATCATGACTCCTGCAGCCTCGACCTCCCTGGACTCAGGTGATCCTCCCACCTCAGCCTCCTGAGCAGCTGGGACAACAGGCATGTGCCACCATGCCTGGCTAATTTTTGTATTTTTTGTAGAGATGGGGTTTCTCAAGGTTGCCCAGGCTGGTCTTCCATTCCTGGGCCCAAGGGATCCACTTGCCTTGGCCTCCCAAAGTGCTGGGATTCCAGGTATGAGCCACCGTGCCCAGCCTTACATAATAATTCTTTTAAAACTTACCTACACAGAGTAAGTGAATTATAGCCCAAAAATATCCATCTGGATTAAACTGAAACACAAAATTAAAAAAAGAAAAAATGGCTATAAGTGCAAGGCAAATGGAATCCAGTGTGGCCATCAGAAAACCTGTCATCAATGCTCAGTGCCAAGCAAGGGTCCCAAAACAGGACTCCTGGGGCCGTACATCAGTTCCTTGGTTCCCTCTCATTCCTCAACCAGTTGCCTACATCTTCCTAACAGGACTCTGCCTCCAACACCCCATGCCCCACACTGCCATCACAAAGTTCAAATCCAAACTCATGACACCCCAAGACCTCTGTGACAAGCCCCCATCAACCCCTCTGGTTGTATGTACCCCCTACTGTCCCTGAATAAGGATAACTTGCATTTTCCCAAGCATGACTGCTTCCCCCTACAGCTCAACCGAGGGGACCCTCTACTTCTTCCCTTATTATTCTCCACAGGACTTAGTATCATAGGACACATCCTATTTATTTCTTCCTTGTTTTTTTTGTTTTTTTTTTTTTTTTTTGAGACGGAGTCTCGCTCTGTCGCCCAGGCTGGAGTGCAGTGGCGGGATCTCGGCTCACTGCAAGCTCCGCCTCCCGGGTTCACGCCATTCTCCTGCCTCAGCCTCCCAAGTAGCTGGGACTACAGGCGCCCGCCACTACGCCCGGCTAATTTTTTGTATTTTTAGTAGAGACGGGGTTTCACCGTTTTTAGCCAGGATGGTCTCGATCTCCTGACCTCGTGATCCGCCCGCCTCGGCCTCCCAAAGTGCTGGGATTACAGGCGTGAGCCACCGCGCCCAGCCCCTTATTTGTTTATGTGTCTCTATCTCTCCCTGCCCTCCCCTCTCCTAGATTGCACATTCCAGGAGGGTGGGCATTAGAACAGGGGTAAACACATAGCAGGTGCTCAATGACACTGGATCACAGGATACTCATGACACTCCAGGACTGCCCTCGCCTGCTTTCTTCTCCTGGCTAACTCCTCCTCATTCTTCCAGATTTAGGTCCTGTAAGGAGAGTCTGGCTCTAGCATCAGAGAGATCTGGGATAAATTCTAAAATCCCCACTTATTTGTTAGCTGGTGACCTTTTGGGCCTCCTTATTCTATGCTATGAAATGGAGATAATAATGCTCCCACCCTCACAGAAATGTTGTGAGATTTTAAATAACATAAGGCACAGAAAGCATTGGCACAGAGGCTGGCACACAGCAGACTCCCTGTAATTATGGCTACTCCTACTTCCTGAGGCCCCACGTCTTCTTAGGTGCTTCAGAGCCCCCTGTATCTCGAGGACAGAGCCCTGGCCCCCCTGTGTGATAACAATCTGTTTACTTGACTGTTTCCCTCCCCTTTGCTCCAAATAGGCTTGACTTCTGCCTGAGCAAAGATTAATTTTCCTCTTTGTGTCCCCAGAGCCTGGCTCAGTGCCTGACACGTGGTGGGGACCTAATAATGCTGGGGGAGAAAAGGAGGGAGAAAAAAAGAAAGAAAGGAAACCCAGAAATGAGATGACTACTGGGGGGCGGGGGTGGGTCCTCAGCACCTCATAAAGAAAACTCAACTTTAGCACAGGATAATAAAATAAAAATCATTTTGCAGGCCAGGCACAGTGGCTCACGCCTGTAATACCAGCACCTTGGGAGGCCGAGGCGGGCAAATCACTTGAGGTCAGGAGTTTGAGACCAGCCTGGCCAAGATGGAGAAACCTCATCTGTACTAAAAATACAAAAAATTAGCTGGGCATGGTGGTGGGCGCTTGTAATCCCAGCTACTCGGGAGGCTGAGGCAGGAGAATTGCTTGAACCCGGGAGGTGGAGGTTGCAGTGAGCTGAGATCGTGCCACTCCACTCCAGCCTGGGCAACAGGGTGAGACTCTGTCTCAAAACAAAACAAAAACAAAAACAAAAAATCACTTTGCAGGAGATGAGGCCCTTGGGAGGAGAGAAAATCAACTTTGCCTCCATGGCTGAGGCTGGGGCAATTTGGGCGTTGGCTTGCAGGTTCACCAGGCATGTACAGAGGACAGATGGCAGCCACCACAGTGCCCAGGGACCACAGCTCTGCAGGCCACGATGCCTGCAGCCCTGCGGAGAAGGCAAAGGCCTGGGGAAATGGTGTTGCCCAGGCCCAGAGCTACCCAGCCTGCAAGATTTGGAATGCTTCTGCATAGGCCAAGTTATCCTGCTTCTAAAAGGAAGGACTAGGAAATTCTGGTCATACACCCAGGCTTCAGAGAATAAAAGACACTTTGAAGGCAAATGAGTTCACTTGGACTTACCTGGGAGTCATTGAAGGGAAGGCATCCTGCTGCGGCCAGGAGGAGGAGGGCACTGTGGAGAGGGAGATAAAACACTGCAGCTTCACCTTTCAACATCAAAGGTTTCCCTAAGAGCGTGGAGGTGAAAATGCATCCTCTGGAGTTGGATGAGGCAAAGATCCTGCGAGACCAACTTGGTTCCTCTGTCCTTCCTCTGTGAACCTGACTACCTGTGTAGTTTTCAATTATGTGCTCTACTCATAAGCAGACATTTCCTTCTCTGGACCTCAGCTAGCCGTTTCCCAGAGTCAGGCATTTACAGGACATCTGCAAAACCACAGCTGGCTCACTTGAGGAAAATAGTGTGCCTGTGAAACATCTAATAAAACAAGTGTTTTTTCAACTGCAGATCCCCAAAAATATACAAGTGAAAAACTGGGGAATCAGACCACAAATATGCCTGTTTCAAAAATGAAAACACTACGGAAATTGCATTAAAATCCTTTGTGCAACCCCACAACCGAATGATCAAACTTAACACCACCAATAATGAGGCAGATCCACATTGTGTGCCTCTTGATATAAAGCTCGGAAGGACACAACATCACTTGGGTGGTATTCCTGCCAAACATGCAGAGCGTGGATTGAACCACGAGGAAACACTGAGACAAACCCAAATTTAGGACAGTTCACAAAACAACAGGCCTCCCCTATTCAAAAATGTGAAGGCAATGAAAGACAATAAAAAACTGAGGAACTGTTCTAGATTAAAGGGTACAAAAGAGATATGACATCTTTTTTTTTTTTTTTTTGAGATGGAGTTTCACTCTTGTTGCCCAGGCTGGAGTGCAATGGCACGATCTCGGCTCACCATAACCTCCGCCTCCCGGGTTCAAGCGATTCTCCTGCCTCAGCCTCCCGAGTAACTGTGATTACAGGCATGCACCACCTCACCAGGCTAATTTTGCATTTTTAGTAGAGGTGGGGTTTCTCCATGTTAGTCAGGCCGGTCTCGAACTCCCGACCTCAGGTGATCCGCCTGCCTCGGCCTCCCAAAGTGCTGGGGTTACAGGCCTGAGCCAATACACCTGGCTTAGACATGACATCTTTAGGGGAAAAAAATGTTATAAAAGATAGTATTGTGCCAGGTATGGTGGCTCATACCTGTAATCCCAGCACTTCAGGAGGCCAAGGCGGGCAGACCACTTGAGTTCAGGAGTTTGAGCCCAGCCTGGCCAATATGGTAAAACCCCTTTTCTACTAAAAGCACAAAAATTAGCCAGGCGTGGTGGCACATGCCTATAGTCCCAGCTACTCAGGAGGCTGAGGCAGGAGAATCACTTGAACCCGGGAGGCAGAGGTTTCAGTGAGCCAAGATGGCACCACTGCACTCCAGCCTGGGCAACAAAACGAGACTCCATCTCAAAAAAAAAATAAAAATAAAAATAAATAAATAAATAATAATAATAATAATATTGTGGCCAGATAATAAGTGGCAACATTTGAACATGGACTCAATATTAAATAACAGTATCATATCAGATGTTATTTTCTAAATTCAATGACTGCACTTTGGTTATCTAAGGGATGGTTGTTTTTAGGAGACACAGTATTTAGTATTTAGAAGTGGAGTCATGACCTCTACAACTTATTCTCAAATGATTCAGAAAAAATAAGAGCAAGAATAATATCTACATTATCATATATTTATGTGATATTTATGTATGTTTATGCATGTGTATACATATATACATTGAGATAGCAAGAAAGCAAATGCAAAAAATGTTACCAATGGGTGAATCTTGGTGAAGAATACATGAGAGCTCACTGTAATATTCTTGCAACTTTTCTGTAGGTTTAAACTTTTCCCCCCGTAAAATGTTTTATTAGAAAAATCTCTTATACATACTAAAATATTTACAGATGAAATGCTAGGGTGCCTGGAATAAATACTGAGCAAGGCAGTGGGTGGGGCCAGAAGCTGAAAATGGCTGAAGCTGGGAACTGGGTACACAGGACTTCATTCATTACATTATTCTGTTTACTTTGATATGTCTTTAGAAATTTTCACCGTAAAGCAATTTTTAAAAATTCTTGCTCAAAAAAGTAACACTGCCAAACACAGATATTTTCAGGAAGCTATCCTCACTCATTAGAAAGTCAATTTGGAGCTGGTTCAGTAATCCCTGGTTTACGGCCTATTCCTTCTGAGTTTCATATGCCAAAAGCTCTTGCCTCTAGCTTTCCCCACTCTCTCCTCCTAAAAGAAGGCGCCAGAAAGCATAAAACCCAAATTATCACTTAGTCTCTCTCCTCTTTCCATTTTATAGAGGCAACATATATATAGTGCCCCTTAACTACTGACTATTCCATCAGGCAGCAAACAGCAAAGGATCAAAGGCGTGAACAAAAGCACCGAATACAATGTTTTCACTTTCAGGGAACTTTGCCATATGCCATCTCCCACCAACACAGATTCTGTATTCTACATAGAGACTACATGTTTTTATATGTACACATAAACATATATATCTAACACACAACAACTTGGCATGTGTAATCTTAGTACACTGAAAACAGTGGTGCTGATCAATTCTGACAGTCCTCACTGCTGTAACCATGTGTAGATGTCACTGTACCCAATGGACCAGCACTGACCGGCTGGGCCAGAGGCAGGAGGACTGGCAGAGGGGCCCTCGGAGCTGAGGCCCCAGAGCCTTGGGAAGGTCAGGACAACATGGAGCAGCCTGAGGCTCAGGACACTTCTCTACCTCAGCCTGCCCTACTCCTATAGCCTTGCTGACTTTCAAGGCACCCCAACACACAAATGACCTAGAGAAGAATCCAAGGCAAACAGTGGGGTGAGTGGAGAAGAGACTGTCAGGGGAGCTTCTTGGGGCTGCCCAGGAACAGGCAGGTTTTGTGGTGGGAGGAGAGGAGAATCCTGATATCCTGATGGGTTTGGTGTCTACCTACAGTGAAAGGCTTTATAGAATAGAGGATGCTTCCCCATCCATGGAGAATGAGCATCAGAGATCACCCCAAACAGACAACCTCTTGGAACTGTGGAAGATGGGGGATACCCAAGGGTGAGACACCTGCCTGCCTTCCCACCCCACCTGGCCTCAAGCAGTACCTGATTACATCAGGTATCATGAGCTTTACCGCCTCTCTTTGACACCTGCTAGTCTCCTTTTAAACAGGAGGATAGTCTTGAAGTTTGGTTTTGTCTTGTTCTTTCAAGGTGCAACCTGTAATAAAGGAATAAAAGGAGGGTGGGGGATTGGATGAAAGCCCAGAAATATCTGCAGTAGAAATCCTAAATCCATCTATCAAAGCACCTCTGTTGGTTTTCTGTCTCCAGGACTGAGCTGCTTGGCCTGCAGAGGAAGCGGGAAGCAGTCAGATGCAAGGCACCCAGGTTAGAATTCAAATGCTGCAGGCACCGGGGTCTGCATGACAGGACGGCCCAGTTTACGCTGTAGCTGAGGAAACTGAGGCAAAGAGGACGAGGAAAGCTGCCCACAATCACCCTGCTATGGCCCAGGACTGCAGTTCAGATCCCAGGACTTCCAGGCTGGTGCTTTTTCCACCACGGAAAATATTAAAGACTAAATAAACTACAAACATTACTTTTAAATTTTTAAGTCATTTCCATGTTTTTCATTTTCATTCTCCATCAGTATTACACAACTGTTAGTAAAGTTTTGGGCATCAATGACTGAAATCTAGCACAGGTTGGTTCTGGTGTTTTCTCTTTTGGAATAAAATATTTCAGAAAGAAAAGAAAAACACAAGAAATTTTAGACTAAGACACAAATTAGGGATATATGAATGTTTATAATAAATTCTTCTGCCACCTCTTAGAGTATGAATCTTGAACAGTTTATCATTCAAGTTAAAAATAGGTTAAATCTTATATTATGGCTTTTTGGGGGGAGGGCAGTAAACTTACCTACAGATCTTTGCAGGAGATGTTTTCTGCATAAAAGTAAAGAAACATACAATTAGACTTTTAAAACTTTTTAAATTCCTCTTAAAAGGAAACATTTTGATCAAGAGGCAAATAAATTATGAGTAGATTTATCAAGAGCTTAACAGCTTGCTGCACTTTAGTATTTATTGAGGCTTTTTCTGCTTGGGCCAAATGAAGGATGACTCAGAATTCCAGAGTTGAGTCACTTCAGCAAAGTACTTTCACCATTAGAATGATGTTTACTCGTGAAAGATAAAATGACGCTGGGGCTGTGTCTTCAAAAATCTTACATGCTAAGAAGAGGAGAGAGAAAGAAATAGATGTAACCTGTATTTTAAAAAGCAATTAAGCTCTTGTTCTATCTATCCATTTATCTATCTATCTAGTATCACTCTGTTGCCCTGGCTGGAGTGCAATGACATGGTCACTGCAGCCTCAAACTCCTGGGCTCAAGCAATCCTCCCACCTCAGCCTCCTGAGTAGCTAGGACTACAGGCATGAGCCACCATGTATGGCTACTCTTTCTTTCTTTCTTTTTTTTTTTTTCATTTTTGTAGCAGCAGGATCTCACTATGTTGCTCAGTGGTATTGAATTCCTGGCCTCAAGCGATTCTCCTGCCTCAGCCTCCTAAAGCACTGGGATTACAGGCGTGAGCCACTGCACCCAACCTCAACTTCTATTTTAGTTCTGTCTCTTTAAATATTCCATTCACTAATCCAGCTGACTCAGAGCAGTCCTATAAACTATCTGGTGTGATATGAAAATTAAAAAACAGAAAAAAGGAGAAGGGACATTTTACTCCATCCCGAGAGACAAGGGAAAAAAAGGCAGACTGGAGGAATATAAACTTGGCATTTAAATTACCTGTAATGAAGACATTCTGATTTGGACTCACCCTTATAATTCCTTTTGATGAGTCAGTTTAATGAAATCAGACTTTTGTACTGAGAACTCATTTGTACATGTTAGCAGAGAGTAACATGTTAGCAGAGGGTGACACAGATTTTTCTTCTATATTTGATAGAGGAAATGAACAGGTACAATTAAACTTTTGATTAATTCTAAACATTTCAGAAGGATTATTCTGCTAGCTGGGAACAAACTACAATTTTTGATGCTAGTTCAGGCAGTGTGAAGTATGAACATATTGTTTAGACGTGAAGCGCTGACAAGAGAAACATGTGGCTTACTACAAAGGCTACCTTAAGTTTTCATGTGTGCCTAAATAATAAAGTTTCCCCTGTTTTAATGAACAGATTCTATTTTTGCAACTTTAGACTCTAATCTTGATCTTTGTCCAACCCTGCCTCTGCAGAGCACAGGACGCGAGGCCAACCGTGCTGTACTGCCATCTGCTGGGAAGTTAGCCCTCAAGAGCTGAAAGGAGGAGGGCAAAGGTGATCTGGCTCACACCTGCGTAACTGCCCCCGGTATGATAAATGTGTTACTCAAAAATTCTTTTTTTTTTTTTTTTGAGCCAGAGTCTTGCTCTGTTGCCCAGGATGGAGTGCGGTGGCGTGATCTTGGCTCACTGCAACCTCTGCCTCCTGGGTTCAAGCGATTCTCCTGTCTCAGCCTCCCAAGTAGCTGGGATTACAGGTGTGTGCCACCATGCCCAGCTAATTTTTGTATTTTTAGTAGAGATGGGGTTTCACCATGTTGGCCAGGCTGGTCTTGAACTCATGGCCTCAAGTGATCTGCCTGCCTTTGCCCCCCAAAGTGTTGGGATTACTGGCTTGAACCACCATGCCCAGCAGTTACTCAAAATAGAGCTAAATGTAACCAAAACCTCAACAGCCTAGTGTAAGAGCAGAAATTGAGAGGAGGGACTAAAGGGATGCTCTTCCACTTCTGTGAATAGCATGTTCACCCAGTAACTTCCAGGGCTAATGTTTCAGGCCAAAAGAAAAGGCCCCTTCCATGGAGGGGAGTAAAAGAGCACACAGATCCTGGGATACAGAGAGTAAAAACAGGCAATATGTTCATTACTTAGCTCCATCTCCCAGGGCTCTGGATATGACTGAGTTCATGGCAGTCATTTTCCTTTTCAGGATACTCAGTCCAAAATAACCTAGCAACAAGTCCTACTGAGGTCTCAGGGTTCTAAATGGGTTATTATAACTCCTCAAAAGTCATGCTGCCAAAGGGCTAGGGGTGGTGGCTCATGCCTGTAATCCCAGCACTTGGGGAGGCCGAGGAGGGCAGATCACTTGAGGTCAGGTGTTCAAGACCAGCCTGGACAACATGGCGAAACCCCGTCTCTACTAAAAATATCAAAAATTAGCCAGGTGTGGTGGCGCACACCTGTAATCTCAGCTACTCGGGAGGCTGAGGCAGGAGAATCGCTTAGAACCGGGAGGCGGAGATTGCAGTGAACTGAGATCACGCCACCGCACTCCAGCCTGGGCGACAGGGTGAGGCGGTCTCAAAAACAAAACAAAAAAAAGAAGTCATGCTGCCAAAATTAACAATAAATAGCTGACATTCCTCTGGGTTAGCTAACTGAACTGTGAGGGCTACTCACACTGCCAGGTGCTGTTCTAAGGGCTCTGCATGTACTGAATCCTTTAATCATGGGGTAATTAACAGTCATTGGTTCTATGTTAGAGAGGAGAGCACTTGAGGCACTGAGGAATGAGGGAAGCTGCCCATCACCTGCCTGCCAGTCCTGCGGTGTCACCCCTGCTGGCACCCTTAGCCACCACTTGATGCTCCCTCTGCCTGCCTGACAAGGAGAGCCCTTTCTCCTTATCAAACTGGAAAGTCCCTTCCCATCCTGCCTGACTCAGCTCAAATCTATCCACCAGGGAAGCTTTCCTTGCTCCTCCCATGCCGAATTACTGGAGCTCACCCGCTGGCCCACCCATACCCTGTGCCAGCCCGAGTGTACAGGCCAGCCCCTCCATCCAACTCTGCGTTAAGGCTAAGAAATGCGTCTCCTACGTCTCTGCAGCTTTAGGCCTAGCAACATGTTTGACATTTCATAGGTACTTGATAAATCCTGAACAAATGAATAAACAAACAGGAGTATTCTAATATTAAACTATAATAAATAATTCTGCAAGGTAGTTAGATTAATTCCTCGAGCCACGTATTGCCTTACAGTCAAACTGTGTGTGTGTGTGTGTATGTGTGCATGAGTGTGTGTGTGTGTGCATGAATACACAAAGGCCTTGTTGTGGATGGTGAAAATGAACTCTACAGCTCCAGATAGTTTATTTTCATAATCTGAGAATGAAGTCACAAGGAGGTCAACTTTTACTCTCCAAAAATGATTCTAGTAAAATCTACACATAGTAGACAAAATAGCCCTCATGGTAACATTTAACAGTCTGTGAGGTGGCGTGCAAGTGTGTTCCTTATGATAAGGGATGACTTCATCAAGGCTCCTAGCTGTATCATCAGAAATGTAAGTCTCATCAAGAACATATTACAGCAGCATCATAGAGCAGATTTTAACGCTAAATTGCTAAAAACCACCTACAATTCTACAAATAGGGAACAGCCAACTCATGCTTCAACCAATGTGGAATGATAGCCTTAATAGGGATTCCTGACAAACTGTTAAATGGAAAAACAGGATGTTTCTTACCGTTCGTGTAAATACATCTATATATGTGCATGGGAAAAAAGTCTGAAAGAATAGAGTGGTTTCCTCAGGGAAGTAGAAACAGTTGATTTTTGGGTTTTTAGAGTCAGGGTCTCACTGTTGCTCAGGCTGAGGTGCAGTGGCACAATCATGGCTCACTGCAGCCTCGAACTCCTGGCCTCAAGTGATCCTCCTGCCTTGGCCTCCCAAAGCTTTTTGATTACAGGCATGAGCAACTGTGCCCGGCCTCCATCTGTATTTTCTACAACATCTTAAATCTTCTTAGATTTATAAAGGAAAGAAAGGTTTGTTTTAATAACAACAACAACAACAACAACAACAAATTACCCACTCACTTTTTTTCTAGTTTGCCCTGACAAGAAATGATGTTTTGTGTTAGTGATGAAATGGAGTCGAAGATGCAAACACTTATGGTGTTCATTCAGTTATTTCCAAGGACAGGGCCTCTCAGCCAGACATCTGCCCTCATCTCTAGAATGGAAGAGGTCCCCTGCTAGAGGGAAACATCCCTGAAGGACTTTCTAACCCTCAGTCCTACCGTCACCCTCATCTACAGGCTCTGGCCTGCTCATCAGGAAGCAAAACCCTGTGGAGATGCCTTGATCTTATCCAGGTAAATCTTCATTTCTAAATTCATAAGAAAGTAAATCTTCCTTTCTAAATTCATAAGAAAGTATCCCAGCCAGGTGCAGTGGCTCATGCCTGTAATCCCAGCACTTTGGGAGGCTGAGGTGGGCGGATCATGAGGTCAGGAGTTCAAGACCAGTCTGGCTAACATGGTGAAACCCCCATCTCTACTAAAAATACAAAAAATTAGCTGGGCATGGTGGCGGGCACCTGTAATCCCAGCTACTCGGGAGGCTGAGGCAGGAGAATCGCTTGAACCCGGGCAGCGTAGGTTACAGTGAGCCAAGATCACACCACTGCACTCCAGCCCAGGTGACAGTGTGAGACTCAGTCTCAAAAAAAAAAAAAAAAAAAGAAAGAAAGGATCCCTTTGGAGAATATGAGTTTTTTTTTTTAATTTGGACAGGTCAGGTTCCCAGAGCTAAGCCACTCTCAGGGAAGTTCTGCTCCTGAATCTCAGTGACCATTTAGTGACTCTTTAGCTCAGTCCCAGTTCTGGAGGCTGAGCCCAGAGCTCTGAGGAGAACCACCACGTGGTTCCTGCCATTGGAAGACTCAGGGAAGCAGGCCTGAGACACGGGGAAAATCATGCTGTATCTCACTGATCCTAAGACACCAATGATTGTAAAACTTCCACTTATTTTATGTATTAGGGAGAAAGAAAAAAAAATTACACCATGACACATCATTGATTGTAAGAGCCTTCCTACTGTAGATATTCAATTAAAATGTGAAAGAAAAGAAGCACATGTTAGAACTGACGGACTATGGAAACTGCACGATGGTGTTGTAAGTAAAATGTCAGAGAAAGGTGTCCATCCAGGGAACCCTCCAACTGCACAGAGATCAGCCCAAGTGCCGAGAGGCCTCCACCTCCCAGCTTTGGCCGTGGGACTGCCAAATAGAAAATGACAACTGTCTAAGCCCAGGGCTGCTCACTCCAGGCCCTGCCTAAGGGCTCAGGGGATCGAGCTCTTTTTCCTCAGTCCCAGCAAGGCAGCCTGGAGAAGATGAGGACTGAACTAGGGCGGCAGCAGCTGTGAGGGTAGAGGAGGCACAGACTTGGTAATAGGCTGGATGTGGTGGGGAGGGGATACTGGGGAGTCCAAGGGGCCTCCAGGGTTTCTGACTTCGGTGATGATGACCAGGATTGGGGCTACCAAGTGAGAAGCAGGTCTGGAGAAACAGATCAGTTCCATTTCAGATGTCCGGGGAGAACCATAGGACAGCAAGCCCCAGGGCTCTGCAGGGGAGCTGAGCTCAGCAGGAGGTATGGGCTGGAGATGGAGATTTGGGGGTCCTCTGTGAGCAGCAGGTGGCTGGCACAATGGGTGTGGATGAGATTTTCCAGAAAGTATGTGGCATGAGGACAGAGGCTCCTAAGAAACAGCCCAGGGAAACCCTGAAGAGGCAGACAAAGGAAAAGGAAGAGAAAGATGGATGAAGGAAAAGCCCAAGACACAGGAAGGGAACCAAGCAGGGAGGGGGCATGAAGGCCACGGGGGCCTGGAGAGGCCAGAGGAGAAAGCGGGGGGAATGGTGGAAACAGACACGATGAGTCGCACAGACGAAGCCACCAGTGCCTTCAGCCAGGACAGTTTCAGGGGAACGGCGGGGGCAGAAGCAGGAGCAGCAGAAGGTGACAGGGACAAGAGGGCATGGACAACACCAAGCCCAGCCCTGAGGCCTGTGGCATGGGAGGGGAGAGAAGGGATGAGGCAGAGTGGGAGGTGCACGGGCAAGGCAGCTTGAGATTTTCCCGTGCGAGGGATGGTTTTGTAAACACACCCTTCCAGGGCTGGGTGAAGTGAGTCTCTTCTGTCTCTCATTGTCACATGGGAAGGAGAGCCCATCCTCTCCTTGGTGCAATGACAACACCAAGGCATGTTTATGGGCCCAGGGAAATAAGCCAGTGACGAGGGAGAGGCTGACAGTGTAGAAGAGAGGAGAGATAATTGACAGGGCCACCTCCAAGGAGCGGCAGGATGATGGGGGGAGATCGGGTATGGTCATGGCCTCCTTTCCTGCACACCTGTAAAAAGCATGTGGCCTGAGGTGACCAGCTGGCCTCTCTATAGTTTAAAAGTTCCAAAAATTGGGGGGGGGGGGTGTGATGTTTTACACCTGTAATCCCAATGCTTTAGAAGGCTGAGGCAGGAGGATCCTTTAAGCCTAGGAGCTCGAGAATAGCCTGGACAACATAGCAAGACCCTATCTCTATAAATAAAAATTAAAAAGTAGCCAGGTGCAGTGGCTTGTGCCTGTAGTCTCAGCTGCTCAGGAGGCTGGGCCAGAAAGATCACCTGAGCCCAGTAATTTGAGGCTGCAGGGAACTATTACTGTGCCATTGTACTCCAGCCTGGGCGACAGAGCAAGACCCTGTCTCTAAAAATAAAAATAAATTAAAATGTTCCAAAAATTGGTATGAAATCAAATAGCAAATGCCAGAAGAAAAAAAAAACTCCAAAAAGAAAGACCAATTTAAAACCACCTCTGATAACATTACTAATTGTTCCTGATGTGCAGAGCACCTACTGCATGCAGGAAATGGCTGGAAGCAGTTACTTAACAGTGATAGTTGCTGTGTTCTTCGAAAAAGTCTTGAACAAGCTGGTGTCATTATTACCACCTTGCACAGATGGAGGCCTGGAAGGTGAAGGAGCTTGTTCTAGCTGGTATGAGGTATAGCTGATATTGGAGAGAAAAGCAAATTTCCCTGGGGTGGGCTAGTGCCGCGGCACCCTGTGTAAAACTCTGCTACGCCTTGTCCTGTGGTGCTGGATTGGCCGGGGGTAGGAATGCTTCCCCAGCAGGCCCACAGCAAACTCCTCTTTGTCTCCTGAGGGTCTGGGTCAGCCTGGCCTGGATCTGAGTTCAGTTCATATCAACAATATTCCCACATATGTCTGGTGAATTGCAGCAAAGTCAAAACTGTGTCCCATGGTATCATTGATCACTATCAGGTAATCTTGCCTGGAGATTGGTGGCAGGAAGAGGCAGACACTAATTTGGGCCATAAAAAGAAGAGTACTTCTTTGAAATCTAAAACAAGGAAGTAACACTAGCATTTTGCATGATCGTTTACCTCTTTCTGAAAACACTTCTGGTACCCACAGATGATAACTTCAGCTACATTATGCAAAGTGAGAAACACAGGAATGGCCTGAAAGAAAACAGAATAAAAAACATGAAAATATTTTCTTCGATCTCATAATCATATGGTTCTTGATTTTTTGCTTAAAAATAAAGAGCTGTGGAAACTTTTGGCATCCACATATATAATCACTCCAGCAAAGACTTCTACATGGATTAGCGCTCTTTGCTGCAGTATTTCTCTGTAGGTGGATGTAGAGGTTCCCCTCCTACGGGCATTCTCATCAACAAACATTTAAGTCTCCTGTGTGTCAGGCACTGCATCCGGTACAGAGAACACATCCCATGACAAGGTAAACATGCCCCCTCAGGCGAGAGCTCAGATGGGGCAAAAGTGCACCCCGCCCGGCACACGCAGAGCAAGCTTTCTTAGAGGAAGTGAAGTCCAAGAGGACTTGGACTACAAAGTGAAGTGAAGGAATGAGAACTGAACGATGAACTGGCATGGGCCAAACAAAAAGCAGGGAGGTGGCAAAGTGGCCCAGGCAGAGGGGCACACCAAGATCCAGAGGAGAGAGCGGATCCATCTTCTCCGGGGAATGGGAAGAAGTGGGGCATGGGTGGAACATAATGAGGAAGGGGGACGTGAGGGACAGGAAGGTAGAGAGGTATTCACAGGCCACACTGGGAAACAGGATGGTTCTGAGGGACCCAGGAACCAGTGAAGAGTTTTAAAGCTGACCATAACACGATCTGCATGTTTAGAGGAACTTGGGCTGCAGGGTGGAAGACAGGAGGCAGAGAGGGCTGCAAAAGTCTAGGGGCGCCATAGGATGAAAAATGGCCCCCTAAGGCCGGGCGTGGTGGCTCACACCTGTAATCCCAGCACTTTGGGAGGCCGAGAAGAGTGAATCACGAGGTCAGGAGATCGAGCCCATCCTGGCTAACATGGTGAAATCCCGTCTCTACTAAAAATACAAAAAAAATTAGCCGAGCATGGTGGCAGTTGCCTGTAGTCCCAGCTACTTGGGAGGCTGAGGCAGGAGAATGGCATGAACCCAGGAGGCAGAACTTGCAGTGAGCTGAGATCGCACTCCAGCCTGGGTGACAGAGCGAGACTCTGTCTCAAAAAAAAAAAAAAAAAAAAAAAGAAAGAAAAATGGTCCCCTAAAAGACATCCACATTCCAATCCCTGGAACCTGTAAATGTTGTCTGCTATGGCAACAAAGGATCTTTGCAAATGTGAGTAAATTGAAGATCTTGAGACAGGAGATTATCCTGGATTATTGGGTGGGCCCTAAATGCAGTCACACATATCCTTATAAGAGGAGGCAGGTTGACATGCACAGAGAAGGGGCAATGTGACCACAGAGGCAGAGACTGGAGTGATGCAGCCACAAGCTGGGCAATGCCGTGGCCACCAGAAGCTGAAAGAGGCCAGGAACAGATTATCCCCTAGAGGCTCAGGACCGGGCCCAGCCCTGCCCACACCTTGATTTCAAACTTCTGGCCTCCAGAACTATGAAGGATACATTTCTGTTGTTTTAAGTCACCCAAGTATGTGGTAATTTATTACAGTAGCCACAGGAAATGAACACAAGGAAGGACAGGATGGTGACCTGAACTTGGTACTGGCAGCGAAGATGGAGGAAAGGGGCCACATCAAAGAAATATTTAGGAGACTGAACTGAAGTAAATATTTGAATAACTGGATAAACTCTCACCAAAAAAAAAAAAAAAAAAAGGAGAAAATATAAAAAATGTAACAGTGCATTATTAGGATATACTGGTACCTACTGCACATTTCCCATTGCTGGGACATTTGTTAAGAGTGGCATACTCTCCTAATGGATAGGTAGCCTTGACAAGGTGAGGGGGGAGAATGAGGAGGAGAGGAATTCTGTTGCCTTGTTTTTCATTTTTGTTTTTTGAGACAGAGTCTCGCTCTGCCGCCTGGGCTGGAGCGCAGTGGTGCCATCTCGGCTCACTGCAACCTCCACCTCCTGGGTTCAAGCAATTCTCCTGCCTTAGCCTCCCAAGTAGCTGGGACTATAGGCACCTGCAACCACGCCCGGTTAATTTTTGTATTTTTTTAGTAGAATCGGGGTTTCACCATGTTGGCCAGGCTGGTCTCGAACTCCTGGCCTCAAGTGATCCACCTGCCTTGGCCTCCAAAGTGCTGGGATTACAGGTGTGAGCCACTGCCCCTGGCCTGTTGTCTTTATTGTTGATAATGATAATGATGCTTCCTGGAAGGCAGAAAATGAAAATAAGAGCATAGGTTTTGTCATCACTCTGGGCTCCAGCTCCACCACCTGCTAGTGGGGCAAGGTCTGCATCCAAACTTTTGTTTCCTCCCCTGTAAAGCAGGGATAACAATACCCCATAGCCTGGAGCTGCCAAGAGGAACGACCCAAATACTATAGGTTAAGGACCTTGATGAGTGGCTCAGCAGCACTGCACAAAGGGTGTCAATAACATTAACTGGTAGCCCCGCCCTCAGCAGCCTCTGCAGAGGACCAACCTGGGTAAACTGCTCCAGTTTAGAGGACCTGCTTCAAAATTATGCCGCTTGCCTACTTTCAGATGAATTTATTCTTTATCTTTACGGAGGACATATTTTTACCTTGTTTTTAAAACTTCTATAGCTTTATATAGCTGTGCCATTTTAGTAATCTGTTCTAACTCGCACTGTTTCATTTCTGAGTTCTTGCCTTACATTTTTCTTACCTTTTTAAAAAAACATTTTCTATTTTTATCTTTCATTAAAAGTTCAACTCAAATTGTTTTTTTCTTTTAAAATAGAACTATTTTAGCTTCTATTTTTTCATTTATCTTTGTGTTTCTTTTTATTCCTCTTAAATTTTTAGATTTTAACTTATTTTTCATGTTTGTTAAGATTATTAAAGAGATTACATATTTTAAAGTTGGCTTTCTCCATTAGGCCCATGTTTGGCAAACTTGGGCCCTGGCCTTCCAATTCTTGGCTTGAAAGGACAGCAAAAAAAATCTTGGACAGGTTAATCACATGACACATGGAAGCTAATATTAAAGTGGGGGCTGGATCTTACTGAATTAAGACCTTATGTAAATGTTTTTTGCCTCCTTGGCTATAAAATCAGTAATGAGGTCAGATAATTCTAGACCCAACTTTAGACTTCGACAAGGCTTAATTTTCTCAATTTTAGGACCTGCAGGCTGTTTTCTCAATCTTCCTAGGCCCTTACTCTGATCAGATTCTGGAAAAGGATCTATTTATACATGTAGAATTAATTTTAAAGTACACTAACAATAGCCACCAACAATGTGTTAAACATAGTGCTAAGTATTTTATGTGTATTCTCTTATTTAAACCTCCTCCCAGCACCTCTCTTACCAGATGCTATTACCCTGATTTTATAAACAATGAAAATGGGGCTGAGAAAGACTGGCCACTTGCTCGAGTATTCACAGCTGGTTCAGTGGCAAAGCCATGACCCCAATCCAGGCCTGTCTAACAGCAAAGCCCACACCTTCTAGCCTTGGAGTTGTGACGCACAAATTATGTCAAGCCACAGTGAAAACTTCCGGGACCTCCAATTGTCCAAAGTTCAATATGACTGGTGTGTTCCAAATCCTGGCCATTTGCTTCTCCAGTAATAAACCTGCTGATATGGTTTGGCTCTGTGTCCCCACCCAAATCTTATGTCGAATTGTAATTCCCAATTTTGGGAGAAAGAACAGGTGGGAGATGATTAAATCATGGGGGTGGATGTCCCCCTTGCTGTTCTTATGATAGTGGTTCTCATAAGATCTGGTTGTTTAAAAGTGTGCGGCCCTTCTCCCTTCATTCTCTCCTGCTCCGCCATGGTAAGAGGTGCTTGCTTCCCCTTCACCTTCCACCATGATTGTAAGTTTCTTGAGGCCTTCCAGCCATGCTTCCTGTACAGCCTGCAGAACTGTGAGTCAATTAAACATCTTTTCTTCATAAATTACCCAGTCAAGTAGTTCTTTTTTTTTTTTTTTTTTTTGAGTTGGAGTCTTGCTCTGTCACCCAGGCCAGAGTGCAGTGGCGCCATCTTGGCTCACTGCAACCTCCACCTCCCGGGTTCAAGTGATTCTCCTGCCTCAACCTCCTGAGTAGCTGGGACTACAGGCCCTGCCATGAAGCCCAGCTGATTTTTGTATTTTTAGTAGAGACGAGGTTTCACCATGTTGGCCAGGTTGGTCTCGAACTCCTGACCTCAAGTGATCTGCCAGCCTTAGCCTCCCAAAGTGCTGGGATTACAGGCACAGGCCACCGTGCCTGGCCTGTCAGGTAGTTCTTTATAGCAGTGTGAGAATGGACTAATACAGCTGGTAAGAACTAAAATGGATGAACTCAGAGTAAACCTATGCCTTTTTTAAAAAGGCTTTCTTCTACTCCTGCTTAATAAATTTTAAATCTGATTTTCTCAAGCCATTTTTTCTACTGAGAAGCTAACAGGCTTTAAAGACCCTTACTCTACAATTGACCAGTTGCACTCTATCAGCCTGTGTAGGGCTCTATTAAAAACAATATTAAGACAGTTTGCACCTTTTTTTTTTGAGACGGAGTCTCACTCTATTGCCCAGGCTGGAGTGCAGTGGCACGATCTTGGCAACCTCTGCCTCCCAGGTTCAAGCAACTCTCCTGCCCCACTCTGCCGAGTAGGTGGGATTACAGGCATACACCACCACGCCCAGCTAATTTTTGTATTTTTAGTAGAGATGAGGTTTTGCCATGTTGATCAGGCTGGTCTCCAACTCCTGACCTCAGGTAATTCACCCACCTCGGCCTCTCAAAGTGCTGTGATTTACAGGTGTAAGCCACCATACCCGGCCAGTTTGCAACTTTAATTACCAATCTTTCCCTGGCCTCTAACTCTGTACAATTCCTAATGTGAACTATAACCCATTAGTTCAGGAAACCCCTAGTGACTGATGCTTTCAGAAAATCTGCCCTTTATTATCTTTAAGGAGTCAAGTTCAGCAGGACTTATTTTTGTTAAATCAAACAAAAATGCTAAGAAATGATAAAAGCAATAATAGTAGCTAAGATATCTTGAGTGCTTACTACGTGTCAGACACTGTACCACTTTTATATATTTAAACTTCATAATAACCCTATGAGATAGATATTATTAAAATCCCCATTATACGGTCAAGAAAACTGAGGAATATGTTCTGGTTCTCTTTTTTACCTGACTCTTCATGATTTGAAACCACTTTTGGATGATCTAGATATCTGCTAAAGAGAAACAGAAAACTAGGTGATGCTCTTCACCACTGTCAAGACTGTAGGAATGGCCTCAACATCAAAAGGTCCTACTCTCTTTCATCAGGGAAAATGGCACAACATCAGGAACCATAAAGCCCAAAGCAGCATTTTTGAAATAATTCTGTAAAAAGGTAATTGACCAAATTAAACATACTGCAGGAAAATGCATTAAATTACTTAGGGACACAATTTGCAACTACTTTATTCCTAGAATCCATTAGCTGAAAATTCAACATTTCATCCATGCACCGTTGAAATTTTTCTCTGGCTATAAAGAGAAATTGGTAACTCTCACTCAGAAATATTTCATTATTCTCATACTTCCTAGAGTGGAATTTTGAAGGCTTGGTTATTTGTTCAGGTGTTGGAACTAACTTAGAATGGTTTCCCATGGAAAGTCTTGACCCTGCTCACAGGCACGGCTTCGGTCACTCTACAGAGGTGTGAACGACTCCCCTATTCAAGCGCAAGTTCTGAGTCAACTTCTCAATTTTTGTAAAAGAATGTCAATCCTACCTTTCTATTTGGGTGATTTTTAAATATGCAGATGTGTCCTTAACCTATAATACAGAATAACTGACCTCCAGGTCCTTGTCAAAGAAAGTAACTCTGAACTGTTGGCTGACTAATTTTTACCAAAATCGTGCATGCAAGAAATAATGTTCCTAGGCCGGGTGCAGTGGCTCATGCCTGTAATCCCAGCACTTTGAGAGGCTGAACCTGGTGGATCGCCTAAGGTCAGGAGTTCAAGACCAGCTTGGCCAACATGGTGAAACCCCGTCTCTACTAAAAATGCAAAAATTAGCCAGGCATGGTGGCAGGCACCTGTAATCCCAGCTACTCAAGAGGCTGATGCAGGAGAACCACTTGAAGGGAGGCAGAGCCTGCAGTGAGCCAAGATGGCACCACTGCACTCCAGCCTGGGTGACAGAGCAAGACTCTGAAAGAAAAAAAAAAAAAGAAAGAAAAGAAAGAAAAGAAAAGAAAAGAAAAGATCCTAGAGGATTGTCTAAGGCCCTGAACGGAGCCAAATAACCAGAGACGCATGGATTTTACCCCAGAGACCTGCTCCTACTGAACAGTGCTGTGTCATCATTCTGTCTCCATGTGCACTAAGAATTCTAGACACTGGTGAGTATTTTGAGTGTTATAAGGACATTATTAAAGACCTGCCTCACTGAGTCACCCAGCCTACCCTTTATGAGGCCTCAGGAAAACTTCAATTAGTTGTAATTGTGTTTTAAGTTGACTTTTTTTGCTAGAATGCAGTGGCGTGATCATAACTCACTGCAGACTCAAACTCCTGGGCTCAAGTGATCCTCCCACCTCAGCCTCCTGAGTAGCTAGGACTAGAGGCACATGCCACCAGGTCAGGCTACTTATTTTATTTTTTGTAGAGATGAGATCTGGCTATGTTGCTTAGGCTGGTCTCGAACTCCTGGGCTCAAGCAATTCTCCTGTCTCAGCCTCCTAAAGTCTGGGATTACAGGCATGGGCCACCATGTCTAGACTTTCATAACTTTTTTATTTGGCTGCAGAAAGCTCAGAGCTGAATTCAGACCCAATTGTAATTATGTTGTGAGATACTACAATATAAATTTCTATGTGCTAAATCTCTCTGTGACATCATCTGTTACCTTTTACTTAGATTTCTTTCTTTCTTCTTCTTTTTTTTTTTTTGAGACAGAGTTTCACCCTGTTTCCCAGGCTGGAGTGCAGTGATGCGATCTTGGCTCACTGCAACCTCTGCTTCCTGGGTTCAAGCGATTCTCCTGCCTCACCCTCCTGAGTAGCTGGAACTACAGGCACACGCCACCATACCCGGCTAATTTTTGTATTTTTAGTAGAGACGGGGTTTTGCCACGTTGGCCAGGCTGGTCTCGAACTCCCAACCTCAGGTGATCCACCTGCCTTGGCCTCCCAAAGTGCTAGGATTACAGGCATGAGCCACCATGCTGGCCCTTTTACTTAGATTTCTTATACAATTCTCTTCATAAGAGTGTTTATCTTTTTTTAACTGTAATTATTTTTGTAAGCTACCACACATCCTCTCTGGAAGAAGGTGAGGTATCTGAATATGCATATGTGCACATTTAAGTGAATATTCATAAACTGACTTGTATGAAATAGACTGTAGTGTTTATTTACACTCATCTTACTATTCTGCCATTAGATGGCAAACTCCTTGAGGGCAGAGGACCAGACTGCCTTCTTTCCCAGCCTCCAGTACAAGCTGGGAGGTCCTCTTTGTCCTTCATTTGAGGATCACATAAAGTAGCTGCCTGGTGTGTAAGGGCCTCAACATATTAAAAATACATACCTTGCCGGAGCTCCTCCAATTTGGCAAAATACTAATCCTAAGAGAGATGCCAGGGAATCAGAGAAGGCCTAAGGGGGCCTCAGTCTTCCAGCCTGGCATTAACGCATGGGTGGGAATGGTGGGCGGACTTGCCTGCTCTCAGGGAATGGCTGTTTTCTTCACACTTTACCCAAGTCCACTAACTGAATTCAGTTAAACTAAATATGCATATCCCACAGGAACACAGAGGAGTTCTGAGTGAGACAAGTAAGAACACATTATCACCCCCTCCTTTTCACACAATCCTCAAAAAAACTCCTACTGGAACCTAGGTGATTTTTATTTTTATTTATTTTTTTGAGGCGGAGTCTCGCTCTGTCTTCCAGGCTGCAGTGCAGTGGCATGATCTCGGCTCACTGCAACCTCCGCCTCCCGGGTTCAAGCGATTCTTCTGCCTCAGCCTCCTGAGTAGCTGGGATTACTGGTGCATGCTACCATGCCAGGATAATTTTTTGTATTTTTAATAGAGACGGGGTTTCACCATGTTGGCCAGGATGGTCTCGATCTCCTGACTTCATGATCCATCCACCTCAGGCTCCTAAAGTGCTGGGATTATAGGCGTGAGCCACCGAGCCTGGCCTAGATTATTTTTTTTTTTATTGTGGTAAAATATACATCACAAAAAGTTGCCACCTTAACCATTTTTAAGAGCATAGTCCGTTCACACTTCATTATGTACATTCACACCATTGTACAACCATCACCACCCTCCACTGCCAGAACTCTTTTCATCTTGCAAAACTGAAACTCTGTGCCCATTAAACACTATCTCTTCATTCTCCCCTACTCCCACCCCTGATAGCCACCATACTACTTTCTGCCTCTATAAATTTCATTACTCTAAGTACCAGATATAAGTGGAGTCACACAGTATTTATCTTTTTTGTGACTGACTTATTTAGCATAATGTTCTCAAGGTTCATCCATGTTGCAGCCAGGATTTTCTTCCTTTTTAAGGCTGAATAATATTCCATTGTTTGTATTTTTATTTTTATTTTTTTGAGATAGACTCTTGCTCTGTTGCCCAGGCTGGAGTGCAATGGTGCAATCTTGGCTCACTGCAACCTCTGCCTCCTGGGTTCAAGCAATTCTCCTGCCTCAGCCTCCCAAGTAGCTGGGATTACAGGCACTCACCATCATGCCCAGATAATTTTTTGTATTTTTAGTAGAGGCAGGGTTTCACCACATTGGTCAAGCTGGTCTCGAACTCCTGACCTCAGGTGATCCACCTGCCTTGGCCTCCCAAAGTGCTGGGATTGTGGGTGTGAGACACTGTGCCCAGCCCCATTGTTTGTATTTATCACATTTTATCTATTCATCCATCAATGGGCACTGAGATTGCTTCTACCTTTTGTCTATTGTGAATAATAGCCAAATGAATATGGATGCACAAGTATCTCTTCCTCTCCCTTCTTTCAGTTCTTTTGGGTATACATCCAAAAGTGGAACTGCTGAATCATATAATAATCCTACTTTTGATGTTTTGAAGAAGCACCATACTGTTTTCCATAGCAGCTGCACCACTGTGCATTCCCACCCGTGGTGCTCAAGGGTTCCAACTTCTCCACATCTTTACCAACACTTGTTATTCTCTGGTTTTTTGGTAACAGCCATTCTCATAGGTGTGAAGTGGTATCTCCTATAGTTCTGATTTGCATTTTTCTAATGATTAATGATGTTGAGCCTCTTTTCATGGATTTATCAGTCTTTAAATATCATCTGTGGAGAAATACCTATTCAAGTCCTTTGCCCATTTTTCAATCAGGTTGTTTGCTTTTGTTCTATTAAGTTTTATGAGTTCTCTATATAGCCTATAAGTGAATCCCGCAATTGAAGAGTGAATAGGAAATATTTCCTCCCTTTCTGGGGGTTGCCTTTTTACTTTGTTGATAGTATCCTTTAAAGCACCAAAATTTTTCATTTTGATGAAGTCCAATTACTCTATTTTTCTTCTGCTGCCTGTGCCTTTGGTGTCATATCCAAGAAATCCTTGCCAAATCCAACATCATGAAGCTTTTCCCCCAGGAGTTCAATGTTAATAATAAGCCATTTTATGGCCGTGCGCAGTGGCTCATGCCTGTAATCCCAGCACTTTGGGAGGCTGAGGCGGGTGGATCATCTGAGGTCGGGAGTTTGAGACCAGCCTGACCAACATGGAGAAATTTCATCTCTAGTATTTTTTATACTAAAAATACAAAAGTAGCCAGGCGTGGTGGTGCATGCCTGTAACCCCAGCTAGTCGGGAGGCTGAGGCAGGAGAATCACTTGAACCTGGGAGGCAGAGGTTGTGGTGAGCCGAGATCACGCCATTGCACTCCAGCCTGGGCAACAAAAGCGAAACTCCATCTCAAAAAAAAAAAAAAAAAAAAAGCCATTTTATAAAAGTTACAGGACAATTTTTAGAGGGAGCAAGATGATAAGAAAAATCCAGGGAGGAGTTTACTGTATTGCCACTGAGCCCACATTTTAAAAACTTATCCTTGTAGTTGGACTCTGATCACCTGTGATGAAAACACAGTGTGACAGAGGGAGCTGCCTCTCATCAGCAGTAACAGGGACATTAGGGGCGGATGCTCCATTCTACACCAACATTTACACTCTTCCTTTGTGGATCCAACTTCCTTTATGATATTGGAGCCACACAAAGACAGAGAGGACCCACGGGTACCATTTTGCTTAACTGAGTAACTCACTCCACATGGGTTTAATGATCCATATGTGTTTCCTCATCAACATCCCCCTACCGCACACACAATCCCATCTCCATCCCCAGTATGTTGAGTGAATATTGTGCTCATGGAAGAGAGAAACAAGGACAAGCCATTAGGAAGGACCAAGATCAAAGAGCTCAGCAAGGAAAACAATTCCTGTCCTGTCAAGGTGCCTTGACCTAGACTTCTAGGGTCCCTCCAGCTGCAGACCCTGGCCTCCCCCAAGCAAGAAAACAGCATGGCTTGAGCCAAATTGCCAATGCCAGGATGGCCTCTCTCCACCAAGCTCAGTAATGTATGAATTTGTACATCTTTTCTGAACACTGGCCAGCACAGGCTGAGGCAGTCCTGTCCAGCTGAGAAGGCTTTTGACCAGGAAATTATAAGAAGAGTCATGAGCCATCAAAGTCATACTGTCCCTCCAAGACTGACACTCACCCATCAGAGCCATGATCACTGTGACCTTACTCAGTGTAGGAAAGCTGGGCAAGCAGGCCCGAATCAGCCCAAGTCCAACTCACACTTCATCAAGATTGGTGACAGAAAGTGCCTGGCACATGCTTAACATCAAATATTCATGGTGGCTGTTCCCATGGTGAGCTGTGTGTCTTTCACTCCCTGCCCCATCCCTTTCAGTTCCTCAAGGTCAGAAACCAGGTCTTATTTGTCTTTATGCCCCCAACACATAGTAGGTCCCAAATAACTATGTAGTGAATGGACAGCTACAAGAAAAATCTCCTTTCCCTTAACTCTGTAGATCATTTGGTTGTGAGTCTGAGGTAGAAAAATCAACCAAGAGCTTTTCCCATAGCATCTGTGCAGAGTTAACTCAGCTTCCTCCCAGAAGCTACAGATCAGGAGAACAGAACTTCAAGGTCTTGTCAGATAAAGGAGGGCTTTATGGAGCAGAGCTACCCCGAAAGTGTTTTGCATAACAATACATCTACGGATTTTAATGGAGCGCTTTTCCCCCATTCCTTATGGATTCATTAAACTGACAGCTTGGCACCAGCATATTGATGCCTGTTTTCTATCCAACACAAACTGTACAAGTGCCTCATGTTTATCCACCCTATGAATTTCTAAGCAACGATGTAAAAACAAAGAACTCAGAAACAAAGAAAAGATGCTGGGTTGAGTTATTTTACTATAAAACAATAATAAGCATCTGCTTTCCGCCCTCCTCCCACTCTAATTGGGTGTATTTGGTTTTTGGTTGTTTCCCTTTGTTCAAAGATTTTGAATTGCAACAGCTTCTTTTTGCTTATTTAAGAAGAATGTGCTCTCAGCAGGGTGCATGGCCCGTGTCTGTAGTCCCAGCTACTCGGGAGGCTGAGGCAGGAGGATGACGTGAGCCCAAGAGTTTGAGGCCAGCATGGGCAACACAGTGAGACCCCCATCTCTAAAAAAAGGCTGTGCTCTAGAGGAATGCCACTCAAAGTGCTGGTCCTCGAGAAGATAAGGAGTTGGCAAGAGAATGTAAAATCAATGCATCGCTTCCTCCTTCAAAATGTCTTGCAAAAAAAAAAAGCCAGCTCAATTAAACAGTGTGATTAGTGCCAAAGTCGATCTCTTCATGGACAGGTAACAAAGAATTCAAAGACCAGGACAGCTGCAGATCACAGCTCAAGAAGCGTTGTTGAAGGCTGCAGAACTCCCCAACTGCCTGAAAACACACTAGACTGACATTTACCATGGTCTTCTGAGAGGGTTTGGCAACTTAGTATCAGTACCTCTTTGTGTGTGTGTGGGGCGGCGGGGGGAGGGTAAAGCACTCCAACATTGAGGATCCATTACAGCCTGCTCTCCATATCTGGGACCCAGGCAGAGATCCTACATGAATAGGCCTCCAAGTGTCTCCAACCACAGTGAATGGTTCAGGGAAGTCTTGAACCAGGGCTGGCCAATCAACATAATTCCAACCTTGTGGTCAGTTTTCAGATCAAGGATGGGCAGTGGCCCTGACTGATCCAATCAGAGTGAAGCCTGGGACTCATGCAGGAACTACCAGGAAAATGGTCTCTTTCCACTAAAGTTGTGAGAATGTGAGGCTGCAGTTGACACCCATTGTTGGGGGCAGCTGTACAACACTCATTGTTGCTATAGGGGTGGGCTGGATGTGAAAAGAAACAAAGATGGGGAGCAGAATTGAAAGACAGAGAAACTGGATTCTGAGTGTAATACTGGAGCCTCTGGACAAAGCCATTCGTGACATAGGTTTCTACCCCAAGACTTTTCAGTTATATGAACTGGTAAATCTTCCTTTTGCTTAGACCAGTTTTTGAGCTTTCTAACACTTGCAACTGAAAGAGTCTAATGTTATACAATGACTACTACACCCTGGGCTCACTCTAAAATCCATACGCATTGGCCCTAAAGAAACAATTCTGAAAAGGCAAAAGGTGGGGAGTTAGAAGAGCTGCCATGCCAGGTGCAGTAGCTCATGCCTGTAATCCCAGTGTTCTGGGAGGCTGAGGCGGCAGGATTGCTTGCGCCCAGGAGGTCAAGATCAGTCTGGGCAACAGAGCAAGACCCCATCTCTAAAAGAAAATAAATAAATAGCTGGGTGTATTGGCAAGTACCTGTATTCCCTGCTACTTGGGAGGCTGAGGTGGGAGGATGACTTGAGCCTATTGAGCCCAGAAGGTCGAGGCTCCAGTGGGCTGTGATTGTGCCACTGCACTCTAGCCTGAGCCACAAGACCACAAGAGCAAAACTCTGTCTCAAAACAAAAACAAAAAAACGAGAGCTGCCACTATCTGGGACTAGAGGCAAGTTTAGCAAGACTTTCCACACCTACATCTCTTCCTCTGTCAAGTGGTTAGCAGCTGCCTCACCTATCATCTGTCAAAAGATTGCAAGAATCACATAAAAGGACACGAAGGAAATCACTCTGGAAGCCTATGAAAAAAAGCACTGTATGAACAAAAAGTATTATCATTATGAACATAACACCTTGTTATTCAAACTTCAAAATTCTGGCAAATGTAACTATCCAGAGCCTAGAAAAAAATTTAAAAGAATTTGAGCAACACATTGCTTTTACCAAAATCCAATAGTCTATGGCGTAGGAGAGGAAACACTCTTTGCAGGCCAAAGGGTATAAACTGAGGCGGTAAGAGCCTGAGAACAAAGAAGGCACAGCAGACAGCCAGGGCAAGCCTCGTGGTCTGAGCTGAGCAGCAACATGCACCGTGGGTCAGTTCTCAGGCCCACCCAGGAAAGTTCTTCCCCATTGCATATATCACCCCATCTACTCAAGCTTATGAATCATGAAAGAAAAATGATTATTTAATTTCAAAATTACAGTCCTCACTGCTATTTTGCAACTTTGGAGTTGCTGTCCTAACAACAACATTGTTATCCAATTAGGCAGATTTTATTTGTTTGTTTTTACTGTTTTTATAGCTGAGATCTAAGGGGCTAACATAACAACAAGAATTTTACATTAAAAGACTAAAATGTTTTGCACATTCTGCACTTTCCCCAAAGTCAGAATACAACTATTTTCTAATAGATAAAAACAGTTAGTAGTCATGGTACAAGACTGGAGGAGGTATTAACATCATTCCTGATTTTTAAGCCACCTTCTGTTAATGATGGTTTTAATGGATTCTCTTTTGATGGCAAAATAAATAAATTTTTGGAGTTCCAAATAATGTATCTGGAAGTAACTTAGCTCTTCACAGTTCCTGCATTTGAGGAGCTCAGTCCTGCAGAGAAGTGGTGGGAGGACAAAACAGTCAGCTTGTTTTACTAGCTTCCCCGTGTACAGGACATCAACCCTGTGCCAGGCATTTGCATCCATGACCAAGCTCACCAGGCCACGTTACCAATGGGCAGGGTTTGGTTCCTCAGAAGCAAGGAGTAGTTTGGGCCCTGCCTCCCTGCTCCTGTGGACAGCCTGCATTCAGGCAGAGTTGGGGCATTCCCACTCTGCCCATCTCCACGGGGAAGCAGTCCCAGCAGGGCCCGTCTCTGGCCAGCTCCACGAATACCATTACTCTTTCTTCTGCTTCTCCCTGTGCATCCCCACCTTGTAACACAAGTTGGCCTTCCCTGTTATCTGATTATCTTCAACTCAACAAAAGGGAGTAATAGGTCCCATTATTATCATTATTAAAGTGATTCTTTGCCCTTATTGAGCTGAGGCATGATAAGTTAAAAGGCAAAGGGGAAAGGGAGAGAGGAGTTGTTTCCCCTGAACCTCTAATACTTACCAGTCTGGACAATGCTCTGGACCCAGCATAGATTATACCCACAAACAGCACTGAAGCAGGAAGCCACACAAGAACATGAGATCTGAAAAGAGGGGAAAAAAGCAATAACACTTTTGCCACTTTTTGTTAAGAAAGACCTAGCTGGAAAGGCTGACCCTCCAGATGCATCAACTACAACAACAGAGGCTGTCTAAAAATCCCTGGCAGACTTGTTAAGTGAGATGTAGTCTTTATCGATTGAGTAGTGGAGGCAGATAAAGCCATCCTACCTACAATCCCATCATTACTGATCATCTAGCCTAAGAGATCCCAGAAATGGAAATGGCAAACGCCTTGCTGCAGCTTGGAAGAGAGAACAGATCTGGTTTTTTCCAAGGGCAGTGAACATTATTCTTTGGATTTTAAGTAACCAAAAGTTTTGAATCCACTACAGATTATTAAAAATTGAAAAGGTTATTTACCCAGGCTACACCAAACAGCTCCGTGGAATCACAACAAAAAGAACCAGTTTCAAGGGATGAAATTGAAAAAAAGAATCCCAGAACTTCAGTTGGGTGGCCATAGGCTGGCTTTTTCAACCATTAACCTGGCATTGCTGGAATTCTGGTTCAGGGACCCTTTAAGGACTTCCGAAGGGTACATTTATTTTTCAATTGTAGCCACACCACGAACTGCTTTTCTCTTACAATTTAGAATCAAAATCCTAGTTCTCACACACAGTGCATATCACTGAGGTTGCAACCTGCTTCTCTCATCAGTTAGAAATGCATTTTATTGGCCGGGCATGGTGGCTCAGGCCTGTAATCCCAGCACTTTGGGAGGCTAAGACAGGTGGATCAGTTGAGGTCAGGAGTTCTAGACCAGCTTGGCCAACATGGTGAAACCCCGTCTCTACTAAAAATACAAAAGTTAGCCAGGCATGGTGGTGGCGAGCACCTATAATCCCAGCTACTCAGGAGGCCAAGGGAGGAGAATCACCTGAGCTCAGGAGGCAGAGGTTGCAGTGAGCCAAGATCACGCCACTGCAATCCAACCTGGGCGACAGAGCAAGACCTTGTCTCAAAAAAATAAAAAAAGAAGCATATTCAATCTACTAATTCAAGTTCCCAGAGTTATCCTAATAATGAATAAAAATAAATGAAACCATTCCAGCAGGATATAACATAATAATCCCAACTAACTCAATGAACTGATCTCCTGGAATGATGCCTGCTCAAGAAATGTTCTTTGTTAATTTTATTAGCATGGGCAAGCACTCCATCCAAGATCAGGTCTGATCTGTACAACTTCCTGGAGAACCTAGCATTTAAATGTTTCCAGTCTAGCAAGGGCCTTCAATCCTTACTTGCTGCATAAACTCATTGTGCAAATACTTACAGCAACTTACAAGGTGCTGAGAATTATCATTAATAGCAGCATCACAGGTAACATTTATTGAACACTTGCCACAAACCAAGCACTTTGCTGGTTTTTTCTTTTATATGTTTTAAATGTGTTATATGCTGCATTTTTTGTTTTAAATGTTTTATATACTGCATCTTTCTTAAAGTTGCACAATAATCTTATGAGGAAGGTATTTATTATTATTACCCTCATTGTACAGATGAGGAAACTGAGACAAAGAGTTTAGATAATTTGCCTGCGGTGAGAAGAGCTGGTAAATGGCAAAGCCAGAATTTGAATTGAGGTCTGTCTGGCTCCAAAGCCCTAGCTGTTAAACGCCCATTCATATTTTGCCTTCACGGACCTCATAATCTAATGGGAGACACTGACATACAAATAGATAAGCTGCAAACACTCAGATAATTGACCAAGCAGCCAATTATCTGAGGGATATTCTGTTACACTAGTCGTGCTGTAATAGATGTCAGCACCCCCAACCAAAAGATGAACAGAGAAAGGAAGATCCCATCCTCCATTGCAATGGATCAGGGGTGACATCAGTCAATTGCTATTCTTCTAGGAAGTGGCTTTTCCCACTTGACATTAAGCTCACATGAATCAAGGGAGGCAGGATACAGGCCCATGGCCTGTTGTGCACCAGAAGGAAGCACAGAGCACATACTGCAGGCAGGGCATTGAGGAGGAAGGAGGAGGTGCACTGGGTGAAACGGCAGCTGGCCTCACTGCGGGAGGCCCAGGACTTTGGAATGTAAGGTCAGCGAGGCCCCAGACATGTGTACTCCATGCCCTCTTAAAACAAAGAAAACTGCTGAGTTATATATTCCAAGAGGCATCAGGGTGTTTGAATGGCCATGGATGTGAGGAAAAGAAAACATGCCTAGGGAACACCTTGTATTTTAACCCTCCTACCCAAAAATACAAAGAAATAACTTTAACTAGAAAAGAGATACACAGGACTAGTAGGACCAAACAGACTTGTGGGAAGTGTTAGAGGACAGCGGAGTGAGCCTCTGGCTCCAGACGTGGGACCACCTCCCAGGCACAGGACCCCGGTGCTTGTGTTCTCCGAAGTCATCTCCCTCAGGGGCAACAGGGCCAAAGCAACACACACTCATGGCACTTCAGACACACAGGAGAGGCAGTGGACTGCAGAGCCACCATGCTGTCAGTGTGACGGCTGTCTTTCTCCACCACACACCAACCTAAGACCATAGCCGCTGCTAAGAATACATTTGAATCACTGGAAAAATGGCTGACAAAACAGGTGTGGGCAAGGCAAGTGTGAAGGGATAGGGCAAAAAGGAAAAAGAATTAAAAATCAAAGACTCTTGATTTATATTGTTTCAAAGTACCAAAGGCCTCATTCTACTTTAACCATGTATTTCAATGGAAAATCATAGAGTATATGCTAAGGGTAGTATATGCAAGAAACGGACACCAGTCAACAATCCACACACAAACGAAAAGCCTTACCACAAAATCAGCAAATTAATGCACATTTATATGTCTTTAATTAAAATAAATAGATTGTTTCAGCAAAAGATGATTCCCTAGGCCAGGTGCAGTAACTCACACCTATAATCCCAGCACTTTGGGAGGCCAAAATGGAAGGATAATTTGAGTCTGGGAGTTTCAGACCAGCCTGGGCAACACAGCAAGCCTGTCTCTACAAAAAATTTAAAAATTCAGCTGAGTGTGGTGGGTTGAGACTGTAATCTCAGCTACTTGGGAGGCTAAGGTGGGAGAATCGTTTGAGCCCAGGAGGTCAAGGCTGCAGTGAACCATGATCATGCCATTGCACTCCAGCCTGGGCAGCAGGGGTAAGACCTTGTCTTTTTAAAAAAATATAAAAATAGGCCAGGTGTGGTGACTCACGCCTGTAATCCCAGCACTTTGGGAGGCCGAGATGGGCAGATCACAAGGTCAGGAGTTCAAGACCAGCCTGGCCAATATGGGGAAACCCTGTCTCTTACTAAAAATACAAAAATTAGCTGGGTAAAGTGGTGGGTGCCTATAGTCCCAGCTACTCAGGAGGCTGAGGCAGGAGAATCACTTGGATCTGGGAGGTGGAGGTTGCAGTGAGCCAAGGTCGTGCCACTGCACTCTAGCCTGGGTGACAGAGTGAGACTCCATCTCAAAAAAATAAAAATAAAAATAAGATTCCCTGATTTATGTGACTTTCAATTAACCCACTAATTATCTGACTGACAGAGTCAGAAAAGGGAGCTCCTGTATATATTATTAATGTCTCCTCCACCCCTCAAATACACTGTGTCACATGGGTGGGAACCGTATGTGTTTTGTTCATATAAAATAAATGAAAACACTACATTGATAACTGTTATAAAGGAGACTAAAGGACCATGCTATACAATAAGGGAAACTGACCTAATCAGTGAGAATAGGGAAAGCTTCCCCATATACGTGACGTTTGAGAGGGAAATTCAAAGTTAAACTGGCTACAGGAGACAGGGTAGAACAGTGCAAGGGACACGACATTCCAGACATAAACACGGCATGTGCAAAGGCCCTGTGGCAAGAAGAAATTGGAGGAAGGCAAGTGTAGCTTGAGAAGATGGAGGAATAAACCCAGGGTAGGGAGCGAATAATATGGTCTAACTTGTATTTTGACAAGGTTGCTCTGGCTGTAGTACGGAGAACACGTTGGAACAGGGTTAGGGGTGGTGCATTAAGACAGGAAAAAGTTGAAAACGCTTGACTGGAGAAAATCATGAATTCAGTCTTGAAAATTATGAACTTGAGATGCTTTTGGGACACCCAAGCAGAGATATCAAGTAGGCAACTGGATCAAGGATCCTTTCCTGTCCTCTAGTGAGCAAGAATGCACTGTTAAGCATGTCTTACATTTGGTTTTACTGTATTTCCTTATCCTTCAGTTCTGAGAATAAAATATACAAGGCGGGCAGATCACGAGGTCAGGTGATCGAGAACATCCTGGCTAACATGGTGAAACCCCATCTCTCCTAAAAATACAAAAATTAGCTGGGCACGGTGGCTCATGTCTGTAGTCCCAGCTGCTCGGGAGGCTCAGGCAGGAGAATCTCTTGAATCTGGAAGGCAGAGATTGCAGTGAGCCGAGACTGTGCCACTGCACTCCAGCCTGGCGATAGAGCAAGACTCTGTCTCAGAAAAAAAAAGTAAATACACATAACATTTTCTTCAACATAATGTCTCCCTTTAGTTTATTATTACAGCAATAAGAGCCTTCTGTGGCTTGGAAAGACTTTGTCACAAACCTATTCTTCATTGCTATGGTCTGAATCTGCGTCCCCTCAAAAGTCATATGTTGAAGTCCTAACCTCCAAAGTGATGGTACTAGGAGTTGGTGTCTTGTGGGAAGTGATTATGCCATAAGGGCAGAGCCTTCATGAATGGGATTAGTGTCCTTATAAAACAGCCCCAGGCAAGGCGCGGTGGCTCACACCTGTAATCCCAGCACTTTGGGAGGCCGAGGCAGGCGGATCATGAGGTCAGGAGATCGAGACCATCCTGGCCAACATGGTGAAACCCCGTCTCTACTAAAAATACAAAAATTAGCTGGGCATGGTGGCCCATGGCTATAGTCCCAGCTACTCGGGAGGCTGAGGCAGGAGAATCACTTGAACCCGGGAGGCTTGCGGCGGGCCGAGTAGAGGTTTCAGTGAGCCGAGATCACGCCATTGCACTCCAGCCTGGTGACAGAGCAAGACTCCATCTCAAAAAAAAAGGCCAGGCACGGTGGCTCACACTGGTAATCCCAGCACTCCCAGCACTTTGGGAGGCCGAGGCAGGCAGATTACAAGGTAAAGAGATCGAGACCATCCTAGCCAACATGGTGAAACCCCATCTCTACTAAAAATACAAAAATTAGCTGGGCCTGGTGGCCCGTGCCTGTAGTCCCAGCTACTCAGGAGGCTGAGGCAGGAGAATTGATTGAACCCAGGAGGCAGAGGTTGCAGTGAGCTGAGATGGCACCACTGCTCTCCTCTCCAGCCTGGGGGCAACAGAGCGAGACTCCGTCTCAAAAAAAAAAAAAAAAAAAAAAAAAAAAAAACAGGCCCAAGGGAGCTTGTTCACTTCTTGTACCAAGTGAGGATGCAGATGGAAGGCACCTCCTATGAACCAGAAAAGTGGGCCCTCACCAGTCATCAAATCTGCCAGTGCCCTCATCTTGGACTTCACAGCCTCTAGAAGCTGTGATAAATAAATTTCTGTTGTTTATTTATTTATTTATTTGAGATGGAGTCTCGCTCTGTCACCCTGGCTGGAGTGCAATGGCACAATCTCAGCTCACTGCAACCTCCGCCTCCCAGGTTCAAGTGATTCTCTTGCCTCAACCTCCCGAGTAGCTGGGGTTACAGGTGCCCACTACCACGCCTGGCTAATTTTTGTATTTCTTAGTAGAGATGGGCGTTTCACCATGTTGGTCAGGCTGACCTCAAACTCCCGACTTCAAGTGATCCACCTGCCTTGGCCTCCCAAAGTGCTGGGATTACAGGCATGAGCCACCACACCTGGCCAATTTCTGTTGTTTATAAGCCAGCTGGTCTATGCTATTTTGTTACAGAAGCCCAAATGAACTAAAACACTCGTTAACTCATTCATATTCATTAAGCACCCATTATATTCCAATATTCTAGTCAATGAAGACACAGCTCTTAATATGACAGACCAAGTCCAATGGGAGAGGTAGGCAATAAGTAGACTGTAGTAGTCATGGGAGGAGAGAGAGGGGTGTCGGGGAAGGAGAGAGAAAGCCTGTTGCAATGGCCAACAGCTCCATGTACATAATTTGAACTGTTGACACTTATTCCTGCTGCTCAGGAATAAGGATTTGGATCTCTGGCTTTACAGGTTCCACAACTGTTACTGTGCTGTCACAATCCAGTGGGGTCAGACCTTTCAATAGTTAGTCACCTGGTATGTGTAAAATCCATGACAACTGAGATTTCCATACTTTTCCAGGTAGCATAGAGACAAGGTAAAGACATGAGCTACAAGTGTAGTGCTTCTTTGTGCTTTTGTCATCTCCTGAAATATTTTTTGAAGTCATTTCTTCAGGAAGAAATGAAGCTACAACTTTAAAATCCTAGTTAGTTCTGCTGTACCTAAGGATTATTTTGTAGGGAGATATAGCAACAAGTGATACAACTCATACCTGATTCTGGGCACTAGAGAGTATAATCTTATAACATTTACATGGTTATCCAAATCTTTTGAAATTATAATTAGTTTTCTTGCTCCCAAGGAACTGCCAGCAATTTGCAGATTAACTTTAGCCAATAGCTCTACGAGACAGAGAAACTTCACACATTTCCCTGGGCTGGGCTATGTTCTCAGTTCTAGTATAAGCCATGTCATGGGCGGCAGGGGGTGGGAAGGATGTACAAGTCCAGGGCAAAGGGTTTCATACAGTGGAAAGAATGTGACCTTCGTGGTGTTAAAGCAGATAAGAAGGAGGCCATTAGCCTGATCCTGTCTCTGCACTAGGAGCTCTTAAGTAAGCAGACCACACCTAAACTTGGATGCATTTCTTATAAGTGACTAAAAAAGAAAAACCAAAACTGAGCATCAATCAATCAATCACAGTCAACCAAACAACTGGTTAAAAATCAGGGACCTCCCACTGAACTACACCCAAAGAAAGCCAGTGCCTAGCTATAGCCAGTTATGTAATAACTTTATTTCCACATTCAGCTACTTCAGCTATAAAAGCTCACAGCCAGGCTGCTACAGTAGAGTTCTCTAAGCCTCCTCTGGTTCTGAGTGCTGCCTGAGTCATGAATTGTTGTTTGATCAAATAATCTCTGTTAAATTTATTTTGTCTAAAGTTTTTCTTTTCTTTATTTATTTAGAGATAGGGTCTCACTCTGTTGCTCAGGCTGGAGTGCAGTGTGCCATCACGGCTCACTGCAGCCCCAACCTCCCAGGCTCAAGTAATTCTCCCACCTTAGGCCTCCTAAGTAGCTGGGACTACAGGTGCACACCACCATGCCATGCTAATTACCTTATTTTATTTTTGTAGAGACGGTGTCTCCCTGTGTTTCTCAGGCTGGTCTTGAACTCCTAGCCTCAAACAACTCTCCCACCTCAGCCTCCCAAAGTGCTGAGATTACAGGCATGAGCCACTGTGGCCAGCCTAAAGTTTTTCTTTTAATGTGGTCAGGCAAAACCGGATCCATATCCATAGTTTGCAATGAGAACTCACTTTTTTCATTTATCAAATGGGGATAATAATGCTCAGAAGGATTCCGAGAAGATAAGAGAATGAATATACAGTATTTGGGAGCAGTGCATGGCACATTAAAAACAATAACAACCTCAATAAATGCTGCCCTTCTGGCTTTTCTATACATCACTACAAGGACAGAAACCATCAAGGAAGACTGATAGATCTGCCTACATAAAATGCAACAGCTAAAAACACCATAAAGAAAATCAACAGAAAATTAACAAACCAGGAAAAAACACTGGCAACATATGAAACAGGCTGGATTTTAGTATCCTTAATGTACGATAAATCAAAAAGAAAAAAAATCAGCTCTCCAAAAAAAAAGTCAGTGGACAAAAGCAGGTAATTCTGTCTGTCTGTCTCTTTCTCTTTATCTCACACACACACACACACAAGAAATATAAATGGCCAACAAACATATGAAAAATTATCCAACTTTCCTAATAATAAAGGAACTTTAAATTAAATAATTTTGAATTAAAGATACATCATGCTTTGCCCAAGAAACTAGCAATTTTTAAAAGTTATATCCAATAGAGGGGATAATGAAACCAACACCTTCACACTGCTGTGAGATATAGACTGGTATCTTTCCGTAGGATATGTATGTACTACTTGGCTGCATTTATCAAAAGCCTCAATATGCGTACTTTTTGAGCCAGAAAATTCACTTCCATGACTTTATCCTTGGATATGAGTAAAGTTACCTACAATAAAGTTTTCATTTACAGGTGGAAATAAAACAGCATTCTGACCTCTTTGCTGGTCAGCAAATATGCCAAGCACCTCAGGGCTGGCTGCTGTTTCCTCTGCCAGGAACCCTCTCCCCACAAATCACCTGCATGGCCTGTTCTCCCACAGAATCAGATCTCTGCCTAAAAGTTATTTTATCTGTGAGTCCTTCTTACCCACTCTCTATAAAATAACCCCCTATCCACTGGCCTGAGACACACACACACACACACACACACACACACACCCCTAACCTCTTACCTGGCTATATTCTCCACATGTACCACAATTGGACACACTATGCACTTACATTTTCATGTGTTTATTGTCTGTCTACCTCAACTAGAATGCCAGTTCCACAAGGGCAACAATCTTTGTTTTGCTCCCTGCACATCTCCAGCACCAAGAACAATGCCTGGCATATAGCAGACACTCAAATATTTGCAGAATGATTCTCCAGGCATTACTTTGGTATCTTATAACATTTTTTTTTGTCTTCTCTCTCTAGATTGTTACAAGGGGAAAACAACAGCAACAAAATCCAACCATGACCACAACTGACATTTCTTCTTTTTCTCCAGCCCTTTAGAGACTTTGCTCTGAACAGAATTGCTGGTGTTGACAGCTACTCGGTTTTCAAGAGCAGGGATAAGAACAAAAAATGCCTACATCCCACACCTGTCTCTCTGAAATGGCCCTAATGGGGAATCTAACAATTTCAAATTCAATAAACATTTATTAACCATCATGTTGTAACCTAGAACTGTGACAACAACAAACTAACTGCATTAAAAAACACACATATTTTCCTTCAACAGACATGAACTTAAACTTAGAATCTTGGAATAGAGGTAGTTATTGTGCTTTCTATATCTTATCTCTCTTTTTTTTTTTTTTTTTTTTATTAAAAAGTAGTACCTGCCTGGCGCAGTGGCTCACAGCTTTAATCCCAACACTTTGGAAGGCCAAGGCTGGTGGATCACCTGAGGTCAGGAGTTCCAGACCAGCCTGGCCAACATAGTGAAACCCTGTCTCTACTAAAAATACAAAAATTAGCCGGGCATGGTGGTGGGCACTTGTAATTCCTGTTACTTGGGAGGCTGAGGCAGGAGAATTGCTTGAACCCAGGAGGCGGAGGTTGCAGTTAGCTGAGATTGTGCCACTGCACTCCAGCCTGGGCAACAAGAGTGAAACTCCATCTCAAAAAGGAAAAAAAAAGAAAAAAAGTAGTATCTATCTATACCATAAATTTTTGAAAATACAGATAATCAAGAAAAAGATTATAATTACAATGTCACTATCCACAGAAAACCACTGTTAATACCTTACTATATCTCCTTCCAATCATTGTCTATATGCGCACATATGAACACTCAACAAAAACGGGATGCTATTGTACATATTATTTACAACCTGCTTCACTTCACATCTTTCCATGTCAAAAAAGTCATCCCCAATTTATCAATAATTGAATACCAGCCCTACTGCTGGACATTTAAGTTAATCCTACATTTTTACTATTCTAATACTGTATGGTTACCCTTAAATATACAGCTGGCCCTCTGTATCTGTGGGCTCCACATCCATCAATTCAATCAATTACAGATCAAAAATATTAGGAAAAAGGCTGGGCAAGGTGGTTTACGCCCTGTAATCCCACCACTTTGGGAGGCCAAGGCAGAGGATCACCTGAGGTCAGGAGTTCAAGATCAGCCTGGCCAATGTATAGTAAAACACCGTCTCAACTAAAAAATGCAAAAATTAGCTGGGCATGGTGGCACATGCTTGTAGTCCCGGCTACTTGGGAAGCTGAGGCAGGAGAATGGATTGAACCCAGGAGGTGGAGGCTGCAGTGAGCCGAGATCGCACCATTGCACTCCAGCCTGGGCGACAGAGCAAGACTCCGTCTCTTAAAAAAAAAAAAAAAAAAAGAGGATGGTTGTATCTGTATTGAACATAGACAGACCTTTCTCTTGCCATTATTCTCTAAACAATACAGCGTAACTACTACTGACGTAGCATTTACGTTGTAATCTAGAGATGATTTAACGTATATGGGATGACATGTGTAGGTTATGTGCAAATACTGTGCTGTTTTATATCAGGAACTTAAGCACCTGGAAATCTGGTTATGAGAGGGAACCTAGAAGCAGTCCCCCACATATACCAAGGGTCAACTGTATTCTTGTCTCATATCATGGTGTTTTTGCGATATGTAGGATAAATTCCCTGAAGTGGAAATGCTATTAAAAGATATGTGCATTAGGCCGGGCGCGGTGGCTCAGGCCTATAATCCCAGCACTTTGGGAGGCCGAGGTGGGCGGATCACGAGGTCAGATCGAGACCATCCTGGCTAACACAGTGAAACCCTATCTCTACTAAAAATACAAAAAATTATCCGGGTGCGGTGGTGGGCGCCTGTAGTCCCAGCTACTCTGGGAGGCTGAGGCAGGAGAATGGCATGAACCCGGGAGGCAGAGCTTGCAGTGAGCCGAGATCACGCTACTGCACTCCAGCCTGGGCAAAAGAGCGAGACTCTGTCTCAAAAAAAAAAAAAAGGTGCATTAAAGTTCGTAACTGGGGGCTGGGGGCTGGGCGTAGTGGCTCACGCCTGTAATCCCAGCACTTTGGGAGGCTGAGACGGGCAGATCACCTGAGGTCAGGAGTTCAAGACGAGCCTAGACAACATGGTGAAACCCCTAAAAATACAAAAAGTAGCCGGGCATCATGGCGGGCGCCTGTAGTGCCAGCTACTCGGGAGACTGAGGCACGATAATTGCTTGAACCTGAGAGGCAGAGGCTACAGTGGGCCAAGATCGCACCACTGCACTCCAGCCTGGGCGACACAAGTGAGACTCCATCTCAAAAACAAAAAGAAAAAAGTTCATAACTGGGTACCAAATCACCTTCCAGAGAGGTTGTAATGACCTGCCCTCCTTTACAGATCTAATGCTGTCTGATTCTAGGATAGCCAGAGGCCTGAACATTAGGAACAAACTAGGCACATGCAACTAATGCAACAATTCCCCACCTCTAATTCTTCAGCTGGTGCCATCTGGGCCTCCTGTGCTGGTTTATTCTTTCATTGTCCTGCTGGCCCACAAAGGAGGCAAGATGGAATTAAATCCTGAGATGGTCCTGGTGGGATCTCAGGTCTCTGTGGTGTGCGGGCCTCTAGGGAGATACTGAGCTACAGAAGAAAGAAGGAAGGAAGGAAGGAAGGAGGGAAGGAGGGAAGGAGGGAAGGAAGGAAGGAGAGAAAGAGAAGGAAGG